>NC_000007.14:30865242-31490242 GCF_000001405.40 Homo sapiens
CCTTCCTACCCAGCATGCTAAGACCTTTTGAAGCTTAGCTGGGAAACAGGAGAAGAGGAACTTCCTCAATAAACTCCAGCCGAACTTTGACACTGATTCAGATTAGGGCAGAGGCCCCACTAATGAAGATTTTCAGCAATGTCTCAAGAGACCAAGGTGACAATGGAAGGTGGACCCACGGGGGCATGGATGCCAGTGTCATGGAAATAGTGGGCCCACCACTGAGACTCCACTTCCTTCCACTGACTCTGTCTCTCTCCCTGGTCCCGTCCCTGGGAGCCACCTGCTCCTTTGTCCCCAGGCCCCTTTACAGGGAACCAAATTCTGTCCTGTAGATCTCTGCCTCGCTTCCTCTGGAGACCCTGTGCAGACACCTGAATCTGGAGGCTTAGCCTCAGCGGGAGCTGGAGGTGGAGGAGAGAGGGAAAGGGCCCTTGCTGCCATCTTAGGCCTTTGTTGTCTTGTGGCAACCCAAGGGATGGGCCCACAGGCTGGAACCCTTTTCTCATTTACAGGTGTGGGAACTTTGAGAAGTGAGGGGTCAGTTAATGGCACAGTTGGCAGCATCACCTGAGGCTCCTGGCTCTCAATCGAAGACCCTGTGCCTGCATCGTCTTCCCTGGACTGTGGGAGGGGTAACAGGAGCTGCTCAGCTGTGTCTGCTGACTTAGAAAGAGAGGTGGCAAATGAGGCCCTAGATAGGCCCATACCAGCTGGGTGCTTGACTACCTGCTGTCCTCTCGCAGTGCAGCTGGCATGGGCTGGGCTAAAGCAAGCCAACTGTGCCTGGGCCAGACCCCTAAGCTGCTGAGATGGCAAGTCACAGCCACTGAGCTGTGAGGACAGTCATTCTGTCATGGACACCAAGCCTGAGAGCTGGGTGGGAGGGGTCCACCTGGTACAGCTGAGAAGGGGGGCCACACCCAGGCCACTGAAGAGCTGGGAGGTCTCAAGACCCTCGGTCCTGTGTGCATCTCCTGCCCCTATCCACTCACCCAGGGACCTTACATGTTCATGCAGGGCCAGGTGCGCAGAGAAAGAGGACAGGCCTCAGAAGGAGGGAGAGGTAATTAACCTGCTGAAAGGGTCTCCTGTGCCAGACCAGCCTCAACTGTGTGGGTGGGGTGCTCACTTCCACCTGCCTCTTCCAGCTCCTGGAAGCTGTTCACCAGGGCCTTTCTCACATGCAGTGTCACCTGGGGTAGGTGTGGGTAGGCTCATGTCATTTAGGGGCACAGTTGCTGTGCACCTGCGGGGTCTGGAGACCAGTTCTAGCCCTCAAAGTCCTTGCCACCTGGAGAGGCAAGACCAGTGTGTGAAAAGCAGTTGGTGGGTACCCTTAGGAAGCGGAGGAGAGATGGGGCATTTCTGTCCCTGGGTTGAGTGAGATTTTAGAGGAGGTGACATTTAGCAGGGCTCTGAGGGATAAGTGGGAAGGGTTTTGGCAGGCAGCAAGAACAAAGCAGGCAAAGGCCACTGGTGGGGGTTTGCAGGGATCAGTTGCAGAGGGTCTAGTTGGGAGGGAAGGAGCTGGACATGGTGGGTGGGAAGAGGTGGGTGGCAGAAGGCAGCTTGGGAAGGGCTTTGGCCAGCTGCTGATGAGCCTGGGCCCCTGCTTTCCCTTCTTCCTCCTTGCAGGTCCCTCTTTTTCCGTCCTGCGGAGCCTTCCACCAACTCTCCCCCTGCCTCCTGGGCTCCCATCCTAGCCCTCTCCTCTTACTGCTTTGAGAATGGAAACAATTTTGACCCTCTAGCCTGTGGGGCACTCTGCAGTTTGCAAGACCTGATATGGTCTAGTCCCTTATTGCAACAGCCCTTTGAGGTAATTATTGTTATCCCTGTCAGGATGACACACTGGAGGCTCAGAAATGGAAAGCGATTTACCAAAGGTCACGCAGTGCAGGTGGCAGAAGGGGCCTGACACCCATTGGTTCTGACTCATCGTCTACTCCCTCTTGGCCATCCTGGGAAAACAGTTGATATCCGCTGTATCCAAATCCTCTTCAGATATTCACAGCTCCATTTCAACTGCTCGGAGGTCTCGGTTTAATCTGGGTTCTTGGCCGTGATATGAGTGGTTGAGATGGCAGGAATCATGACCTCTTGGTTATTGTTTTTTGTTTTGTTTTGTTTTTTGTTATTCTGGTTGTTATAGTAGGAAAAAGGAAGTGACATTTACCGAATGCCAAATGCTTTATATAGTTCATCTCATTCAGTTCTCACAGCAGTCTTTAATAGAAGGAGGCATCATTGTACCTGTATTGCAAATGGGGAGACTGAGGCTCAGAGAGGGAAATAACTGATAAGTGGCAGTAATTGGATTTGACCAGGGCCCTCTGACTTTAGAGCCCAAGTTCTCTTGGTTGTACCACAGCTGCCCTTACACTATTGATGTTGTCCTTAAAAGTCAATATAAACCCCACGAAAGGGCTGTTATCTCTGGAGGTCACTGCTGGTGGGTGGGGGAAGTGTGGTCAAGGGTCAGTTTCTGAGAGTGGCAAGCAGGAGCTGGCCTGGTAGGACAGGGATCCTCCAGGGCCTGGTGCCCTAGTGGTCAGGTGGAGGGGGGATAGCTGGTTGGGTCTCCCCAGGGTAAGTACTGCCTGCTTCAGGCTTGGTGTTTTCAATAGAGTCATGGACCAGGCACACTTGTGCACATCCTAGGAGGCCCCTAGAGATTTCTTGCTCCAGTCCTCTGGCTTTCTAAGTGAAGACACAAGCTGAGAGAGAGGTCAGGACATGCCTGAGGTCACTCACCCAGTCAGGGGCCGAGTGGACGCTGGTGTTAGGTGAATGGCTGTGACTGTAGGCTGGGACCTGGTCTCTAGGCCACTTGGACTTACTTTCCTTCTTATTCAGAAACTTTTATACCACATGCCCAGATTCACACAGGGAGGCTTTTAGATGAAGGGACAAGCTGTGCCTGAGCCAGCAATGGTGGGGGCTAGGGGTAGGGCTTTGGGACTCTAGGGCTTGCTTGGAGCTGGCTGACCTGGCTGATCATCCCATATTTCAGGCCACAGCAGACACTGTGATGTTGGTACTAGGGACAGAGTCCTAGTCCTGCCTACTCTGTGTGACCACAAAACCACGAGTCCTTTTTACTGACTGGACCTCAGTTTCCCCATCAGTAAAACAGAGATGGTGGTCTTACCCTCCTGGCCTTACAAGGCTTTTGAGAGAAAGATGCATTTGAAGGTGCCTGAGACTATGCAGATTCGAAGCCCATGCATTGTGCAGCCTGCTCAGTGGCAGAGCCTCTTCCCCTTCCGGGATGTATGGACAGAGGGCAGGTGGAGAAGGGAAGCAGAGAGCCCTGAGTCTGGGCTGACATCTGTCACTAACTCAGGGCCAGTTCTGTACTCTCTCTGGGCATTCATCTGACCTTCTGCAAAATTCTGAGCCTTGCAAACTCTCCCAGCCCTGATATCCCCTTTGTTCTGTTTCTTGATACAGCGTAGTATCTCAGGGACCTTCTGATGGTGGACAGAGTTGGGAGGTTTGGTCCTTGCTGGCATCCTGGGCAAAGCTCTCTATTCCTCCTTCTCTGTCTTTGGGTGATACAGGCATCCCTGGAGGCTGGGTCATCCAAGCATCCCTGGAGGCTGGGTCATCACCCCAGACCTTTGGTTCAGGGTTCTGACCCTTCGCTGCCAGAATGCTGCAGAGGTTGGTGTCAGGGCAGCCAGGGCAGCCAGGGCCAAGCCTATTCTGTGAGTTTTCACCCCCTGGTCAAGCCCATCTCTCCTTTGTGCTTATTGGATTGAAATCCCAGCAAGCTCTGCTCCCTGGAGGGGCCCCCAGTGCAGGACAGCTTCCATTTTGTGTGGTTCTGGGCCCTCCTGGCTCCTGTCATCCAGCTTGGTGCCTGGTTCCTCAGGCTGTGCAGAATTCTCTGAGGGCCCAGGGTCATCCAGCCCCCAGGAGGACATGGAGGAGACAGCTGCTCATTAGACTGGATGGTTAAGTCAGTCTTTGGTAAGGGACAGTCACAGCTGTGGCTCAGGTGGCCCCTGCTCCTAGGATGCTGCATGTTCTTGGAGATCCAGGGGCTGATAGAGGAGGAGAAGGATGGGACAAGCCTCCACACTGCCTTCAGCCCGTATGTTTCATGTAATGGGCTTCTGCCTGTAGTATTGCATTTGAAGAAAGGGCTCTGAATCTAAAAAGATGTTGGAGGCTACTTGTGTTGGTTTCTAGGGCTGCCATAATGACAGACATTCGTGTCTTACAGCCCTGGAGGTGAGAAGTCCAAGATCAAGGTGCCAGAGGGTTGGTACCTTGTCAGACCTCTCTCCCGGGCTCGCAGGTGGCCACTTTCTCACTGAGTCCTCACTTCATCTTTTCCTTGTGAGTGTGCATCTTTGGTGTCCCTCTATGTGTCCAGATTTCCTCTTCTTCCAAGTCAGATTGCATTAGGGCCTACCCTAATGGCCTCATTTTAAGTTAGTCACCCCTTGAAAGGCTCTATTTCCAAATACACATTCTCAGGTGCTGGAGGTTAGGACTTCAACATATGAATTTTAAGGGGACGCAGTTCATGCCATTACACCTCTCATCTTCTCCAGGCCCCTCGTGCTGCAGGAGGGGAGACCGAGGCCACACAGCAGGCTGGAACTAAGCCATATGGATTGCCTTCTCTCTGGGGCAGTGCTGAGGCTGTTGTTCCTCTGCTCAAGGACTCCTCACACTCAGCTCTCCAGAGAATTCCCCTATTCCCCTAGAGGGAGGTCTGGGCATCTAGGTTTGTAGATTTGCCAAAGTTATAAATCTCTTAAACCATAAGCCACTCCTTGGCATCTCTCTCTCTCTCGAATGCCCTGATATGAAATGCAGATGTTCCTCCCTTTTAAGATCTCAGTGCACTGCTGAATTTCCCATCGTGTTTGCACCTAAGGATGCAATTACCATTTCCTCCCATTGTCCTTTCTGCCTGTCCCCCTGCTCCCAGCTGACGCAGGCTCTCGAGCCCGCTGGGTGAACACGAGGTAATGATCTTATGAAGATTGGACTGCTTCTAAAAGCTCCAGGTGGCATAGGGCCAGTGATGCTTATCGGCCCCCCCTCAGGACCCTTTTGAGGTTATTTTCTTCTCTTCAGAAGATGCTTGTATATGCTGCAGAGAGCATTTCCATCAATTCTTCTGCCTGAGCTAGCGCCAGCGAAGCGCTATGCTCTGCCATGAGTCACTCCCAGCTGGCTCCTTCCCAGGCCTGCTGGGCTGTCTGTGGTGGGTGAGCCTCAACCACCCTTCCCAGAAGACCCCCAAGCCTTAGTGGTTCTCTGCAAGCTCCTGCAAGGGTAACCCCAGCTCATCTTCTCATGTGGACCATAAACCTTCCGTGTTTGGCCATGGTTATTAAAAACCACAAGCAAGTGTTTTCCCCAAGTATTGTGGAGCTGGAATTGCTAAACTTGTTTTGGAAGCAGACAGAGACTCAGGCATGTATTTTAGGCTTGTGGGCTTATGGCAGATCTTAGATTTAAAGCATACATTGAGACCAAGTTTATCTTCTCCTCTACTGAAAGGAAAAAATAAATGCTCTGATTGCTAAGCCCTTCCTACCCCTGGGTCTCCTCTCTAAATGTTATACCTGGCCTCTCTCTTTGGGGTGTGGTTGAAGGAAGGGGGCCAGGCTCTGAACACAGTGCTGGGTGGCTGTGTGTGCCCCCCCAGGGCCATGTGTGCCCCCCAGGGTCGTGTGTGCCTCCCAGAGTCAAGTGTGCCTCTCAGGGTAATGTGTGCCCCCCAGGGTCCAGTGTGACCCCCAGGGCCGTGTGTGCCCCCAGGGTTGTGTGTACCCCCCTGGGTCGTGTGTACCCCCAAGGGCTGCATGTGACCGCCAGGTTCAGTTGTGACTCCCAGGGTCGTGTGTGCCCCCAGGGCTGTGTGTTCCCCCCAGGGTCATGTGCAGAAGTGGGGGGGACAGACCTGGGACCCAGGCTCCCTGGTCTCACGTTGCCCCCCAGAGCCAGCTTCTCTGTGCTTCTTCCCACATCTATAAAATAGAGACAGGAATTCCTACTTCATTCGGGTCTGGGGGTTGCAATTGCCACCTGCTGAGCACAGTGAGTAGATAGCAGCTCCTTCCCTGTGTGCTCCTTACAGGGCTCTGTTCAACAGAGTTTTCATCTCTCAGAGGGAGTTACATTGGGGTGGCTAAAAGGAACCATGTCCTAATGGCAGGCTTCCTAGCAGGACAGCAAGCCGGGAAGGAGGATGGAGACTTGGGAGGGTTTTCTGCCTCACGTGTGGCACACCTCTGCTCACCGGGATACTGAATTGTTCTGGTTCCTAGCGGTGCTCAGCCCATTTCTTTCAGTTTGGGGAATGTCTTCAGCAAAGTAGGTTTTCACCTTGCATCTTTTGAAGGACTCCATTCTGAGGGTGGAACCACAGTGGTACCAGGGGGTGGGGGCACAGGCCTCAGAGCTGGGCACCCTTGAGCAAGACATCCCTTTTCTGAGGCTTGGTTTTCTCAAAGGGTTTTAGGGAATAATGTGCGTACAGTGCCTGGTGCAGGAGCAGGTGGTGGTGACTGTTACTCTATAACTCAAGGAAACATTAGAGTCCATTCCTCCCATTTTACAGGCTGGCAGACTGAGGCTCAGAGGTGGAAGAGGGTTCCTCAGTCTACACCATTGGTAGTGACAGTTGGGATGTGAATTCAGGACACTGGATTCCAAACCCAGGGTCCTCTCTACCGTGTCACGCTTCAGTCGCTGTTCTCTAGTGTAGGCAGAGCCCTGGTGCGGCTGGAGTGGAGGCCATTGCCCAGAGAATGCAGTGAGCTCTACTCTAGGAGGCCTGGGCTCTAGCCCCATCCCTTCTGGGTGGGAGCCTCCTCCGTGGAGGGCACAGAACAGAGCGCTCAGGTTCCCACCAAATCTGGAATTCTGGGTCTTAGCCTGGAACCTAAGGGGAGCGCCTGGTCACCTAGCGAGGTTTGCAACCTGGGTCAGGCAGAGCTGTGCTAACAATGCTTCTTGTGTTTTCCAGCATCCGCCAGGACTTTGATGTCCCCACCAGCCACCTGATTGGAGCACATGGCTACTGTACACAGGTCAGGGGGCGCTGTGGGGCCCAGGTGGTCCTTCCCCCTCCTCTGTCCCTCAGAGAGGGAGAGGTCCTCCTCCCTCCTCTTGCCCCAGAAAAAGACAAGTCTTTCTTGCCTCTGCCAACACTCTTCAAGCAGCTTTCACGTGCCCACCTCTGCTGGGTTTCACTGTCATGTCATGGAGACCCAGAAAGAGAGCTCAGTTTAGCTTCTGTTTCTGGACAGCTTTATGTGCACTGATGTATGTGCTCAGAGCTGCAGAGGATGCAAAAGAGGCTGAACTCAGACCAAAGTGCTACACAGCCCGGAGCCCAGGACACAGGGAGTGATGTCTCAGGCATGGGCCAGGGGACCCTGGGTCCAGCTGGGGAGATGATGGCCCTGGCCTCTTCTATGTTTGCACAAGGTATTGTCTTTATAGCCACCCTTCCCTTTGCATCTTTACAGAGGGGCCCTCAATGGACCTCACAGGGGCAAAGAAGACCCTGAGCACAGTTGCTTGTCATCAGTCCTCTCAGTCACCCAGGTGACACCAGGGAAGGGACCTTTTCAAGATGTTACCTAGTGAGCATCAAAACTGGGAGCTCAGCTCTACACCTGGCTTCTATCCATGCCTTTCTCCCCATGATGAGGCCTCCCAGAGTGGCCACACAGGCCACAGTGAAATCTGGCTCTCAGCACATGGGGGGCCACAATGCGTAGCATGGACGGGCTGGACAGAGCTGCACATCTTCTGGGCCCAACTGAGGACTCAGTTGTCCTGGGGGTCCTGGCTCACTTGCGCCCAGCTCTGGAAACCTACGTGGGCACCATACAAGGCAAGCTTGGGGCCTGTGGTTTGTCCAGGGCACCCACAGAGGGACCGTGGGGTTGGCTGCTGCCCACCACCCTAGAGGAAGGCCTCACGGGGAGTGGCTACTCTTCTGGCTGCCCGGGGTGGCCTCACTCTCACTCCAGGCATCTGCCTGCCCCATGGGAGCTTTCCCTTTTCTGGGGCAGAGAAGGATGCTGCCCAGGTGTGGGCAGTCAAGCAGGGTGCAGAGGAACCCAGATCAGAGTCTGGGGCTGGGTCCCAAGCCCTGTTCTCTGTTTCACTCACAATATGAGCTGGGGCAGTCTTTTTCCCCTCCTGTGTGTCAGTTTCCTCATTTGTACAAGAGGCATTTGGACTGGAACAGGGCTGCTTACACTTTGAATGAATCCCCTAGGGGTCTTGTTGAAGAGCAGGCTCAGATTCAGTGGGTCTGGGCTGGGGCCTAAGATTCTCAATTTCTATCAGGCTCCCCAGGGAGGGCGATTCTGCTGGTCCATGGACCACACTGAGTAGAAAGGGACTGCTAAGCTTTGCCATTGTGTGACTTTGGAGTCTAGGAGCAGGGAGAGGCCTGATGCCCCTTCTTCACCATCTCAAGAAGGCTTCCTGCTATGAGGAAGATTTTAGACACAGATCAGGGAGCAGGGGCTTTTATCCCTCTTGAAAAACCAGATGGGAAAACTCGAACTTGCCTGAAAAAGGCTGTGCCTTTCTCAGCAGCTGCTGCCCCTGACGTGCATTATTTTACAGCAGACATTTCCTCCAAATTCTTGTGTCTCATTTCCTCTACAAGGACACAATAAGTCCCCTTTGGTATCTCCCTCCAGTGGGGGTCCCTCTGCGGCCATCAGAGGAGGCCTCTTTTACTGTCACTGGGGCAGGGGTATTGGTGTTAACTGAGGGATTTATTAACCCCCGATGTCATTTTAACGATTCAGGCGAAAACACCTCTATAAACTCTACCCTCCAGAGTTTACACTGGTCAAGGGCCGTTCTGGCCATTCCTACGTGCTCCACTGTGGGAGTGATGCCTGCCTTCTTGTGTCACAGGCAGCGCCAGCTGTGGCAGAAGGTGGATGAGACAGAGAGACCTGCCTGCCCTAGTGCTGGGGCTGGGCTCGCTCAAATTCCTCCTCAGTAGGCCCTTAGAGGCCACCCTTCATCTTGAATCTGTGCCCAGGCAGATAGTACCATGAAAGTAACAGGGTTGGGGGAAGAGGGAAGTCACATGGGACAGAGAGAACCAGATGTGGGTGGAAGCTCAGCTCTGGCCCTAATGGGCTGTGTGGCTTGAGTAACCCACCTGTGAGCCCCAGTTTCTCCATTCCTAAGAGGAGGTTGGATCCTTGGTTATCCTGCATAAGGAAGGGACCTTCCAGCCTTGTTGGTACACCAAAATGTGGGAGGCATGGGTTGCAGGTGACTGCTGGAGGAATGTTGCTCCACACGTCACTTTCTCCAAGTTCCAGGGTTGGCATGCTTGTTGGCTTGCCAGGTGTGTAGCTTGAGTCACAGGACCACCCAATGCCTCATGCCACGTAGCAAGACAACAGCAGAAGCAGAGCTAGAACTCATACTTGGGCTTCCTACTCCCACCTCTCTGCTTCTGTTCTTGCTGCCTACTGAAGTACCTTCCTCGGCTTTCCCTGCCCTGTTAAAACCCCACCGTCACTAATGAAGTTCAAACAAGGCCTGGAGTTTAGTTATTGGTACTGCACCATGGTCAGTTTCCTGGTTGAGATAATGGGCTCTGGTTATGTAAGATGTTATCGTTGGGGGAAGCTGGGTGAAGGGTACACAGGAACTCTCTGTACTATTTTTACAACTTCTTTTGAATCTAAAATTATTTCAAAATAAAAAGGTTTCTTTAAAAAATAACATCGTTTAAGACTCACCCAAATGTCACTTCTCCTTAAAGCTGCCCTGACTCAGTCATGTGGCCTCGTGTTCATCTGGCTCCAGAATACTCCATGCACACATTTTTACAGCCCCAGCCACATCCTGCATTGAGTCAATGTGCAGACATGCACCTGACTCCACAGTCTAGACCCAAAGCACATGTCAAGAGCCATGTCTCACCCTCTCACCAGTGCCCCCAGTAGCCTGCAGCATAGGACAGGGTCCTGTGAATGGTTGGTACTCAAGGAGTGCTTGTGGAATAAAGGTGGATGGGTGCCTGGAGTTACCTTGATGAGAAAAGTTGGTGCCTTTCCCACAGGACTTGTGGGAGAATTGAAGTCACAGCCTCCTCTGCTCTCAGGCTCTCTCCCTCCTTGCTTTCCTTCCTTCTCCACCCTTTTTGTCTTTCCCCAGTCTCCTCTCCACTCTTTCAGTAACTGATTCAGACTTGATGAGTCTTTCCCCTTTCTCTCATCTGCAGGAACTTGTCAATCTGCTCCTGACTGGGAAAGCTGTGTCCAACGTTTTCAACGATGTGGTTGAGCTGGATTCTGGGGATGGGAACATCACACTTCTCAGAGGCATTGCTGCACGCAGTGATATTGGCTTCTTATCTCTCTTTGAGCATTACAACATGTGCCAGGTACCCAGATGCTCACGTTCACCACAAGTAGGGGAGCCTGACTCTCTGGAGCAATGAGGAGGGAAGTGGGGAAGGAAAGCTGGACTCCACTTCTCAGAGCTGGCTGAAATTCGGGTCCAGTTAGAATCACAGAGGGCTTGGGAAGAAGTACAGCTTCTCTGCTGTGGCTACAGGCCTATAATTCAGACCCAAAGCCAGCTGATACCGTGTTCTGGGGAAGATGGTTTGAAAAGGACTTCGAGGGATTTCTGCCGTGATTGTGGGTCACAGTGGCTGCAGCTGGTGTCTGTGTGGTGGGGGAGCCTTCTCAAGGGACAGGAACTTGAGGTCTTAGGCCTCGTGTTAGTTTCCTAGTGCTGCCTAACAAAGTACCACAGACTGGGTGGCTTGAAACAACAGAAACTTAACTGTCTCACAGTTCTGGAGGCTGGAAGTCCAAGATCAAGGTGTCAGAAAGGCCATGCTCCCTCTGAAACCCATAAGGAGAATCCTTCCTTGTCTCTTCTAGCTCTCGGTGTTTTCTGGCAATCCTTGGCATTCCTCGACCATATAGTGATGCTTCTGTAGATGTATCACTCCAGTCTCTGCCTCCATCCATCATCACAGGGCCACCTTCTCCCTTTGTGTCTTTTCTTATACAGACCTCAGTCATATTGGATTAAGGGCCCACCGTACTCCAGTATGACCTCGTCTTAACTAATTATGCCTGCAACAACCCTGTGTCCAAATGCAGTCACATTCTGAGGTACTGGGGGCTAGGATTCAACACATCTTTTTGGAGGCACAGTTCAACCCATAGTAGGCCTCACACATCCTGTTTGTTGGCATGTGGTCCCTCTGCATCCTGTGTCACTGCAGCCAGGGGCTCAGAAAGGGCTGGGCCCCCAGGTAAAGCTGGATAGGGCATGGGTGACTGTACCTCTGGAGAATGTGGCCAGGTGCTGAGGGGGCTGGGCAGAGGAGCACTGGACCCTGCCTTCTTGTTCCAGCTGCCATGGAACATTTTTCTGAGCATTGCTTTCCATGGCTTCAGAGAGTCCATTGTTCTGTGGTTGATTAAATGGGAAAGGTTGTCCTGAGGGGCAGCAGGAGTGCTTTTCACAGTGGCCACCCCCTGCAAAGATTCTTGGAGGGTCCGGATGAGGCCTCATTCACCACCTATCCTCAGAACCAGGACGCAGAGATTGACTCAGCAGGGCCTTGCAGATAGCGCCAGGCGATTCCACCCTGGATTTTCAGGGTGGAAAAAGACTAGGGTTTTAAGCCAGGGCTCAGTTTTACCCACCCTTCCCACATGACCACATGTTGGGGTGTGCTGTGTCTTGCTAATGACCCATGTGGTGCAGCCCCCTCCCCAGATCCCCTCTCTGGATGATACCCCCAGCATGCCAAAAGCAGACTTCTGGGTCCCAAAGACTTGCGGGAAAAAAGAATGAGAGTAGCTGCTTCCTGGCTGTGCTGGTGTTAGGAGGGAGCCCAGGAATGTGGCTGGTGAGAAGCACCAGGGCTCTCGAGCACCGGATCCTGGGTGTGCTCTGAAAGTATTCAGCTCAAAATTCCATGGGCCAAGAGAGGCAACCTTGGCTAGGCTCATGGAATTCCCAGGCTCACCATGAGCTCTGGTTTCATTCTTGGGTCGAGGGCGTTGGTCAGAGAGTAAACTATTTTCCTGTGGTCTGTGGAGGGTACTTGATGGGAAAACCAGTTGGGGTCATCCTTCCCTTGTAATAAAATTGAAGAAATTCAGGCCCTACAACCATCTCCCCTCCTCGTGGGCTTCTTGGATCCGCATAGACCCTCTGCTGTTCTGTGCTCAGCTGAGGACTGGGAGTTTTGTTTCCCTGCGGTAGGTGGATGCTTCCTTCCTCTGCCTTGCAACTGCAAGCTCACTAAGGAAGGAGCCCTGGCCTCCTCTCCTCCTCCATGAGCTCACCGAGGGCTGGGCCTCAACCCCTGCCTTCCACTGAAGACTCAGGGCCCAGCAGCTCAGACAAAGCCCTTCCCTCTTCTTCTTCTTCTTCTTCTTCTTTTTTTTTTTTTTTTGAGACAAGGTCTCACTCTGTCACCCATGCTGGAGTGATCTCAGCTCACTGCAACCTCTGCCTCCTCTGTTCAAGCAATTCTTCTGCCTCAGCCTCCTGAGTAGCTGGGATTACAGGGACATGCTTTTTTTTTTTTTTTTTTTTTTTTTTTTTTTTTTTTAAGTAGAGATGGGGTTTCACCATATTGGCCAGGCTGGTCTTGAACTCCTGACCTCAAGTGATCCACCCACCTCAGCCTTACAAAGTGCTAGGGTTACAGGTGTGAGCCACTGCGCCTGGCCCCTTCCCTCTTCTTTAACACCACCTTCCATCCCTTCTGTCCCCAAGTCCCTCGGGCCCTACACAGTTAGCCACATTGGACATAGAAGGAGTCCAAGGGGGTCCAGCACCCAAGCCTGGACCTGGACTCAGAGCCAGGGCCCTTGCTCTGGCCTGGCCTGGCCCTCTCCTCAGGCAGCACAGACACAGCCGTGGGAAGACTGGCATTTGGAACAGCCTGGGCCATGACGTCCGCAGCGTTCACTCACTAGCAGGTGAAGCCTCTCACTTGCAGCTTGTCTCCAGGCTTCTCACTGCAGCCTGGGGTTCTGGGGCCCTCACTGGGTATGTGGGAGGAGGAGGTCCTACCTAAAAGTGAGCTACCCAGATGACCCATACTCAGGGTGTACCTGGGGTAAACAGATGAAACTCTGAGCTGGAGAAACTCACCCCCTGCCATAAGTAACTGGTCCGGCCTGGCTGTGTCCTGCCGGACCTCCATGGGCTATCTGTGACCCCACCAGCTGGTCTTGCCCATCTGACTTCCAGCTGGCTCCCTCAGTCCCACACCTGGCCCAGGACAAGGCTCACCGGTAAGGGGTGGACTGCATTCTAGGCTGCAGTTGGAGGCCAAGCCCCTCCAGGCTGATGGTCATGGTGGTGATGGGGGACTGACAGTCCAGGAGGGATGGGGTGGGACAGGGAGTTTAGCCTCAGCACTTCTTTCATGACCTGCGAGGCATGTTCATTGCCATCTTCATGAAGGGACCCACAAAGGAAAACAGCTTGACGGGCAAGAGTTCTGAAAGCTCCATCCTCCTCCCATCCTCCCCAGCTCAGAGATGGCCACCATCCACCCATTTACTCAACCAGGAGCACGTCCTCTCCATCAGGAGGACATGTGCCTCCCCCTGAAGTTGTTTCTCAAGCCCATCCACTTTCACCAGGTCAGAGCCACCAGCATCGCTGATTTTGACACCTGTGACAGCCTAGCCAAATTCAGCTCCTGTCCCCATCGCTTTCCCCCTTTCCAATCCTGTCCCTTCACTGAAACCAGTGTGATCTTTAAAAATATACACACAATCATATCATTCCTTTTCTCTGGACCCTCAGTGGTTTTCCAGTCCTCTGAGACTGTTGTGAGCTGAACTATGTCTCCCCAAAATTCCTGTGTTGAAACGCTGACCCCCAGTACCTCAGAATGTATTAATAACTGTATTTGGAGAAAGGGCCTTTAAGGAAATGATTAAGGTAAAATGAGGTCACTAGGGTGGGTCCCAATCCAGTATGGCTGGTATCCTCCTAAGCAGAGGAGGTTAGGACACAGATCACACAGCAGGAAGTCCTTCTGAAGGTACGGAGAAGGCAACCATCTACAAGCTCAGGGGCACGGCCTTCAGAAACAACCCTAGTGACATCTCAGACCTCCAGCTTCCGGAACTCTGAGATAATAAATGTCTGCTGTCTGAGCCATCCAGTCCGTGGTATTTGTTATGGCAGCCCGAGCAGACTAATGCAGAAACTAAAATCCAAAACTTCTCACCACCCCCAATGCCCTGCCAGACCTGCACCTGCCTTCCTCTCCCACCTCAGCCCGCACCACTCTCTCCCGCAGGCTGGGGCTTCTCTCGGGCTCTCTCCCACCTCCTGGCCTTTGTGCACGCTGCACCCTCCACCTGCCCAGCTTTTCCCTGTTATCGTTTTGACTTAAACGTTACTTCCTAAAAGGCAGCCTTTCCTGCCCTCATAACCCCATCTAAGTAGGGGGTCCTTCTCATTGTCCCCTCCATACCTTGTCAATCACCATCAGGGTATCTTAATTCTTTCCTTCATAGGGCCTCCTCTGGATTTTAAGCATCGCATTTCATCGCCTTTAAGATGCAAACTTGCCCACATTTGAGCACTTCTGAAATTCTGATGCATTGTTACAGTTGATGGTGTGTCAGACTTTGACACACCTGCTTTTTCTTACTTAGTGATACAAAAAATAATGGCGAATCTGAGGGCATCCTGGATTCACTGAAGTGCAGTGGAAATGTGTGGGTTTGATTATTTAATTAATGTGTCATCCCCATCAATCTGGTAAGCTCCATAAGGACAGCACTGTTCTTATTGTCTCTAGCACTATGTCCCCATTGCTGTTCCTTAGAAATGCCACACCATAACTCTACGCAAGTAAATGCTGACCCTTTGAAGTGAGTGCTTCTAACCTGGCTGTCCATGGATGGCTTTAGGCCATTCACAACCCCCGCCCTAGAAGATTAAGTAATCCCTAATTGTGCTACATGTTCCCCCACCAGGACAAAGTCCCAGACTGTGCTGTAGGAAATGTGGCCCTCCCCCGCACCCCCCCCCACCCCCGACTGCGGCCTTGCCCCAAGCCTTTGGTTACCCAAGAATTTAAAGGAAGTGAATTTCATCTCTGGAAAATGTCACCCACTTGGAAAGAGGCTCCTGAATGAGGAAACTCATTTATAAAGTCTGTGGGCAGCTTTTTTCCCTTAATCTCTCGACTGTTACTTCTGCATGGCAAGCTGCACTTTTGTCTCTCCGTTGGAAAATTCAGGGTGGCTGATTATGCAAAGGCCTGCTCCCTGGTTGGCTTTGGGACTCTCTCCCTGCCGTGAATGAATGCTGGGTCCCTGTGTCAGGGTTCCCTGTTCCTGGCGATGCCCTCACCAGAAAAGCCTCTTTGAAGCATGGAATGGAAGCCAAGTTTACGTGGGGTTTAGGCACGTCCAGCCACGTCCTGTAAGACATCTAATTCCCCCACACTTCACTAAGGAATGAGCTCTGCAGTCCACTTCAATGGCACACAGGGCTGGGGTGAGGCTTCGGTGTGGGGGGAGGGGACACTTGAACCGTAAGAAAGGATGAGTGCGTTGTAAAGACTGTCCCCCTACCTTCTGGAGGAGGCAGCTTTAAATGTGCAGGAATTTCACTGGGGACCTGGTTCAGGACCTTCAGAGCACAGCCCCTCTGTCAGAGACATCCCAGATCAAGATGGGAGCTGCTCACCCACTCTCCTGTAAAGGGTTCTGGAAAAAGTATGCCCTTCTCCCCACTGGAAAAATAATTCCCATTCTTTCTTTAATCCACAGGCTGTAGCTGTAAATACCTGAGCATGCAAACATCTCCCTGGGGCTGGTAGGGATTAGGCCAGAATCAGCCTGGCCCGTGGCACGTACATAGCTGGATAAACCAGGGCCCAGGGTCAGGAGAGGCGCTGGCCAAGAAGTGTCAGGGGCTGGGGGAAAGTGCATGGAGGCCAGGCATTCAGGGGCTTCACAGGGGGCCCTTGTCACTTCTCTTCCCATTGTAGTCAAGATGCTAGCAACGTGCTGAGGGCCCTGGTGCTTATTCCTCTGTGTCTTCTTCCACAAACACTTCCACCATGTGAAATTCCCCTGCTTGGAATGCTCCTTATCCAAGTGTTGCTGCAACCTCAGTGCCCTGCTGCACCCTGAATTTCTCTGTCCCTCCATTCCTGGCACCCCCACAGACTTCTCACTCAGACCTTTCCCTCCTGGCTCCCCAGGGCTCCATTCCTAGTTGTCTTTACCGTGCAGTTCTAGTTCAAGTCCTGCTTCATCCATGAGGAATTTCATTCACCCGACATTTACTTACCCCGGGCTCCTGGAACTTAAGGGTATGATCTGTCGAGCATGAGGCAGAGGTGCTGCGGCTGAGGTGGGTGGGCACCTAGTGATGTGCTCCCTGGGAACTGGAAGGAGGAAACTATTTCTGCTCCAACAAGGGATTTGGGAGATGCAGGCTGTCCAACGGTAAGCAAGCTCTAGGCTAGTGGACAAGCTGAATTTGTTTGAGGGGTGTGGGAAGAATTGGTTAGGAGGTCACTGCCGTGGTGCAGGTTGGAGGCTGAGTAGATCTCAGGAGGAAAGGCTGGCAGTGGGGGAGCTCTTGGATGCAGAATGAGCAGTACTGGGAACCATTAGATGTGGGGGATGAGGGGGCGAGTGATACCGGGTCTCAGGTCTGTATGGCAGAGGCCCTGCGAGCAGCAGCAGGTGGGGTGGCAGGGCAGGGATGGCCCTGGGAAACAGCCCAGTGGCCTGAGCAGCGTGAGGGGCTCCCAGCATCAGACACAAACGTGATCTTCAGCAGGGCCTCTCTGAGGTCAGCCCTGCCTTGAGTCAGACAGAAAAATGCCCGGACCCCTTTCCCTGGGGACGGCATTTCACATCAGGCCTCTCCCTCATCCAGGTTGGCTGCTTCCTGAAGACCCCGAGGTTCCCCATCTGGGTGGTTTGCAGTGAGAGCCACTTCAGCATCCTCTTTAGCCTGCAGCCGGGGCTCCTGCGTGACTGGAGGACTGAGAGGCTCTTTGACTTGTACTACTACGATGGCCTGGCCAACCAGCAGGAGCAGATCCGGCTGACCATTGGTGCGGGCCCTCACCCCCCCACCCACCCAACCCTGTCCCCAAGGAGCCTCCAGGCTGGTCACAGAAACCAGCCTTCCTATCCACCACCAACCCCCATGACAGAGAGCAGTGCAGACTCCAGCATCCAGACTGGGGGATCAGAGAGCCAATGCCAGCAGGGCCTCCCTGCAGGAGGCGGCCAGAGCTGGGCCTTGAGCAGTGAGTGGCATTAAGGGCGTTGGGTAAAGCCTACACCACATGGTAAAGAGCCCTGAATACTATGCTGACAAGTTTGGATGTATTCTTCAGGCAGTGGCGAGCCATGGAAGGTTTTGGAATCAGGGTGGTGAGATCAGAAGTGTTTTTAGAAAGAGTATTGTGGTAGCTAAAGTGGGACACGGGTGGGGACCAGTGAGTTGTGCAGGTGAGAATGGATGTCAGGGATGAGGGTGGGTCCAGTTGAGATGGAGAGGAGGGGACAGGGACTAGAAGGGGGCGGGTCTCGGGAGTGGTCAGCGCTGACCTCAGGGTGAGTGCAGGGCCCTGGGTGACATGTGTGTGCCTCTCTCCTCCTTCCCAGACACCACCCAAACCATCTCTGAGGACACAGACAACGACCTTGTCCCACCCCTCGAGCTCTGCATCAGAACCAAGTGAGTCAAGCCCCTCTCTGGCTTTGAGCCTCACCCTGAATAGCTTTGAGGAGCCATGGTTGGGGGTGGTCAGGCCTGCAGGAAGGCAGATAGGTTCCTGGACCACCCTGATTCAAAGAGGTGTGGTGATTGGAAAGACACAGGTTTCTCCACTCGTGGTCACTGGGGCCCAGGTTCAGGAGTGTGTGGTCTGCAGTGGTGATGCGTCTTTAGACAGCTTCTGAGACTGCCTTCATGGTTGGGGGTGGGGGCTAAATGGGCACCTCTTGAAGCCCCTCCTCCCTCAAGGCAGCAGCAGCCAGATGTGGCAAGTACCGTTAGGCCCGAAGGAGGCAGGACAGGGGTGCTTACCTGAGGGTGGGGGAGGCTTGAGCAGGATAGGAAGCTGGGAGGCCTGGCCCAGCCTGGGGGTGGCAGGAGGTGCTGCCTGGAGCGACACCCTCTGCTTGCGGAGGAGCCGGAGGAGCAGCTCCGCCACTCTGAACACTGAGCAGTGTGCCTCTGGCCTCAGAGGCAGGTGGGAGCTTCAACTCCTCTGACCCAGCCCCTCTGTATTTAAGGGGAGGCTGAGGCTCAGGCCAGGGGAGGGGAATGTTCAGTAACTGGGGTGAGTTGGGGCTCACCTCCTTGCTGTGTTCTCTGAGTGGGCCCCTGGGCTGGTGGTGCGGTAGCTGTCAGAAGTGCTCCCCTTGCCCCGGCAGGCCCTTCACAAAGCCCTTGGGGCATGACCCAGAGGCCTCAGCGTGCATGAGAGGAGCAGCCCGGGAGGGAGAGGCCTGGATCCTGGTCCCTTCTGGGGGAGCAGTGGAACTGGTAACCTTTATGAGTGTGGGCTCTGGAGAGAAGTCGCCTGGGTTCCAGCCCTGGTGTTGCTGCTTCTTGGTGTGAGCCACTGGACCTCACCTTCCTGCACCCCACTTTGTCATCTGTAAAATGGGGGTGATGCATACCTTTCTCACTGGACCTTGTGAAGAGTGTCTGGGACGTTACTAAGTGCTCCATGGTGTTTGTGCTCACGATGATGACCTCAGCCACTCCTGATTTGGTGTGATCTCAGAGAATCTCCATTTCTCTGCCTGTGAAATGGTTGGGGTTGTGACGGGGGATGCAAAATGGTGAGGCCCTGCAATGCTTACTGCCTGAGATCCAGGGGGCACAGCAAGCTTAGGGTTGATGCCCACCACAGGAAAGCGAGCCCTTGAGAGGAGCTGCAGAGAAAGAGAAATGTTCACATGGTGGAAACACCAGGAAGGGGAAATGGGAGGAGCGCCGAGACATCCTCGACATGCTTTGTCCGTCCGTCCGTCCATCCGTTCGTCCATCCACCTGCCCGCCCCCTGAGCCAGGGATGAAGCATTCTTGCAGGGTCATGTGCTGGTGCTTCTTTCGTCGGGAGGATTAAGGGCACCTGCAGGTCGCTTTCCTTTCATGTACAAAGGGCCACTCATTCAAAATGATGAGAGAAAGGCAGCAGTGGGGACAGGAGGTGACACTAGCCTTGGCATCTGTACAGGACAGCGTGGGAGGCCACAGGGCATCCTTCCTGCAGGTGGGCCTGTTGAGCAGGGCTCCAACACCCTGGACACAGCCGCAGCTTGCCTCTGGACTCCTGGGACCCTCTCTGAAGGCCTCCGTCTGACTCTGTGTCTCTCTACCCCTCCCAGGGGGTGGCCCACCACCTGAAACCTCTCCACTGCCTCTTCTGGAGTAACTCCTTTTTCTCCAGAAATTATTCCACTGCATGACTCACCAAGCACCTCCCAGCGTGGGCCCAGGATTGGACTTCTTGGGCTCAGCTCTAATTGACAATTGTTTGAGATCGACCTGGGGCCTTGGTCTGCATGGAGCTTAGTCCATGCAGAGTGAGAGTCTTAGTGTGTGGACACGGGCCTGAACCTCCTCTTCCTCTTCTATTGGCTGCCTTCATCTCCCAAAACTTCCTTCCCCTGCCCCTTGTTCACTTGCAAGCAGGTGACAGTGAGGTTATGTGGGAAGCAGAGAGGCTGCATGATTTGGGCCAGGGCCCTGCCCTTCTCTGCCCTCACATCTGCTTAGTGTTGTGTGAGCTTGGACAAGGCTGAGCCCCACCATCTCCTTGAGCAGTCATGCATGGAAAATAATTCTATTTGTGTAGCACACAGGGGCTAAGAGGAGCCCATATGCATTTGTGGCTCATGCTTGGGGAAAGTTTGCTCCAGAGCAGTGGCCTTCAAGCTTCAGGGGCATCAGAGTCACCTGGAGAATATGTTAAAACACAGATCACCACCTATAATCCCAGCACTTTGGAAGGCCGAGACGGGCAGATCACCTGAGGTCGGGAGTTTGAGACCAGCCTAACCAACATGGAGACACCCCATCTCTATTAAAAATTAGCCGGGCATGGTGGCACACGCCTATAATCTCAGCTACTTGGGAGGCTGAGGCAGGAGAATCGCTTGAACCTGGGAGGCGAAGATTGCAGTGAGCTGAGATCATGCCATTGCACGCCAGCCTGGGCAACAAGAGGGAAACTCCGTCTCAAAAAAACAAACAAACAAAAAACCCAAAACCAAAAAACACAAAGCGCCGTGCCCCACACCAAGGGTTTCTGAGCTTTTTATTCAGTAGGTCCAGGGTAGGGCCCAATAATTTGCATTTTTAAGGAGTCCTCCAGTGATGCTGATGCTGCTGGTCCCAGGACCACACTTTGAGAACCAGGTAAGGGCAGTGCCCACCCCCCCCCCAACCCTGCTGCCTTGTGAGAGTTGGGTATCAAGTGAGGCATTGATTCTCTGGCCCGCCATAGGCACTGGGCCAGGGGAACCTTCTTCCTGGCTCCATTAGCTATCCCCTCATCCCCAGGTCTGTGTTCCATGTCTGCGAGAACTTTGCTGACACCAGCTGCCTGCCTGTTCCACTTCCCCCATCAATCCCCCATCATGGTGGGTCCACCTTGGCAGTTGTTCCTAGAAAAGCTGAGTGGGTGAGTGGTGAGTGGGAACACTGCCCCCATACCCACCAGGTGACATACCACTGCAGTGGGAAACAGCAGGCTTAGGGGTAAGTCCTGCTGTCTGTAGGAAGGCCCCACCGTGTCAGGAAGGGGATACACGTGACATCGTGGCATGAGCTCAGGTCATTTCAAAGGCTGCAGTGAGAGCCCAAGCTCCTGATAAGATGCAGCTGTGTGCCCACAGCATCTTGTCCATCTTGCTCGGTAGGTGGGGCTGCAGGGTAGGCCAGTCTGGTGGGCAGGTAGAATTCCCCCACATCAGGTCAACCCTCATAGAACCCCTGGGCTGGACACCATGGAAGAAACAGCTGAGTAAGACTTGGCTCCTGCTCTCAGAGAGTTTGCCATCAGCCAAAAGTCAAGTTTGGAATCAACCCTGTTACCAGTCCAGGGAAAGATGCACCACCCACCCTTAAACCCAGCTCTGTTGCCCTGCAAGAACCCCCAAGCCACACAGCTGGCTGTCTGGCAGCTTGCTTGGCTCTACAGAAAGGCCTTTGGGCACCCCCTGTTATCACCTCTTCTTTTACAGACAGGGAGATGGGGGCCTCCAGAATGGAGGTCCGTGTCCCAGCCACACTTTGAGTCACAAGCTCCAAGGACTGTGGCTTACGCTTTTGCTGTCCCAGCCCATTGGAAGGTCACTTAGTGGGCAGTGACTTCCCACCACCTGGCTTTGTTGCCTCGGTGACATTGCACAAGCCCAGACTGCTGGTTTCGCCTTCAGAGAAGAGCATCCTAATTCAAACCATCCCAGACCCCATGTGTCTCTGCGCTTTGCTGTGACGCAAACCTCGGCCTGAGAGAGTCTCCTGTTACCTTTGCTTGTGTCAGGAATGTGGGATCTGTCCCCTGCCCCCTCCCACTGTTATACTGTAACCATCTCAGCAAAAAAACAGGCTAATTTATTATGGTCATTTCCAAACGAGACACACACAGTGACCTCTCTCATGCTTCCAGCCTGGCTAGAGTGAGAAAAATGAAACGGTTGTCAACAGTCCAGAGAAAAGAGGAAAGAACTCATAACCGGAGCCTGGGGCTGGGGCACAGATGTTTCTGTTCGGAGGTGCAGACAAGAAATTGAAAATGTAATTCCAGCTGGGTATGATGCCTTCGAGGGGCAGAGGCAGAGCCCCCGCCTCCCTCAGCTACCCCCACTCCCTGCGGAACCTCCCGTTCAGCTTCCATGCTGACCATTTTGCCCAGGCTCCCTGTCCACAGTGCCTCCCACCCATCGGAGGAGCATTCTCTGGGCGCTGTCACTCCCCACTGTCCATGCCAGCCCTCTTCTGATGCCCTGCCCCCCACACACACCTGCCCTGTGCTGGCTCTGCAGTCATCAAGCTGTGTGAGCTCCAGAAGGTCTGGTTCTGCTCCCAGCCTTAGTTTCCCCATCTGTCCCTGGGGTCTAAGGATCCCTCTCCTGAGCTGCTGTGAGGTTGAGAGAAGAGCTGTGGAAGCACTGCCTTTCCTGTGAGCCACAATGGCCTCTGGGCATGCGTTGGGGAGGAGGAGGAATCAGGTGGTGGCAAGTTGGGCCAGGGCTCAGGAGCAGGCAGAGAGGAGAGTGCAAGGCAGGGCTTTGAAGCGTGAGCCAGCGAGGACCATGGTTTCCCTGCTGAGTGCCTGGGAGGGCGGGGCCACTCCCTAAGCAGGCGTCCAGGAGGAACAGCTGGCCTGGTGGGGGTCGTGTTCATGCAGCAGCACCCCCACCTGCCACCTCCACCTGGAGCCCAGGCTGCAGGCACTGGTTAAACCAGCTTTGCCTTGGAGCCTGGCCTGGGTGCTGACGGGGACCCGCGGGTGGCAGTCAGAGAACACTTCTGCAAAGAGGAATCTGGATCTGATCCTGCAGGATGGCGGACTGGGCAGGGCCCAGCAGGGGTTAAGGCCCAGGGGTGAGGGATACCCACGTGGCTCATCCTAGAGCTGCTCCTCATTCCGAATGGCTGGAGCACGGGAACGGAAACTTTCACACAGGCCTATTTGTCTGGAGATTTAAAGCATACAAGAGGCGTCCCTGGATGCTTTTCTACCAGTCAGGAGCTTTGAACTCAGGCCTGCTGTCTTGTCCTGGCTGACACAGGCTCTATCAGGCACCTTTTTCCCCATGAAAAACACTGGGTCCATCAACGTTGAAAAGCAGTTAAGGCAGGTAACCACCCCTCTGTTGCAGTGATGCCTCTGGGGGGACAGGGCCTTATTTTCCACCATGAAGTGCCTTTCTCTGTGATTTTAAGTTGACTTGAGCACCAGGGACCATGGTGTTTTTACGGAGCGAGTGGTCTCAACGGGACAATTGTGTGCCCCTGGGGTTATTTGCCAATGTCTGAGGACATTTTTAGTTGTCACAGCCCTGGGAGAGGATGCTAAACATTTCATAATGCACACCACGGTCTCCACAACAAAGAATTACCCAGCCAAAATGCCTTAGGTACCGAGGATGAGAGACCCGGCTATAAACTGGCTGGCTGTCAGCCGCCTCCTGCATTAGCACTGATGAATGAGTCTGGAACTTTGATTGTGTCTCTTCTGCTCCTCAGAGGTGTTTCCATTTCATCCCTCCCCTTTCTGTGCCTGTCCGCAGTTGTTGGTTGCATATGCAGAGCCCTTCTTACTTGTCCTTGTAATCGACTCACAAGCTTTCAGAACCATTCCAATCGGGGAACGATTCGATTCGTCCCCTACACTAGCACAACATGCGTCATGGCTCAGCCCTTTCAATTTTTAAAATGTCTCTGCTTTGATTTTCTATTGTAATTGCAAACTGCTTCCCTCTGGTGTTTCCAGTACTCTCCCTGCATTTGCCCCTGTTGGCTGGATGGAGCGGGTTGGTTATGTCTGTAGAAAGCCTCAAAACCAAGCTCAAACTCAACAGCCTGATAGTAAGACTCAGCCACTGTGGTGACACAGATGTTGTCTAGTGGTAGATGAGTGTGACTCACCCCTGCACTGAAGCAGCTTGCCAGGATTCAAGGAATTTGTAACTTGGGAGCTCATACGAGGTACTTCAGTCTTTCTGAGTGGGGAGGGTAAAGGCTTGAAAAGATAGAGAGGGGCGGGGTGAAGGGGCCTGGGGACCAGGCTGAGAGCAGGCATGTTGCTCTCCTTCCTGCCTCCCTTCTGCCACCCTCTGGGAGTCTGGATTCAGGATGTGTTCCTTAGTGTCCAAGATTTCAATGCTTGCCCACAAATCTTAATAGAACAATAAAAGCTTTTTAATGACACACTCCAAACTGCAAAGATGATGAACAGAACAAGAAAATTGAAAATCTCAAATGCTCATCGTGTTGCTGCAGATTGCTAAGGTGCTTTTAACCCAGCAGATGTAATAGATGAACTCAGTACCCAGGAGCTGGGGTCAGCACAATGCCTTCCCAGCCTGCTTACCTCCAGAACCTGCTCAGTTGTATAAGCCAGAGCAGTGGCCATTTTCCTGCTGGTTGGACCTATATTAGCCAGTATAGGACATCATCAGACTCCACCCCCAAATAGTATCAGCAATGGGCACTCACTGCCGAGGAGAAGTCTGACTTCACCAAGCCAAGCCAGTTTGTCTCCAAATACGGCACCAGTGTCTCTTATTTGAGCAGTGAAGATGAACGCTCTGATATGGATAAATTCCATCAAAGTGGCTCAACCCCAAAACCCAATAGACTCCTCTGGATCTGCTTGACACACAGAAGCCCAGTAAATAGTCTGAAGCACTTGGATAGCATAGAAGCACTTAATTCTTCCACATCCAATGGAGTAAGTGATGATGCTGGCATTTTCACTTCAAAACGATTGATGAAGGGGAGGTGGGGTTGTGGATGAACATGAAAGTGTTATCATATACCTCTTGTCACAGGTTAGACTGGGAATGGATCTCACCAAGGTAGTTCTTTCAGTATTTATTCTTGAAATATCTTTTAAAAATGTATGCAGATATTTTTGCACATCCAGATCTGTTTCTAAGCATTTATGACCAGAAGGATCCCAGGAACCAAATGGTTCAGGTGATAAAAGGGTACCTCTCAGCCTTTCATGCAGGCAGAAAAGGATTGATTGCCAAAAGGCCATACAACCTGATTTTGGGTGAGATCTTTCAGCATCACTGAACATCACCAAATGACACGGAGGAGGACGCAGAGAAAGTTTTGGACACAGTTGCCCCAAACAGTGTAACATTCCTGGCTGAGCGTGTTTTCCAGCATCCACCTGTTTCAACCTTTTATGCCGAGTGTTTTAACAAGAAGGTACAATTCAGCGTTCCTATTTGGACAAATCAAAATTTCTTGGGTTGTTGACTAGGGAGCACAACGTAGGGCAGGACTGCGTCTTGTGTCTAGACTAGGATGAACGTGACATCCTTACATTCCCCGATGGTATGCACGATCTATCCTCACAGTGCCCTGGGCAGAGCTAGGAGGAGAATGCAATATTAATTGTTCCCAAATGGGCTGCATGCAAATAACTTCCACACCAAACCTTTCTATAGGAGCAAGAAGCACAAAATTGCCATTAAGATTTTTTTCTCCAAATGACAAGAAATCTTTCTGCTCATTCAAAGGGAAATGGAATGGTGTAAAGTATTCAAAATATGCAAGGGGAAAATTTAGTCTTTACAGATACCAAGAGGGAAGTGAGTTGGAAGAACGGAGTGAATATGAACCTTGCTGCCTTTGGAAGGGACACTTTCAACCTAAAAATTAGAGACTTTGATGCAGCAATTGAAGGAAAGCACTGACTTGAAGAAAGACAAAGAGCCGAAGCCTAGGAAAGAAAGAAAGAGATTCAGTGGAAGTTTAGGCTATGTCATAAACATGGGGAACAGTGGGTTGAGGATGAACCATTGACTGAAACCTCTTGGTGGTTCCAAGCCTTCTGTTGGAAAATGCAACTGTGTTACTTTGGGAGAACCTGTTCCCACCCTTCTCATCGCAGTTCCAATGTCAGGAATCCTCGACTTTCTGGATGTAGATGTACAATTCAGTTGAAGTGAGAAAAGCTTCCCCTTTTTCTTCCTCCATGGCAGTTAGATTTTCTTCAGAATTGAAGAAAATCTTCAGGTTTTGAAAACAAGATGTCTGTTCCCTGCCCAAACCTCATACTTTGAAAAGCATTTATGAATTCCAGCCTCAAACTCTGCACTGTAGAACTGCTGTGAGATATTCAACATCTGTTTCCTAGTTCATATATAGTCTTAGGATATCTGTATATGTATAATATACCTAGTGCCAGATTTTACGTAAACACTCCATCTGCTATAAATTTGATTCTTCTGAGTGTTTTTAGAAAATTAGCACCATGTGTTAAAATCAAGTGCTAGGAAATGTCATGGTCTCACCTACAGTAACTTTTCGTTTTGCAACTGAACTGTTATTCAGTTGTCTCTAACCCTGGACCACAATTTAGTTATACTCCGTGCTTCTTCAGGTTAAAAAACAAAACAAAACAAAAAACTGTCGTGTTACTGCAGTGCTCACAGCCATTCACTACCTTTCTGTGGCTCTCAGTAAAGCCCAGAACCCTTACAAGTTCCTGCCAGCTTCCCGGCCCCTCCCCACCCTCTGTCCCCATTGTTTCGCACTCAGCCATATCTAGGACTGCACAGGTGCCTCTAAAGTGCCAACCATTGGGTCCTAGTGGAGAGCGGCTGGTCCAGATGTGTGTGGATCATTCATGTCAGTGGAGGGCCTCAGTGGAGGGCCCAGCAGTGCCAGGCGCAAAGTAGGTTGTGGCACAAAAGAATGCATCACCTGCCGCCTGGCCTCTCCATTGCTCTCTGGGGTCCTAGGTGTATTTGTGTTTCGTAAGAGACTGGTGTGTGGGTTTGTGTGAATTTGGAGGGGTGAGATGAGCAGGATGGAAACCGAACTATTCAAAGCCTCCAAGACAAAACCTTCAGGAAGTGGAGGCAAGAGATGGGCTCTCATCTGGGACCCTGAAGCTTGATCTCTCTTTGTCTCTCTCCTCACTCTACGCTTAGGTGGAAGGGGGCATCAGTGAACTGGAACGGCTCAGACCCCATCCTGTGACCGTTGGATGTGGGTAAACCCTGTGGTCCACCACTCATCACCTCATCACCGAGGATGACAGCTGAACCCCAAGCCTCTGGGGCAGGTCTCATGTACCCCAACCTGGGTCAGCATGACTGCAGAAGCATCCAGAGCCTCCCTGCCCCTTCCATGAAGGGCCCACCCAAGACTGTGCTGGGGACCCAGTGTGTTGCTGGGTCCCCTCCCAGCTGAGCTGTGACTGCTGAGTACTGGAAGGAGGTTGCCAGGGTCTCTGCTACCTTTGTCTGCATCCCTCCCTTGCTCCCTGCTGGGTGGTCCCTCACCCAGGCCTCCAATGTGGTTGGCCCTGGGGACTCATTACTTCTGGTAGCTGGCTTTCTATAAAAATGGGTCAAACCCATGTCAAGGGCCCAGGCTCATTTGTTCTACAGCTGCAAAGAGCGTGATGTGCACTGTCTGTGCTGATCATGGCTGGTATGGAGAATGTGGTAGGGTGATTCGCCCCAGAGCCCTTGTGAGGCCCCAGGAGAATGGAGGTGGACCTGGAGGGTAAGCTGGACCTGGCCAAGTAGATGTGGGAAAAGAGCCTTCCAAGGAGGAGGGACCTCTTGGCCATGGGGGGACAATAGGACAGGGATAAACAGAGGGACTGGGGACTAGGTGAGGTCCTTGGTACCTGTAGGGGAGCATGTGGGGAGAGGGCTGTCTGAAAATCTGGATGGGCAGAGCCTGTGGAGCCCTCACATTCCAGAACAAAGATGGCAAAGTTGAAATAGGAAAAGTGCAATAATCACTCATGAAGGGGATATAGTAGTCTGAGCCTTGTTTGTTCCATTCATTGATATCCCACCAGTTTCAAAAAGAAGATGAGAACATGCAGAAGTGCGGTGGCCTGCTGATGAAGAAGGGGGTGAGGAGAGAGGTTGTGTGAAAAGCACAGTGAAGGACTCCTCTGCAGTGGTTTACAAGAACAGGATGGATACAGGAGCCCAGGGGCAGAGCACTAGCCTCTCAGGGTTTCTGTCACATGGCTGCCCATATGAAGGCTGCCGGCCCTGTACCCCACCCTGTCTGTGCCCAGTGAGTGCTGCAGTTGGGACTGTGAGGGGGCTGTGTAGAGGTGGGTGTGTACGCACAGGAACCAGGGGATGCACCCCTGCTGTGTCTGCTCTGGCCCAGGGAGAAGCCTAGGAGAGCCACCAGCACCGGACAGTAGCTTGTCCCCAGCTTCCATGTGCGCCTGGGGCTCAGGACACAAGCAGCTCAGGAGCTGTGTCTCTCTGCAGTACTGGCTACAGGAGACCCCTTTTATTTTAGACGCCAGGCATGTCAGGGGTAAAACTGGCATTTGGTGGTGACAGCAAAAGCACTTGTCTTGTGTTCTTGTGGATGGGGCATGTGTAGAGGCCTGACTGTTGGTCTTTGGGGAGAGGCAGGCGGAGAGCCAATCAGGCTGGGAGGGAAGTGGGAGGGTAGGGACTGCTCTGTCCAGGCTGTGCCGAGGCCCCGGTGGGGTTTGCTATGTAAACTCCAGCAGCCATTCACAGCAGGCTTCCAGCAGAAATGCTTCCTATATATCCCTGAAATGTTTATGCATTTGTTTTCCTTGGCCAGGGATAGGGCGCTCCAGCTGAGCACCCGGGCAGAGGAAATCGGTTTCCCAGCAGCAGCCTTGTTTATCAGCCTGGGAAGGAAAAGTGTGTCTTTTCAATGAAACTCACTTAACCTCCTGACCAAGGTCCCTTTGGCAGCACTGGAGAAAACAAACTATTCCCAGTGTTGCTTGAGAAGACCATTTCCAACAAATTACAAACCTGCTTCTCTAGAAGCCAGGTACATTGTGCAGTTTCTTATTCCTTGCCTAGGTTTTCCTGGAATGGAAGATGAGCACAGCCCAGCACCACCCTCCCCCAGACCCAGACACTGGGACAAGTCCATGGTGCTGCCACCAAGCCTGCAGGAATGAAATACAGGCTCCTGACTCCTCACCCATGGGCGATCTCCATCCAAGGGGCAGAGTTTTCTAGGGAGACTGTGGGTGGGCTTCAGAGAGTCCAGAGCTGCCCAGATTATGTGAAAGTTTCCCCTCCCCTTGCAGTGGTCATTTTGGGAGAGGGAGTTGTGGTTAGCTTTTGTCACCTTTCCACCTTGCCCTTGGAGTCCTCCCCAGATGCCCAAGCTGGCTGTGGCTCCTTCAGGGAGGAGGGGCAGGGCAGCAAGGTCTTACTTAACCTGTCCTGCAGCAGTGCTGGGTGTTGCTGTGGGCCCTCTGATGAGCACATAGGAAGTGCTGGCCTCCTCTTTTGTGAGGGGGCTTCCCACTGCTAAGGACTGCCCCACGTCAGCTGATCCCCCCTCCAACTGCTGCTATGGCAGCTCTCCAGCCCCTCTGCCAGAGCCAACCTCTCCTCCACCACCTTTATGGAAGACCCGAGTCTTCCTTCTGCAGGATCCACACTTGAACTGTGCAAAGCACCAACATATCATTGCCTCCCAAATCCTGGAGATCAGACCTTCCCCACTCACCCCATCTCCTGCCCCACCATCTGTCGGGAGCTCCTCACCTTTAACCTTCCCCACTCCATGCGAGTGTCCCACATCCTGGGGACACAAATCAAGCTTTCAGGCAGTCTCCTTGAAGCCTCCCTCACTTGACTTTAGGAGTGGAGATTCACCCTCTCTGCTCCCCATGGCTAGGGGAAGGGGACCCAGGGACCCGAGCACACTGATGCTTCTCTCCAGGGACATCCTCACTAGCCCCGACCTCTTCGACTGCCAGCCCAATACTTTCTTCATCCTCTCTCGTGGTGGGAGGATCATTCACAGCACTCTCCCTGTTAGTTCTACATAGAGGGAGCACCTGTCAGAAGAGCGGTTTCCAGAGCTGCAAGAATTCCCTGGGGGTCAGAGCTGGGCCAGGGCTTGGAGGGGTGTTGGAGGCTGTACTAAGGCAAGCTTTGTCCAGACTCCACCTGACTGCTCCCCAGGGTCTCCATGTCTGAGCCCAAAGGGAACACAGCGTTGGGGGCAGGACCCAGCCCATCCAGAACACCAGCCGTGGAAGAGGAGCAGCAGCGCTCCCGCCCGCCGTGAGGGCCGGGGCTGGTGAAGTCTCAGAGAGGCTTCCACAGACCCTAGGCTCTGCTAAGCAAGGGTGGCACAGCAGGGCGTCTCTGCCCTAGTCCGGATTCACCACTCAAAGTGCTGTCTTCAAACCAGCAGCAGCAGCACCGCCTGATGTCCAGGCTTAGAAATGCGGACTCAGGCTGTGCCCAGAACTAGGGGATCCGAGTCTGTGCTTTCACTTAAAGCCTGCTCTGGAGGTTGTGATTTTGTGGGGAGACAGTGTGAAATGCACAAATAGCCACCAAAATGAAGTACTGAAGGCATGTGTGGGAGGCGGTCATGGGCACATGAGGAAGAAGCTGCATCAGATCCCAGGCCTGAGTGCAGCCCTGACTCCCCTGCTTCCTGCCTCTGGGGCCTTGAGCACTTGACTCGAGCTCACTGGGCCTCAGTTTCCTCATCTGTAGAATTACAACCTCCTAGGGCTGGGATGAGGATTAAGTGAGTTACTACATGGTGCAGTGCTTAGAACAGGGCCTGGCACAGCATCAGGACTCGGTAAATGTTGGCTCCTAATACTTCCAGTGAGATAGGAGGTGGTATCTCATCCGGGTGTTGGAGGATGAGCAGGGTTTTAACAAGTGGCGAAGTAGATGGAAGATCATTCCAGCTGAGAGGAACAGTGAAAGCAGAGACCAGGGAAGTCCTTGATGTCTGCGGGTCTCCTCTGGGGTGACCACAGTGTGGGAGGCCCAGAGCAGTAGGAGTGGAGGCAAAGAGCAGGAGAGGGCCTCAGACAATGGTCTGGGGCTGGGACGTTTCCCTGGGAGAGGAGAACTTCTCAGCGTGCTGCTTCAGACCTCTCTCTCCCTGGCAGGAGAGTGGGGTGTGGGGCAGAGGCTGGGAGCACATTGAGGGGATGGAAGTGAAAGATGGCTAGTGGCCTTTGCTACTGGAGGCCCAGTGGACCATCCTTACGTGGCCACTGAGCTCTTAGGGGATCCTAAAATTTGCAGGAGGCAGTCAGGTTGCCAAGTCTATTTGCAGGTATTTCTCCACCCACCACAGTCCGCCCTACTTCCTAATCATGCACTAATCCTCATGGGGGCTGTGGGAGCTTTAATTACCAGGCAAAAATGCCAGGCATTTGCGATAATAGAGATTGCTTAATGCAAACTCCAGCATGAGGGGGTGGACTGATAGGTGCGTGGGGGAGGGGCCAGGAAGAACATGGCTATAGTGTCTGCGTGTGTGTTCCCGGCAGACCTGTTATGCACAGAAAGGGATCAGGACCCTGCTGGTCAAGGGCCAGTGGCTACCAACGCCTGTGGGTGGCCTTTCCTGCCCTTCCTTTTTACGCCATCTCCCAGACTGCGGCGCTTCCTTCCATTCTCCTGCTCACCTTCCCACAAAATACCTATCTTGTGTCCTGTTCCTCCAAGAAGTCACTGAAGGCCTTCTCCATACAGATGGGGAAACCGAGGCCCAGACAGGAATCATTAGTTAAGAGTCCTCCTGGGCATTTCTTTTCCACAGGGGTCTCTTGGAGACCAGACCACCAGATGGTCTTGGGGCTGGATGGAATAAATCTGATGGGGGGTGGGGGTGATTCCAACCTGCCTCCTTTTGCCTCCCCTCTTGCTTCCCCCTCCAGCCCCACACCTCACCCACCACAGACCCCAGCAGCCTCTTCCCAAACTGCCCCTGGCTGCCTGCAGCCTTCCCTGGTGTTCTTTGATTCACCTGGGTCCTTGCCCTCTGGCTCCCCATGTCCATCTGTCAAATCCTACCCATCCCACAAGGCCAGCTCCAAGGCCCCTCCTCTAAGAAGCCCTCCTGGATTACCCAGCCGACAGTTCAAGTCCTCCCCTCTGAGTGCTCACAGGACTCAATCACCTCCTCTTTCACAAGCCTAGGTCTTAATAGTTAGAGGGTGTCGGTCACCTGGCCACAGGTGTATGCACAAGCAAACACATAAGCACATGCACACACACCCCTGTACACCTCTAGTGCTGTTTCCTTACCCCTGGGCCCGGGGCTCCTTCCTCCCTGCCTCTTTCCCTCCCCCAGGTACCTGTCCCACCCTGGGGGACAAGCCCAAAGCTCCTTCTGCCCACTTTGAGGCCCCTCCCCTGCTCACACCCACTCCAGGCAGAAAGCCTCGGCAGCTGGGTGTCAGGGCGGGAAGGTGCTGCCTGAGGCTCCAAACCGTTGGTTCCAGGTGTGGCTTTGAGATTAAACCTGGCGCCTTTCCTGTGGCCCTTGATAAGGGTGATCCTGAGTGTTTCTCTGGCATTTTCTGTTTAAGGCCTGTCTGAGGTTCAGCAAAGTCCCACCTCCCCACGGAGCCCTCCATGATAAGCACAGCACTCGCGGGTCCACCTCCCTGTGGCCTGCTCTGTGGGGAGCCCAGGGTTGGCACCATTCCTGGGCCCTGCCCCTCCCCTCCCCTCCCCAGCACAAGGACTGACCCTGAGGAGTGCTATTAATAATTATATCAGGACAGTTTTGTAATCAGGAACTGCCGTGCACGGGAACTGTAGTCTGCGGGAGGATTGTTCTGTTACTGATTGATCTCCCACCACCGTGCCCTTCAAACTCCGGGTTCAGATCCTTGGATTGTATTTGGGGGTTGGAGCTCAGATGAGGGGAATCCTCTTGGTGGGCTGGAGCAGTCGAAAGCTTCTTGAAGGGGGAGGATTGAAACTGGACCCTGAAGGAAAGTGGGTGGGAGGAGGGGCAGAGAGCATTCCAGATAAGCAGAGGGTCTGGGTTGTCAGGGGCAAGGGGCCTGGGGAGTCTGGGGGTGGTGGGAAGGTTAAGGATGTCAGGGCTGGATCCTGAAGGGCTTTGAATGTCAGGTTAAGGAGCTTGAGCTGTGAGCACTAGGGAGCCATGGAGGGTTTCAGAGCAGGACAGTGATGGGTCCAAGCTGTTTGGGAAGACTGATGTGGCAACAATGTGGAGGACAGATCAGAAGGAAGACGCTAACTTCTTAGCTGGGGCCATGGAGAGGAGGATCCGGTGTGAGAGAGCCTGCTTTTTTTTTTTTTTTCTTTTTTTTGAGACAGGGTCATCCAGGCTGGAGGTGCAGTGGCACAATCACAGCTCACTGCAGCCTTGATCTCCTGGGCTCAAGCAATCCTCCTAAATCAGCTTCCCAAGTAGCTGGGACTACAGGTGTGTGCCACCATGCCTGGCTAATTTTTTAATTTATTTTAATAGAGACAAGGTCTTTCTGTGTTGCCCAGACTGTTCTCGAGCTCCTGAGCTCAAGCGATCCTCCTGTGCAGGCCTCCCAGAGACATCCTGCCTTTTAGTGCTTCAGCCAAAGGAGCAAGGTGGTGGGCCCATGGACCCGCACCCAAGTCCCCGCTCTCTTCCCTGCTTCCTGGCAGGCAGATCTTGCCTCCAGCAGCGGTTCCGTCTGCCTGCTTCTCCGTCAGCACTGGTGGCTGCAGCTGTCCCTAGAGCATCTTTGCAAAACATCCCCGCCACGTGATGAAGGAAGGCTTCCTCTGCCCCCGTGCCTTGGCAAACCATGAAGGAGGGGGCCTCAATTCGAGGAAGTGCCCAGGGCTTTGTTCTGGCTCCCGCCATGGCTGGACCCACTGTCTATTGTTTTCCATGCCGTTGGTGACCTTGGGCCAGCTGGACTGGCTGGCTCCCACCTCCAAGTCCATTGCGGAAGACAGCCAGGCTGGCAGGATGATTTTCAGTCCCTAGGTGGTCTTGAGTAGGCCCCCTACCCATGGAGAGACTTAGTTTCCCCAGCTCTTGGGGGTCCCAGTTGGCATTATGGAGACTGTTTATCTCCTGAGGACCAGGAATCTCTTATTAGGCAGGAAAGTGAGTTCCCAGCCCCAGAACAGAGACCCATACCTCCTCCTGTGTCTGCTGTTGTTGGGGGCCCTTGTCCTGGACCTGTGGATCAGAGGCGCAAGTCTGTCTGCCATTCCCTCTCTCTTGGTTTTGGGGATCCTTGCTGCCCCTACCGCAGGGTGTGGTCTGTGAGGAAAGGGGCTTGGGTTGGATGATGAAGTGATTACAAGCTTCTACTGGAATTTGGACCACCTGAGTTTAGATCTTAGCTCCAACCTCTCAGTTGTGTCACCGTAGCTAAGTTACAAAATATGCATGCACGCACACACACACGCACGCGCACACACACACATGCACACACACACACACACATAAAGTGACCTTTCTGAGCCTCAGTTTCCCTGTCTGTAAAATGGGAATAATAACAGCGTAAACTATATAAGATTGGTGTGAGGATTAAGTGTAAGGTGCCTAGAAGAGCACCTGGCGCCTAGTAGGTGCCCAGTAAATGTTGGCTCTTTTGCCATGAGCTGATAGGAGGGTGTGGGGGTTGGGGCAAGTTCACCTCACTGAGATTCAGGAAGGGTGACCGTATGAGATGCTGTGATGTAGTGAGGTCTGCTGGGCATTGTCTCTGTGGACTGATCCCTGGAAATCAGTCCCTCCCTGTACCTTTCCAAACCCAGCCCTGAAAGGCAAGGCCCTCCTCTCCTTTCCCTGGCTCTCCAGGCCCCATAGCTGCTCCTGGGCCAACTGGATAAATGGCTTCTTCTCTGCTTGCCCCCTTAAGGCTGTTCCTCCCTGCTCTGGGCTTTGGTTCCCTGCTTGTGAAAGGAGGTGATTGGATGAGGAGGCCCTCCCTGCACAGCGACTGGGCCAGCATTCCCAGCAGTGACCACTCCTGAGACTGAGATCGAGGGCAACAGGGACAGACACTGTGTACAGCCCCTAACGAGCCTGGCACTCACACCTCCCTGGTGACAGATAAAGAAACTGAGGCTCAGCCAGCCAGGTGCTGGCTCGGGGCCTGAGGCTAACAGATGGCAGGTGCCCAAGCTCTCCCTGCTCATTCCTCGCCTCCCAGAGGATTTGCTGAGATTCTGGAAGGCCCCCAAGCAGGGCAGAGGAGAGGGTGGGGCTTCCCGGAGCCCCTCCTCTCCTATCTTCCTTTATTTCCTGAGACTTATTTTGGGGACTCTGGAAAAATCTGTGAGTGTCTTGGTTTCTATACCCGTGTGCTATTGTGTGAGAACCCAGCCTTTCCTTCAATTCAGACCCCTCCCCTCACCCCTCACAAGCAGTCCGGAGGGAGAGATGGGTCAGTGCCCCTGTCTGGCCCACCTAGAAGGCAGCCAGCCCGGGGACGTGACGCAGCCCCAGTGCCTCCTGCAAAACCCACTTCCTATCGCCTCTAGGCCACCACAGAAAATGCCAAGCACTTTTTCCTTCTTCCCAGCTAAGGCAGACACATCTTGGGTTTATTTATCTAAGGATTTTCCATTTCCTTTTCTGGAAAGTCGTTTGGGTCCTGCACGTTGCTGTCTCCACAAAGGAGGCTAGGAAGAGAGGCACGTGTCCCCAAGAAGTGAGAGTGGGGAAGGCTGAGAACCCAAGACCTGTGGGACTCAGCAGTGCTCACGCTGACACCTGCCTGAGGCCGTGATGATGCCCAAGGCCTCTTGGGGTGGCCTGTCATAGGGATAAACCTGTTTTAGGAGTGAACAACCCAGGCCAGAGCAGTGACTTCCCCAGGGCCTCATGGCACGAGGCTGCCAGGCCTCCCTTGCTCGTGACTGTTCTCACAGTTGTCTTCAGAGGCCCTAATTGAGCTTCTCATTCAGCCCTGGCTCCCACTTGGACGGACTTGGGTGGTGTAGGACTCCCTGAGGGCAGAGCCCCTACATCTTTACCTCTACATCCCAGCCTGGGTGCTCCCGAGGCAGAGCCTGTCCTCCTCGTCTGCACCAACCCAGCAGTGGGAAGCAGAGCATCCCCATGGCTCCAATTCAGGCTATGGAGAGAAGACAGGCTCACGTGGCCACATCCTGGCAGCAGCATGCCATCCCCGCTCCACCAGCTCCTCCCTGAGAGTCAGAGCCGACCGTGGGGAGAGGGGCAGTGAGGGAACCTCCCCTGCTCCTGCCGTGGCTAAAAGCCCACCCCTCCTGGCCCTCTTTCTGCCTGGACCTTCCTCTTCCCAAACCACCTCCCTTCCTTTATACAAACAAATCTGTCTGCCATGTTCCCTACTCCAGGAAGCCTTTCCCGATTACTGGAAAGAGGTGGGGCTCTTCCGCTGCCCAGAGATCCACCTCACCCCTTCCTGTGGCTCAGGCCTGGTCCCAGCTGCCCACCCCTACACACCAGGGCAGCATGGTAGAGCATCACAGCTCCAGGGTTCCTCCATCGGCAGGGGCGTTTGAGTCCACTAGTGCCTGAGCCAGTAAGTGATGGAAGGATGGTTTCCTGTGGGCATTGACCCTGGCACTAGCTCAGGCTGGGCACCGGGGCACTGTGTTATCAGAACCATGATGACTCCGCATCAGGGATTCACCCTACTGAGGTGCCGGTCTGAGTCCTTTCCATCAAAAGCCCTGCTACAGCCTGCTTTTCAAATCTCCTGATAGGAAGATCTGCTTGATCAATTTCCTGGACGGCCAGAATTGGGGAAAAGACTTCGTATTGGTGATAGGCAGCTGTCTCTGTTATCATAGAGTAAGAGTTGGTAAATACTTCTTTCCTTTCTTGCCATGACTTCCAGGAAGCGCAGATGGAAAGTGATGCTGAATGGCAATCTGTCTGTGATGCCACGAGCAGCTTCCTTCCTCTCTTTGGTTTTATTTTCACTAGATTGTTGTTAGGAGTTTTTCTTGTAATTCAGTCCCTTAGTGTTCAAAGTGTGGTTCTGGGACCAGCAGCATTGGCATCGCCTGAGCGTTTGTTAGAAATACATAATCTCAGGCCCCATACGGCCCTACTAAATCAGAATCTGCATTTTAACAATACCCCCAGGTGTTTACGCTCACATTATAGTTTGAGAAGCACTGATGGAATCCCAAAAAACTTTTTAAATCAAAGTTGCATGAACTAAGACCTGTGATGCCTCTTCCCCTTTCCTATCCCAATTTCCCTACCAGGGGCCTCCCACGAAGCCCTGTCCAAGCCCAACCACACCCCATTCAAGCCCCACCACACCCCATTCAAGCCCCACCCCTTCCAAGCCCCACCCCTTCCAAGCCCCACCCCTTCCAAGCCCCATCCCTTCCAAACCAGCCCTTGTTCTGATTTTGCTCCTCATTCTGCTCCCTGGCAGGGTCAGTTACTGAAGGCTGTGGGAGGGGACCCTCTGTGTTGTGGTCTGTAGGGATGAGGAAGATAGCGAGCTTGTGCCCCAGGATCGGGACCCTCCAGAAGCTGGCTGATCCCTCACAGACTAAGTTGACCCTCCTATGGCACTGGGCCCTCAGGGTTCTGCTCCTGGGCCAGGAGGGAACACGAGACTGTTCCAGGCAGGGCAACTGTTTCTTCAGATGCCTTGTCCGTGCATGCACACGTGTGGTGCACTCCTGGTGAATGGGACATCACAGGTGGTCACACTGGGCCCAGGTACTGTCGCCAGGACGAGGCAGGAGCAAGGAGGGCCCGAGAGACCTGGGAGTGGTTGGCCTGAGGAGCTGCAGCCCCAGGGAGTGGGTCCTTAGTCCCGCTTCTGCTCCAAGAGCTGTCACTAGGTGGAGGGTGCAGGAAGTGTTGGATCTGCGGCCTGCAGGGAAGCACTGGGACAGGGGGCTGAGTTCCCGGAAGCCACATGTAAGGAGCAGCCTTCGGAGCTGGCCCACGGTGGGACCAGCTGCCCAGGAAAATGACCAGGGCCCCACCAGGGGAGCACCCACGTGGGGGTTAGTGGCCCTCCAGCAGGGATTCCTCCGGGGGATTCCAGAGTCTGAACATGTGTGCTCCCAGGCTGCCTTTGCGAGGCCTTCAGATCCCCAGGCTCCATGAGTCCAAGCTCTGCCTCCTGCTGGAAGGCTTTGTGACTTCTGCCCTCCTGATCAGCTTCTCCCCCACCACTCCAGGTGTTTGTGAGTCTGGGCACCCTTCCAGCCTTCGAACCTAGGGCCTGGACCTCCTCTGTCCACCCATCCTCAGGCTCAGCGGGTAGAGAAGGGCAGGAGATAAGGGCAGACCCATGATGCAGGCCTGGCAGGCCCCTCCATCTTGGCTAGCCCTGAAAAATGGCCACTTCCAAAGCCTCTGGTTCTCGAACACCAAGGGCTTGGGGAAGGACCCTCATCCCCCACACCCAGGTGGCTGCTAGTGCTGCTGTATTTAGCCTTCTTCACAGGCCTGGGCCTGGCGTGGGGACCCAGGCTTCCTGAGTTCCAGGCCCTGCAGCCCTAACCACATCTGGCCCTGGCTCTTCAAAGGCCCCCGTGATGCCAGCCTGGAGTGGGGTGTTCAGGGAGGAAGTGGGGACACGGGTCCTGCCTCGGTCATGAGGCAAGTCCTCTGCTCTGCTGCATGCCCTGCCGGCGGCCACTTTGCTGTTTATGGGGCTGGGGAGGAGTAGGTCGAGACTGGTTCGCTGTGTATGACATTGGGGAAGTTAACTGAGCCCATGGCCTCAGTTTATTTTGGTGCTATGGGGTTGTAATGGCCTGCAGATCCTGCTGCTGTGATGTTCCAACGCTCTGGTGACAGGAAGGCCTGGAGGATGTGGCATGGGGGGCTTGTGAGGTGGCTTCCCAGGACCTGTGTACCTGTAGAGCAACATCATAAAGCAGGAGGTGTGTGTGCTGGGGTGAGGCTGGGGAGCTGGGAGCTGGCTGAGACAGGGGGCCAGGGCAGGGGACCATGTCATCATTTTCTCATTAGGTGAGACAGTGATCTGTCCATGTGAGATGATCTTGCTGGCCCTGTGGGCTCCAGGAATGTTGGCTTCACATGAATAGATTTACCAGATGGACCTCAGAGGGAGGGGGATCTCTGGGTGGACAGGGGCAACGGTAGGCCCTGCCCACCCTTCCTTCCACCCTTCCAGGCCTCACCCACTGCAGCCCCTGCCCACAGCATCCTAGGGGAGAAAGACCAAAGGAGTGTTGCCCCACAGGTGGCCCTGCCCCATCCCTGCTCTTGGTGGCCCAGCGTACCTTCCTAACAGTGCCTGGTGGGCTGGCAGATGGCAGGTCCCGTTCAGCTTTGAACACCTTCCCAAGCTGCCTGAACATGGAGCCTGCTCCCCACCCACCTGGCTGTGCATAGAGAACTGGGTCAGGCCTAGTCTCTGCCCTACTCAGGGTTTGGGGTACCGTCTGGAGATAGAGACCAGGACACATATATCAAAGTGGGCCCCAAGAGGGGGCCCAGGAAGCAATGCAGTCACAGAAACACCCATAGCTTCTCTGTTCTGCCATTTAAACTCAGCTCTCGGTGAGGACAGGAGGTGAGGGAGGTCCCTGGATGAGGGGCAGCACAGGTGGCAACCGCTGTGAGCACTCAGAGGGGCCAGAGAGACAGGCTCAGGGCTGCAGGTGGTGGAGGCCACAGTGTACATGGCACAGGGCTTCAGAGGTGGCAGGGTGATAGTGACCACAGTGTGCATTGCTCCATGTGTGTGCATGTATGCACATGCGTGTCCTCACATGTGTATGTTCAGGCACACACATTTGTATATGTGTGCACACATGTACGGGTGTGAAACGTACATCGTGTGTGTGCAGATGTGTGTTGTCCGCGTGCACGTGTGTGTGCAAGTATGTGTTTGTGTGTACATGAAGCCCATGCACTGTCAGAGGTGGAGGAAGGGTTAACCAGGCCTATTGCCAGGTCTATTGCCTGCTTGTGACTTGGCAGGGCCTGCGGCAGGGACTGCAGACTCATCCTGAGGGAGGAGAGGGTTAGGGACCCACCCTCCACCTGGAGCTTGTTGCACGGTCCATGTGAGCACAGCTGGAGTGTGCCCACCTCCAGCCCCACCCTGTGTGCTGCTGGCTGGTGCTGGTGGTGGCAGCGGTGGTGTCAGGGCCACATTATGACTTCTGTGTGCCAGGGTTCTTTGGCCTTCATGGGCCCTTTCCTCCAGACATTAAGATATTAGAAATTCAATTTTACAATTGCGTTGGCATTAAGATGAATACATGAGTCCTGGTGGTGAGGCCTGTTTGAACAGCCCTGAGTGCAGTGAAGAAGGAATTTCACCAAAGCTCTGGGGCTACCTGCATCTAGGCCGTTCCACCATTGGGCCCAGGAGGGAACATGAGACTGTTCCAGGCAGGGCATCTGTTTCTTCAGCTGAAACTCACTGAGCTTTGCATGCTGGGAACACCGAAGAAGCCAGGGAAGCTTTGGCCTTTGAAGCAGCTGGCTTGAACCCGGAAGCTCCCAGAAGATCAGACTGGGCCAGGAGGCGGTGGGAGCAGTGTCAGTGGCCACGGCGCTCTCAGGAGGAGACAGAGCCAAGGAAGATGCAGTGGGAGATGGCAGAGGCAGCAGCCACCAACGACAGGGTGGGACTCACGCCGGGGGACAGATGTCATGGGAGCCTCCAGGAGAGAGAGAAGTGGACAGAGAGTCCAGCACCCAGAGACTCCCTGTGGAGACACCTGGCTGGAGGTGCGGGGTGGGAGGGGGTGGGGAAGGGGAGCATGAGAACCGCAAAAGGCCAGCAGATGGCCCAGAGCCATGAGGCAGTGGCTGCTGACTCTTCAGGGACTGTGGTGTCAATGGGGGGGTTGACAGGCCTCTATCTTGGCTGAGGCCCTGGTTGGAGATGCAAAAACGTCAGGTCCTGGGGGGCTGGGAGAGTAAAAGGCAGGGTCTCCTGTGGATTCCTTTTGCTGCCCAGGCCTCTTGGTTCCTGGTCAGGGAGGGCACTTTTCTGAGTCCTTGCTGCAGCCTGAGGAGGAGGTGGCCTCTTGTTAAGCAGAGAAGGGAGGAGGAAGAGGCTGGGTGTGGCAAGCAGAACAGGCCAGGCAGGACTGGAGACCCGGGGTTCCAGCCTAGCTCCACCCTGCCCCACCAGAAAACCCTCTGAGCCTCAGTTTCCCATGCACCAGAGGAGGGCGTCAGATCCGGTGCTATCTGACCCCCTCTCCCAATCCTGGTGCTTTGTAATCTAACAAGCCAATGTGGGAGACTTCTGAGGGAGCCCAGGTCGGGAGGAGCAGGATGGGAGGCTGCTGGGGCCTAGGAGAGAGGAGGAGCTCGGCGTAAGGATGTGCTCCAAAGCCACTTACACACATGACGCTTCCTTCCAGGGCCCCACAGCGCCGAGGCCACTCCAGGCAGAGGCCCTTGTTTGCTCTGCCCTCCCTAAGGGTGTGGGCTGGCAGCCTGGCACAGATGCCACCCCCAGCTTTTTCTGCAAGTGAGGAATGCCTGCCCTTTCGGGCCAGCAGGGATTCCTCACCCTCAGGGCAGGGCTGGGGAAAATGTGAATTCACCCCTTCCTGGACTTCCTTCCCACAGAGTTGGGGTGGAAGTAGGGCCCAGCCTCCTCAGGGCACCCTCATTCTGAGAGTTCAGTTTGACTCTCAAATCTCTGCCCCCATCCCTGAATGCAGCACCTCAAGCCCTCACGGACCCCAGCCTGGCTGATGGCAACTTTTTCCCATCCTGTCTCTGTGGCTCATCCTCTATGGCATGAAGCAGGGACCATTGCTGGAGAGTTGATGGTAAAACATCAGAAAACCATGCTTTCCAGAAAGAAATGAGTGCAGCATTATCCCTGCACCCCTAGGACAGTAAGCCTGGCCAGTGCTCAGGGCAGGCAGCGGCAGGGGTGAGGAGGGGGTGGGGGCAGGGAGAGAAGTGCATGGGAGGCAGTAGCCTAGAAAATTACTAAATTGTTCCAGCTCTGGTGAATCACTGGTGGCCTGCTAAATCCGCTTTTGATTTAAGAGAGATCGTGTGACACCTAAATGTTCAGGAATTATCTGTCAGACAGGGAGGAATTCACAGGCTTTGAGAGGTGGGTGCCTATCTCTTCTCTTGGGGGATTGAGATAGTCAGCAGATGCCACTAGGATCAGCCCCCACATGCCCAGCCCTGTGCTCAGCTCTGCAGCGGGGCATGGTGGGCAGAGACACAGAGGCCAAGGCCCTGCTTCGGGGACGGTGGGCCTGGGATGAGCATGGCCTTGGCCTTCGCCGAGAGTTCTCTTGTGAAGGAGGGGTCAGGAGGGGCTGCTGCAGCTGGGGAGGAGGGCGATGGCACTGTGGCAGAAGGAAGAGTGTGGGTGCCAGCACCCAGGCACGGCCAGCCTGGGGTATGGAGCCGGGGCCTCTGTCTAGAGCAGGAAGGTATGGTGAGGACCTCAAAAGGACAGCCACTGGAGAGCTCCAGGCAGAGGAACTTGAGAGGCCCTGGGGCCATCCTGTCTCTTTTCTGGGTCTGTGTGCTCTGGGCCTGGGCCCTTCCTCTGCTCCCCCGGGCTTGGAGAGGGCTGGCCTTGCCTCGTGCAAAGGACCACTCTAGACTGGTACCAAGTCTGGCCCATGGCCTCCTGTGGGTGCAGGCCTGTGCGGGTGACCTGAGAGCCAGGGCTGGCAGGTCAGAGTCAGGAGAGGGATGGCAGTGGATGCCCTGTGCAGGATCTTTAAGCAGAGCCAGGAGCCACTGGTCAGTTGGGATGGATTCACTGGGAGGAGCATTTTCTGATTTTCACCACCTCCTTTCTTAGCAGCCTCAGGGACTGGGTCCTTTCTTCCCACCCTCCATCAGGGTTCTCTGCCCCAATTCAGGAAAGCCTGAATGATTCTGGAAAATTCATCCAAGCTGTGGGCGAGCTGATGGTGACTAGATGGTCAGGACCAGTCTGCTGTCTGAGTCCCCTCCTACCCCAAACTCCATCTTCCTGGTGGCCCTCCTGGAGGGAATGAAGTCACTGTTTCCCCTAGCCAGGCTTGTGGGTGGGAAATCCCTGCTGGCCCCAGAGGAATGGTCCATCCCGCCTCAGCCCCTCTGCCCTGCACTTAGCAGAAGCTTCTGGCCAGTGATAGCCTCAGCCACACCCAAGGTCTGGACCCTCAGCCAACATCCGAGGCTCCGTCCACTCTCCTCCGGATGAAGCCCAAGGCTCTCCCACCGGGAGACGGGGCCCAGACAGTCCTGGGAACAGCCAGCTCTGGCTGGAACGTGGGTCACCCAGGCACGTCAGGAATGAGGCACATCTGGAAAAGCCTTTGCCGAGACCATTGCTGTCAGCAGGGCCAGGCAGTGCCCAGCTTCAGTGGCCTCAAGCCCCGCCCAGGGTTCAGAAGTGGGGGTGGGGGCTGCCCCCTTACTAGCTTGGCTCGGGCCCGAGTCCATGGGAGGACCCAGGAGCCAGCAGAGGGCGAGGGAACAGCACCTGCTAAGTCAGGAAGTCCTGGAAGAGAGCTGGGCTGCACACAGTACCTGCCCTGGAGCCCAGCCTCCTAGGGCTCACTGGGACCACAGGGGTGGCTCTGGCTGCCCTCAGCTCCTCTGTTGCCCACTCTTAGCCCGGTGCTTCCATTCCCACCCCACCACCCTAATTATACAGGGTTGTTGGAGGCTGTCCCCTCCCTCCCTCCCCACCCCCAACCCATCCTGGCACCTCTCTGGGCCTGCAGCCCCCAGATTTTGTACTGGGATTTCTGTCTGGTAACCAGGTCATTGGGGGCCCTTCCTGACAGGTGTGCAGAGAACTGCATTTGGGCTCTGGGATGGGGGCATCCTGAGTTTTAGTGCCAGCTCTGCCTTTCCTTGGCAAGTCACTTACAATCTGAGCCTTTCGGGGTTGCAGGAAACAGGCCCCAGCTGGACACTGTGTCCTTTCTTCCTTTCTTCCTTCTCTGGTTGGCCTGGATTTGTGGCAGATCAGGGAAAAGGAGGCGGAGGGGTTGGAGACGTCCCTGGGCCTGGGGCTCCAGCGGCAAGCCTTTCCCCTTTTTAGCCACATGGCCGGGTAACAGCCACAGGGCCCCTCGGAGGTGGTGGGCACGTGAGCTCTGTATTGGCATTCCTGGCCGTGCCTGCATTCTGGTGGCGCCTCCTGGCGACAGCCATGCCTTCCTCCAAAAGAATGGCACCATAATGGTGGTATTAAAGGCAGAGGCCACACTCACAAGGGGGAGAGGTTGGGAGATGCAAGGGGTGGTGGAGTGACACCCTGAGGACCCGCATAGCCTCCTGAGATTGGTGGGCACCTACTTGCCTGGACAAAAGTGCTTTGCCTGACCACTTCCCCCTGGTCCCCCTGGCCTCCTGCCCCAATGCAGAACAAGGGCTTCTGCTGAGTGCACACACACACACACACACACACACACACACACACACACACACACTCTGCAATACCTCGATCATCAGCCACCGTGTCCTCACCTAACCTGCGGGCCCTCACACCAAGATGGAAACTGCATGTGAACAGGAGCTGGTCTGTCTGGCTCGTGGCTGTCTCCCCTGTACACAGAGCAATGTCTGGCATGTGACACACACTAAACATTTATCCAACTATATGTTGGATAAATTAGTAAGTTCCAGATGACTCTCACCCACATGGGCCCCCTGGAAAATCATGGGTCCTCGGCTGCACAGATGCTGACCCAGCCACGGACACCATCATGGACACACGGGACATGCCTGGGTCCATGCAGGCCCGTTTTCCTGTCTCTGCCACTCTGCATGGCCACACTGGCCTGAGTTCAGTGGCTCCTTGCGGCCTGGTGCCTGCTCTGCCCCTGCTTCTTTCCTCAAGTCTTCTTGGCTGGGTCCCAGCACCCGACAGCCTCAGAACATAGCAGGGCAGGGACAGGTGAGGGGAGGAGGAGGTGTGTATGTCCCTCAGTAGACATGGTCTACGGGAGATGCCCAGGAGCCTGTGGCCTGAAGGGAAATGGCCATGTTCCAGAGGACCCTGGTCTAAGGGGTGCCACCCCTGCCCTCAGGAGCCAGGTCTGCAGGAGAAACAGTTTGCCCTCCAAAACTTCAAGGTGAGGGGATCCTAGCCCTGCAGAGAGAGCTCTGGTTGGACGCCCCTGAAACTGACCAGAGAGCTCCTCATGTGGGTCAGTGTCCCTGCCAGGGCATGGGGCCAGGGGCCAGGGGCCAGGGGCATGAGGGAGCCTCCCAGAGACTGGAATGCTGAGCCAGGGCTCCTCAGAGGAAAGGATGTAGAGGAGGGCCCAGGAAGTAGCCCAGTGGGGCCAGTTTCCTCTCCTGGACAGCTAAGAAAGTACTTATGACCTTCGGCCACCTGGGCTGTCTGAGCAGGCAGGGCCTGCTGGCCACCACCGTCCTGTACAGGCACTTAGGGGAATGAATCTTCCCCACCTGCAGCCCCAGCAAACACACACCAGGCTGGTCCCTGGCAATTCACCCCAAGAGCCAGGCCACAGCTGGGCAGAGGGGTGGCCAGTAACAGCTGGTGTCATTCTCTGCAGGATAGCCCCTGGACAAGAGGCATAAGACCCACTCATCCTTGCCCTGCCCCAGGCACACTTAGAAAAGTCCTCTCACCGGGCCTCAGTTTCCCACCTATAAATGGGAAGATGCCAACACGCCCGAGTGGGACTGTGGTGGGGCAGGCAGGAGGTGGGAGGAGAGCCCAGATCATCCCAGGCCTTCCCTAGGGGACGCAGGGGGACCCTCCCTTCTGGGCCTGGTTCTTCCAGCACGTTCCATGCAGCAGGCAAGAGGGCCAGGCCCAGGGGTTCCTGACAGCTTGCTGGCCCTGGAGTCCAGATTCTTGTTTGTTGGCTGGCGCTAGGCCTCTGGATTGGAGATGCCCGGGGCACAGGCGGCCCACGGGGATCTGCAGCAGGGCCTCGGCCCCTCCCTCTGCAGGGGCTCGTCTGGTCCCTCCCGCTCTCTGCCTCTCCTCATTTATCTCTCCCTTTCTGCTTCTTGGCTCTGGGTCCAGTCCTATCTCCCCTGTTTCAGTTTGTCTTTTCCTAGCCCTTTGCGCTCTCTCTGTCTCTCTCAGCCCTGCTTGTCTCACTGTCTCTGGCTGGGGGATCTGTCTCTTTCACTTCCACTTTTGCTCTATTTCCCTGCTACTGTCTTTCCTTTCTCCTTGTCTGTCTCTTCTCCTCCCCTCAGCCAGCATCTGTCTGTCTCTGCCTTTCTCTCCTGCTCCCTCCCTCCCTCCTCTCCAGCACCTTCCAATGCCAGGTGGGGCTGCCATTCCTTCCACCTTCCCAGTGACCCGCCAGTGTGACTGCCTTGAGAGGAAAGTCCTAAACTGTCCCTATCTTCACCAGCCTGCCCTCAAATCATTGGTTCAAATCGCTGTCGAGAAGTTTGGGAGCTCCCAGGGCGGGGGCTTTCTAACAGCTCTGCCTAGCTCGGGCCTGCCCTCAACCGCAGCATGCAGGGCAGCCACAGACAACCTCTCTGCAACTTCTGATGCCTCCGTGCCCCCATCCACAGAGCCCTGGCTCTGGGGGACTGGGGACTCTGGGACATCCCTAACATGGCATGCAGTGGCGGTGCGGGAGGACTTGACTGCCCCTCTGGAGCCCTGGGCCCGGGGACTCCAGGCCAGTGCCTCTCTGGGTCGGGATGGGGATGTCAGGCCAGCAGGATCATGGTACCTGCCTCCAGGGAGGGCAACGTCCACCCACTGAGTCCAGCCCGCCCACCCCACCCACTCCGGAGCACCTGGCTCTGCCCTCAGGAACTCCCTGAGCTTTGCACACAGGGCCGAGACACCTGGATTTCTCTGGTTCCCTGAGTGGGGCCAGCTTGGAAGAATTTCCCAAAGCCTATTAGAGCAACGGCTGCCTCCTGCCTGCCTCCTTGGGCTGGGCAGGGCTGAGGGCGGAGGGAGAGAGAGAGAGAGGGAGGGGGAGAGGAGGAAGGAAAAAGTTGGCAGGCCGACAGCACAGCCGTGTCTGCATCCATCCAGAGGAGGTCTGTGTGGTGTGGGGCGGGCCAGGAGCGAAGAGAGGCCTTCCTCCCTTTGTGCTCCCCCCGCCCCCCGGCCCTATAAATAGGCCCAGCCCAGGCTGTGGCTCAGCTCTCAGAGGGAATTGAGCACCCGGCAGCGGTCTCAGGCCAAGCCCCCTGCCAGCATGGCCAGCGAGTTCAAGAAGAAGCTCTTCTGGAGGGCAGTGGTGGCCGAGTTCCTGGCCACGACCCTCTTTGTCTTCATCAGCATCGGTTCTGCCCTGGGCTTCAAATACCCGGTGGGGAACAACCAGACGGCGGTCCAGGACAACGTGAAGGTGTCGCTGGCCTTCGGGCTGAGCATCGCCACGCTGGCGCAGAGTGTGGGCCACATCAGCGGCGCCCACCTCAACCCGGCTGTCACACTGGGGCTGCTGCTCAGCTGCCAGATCAGCATCTTCCGTGCCCTCATGTACATCATCGCCCAGTGCGTGGGGGCCATCGTCGCCACCGCCATCCTCTCAGGCATCACCTCCTCCCTGACTGGGAACTCGCTTGGCCGCAATGACGTGAGTGGGGTGTCCCTGGGCTTGGGGGGGTTCTAGAATGATGCTGAAAGGCACTGGTTCCATCCTCTGCCCATTGTGCAGATGGGGACACTGAGGAACGGAGAGGACAAGAGGTTGCTGGAGGTCACGTAGAGAGCTGGGGGGAAGAGCTGGGGCTGGAACTCAGCTATGCATGCCTCCCAAAGCCTGTTTTCTGCCAGGCACTGTGGGAAGCTGAGATCCAGAGAATAATGGTCTTGCCAATGTCCCCTGCAGGGCATCTATTATGGGGAATAAGCTTGGCCAGCAGTTCCTCGCCCCTTGGCTGTAGCTTTTTGGCCCTTCTCAGTCCTGCCTGTGCCGCCAGCTCCCTCCTCCTGCAGCCCTGCACCCTGGGGAAACTTTGCCCGCTGTCCCCAGCCACCCTGAACCAAATGCCCAGCCTGTCTGCAGCTGGCTCTGCAAGTGTGTGAGCAGGACTCCCTCAGGGAGCCCCCCATATTCACACTAGTTTCCAAATAAACCACCTCTAGGAATCAAGAGAAAGGCCCTCTTCCACTCTTTTGCCCCTGAGATTAGACAAAGATAAGGGAGTGAAAACACTCTCTGGGGCTGTTTGAAGGCAGTTTTCCTGGATTACAGTATGGGCTGGGGGGCAAGCGCTGGGCTCCATGGTCTCTAGGCACTGAGAGGTGTGGCGTGTGTGTGCATGTGCGTGTGCGTGTGTGTGTGTGAAGGTGTGTATGTGTGCATGTGTTTGCCAGCATGAGTCTCTGTGCTTGTGTCAACTGTGTGCATGTTTGTGCTGCTGTGTAAGGGTGTGTGGGGGTGAGTTTGCAACACGTGCCCATGGCTCCTGGCTTGAATGGGGTCTGGACTGGGGTCACTAATGACAAGCAGATGCTGGTGACTGGGTGGCAGCTGTGGAAAAGAATGTCTCCTGGGCTGCTTAGCATGGCAAATTGGCCCTGGTGGCAGCTGCCTGCTGTCCCAGACACGGCCTTTCCCAGCTCCTCAGACAAGTGCAAACTCAGGCCGGGCTTGGGCCACAGCAGGGGAGGATTTGGCCTGAGAGACTGGGGAAGGCTTGGAGGATGTCTCTGAGGGCCCAAGGGACAGGTGAGCAGGCCTGGGGGTGCCCTTACAGGGAGGGAGAGAAGCCAAGGAGCAGAGAGGAGGACTCGTCTAGAGAGATGAGGCTGGCGGGGCTGTGGGCAGGGCATGTGGGTGTGGGGACGGTGTGGGCCATCTCTGAGGGCGCCTCAGAGATGGCAGATAGTGATTACAGCAGCTGTCCTCTCGCTTCCCAGCCAAAGTTCAGATCCTGCGGCTGGCAGCCCAGGAGAGGCTAGGTGAAGGTCTGGTGCAGAGGGCAGCTGGCTCAGCCTGGCCATGGGGGGCTTAGCACTTCTGTGTCACGGTGACACCTCACCCAACCTCCTCTGCAGCCAACCTCTGCTAGGCCCAAGATTGAAGATTAGCTCCGTGGGCTGGAGTTTAGACTTTAGCCAGTTTAGACGTGGCCGCGGGGGATGTACGGGACAGAGCTCAGGCAGGCCACATCAAGCTCTGCCCCCCCAGGCCTCAGTTGCCAGTGGGTGCAGAGCTTGTGGCCTCAGGGAGTTCTGCTGGGTAGGGTCAAGCTCACACTGAAGCTTGGCTGGGTATGATGGGCTGGGGGAGCGTCCCTGTAGGGGAGTGGATGTGATTTCCAGGCTTTCTGGCCCCGTCTCTTCCCTCCCATCTCACAGGGCGGAGCCTCTGCACCTGCTGGCGAAGGCTTCACCCTCTAGTATGCGCATCCGAGGCAGAGGCGGGAGGGTGGGCCCCTTCTGTGCCATCTGGAACAGAGGCCACACCAGCCTCCCGTGCCCCATTCCCTCCCTGGCCTTCATTTTTTATAGTCACCCCAATACTTGGGCTGGGCGTGTTGCAAATGGGAGAGAAAGAGGAGCAGCCTAGTGTGGGGTCCGGCCCTGGGCTGAGAGGCAGACACCTGGGTTCAAGACGTGTCCACTGCTAACTTGTTGAGCTTCTTTGGAGCTGCGGACCCTGACCCTCGAGAGGGAACTCAGGTCTTGTGACCTCACAGCCACACCCAGACAGCCAGCTCACTTCATTGCTTTGAGCTTATCACCCATCCCACGAAAGCTGGCTAAGAGCAGCCCAGCAGGGGCAGTGCTGAACATAAGGGCGCTTAGCATGATGGTGGGGGCTCAGGCGCTGTCCTGTCCCAACAGTGGAAGGGTGGGGTTCAGGACCTCAACTCTGGGCCTAGAAATAGAGAAGGTACCCCTCTAAGGGCTCCCGTCAGACACTGGCCCTGGAACTGGAGGGGCCTCAGGGGTGGCCTGGATGCCTCAAGAGGAGCAGGGAACAGTCTGGGCAGCAGGTGACACACTCTCTTTCATGACCTGGGGTAGGCTCCTGCAGCCTCTCTGGCCCTGAGCCCCAGCCCAGTCAAAACCTGGGTGGGGCAAGTGGTTGGCATGGAGATTTCCAAGGAAAACAGAGAAAGATGTGGCAGGAAGTGGTTGGGGTGAGTCAGGGGGTGTCCCTTCGGGACATGCTGGGGACAACTTTCTCCTGACTGACTCAGGGCTCAGGATATGCCCTAGAGAGACCGTGGGCCTCCGTCCAGCCTGCAAGGTCCCGGCTAGTTCTAAGAGCCAAATACCAATTTTGGCTAAGGGTGAGAGGCTCTGAGGCTGGGGTGGACACTCTCACCTGTCCCTGTCCTAGCTCAGCCACTAACACCATGTGGCATCACACAACAGACTGGCCTGTGTGGCCCTAGTTCCTGTCTATGAGATAGGGACATAGCAGGGTGTGGCTGGGCTCTGAGAAGTAGGAGATGCTGGTGGACTCAGGATTCCTGGCATTTGCTGGCTTTTTTCATTCTTCTGCTGTCTGGTCTGCTCAGCCGGCTCCCTGCAAGCATGACCAGGGACTGCTGGGTGCTCAATGCAGGGCTGGGTTAGCCCGGCTCCCTCCCGAGAGAAGCCCACAGCCCTAGGTCAAGATAAGCCAGTGCCCAGCTGCCTGTGATATGAAGCAGGAGGCAGATGCGATAAGAGGTGTCAGGGCGGGCCCGGGAACTTTTGAACTTAAGGGGTGGGAGGGCCAGGAAGGCATCAGGGAGGAGGTTTCGTAGGAGCCTGAATGTGGAGACACTGCAGAGGGAAGGGGCAGAGGGACTGTGTGAGCAAGCACAGGCTAGGAGGAGGTGAGGGCCGTGGTACGGGAGTTGTTGGGTATGGTCAGGCTGGGGGTGCATGGGAGGAGGGTGGTGAGGGCTCAGGATTCGGGCCAGGGGCTGCATCCGGGGGAAGGGGTCTGGATTCCCAGAGCCTGTGATTTCAGCCCGCTGGGCTCAGGCAGAGGGCAAAGCTACCCTCTTCGGGGTCTTCTCCCAGCCCTGCTAATTCCAGGCCTGACTGCTCAAGAAGTGTTTCTACCTGCAGCATCAGGGGCCTGACTGAAGCCCTAAGTTCTCCCCTTTATCCCGTTTTTCTGGGCTTCAGTTTCCCCAGTCATAGAGTGAGAGGCCTCTTCATGCCACCAGTTCTCCCGGGGGTGCTGCTGCCTCCTCCAGAGCTCAGGGGAGGGATGGGGAAAGGAAGGCAGAGTTTCCATGTCCCTGCCCAGCCCGTCCTGCCCAGGGAGGGGCTGGGGGCTGGGTGGTGATGCCACATCTGGGACATATAATTACTGTTTCCGCCAGCCCCAGATGAGGGGGAGGGCACAGAGATGGGGAGCTTTGTGGTGGAGACTTCCCTCACCATGGAAAATCCTGACGCTGCTTCCCCTTTAGGGACCTCAGAACAGCCCAGCCGGTCCCAGTGTTGCCCACCCTGATGCTTGGCCCTGACTGGGATTTGCCCTGGGAACTCTGAAGGGGCCATGCTTTGAGAGGGGACACGGCCTCCTGGGATACCTGTCTGAGGGGCTCACCCCCTGCTCACCACTCCCAGGCCACAGCCTCCTGTCACACCTTGCCTTCCCTTCTCCACCCCAGGCAACCTTCTAGCAGCATGAAGTGGCCATTAGCTCACTGCAAGCCAATTCCAGATGGTACCCCCACTTAGTCTAGGGCCCCCACCCAGCAGGGGCCATGGCCCTTACCTTCTGGAAGCACCAATGAGTCTGGAGTCTCCTGAGTGGCTGGGATCTGAGCCCTCACACCGGGAGGTGAAGGCAGGAAAATGCTGTCCGCGAGGCCCTGCAAGTGGCCAGGATCCCCTCAGTCAGGGCTTCCCCATGGGGATGAGAGGGGCTCCTTGCCCACATGGAGTGGTGCCCAGGGGGATCATGAGGGGCTGTCTTCACTCAGCCAGGAGCTACAGTTCTGTGGGGTGGGCAGACTCTGAGGCTGAAATCTCCAACTTAAAAGATATCCGGAAAGGCCGGAAAATGCCCCCGGCCCTTCCAGCAGCTCCTTTCAGTGCCTGCAATCTCGCTGTCAGGGCCCCTTGAAAGGCAGATTTCTACTCAGTGTAAAGAAGGTTGTTGTTGATATTGTTGTTGACACGAAGAAGGGGCTGTCTCTAAGTCAATAAGCTCCCTGCCATTAGGGGTGTGCAAGTAGATGCTTTCTGGTGAGGAGGCTGCTTTGGGGGTGCTAGTCTATGCGGGGGTCCAGTGGGGTGGGTGACAGGTTCTGCAGCATAGGCTTTGTGTCATGCTGAGATCAGCAATTCTGATGGCCTGCGGGGGATCCTGTGCTTAGGTTTCTGGATCTGGGGCTGGAGAGTGACCACCCCGATGTGAGGCAGGAGGCACTTTTGGAGACTGCGGGGGCTCGAATCTGGGCCAAGGCCTCCATTTTACTGATGGGGAAACTGAAGCCCACAGAGGCGTGGAGACTTGTCAAGGTGGCACTGCCTCCTAGCCCTTGATTATTCCTGCTGCTCCAAAGTGTACACACATGGCACAAACACAAACATGCACACACATGTGCTCTTACGTGGAGGACACACACACATGGTACACAAAGCACATTCTCAAGACTGGGTGGTCCCACTCAGACTCTGGGACCCAAGGAGGGTTGGGCGGGGATTCCTCAATGGAGCCTTTTCCTCTCCCTGCCCTGGAGTTAGGAAAAGAAGGAGGGAGGGAGGGAGGAAGCCATTGCTTTGTGTATTGTTTCTTGTCAGGAAGATGAAATGGCTTCTGGGAGCAAATAAAGGCCTTGTTGAGACCTGCTGCTTTCTCACATGGGGGGCTCATTTTTTTCTCTTCTCTTCCCTCTCTAGCTGGTAGTGGCAGCTATGTGGGTGTGTGACACAGGGAGACAGTGAGGCACCCAGAAGTGCCATCAGACATACCAGTGCAAACACACAGCACAGCCTCCAGGACCTCATGTCCTGCAGGGATGCCTGTATGATATAGCTGTTCCCAGGGAGGCCGAGGCACTTGGTCAGTACCTCATCAGTTGATGAAAAAGAGTGTGCATTCTCTAATTCAGGGGTACAGGGTTTTCATATTTTTCTGAAGTCAAGCTTGTTAATTATGGGGTTCAAACCCTCCCTGATCATGTTATTGGTAGTTTTCGGCTGCTTCATTTATTCTGTACATTTCTAATAGAAGATTGTTAACATTTTTCACTCTGGTGGTAGGGTGATCCAGTCCTCCTTGTAATTTTGTCAATTTTCCCCTCATTTATTTTTAGGCTATGTTGTTTGGTGCATACAAGTGGGGGATTTTTGCAGTTCCTTTATAGATTTTTATTTTTTTTTTTGAGACGGAGTCTCACTCTGTCGCCCAGGCTGGAGTGCAGTGGCACCATCTCGGCTCACTGCAAGTTCTGCCTCCCGGGTTTATGCCATTCTCCCACCTCAGCCTCCCGAGTAGCTGGGACCACAGGCCACCACACCCGGCTAATTTTGTTTTTGTATTTTTAGTAGAGACGGGGTTTAACCGTGTTAGCCAGGATGGTCTCGATCTCCTGACCTTGTGATCCACCCGCCTTGGCTTCTCAGAGTGCTGGGATTACAGGCGTGAGCCACCGCGCCTGGCCAGTTCTTTTATAGATTTTTAAAATGTAATTATTGTGTAATAAACCACTTACAATCTAACAAAAAAGAGAAAGAGGGAGTCAGCCCTGGACACATGTGGTCATCACAGACACAGCAGACACTTATCTACAAAGACACACAGAGGCACACAAAACCAGGAATCCCCCCATGTCCACGTGTGAACACCCATGGAGGAGTGACACTCTGGAGCCCACATAGGTCCCCTCACTGCCCAGTGCTGAGTCTTGGAGGCACTGGGGTGGGCAGGGCAGGCCTCGATGTCTCCTATCCCTTGAGAACGAAAGCTCAGAGCCTCAGTCAGGCCTGGCTCTGGAGCCTGCTCTTCCCCAAGGCCAGGGCACCAGGGTGCCCAGGCCAAGTCAGGGGCCCCATGCCTTGGAAGCCACCCTGGTTGGCCTGTCTATGGGTAGCAGGGAGTGCTTAGAGCACATTGCCTGGAGAGATCATCCCTGGGCTGCCCTAGAGCCAGGACACACTGGCAGCCACAGAACCACCTTCTGCCAGCTCCCAAGTCCAAGCTGGGAATAGCCAGGTCCCTTGACTGGGCCTAGGAGTGGCCAGCCCATTGACCTGTGAGTGTAGGGTGGCACAGACTATGGGGCAAGGATCCTGGCTTTGCTGCATCCTCCCTGGGCCTCAGCCTCTGCGTCATCATCTCACTGAGCCATCGCACAGGCTGCCCTCTAGGGCTCCCAGAGGCTAATGATTGGCCCATTGTTTCCCAGCTAGAAAGTGAAGAAGACCGCCCTGGGTCCGGAGAGCATCTCTGGAGCCAGGCTGCCCCTAGCAAGGGTGGGAGTTCTAGAAAATTAGCATTCTCTGCCACTTCTATCAGCACACAGTAAGCCTCCCCTCAGAGGCGTGGGCAGAGAAATGGCAGAGGTCCCCCACTCTGTCTTCACCGAGCTCCCAGGCCAGGAGGAGATGCACCCACATAGGCCGCAGGAAGATTGATTTCCTACAAGATGCACAGAGAATTCAGTGAGGGCATGGTGGGTGGGAGCAGAAGTTAATTCCAGCCAGGGATCTGGGAAGGCTTCTAGGAGCTGGTGGGGTCTGAACTGGGCCTTGAGTAGTGGGCTTACAAGGGCTTAGCACAAAATGGAGAGCTTGTATCTTTCTGACACTTCAGAAGAAATGTGTGGATTATTCTTTCGGTAATACTTGCATTCACAAAACCCAGGGCTGCAGACAAAAGCGGGAAGACAATTGAGAATTGAGAATTGAGAATTGTTCTGATTCTTACTTTTTTTTTTTTTTTTTTGCCTTAATAAGACCTGGGCCAGGCAAAACTACCTGGGGATGTGCAAATATATATGTACATATATATAAAACAAGTGACTACAATGGGAACTGTCCTTGTTTAAGCAAGTTTTCAAATTTAATGGGTTGTAAACAGTAACGTACATTTGAAGTATTTTACCTGCTCTTTCCTGGACATTGAGTTTCAACAGGCCTTTGAGTGCCCCTTCCAATTCTGAATTATCAAGTGTTTCCAGATGTAAATAATGCAAGTGTATTAGATAGTTGAAGGAAGGTTGTCAGTAGATGTTGAAGCTATCAGGGGAGGCTTCCTGGTGGTAGTGGTAGTGGGTATTGGAGAGGAAGGCTGTCAGCCCATGTGGTTCTCAGCAGTCACGAAGGCACATTCCAGAATTCCCAGGGCAGGTGGCTGACCCCTCCCCTTCCCAAGGACTCAGAGTACAGGGCCTGGAACTATCACCCTCTGCTCTGCCCACTTTGCATGAAAAGCATGTTGTCTTTGGGTAGGGGCTGGGGCTCTCGCACCTGGTTAAGAACCAGAGGAGATGAGCTCTTTCTGGTCACATCTGTGAGGGATGGGGCTGGGAGGGTTCTCCAAGGCGGGAGCCACTTACAGCGATGACTCCATTAATCATCGGGGAAGGGCTGGTTTCAGGACTTCTGCCAGCTAGCAATTAGGCCAACCCTGGAGAGCAGAAGAGAGAGGAATAGAAGGAGCCACGAGCTTCCTGAGGGCTCAGATACAGAGGGACAGGGGCCTCACAGGTGCAAGTGTGGGTGGGCATCAGGACTAGCCGGGCTGGCCTCACCAGCCTCAACCCCATTCAGCCTGTCCTAACTCTGGGCAGGCTTCTGCCAGCAGCTCCACCCGCCGTCACTCCTTCTGCCTGTCCCCAGATCCTGCACACACAATGAGAAGAACCAAAACAAGAGTCACTACCACTGCCCCATCCCTCCTGCGTCGACAACTCTTTCCAAAAGCCCTGAGACGGCCCCTTTGGCCTTTGAACCTCCCAGCTGCTCTGGAGAGCAGGCACGGACAATGAGATCCATTTTGCAGATGGGAAGACTGAAGACCAGAGGGAATAGGCCATGCTCATGGTGCCAGAAAGTAGAAGAGTCAGAACCTGAACACAGGGCTTCTGCCTCTTTGGCCCAACCTTGGGACAGAAAGGGAACTGGGCATTGGCCAGAGGGCTGGCGGACCTAAGGGATGTAGCCCTGGGGTCCGCCAGGAAAGGCCCAAAGCTGGGGCTGCAAGGCAGGGGAGGGGATGTGAGTCATTCCCTGTAACCCAGGGCTGCAGACAAAGGCGGGAAGAGAATTGTTCTTGTAGGATGGCCTCAGGGTGGGGCTGGGAAAACCTCCAAGGTGTGCCCCCCTACCTTGGATTTTGCAAAATTCTCTATGGCCTTGGAGACACTCCCATATCCTGAGGATGGGAGCTGGGTAGTTTGTCTCCCAGCTGGGAAGTGTTTGGGTGCACCAGCCCTGCCTGGGAGAAGGCAGCCTAAGTGGCCTCAAGTGGGCATCTTTGCAAGTGAGCCTTTGCTGATGTGGTCCATCTCCCCTGTGTGAGTGCACTTAGCCCCTGGGACGGCCACAAAGCATAGTGGAAGGTGCTGGGGCTTCCTGGGGAGGGGTCCTCCGGGGGCAGCTGCATGGGGAGGGCCTTCATGACCTCACAGCAGCTTCCATTCCCTTCTCTTTCCATGAGTCATGTTTCTAAAAGTGGCCCAGGAGTAAGTGGCAGCCAGACGGTGGTGGCGGGGCCTATCTGGCCAGGCAGAGGGAGGGTGAGGCTGAGGCCAGCAGTGGGGAGGAAGAAGAGAGAAGGAGAGACAGGGAGGGCAGGGCCAGAAGCAATGGGAGACAGGCCTTGGACCAAGGAAAGAGACGGGGTGGAGAAGGAGAGAGAGAGGGTGGAGACAATAGGGAGGCAGGCACAGAGGAGAAAGAGGGGTGGAGGGAGCCAGGACCTCACCGAAGGCCTCCTCAGCCCTGGAATTTAGATGCAGTCGGGCATGGGGTGGAATGTTCTGGACTTTTGGGTATGAAGCCGTGTCCCCTGCTGGGCCTTCCCACCTTTTTGCATCTCTTCTCCTAGGAGTGCTCCTGACCATCACCTTCATGCCTGGGGCTCGCCCCTTGCCTCTGGTCTTGGTACCCCAGAATACCCTGGCCTGGATGCAGCTGGATGCAAAGGCCCCAGCTCACCCCAGGCCTCTCCAGCTTCTAGGCAGAGTGGGGCCTGGGTCTAGGCAGGTATTAGGGGCTGGGCTGGAGTTTCATTAACACAGGGGGTGGGTTCAAGGCCTGATTTCCACTACCTGCCGTGTAGGCTTGCCTGGGACCCTGTGATGGGCTCTGAAGGCCCATCTGAGGGTCCGCCCTTCATGCCTGGGCCTGGGAGGCCTGGGTATCCTTGGGGTCCTGGGACACAGTCCCTGCCTACCCTCCTCACCAGTCCTCACCACCTCTCTCCCCTGCAGCTGGCTGATGGTGTGAACTCGGGCCAGGGCCTGGGCATCGAGATCATCGGGACCCTCCAGCTGGTGCTATGCGTGCTGGCTACTACCGACCGGAGGCGCCGTGACCTTGGTGGCTCAGCCCCCCTTGCCATCGGCCTCTCTGTAGCCCTTGGACACCTCCTGGCTGTGAGTCAGGGGCCCTCCCAGATGGAGGTGGGGGAAGGGAGGGCGGGGGCTGGTGGGGTGCCCTGCCATGGGCAGCCAGTGGGACTCCCGACAGGGCTCTTGCCATTGGGTGGAGGATGGCGGGTCAGCGCTGGGGGCTGGGGGCAGGGTCCTGCCCTGGAGAGGAGCACAGGGACCTCCTGCCCAGCTTGGGGTCAGCACTCCTCTTTCCCTGGGTCTCATTGTCCCCCACCCTGATTGTTCTCTTTCTCCCTCCAACCTCTCCCTCCTCTCACTCTCTCTTCACCTATGACTCTCTGCCTTCGCCCCTCCCTCTGTTTCTTTCCCTCACAGATTGACTACACTGGCTGTGGGATTAACCCTGCTCGGTCCTTTGGCTCCGCGGTGATCACACACAACTTCAGCAACCACTGGGTAGGAGACCCACGGGGGGTGGGGTGGGAAGCTTTGGTGTCCCATGGTAAGCCTGACCCCACCCTCACAGTGTCCCTTCCTGTTCTGGAGGCTCTGGGAGACAGCCAGAGGACAGGAAATCAGGAAACTGAGGCCTGCCATGTAGAGGCAGGCTGGGGGTCACACTGCCAGCACTTTCAGGCCTAGTCTCTGCCCTCCCAGCTCGGCCCTGCCCCATGCTGCCTGGCCTCCAGGTCTTCCCAGCTGCGTGGTTAAAAGTGGGGCTCCAAATCCTGGCTCAGCCACTTTCGGGTTTAGCATGACCTTGCGCAGTGTGCTTGAGCTTTGGTTTCCTGAGCTGCGGAGGGGGATATGGTGGTGCCCACCTCTCAGGGTGGCCGAGAAGAGGAAAGGGCTCACTCCCCATCTGTAAACTGAGCTCAACACAGAGGAGGCGCTCAGTGGATTTTAGCTCTTATGGTTGTGGATGTGGATGTGCTAGGCCAGCTTTGCATTAGACAATGGTCTCTGGGGCCCTTCCAAAGCTGGGAGTGTGGGGGCAGTGGCCTTCCTCAAGAAGGGGCTGCTACTGCCCATGCCTGAGCTGGGCCCCACAGAGGCAAGGAGTTGACCCTACCACGTACTCTGGCCTGGGCCGGTTCTGAGGGGCACCGGAATCATGATGTTAGGATTTGGCTCTCCTACCTGCCTCCATCCCAGGTGGGAAAAACCTGTCCAACGGGGTGGTGGGCTGTGGGGTAACCTAGGGAACGCTTCCCAGGGGCTTTTGAGTGGAGCCCTCTGAACACACCTGCTCTGTTCCTAGATTTTCTGGGTGGGGCCATTCATCGGGGGAGCCCTGGCTGTACTCATCTACGACTTCATCCTGGCCCCACGCAGCAGTGACCTCACAGACCGCGTGAAGGTGTGGACCAGCGGCCAGGTGGAGGAGTATGACCTGGATGCCGACGACATCAACTCCAGGGTGGAGATGAAGCCCAAATAGAAGGGGTCTGGCCCGGGCATCCACGTAGGGGGCAGGGGCAGGGGCGGGCGGAGGGAGGGGAGGGGTGAAATCCATACTGTAGACACTCTGACAAGCTGGCCAAAGTCACTTCCCCAAGATCTGCCAGACCTGCATGGTCAAGCCTCTTATGGGGGTGTTTCTATCTCTTTCTTTCTCTTTCTGTTTCCTGGCCTCAGAGCTTCCTGGGGACCAAGATTTACCAATTCACCCACTCCCTTGAAGTTGTGGAGGAGGTGAAAGAAAGGGACCCACCTGCTAGTCGCCCCTCAGAGCATGATGGGAGGTGTGCCAGAAAGTCCCCCCTCGCCCCAAAGTTGCTCACCGACTCACCTGCGCAAGTGCCTGGGATTCTACCGTAATTGCTTTGTGCCTTTGGGCACGGCCCTCCTTCTTTTCCTAACATGCACCTTGCTCCCAATGGTGCTTGGAGGGGGAAGAGATCCCAGGAGGTGCAGTGGAGGGGGCAAGCTTTGCTCCTTCAGTTCTGCTTGCTCCCAAGCCCCTGACCCGCTCGGACTTACTGCCTGACCTTGGAATCGTCCCTATATCAGGGCCTGAGTGACCTCCTTCTGCAAAGTGGCAGGGACCGGCAGAGCTCTACAGGCCTGCAGCCCCTAAGTGCAAACACAGCATGGGTCCAGAAGACGTGGTCTAGACCAGGGCTGCTCTTTCCACTTGCCCTGTGTTCTTTCCCCAGGGGCATGACTGTCGCCACACGCCTCTGTGTACATGTGTGCAGAGCAGACAGGCTACAAAGCAGAGATCGACAGACAGCCAGGTAGTTGGAACTTTCTGTTCCCTATGGAGAGGCTTCCCTACACAGGGCCTGCTATTGCAGAATGAAGCCATTTAGAGGGTGAAGGAGAAATACCCATGTTACTTCTCTGAGTTTTAGTTGGTCTTTCCATCTATCACTGCATTATCTTGCTCATTCTTCAGTTCTCTACTCCCTCTTGTCAGTGTAGACACAGGTCACCATTATGCTGGTGTATGTTTATCAAAGAGCACTTGAGCTGTCTGAAGCCCAAAGCCTGAGGACAGAAAGACCCTGATGCAGGTCAGCCCATGGAGGCAGATGCCCTTGCTGGGCCTGGGGGTTTTCCAAGCCCTCAGCTGGTCCTGACCAGGATGGAGCAAGCTCTTCCCTTGCTCATGAGCTCCTGATCAGAGGCATTTGAGCAGCTGAATAACCTGCACAGGCTTGCTGTATGACCCCTGGCCACAGCCTTCCCTCTGCATTGACCTGGAGGGGAGAGGTCAGCCTTGACCTAATGAGGTAGCTATAGTTGCAGCCCAAGGACAGTTCAGAGATCAGGATCAGCTTTGAAGGCTGGATTCTATCTACATAAGTCCTTTCAATTCCACCAGGGCCAGAGCAGCTCCACCACTGTGCACTTAGCCATGATGGCAACAGAAACCAAGAGACACAATTACGCAGGTATTTAGAAGCAGAGGGACAACCAGAAGGCCCTTAACTATCACCAGTGCATCACATCTGCACACTCTCTTCTCCATTCCCTAGCAGGAACTTCTAGCTCATTTAACAGATAAAGAAACTGAGGCCCACGGTTTCAGCTAGACAATGATTTGGCCAGGCCTAGTAACCAAGGCCCTGTCTCTGGCTACTCCCTGGACCACGAGGCTGATTCCTCTCATTTCCAGCTTCTCAGTTTCTGCCTGGGCAATGGCCAGGGGCCAGGAGTGGGGAGAGTTGTGATGGAGGGGAGAGGGGTCACACCCACCCCCTGCCTGGTTCTAGGCTGCTGCACACCAAGGCCCTGCATCTGTCTGCTCTGCATATATGTCTCTTTGGAGTTGGAATTTCATTATATGTTAAGAAAATAAAGGAAAATGACTTGTAAGGTCCTTCAGGCTTCCTGTAGTTTTTCTTCTTTTGATGCTGTGTCCCCACAAATGTTTCTGGATTACTCCACAAGGAAATCAGGCCACTGCTAGAGACCCAGTCTGAGGAGGAGCCACTGCCTCCCCTTCTGCCTTCAAGACCCCTGATCTCAGGCAATGGATACAGCCACACCACAGAACCCCATCTGAGGGACACAGGGTCCTGCCCCTAGTAGGAGACTTCCAGAGCCCAGTGGGATGACTTTGGAGACCTGGGGGCAGGGAAAAGGGGCAGGCTTCTGATCAGTTTAAATGGACCGATGGGAGCCATTTCTGATTCCGGAGTATGGAAGGGATGGGGGAAAGCAGGGCTGAAGTCTAACAGCCCCCTCATCCCCTCTACCCTCCACAGAGCAGGGCCCAGGGAACACTAGGGATTGCTCCACCTTCCTCCCTCCCTCCACTCACATTTGCAACCCATCTGACCTGGGCTGGGCGTCTCATGGGAGACAGACTCACTCATCAGAGCCCAGTGCAGTTAGGGCTACTTCAGGCTGAGACTGGGACCCTGGCTCCTGACCCTCCCGACGTGCACACACACTTAGTAGTGCCTGATAATAGGGAACAGGTATCACCACGGCAGTGGGCTGAGGCAGGAAATAGTGTATGGACAGGTCCTGGGGCCCCAGCACTGCTCCTGGGAGACACATGGTTCCTGTCCCCTCTGTGGAATGCCTGGCTGATGGTGATATAAGGGGGGCTGGGTCTCAGGGAGCCAGGGGCTAGGCATCCGCAATGAAGACTGAGGCCATGTTGATGGAACAGGGTTTCTAATTTAAGTGTGCCCTGGGTCACTAGGCTGTCTAAGTCCCTGCAAATCAGTGCATCACATCTGCACACTCTTTTCCGTTCCCTTGCAAGAACTTCTAGCCCATTTAATAGATAAGGAAGCTTATCTCCCAGCTTAAGAGGGGCATATAAATGGCAGAGTGCCAGCCAAGCTATGGGAATTGGGTATGGGCCAGCCCGCTGCATCCCAGGCCTGCCTGTGAGGGTGTGCCGAGGCTATCTCTCACAGCCCTTCTCAGCTTGTCTCCTTAATTTGTCCCATTCTTCTTGGCCTGAAGCCCTCCCAATCACCACTATGGGCCCAGCCACGCCACCTCAACTCCTACTCATTCACTTCTACCCCCACCCCCATTTCACCCCCGCTCCATGGCACAGCCTTCTTTAGTGTATTGCTTAGATATGACTTTTAGAATCCTAGAGCCACGAGGCAGGGCCTGAATAAGCCATTAGGGAACTGGTATTTCTTGAGCACTTACCATGTGTGAAGAATCTCTCTGAGATTTTGCATACATTCGCTCTAATCTTTACAACATCCTTAGAAGGTAGAGATACGTGTCCCCATTTGTAGAAGACGCCAGGGCCCCTGAAGATGAAATGATTTGCCGTAGGCCACACAGCAGGTTGGTGGCAGAATTGGGATTTGAACCTATTCTGCTTGGCTTCAAAGATCAGGCTCTTTGCACGATGTGGTCTGGGCCGGTTTTGTCATGATTCCTGCTAAGTTAAGCTCTGGGCTAGCCAGGAAGCCGGACTGCATGAAGAAGGCAGCCACTCCTGCAGAGTGGGCATGGGGAGGGGGAAGGGAGGAGAAGGGCCAGCCACAGAGCCATCTGGCATCTGGAGAAGCCTGTTCATTCCAGGGCTAACTGGACGTGGTGTCACCCAAACCTCCCTGCTGCCTTCCACGGCCTGACTCTCCCCCTCCTTGGGAGGAAAGTGTCTGAGGACCATGTTCACCCAGCAGAATACCTGAGAAGGGGAAGGGCAATGCTGCACCATGAGGGATAATAATGCACTAAGACAGGCCCTCAGCTACCCATCAGGCCAGGGGGCAACAGCTTTGGGCTAAAGGGATCCTAGACTCCTCCTCACCTTCCAGCCTGTGGGTTTAGTGCTCCAGGCACCCCATCTCTTTGGGGCTACCCCTGACTCTGATCTTCTCATCTTCTATACAGCCCAACACAGGGAGAGGTTTGAGGAAATAACAGATGAAGTGGTGCTCCTTGGGCAGCTGAGACCTTGTCTGTTTGTTCATCAGACTTTAATGGAGGTAGTAAATTTCCTGAAAACTCCCAGGATTCAATCTTTTTCCTCAGGCTGTTGAACATTCAGGCAACTGCACATGTGATGTGACTTGGTGAGGGGCACCTGTCACGCATCTCTGACTGGGTCCCTGATGAGACCAGACAACAGGTCACTATCTCCATCAGACACCCTCCTGGCCCTCCCCTTGAGACTTGCACACGGAATGGCTCAGCTGGCTTGGAAGGTCATGCCCTCTGCACCTGGCCCAGAAGGAAGCAGGATGTAATCCAGCAGCCACTGAATCCTAGAATATTTGTCTTTCCATTAAATTCACAAGAGCAAAAAGTTACGGTTCTGCAATTGCTCCATTTATTCTGAGGCCCCCTAGGAACCCTAGGAAGATCAGGTCAGCCAGAGCCCAGCAGTGAATGTTCACTTCAGCCACACATATTTATGATCTCAAGCATCGGATCAACCTCTTCTGGGTTTCTAAACATTCAGGAGTCTGAGATCCTTACAGATCCATATTTTCTTTTTGACATTTCACTTTCTCCTCCAGAATCAAGGGGATTCATCTTTCCTGGCCCTGGAGGGGTGTTGAGAGGTTATAGGGAGAAGACTTGATTTCTGAAATACCGTGGACTAGGATTCATCCACTGGTCAGAGATGTGGTGAAGCTTCAGCGGGGTTAGTGGCCCATAGCCCTGGCCCTGCTCCCAGCACCGTCATCCATCTCAAAGCTCCTGTGGGCTCCGAGGGCCCAAATGGAAGGGTGTGGGTGGCTCAAGGCCACTTGACCACAAGGACCACGGCACTCTTGGGGGATGCGGTAGGTGCAAGGAGGGTTCTCTCTCTTTCGGGATTCTTAGGCGGTCCTCAGTATCCCTGGAACCCAAGCCAGGAGTCTGGAAAAGCACTGGAGGAACTGGTGCCGGGGCCCCCACCCATGGCGTGGCCAGGCCATGTGCTGGCCCATTGGGATTTTTCCATCGCTCCTGTAGGTCATGCCTTCACTGGTCAGAAGCCTGTCTAGGAGGGGACAGTGATTAATGTTTCATGGAGGAACTGCTGGGCATGACACCTTGTTTTCTTTAGGTTTAGAATACAATGAGGACGATGAGTGGAATTTGCTGCTGAGCTGGGGGCCAGGATGGGGCCATTCTTGGGGGCCCAAAGACCCAAAGGTAGTGATGTTTACTGTCCTTACTGCCAAAAAGGGGGCGATTGTGTAGGTAGGGAAGGCAGGTGAAGCCCGTGCTTACAGGGGTGTCTTCCCTAGCCCTCAAGAGCCCACTAGTCCCCACTGATACCTTGGGCCCTGGTGTGCAGAGAGACCTATGGCAAAGGGTATCCAGCAATTTTAATGAGCTCATCCTGCTTAGGTGATTCTGCTTCATTCCAATAAAGCCATGTTCTCTGCATGTAGGATTTTGCTTATTTTTCTGTTCTTTCCAGCGCATCAATCTGGAACTGGGTGAGAGCACAACTGATCTTCAGCCGTACGGGCTAGTACAGATTCACCTGTTTTTTTTTTTTTTTTTTTGAGATGAAGTCTCCCTCTGTTGCCCAGGCTGAAGTGCAGTGGTGCGATCTCAGCTCACTGCAACCTCTGCCTCCCGGGTTCAAGTGATTCTCCTGCCTCAGCCTCCCGAGTAGCTGGGATTACAGGCGTGTGCCACCACACTTGGCTAGTTTTTGTATTTTTAGTAGAGACGGGGTTTCATCATGTTGGCCAGGCTGTCTTAAACTCCTGACCTCAGGTGATCCATCCACTTCAGCCTCCCAAAGTGCTGGGATTACAGGCACGAGCCACCGTGCCCAGCCCACCTGCTCTTAAAATATTAAAATATTTTCATCTGTTTTGAGCTATCCAAGTAACATCCTCCCATCCCTGCTCTCTGGCCTTCCTAGCTTCCCGGCCTCTCTCTATTCTCCCCCAGACCTCCCCACAATCCAGCACTCAATGTGTTAAGGGGGCCCCTCGGACCCTGTCCAGTACTAAAGTTGTGGGATAGTTCTGATGGATTGGTGTCCCCACAATACCAGGATGGTATATGTTTTACACATCAACCCTGGGTGGGAAGCAGTAAGAGGTGTCTATCCAGCAAGGTCCAAGTTAGAAAAAAAGTGTGTGTATGTGCATGTGTGTGTGTGTCAGCAGATTGGGGCACATAGTCCAAGGCTGGAGTCCAAGGCTCCTGCCCTCTCTGGTCCTCAGTCTCCCCACCCGTAAGGAGAGTGGGTGAAGTCGTCCCTTCTCTGTGATGTCTGTGGTGTCCCAGTCCCTCCCTGACCTGGAGGTGGTGCTTTGCTTCATCTGGAATGCCCAGGGAGTGAGGCCAGGTGGGACAGTGACAGTGCATGTGTGGGGTGCAGCTGGGACCTGGGGGGCATCTTTCCCCCAGGATGCTCCCATTGTGCTCTGACGGCTCTGCTCCCTCTGTGCCTTGAGTTATGTGGAACTCAAGAGACGTGTTCTTCCTAACAGATGTCACCACCAGCTACTAGACTCAGTTTGCCTAGAGCCAGCATGCTCTCCAGGTAGAATATTGATTTGAGAAGGCTGGCCTGGCTTGTGTTCATTAAGGGTGAATTGGCATACATTTCTCAATAAGCTTAAGTAGGTAAGTAGATATATAATTTGTAGAAGAGTATTATCCTTTCTCCCTCTGAAATAGTAATATGAGGGAAGCTGATTCAACAAAAGAGTCCAATCCAAAAAAAGCAAATCAGAGAATCAGTACAGATGAAAAAGTTCTTAAGGATTGAAGCTTACAATTCACAGCAGTCTTGAACACTCTGAAAGGGGTCAAAGTGTCCCTGGTGCCTTATTTCATATGAGTGTTTTTTTTTTAAACTTAGCTTATATTTTTCATAATGCAACTTAAATAGATGTAATAACTTATGCCTTTAAGGAACTCAAATAGGAAACCAAAACAAATCAAACCAATGAAAGTAAGAAAATTTATTTTAATCATGTACGTGTAAAGTTGATGGCTGGGGGTGGTGCTTATGGCACACAGGGTGTTAATATATTTGGAATATCACTTTGGGTGTGTGTGTGTGTGTGTGTGTGTGTGTGTGTGCACGTGCATAGGAGGTTCAGTTCTTCGGAGAGTCATGTCAGGCCTGTCAGCAGGAATGCCCACGCTGCATCTGTGCACGTCTGCGAGCTGCCTGTGGGCCCAGCTGCAGGGTCTTCTGGACTGTGTCAGGCTACTGCCTGCCGGGGATGACAGGATTCATGTGGACTCCAAGGAAACCTTTAAATCTAGCTGTTGAACAATATGAGGGCATCTTATCCAGACCCAGTCGCAGAATAGAGGCACATTGCCGAGTTCTGGGCAGCTGATGTTGTTTTTTCCTGCTGGGAAGAGCAAGTTCCTGGGGGTCTGGTGGGAGGCTGGGCTCCCCTTCCTCACTTGCCAAACCAGGCTGTCAGGACCAATGCTCTCATCCATCTTCTTTGCCAGATCCAACGTCTAACCTTGGACTGATTATACACAAAATATTTTTTTGGGTCAGTGAACATTTTTTTTTCAATAAGAAATGTATAATAAATTCGAAATGTGATAAGAATGTCAGTAACCTTTGTATTCATTGATCACATTTCCTCAGCTGACATTCCTTGTGAAGTCAGGCACTGGGAGGTGAATTCCATATTTAAGACGGCATAGCGTGGCCAGAGCTAGTTTCATGTCCCAGTGAAATCATTGACAGAGACAGGTTGTGGAGGCTGGTCACAGGGGATGTGGCCCCATAGTTCCAACAGGCCACCTTGCGCGTGCCAATGCCAAGTGCATGCCAACGCCAAGCACGTGCCGCAGCTCTGAAATACACCTCAGGGTGCCCTTTCCTAGCGTTCTGTGCTTTCACCCTGTGTCTGGGTCTCAGCAGCGAGGAGATGGACTCAGGGATCTCCTCGCCCTCCCTATGCCTGTACCTTTTTCTGTCCTGCCTTGCTTTCCCCCCCTCTCTCCCATCTGTGTCTCTGCAGACCTAAAGAGGAGTCTCCATTCCAGGCCCTGCGGGAGGATTTCTGGGCCCTTGGGTGGGAGTGACTCCTCTGCTAAACTGTTCGTGAAGTTCCCTGGAACTGGTGAGCCGCTACCGCGCCTGGATTGTAGCTGAAGTTCCCTGGAACTGGTGAGCCGCTACCGCGCCTGGATTGTAGCTGACGGGCCTGTGGCAGCTTCCATCCGAGACGAACTCCAAGAATTTCCGCTGCTGGCAGTGACCTCCAGGGCTGGGAGGAACAGCTGCATCTGCCTCCAGGAATGTGAGGTCTGAGACGCCATGCCCAGGAATGCCTCCATGGGCTTGCAGTTTCGATTCCAGAAAATTCAGAGGGTTCCAGACCCCTGCCCCTTTCCTTCTTTCTCCCTAAGTGTGAAGCTACCCAGGCCGCCCTCGGGGAGATTTTTCTGGAGGGAAATATCCTGGAGAGTTGGATTTGAAACACCTTAGCAGCCAGAGGGACTTTACCAATAGGTGCCACCCATGCTCCTGGCTAAGGCCTGAGTGGAGTGGCTTGGGGAAGTCACCTGCCCTCTGTGGTCCTCGCCCCGTGAGGGTCCCAGCTCTTGGAGCTATTGACTGATTTTCACGGGTGGCGAGGTAAGTTTGGAAACCACATCACCCTCTTGGAGCCTCACCATTCGAGTCAGCAGAGCAGAGGCTCTGACAAGTTCTTCAATAAGAACTCATTTTATTTAAGCAAGCGTTTACCAAACTTGTTTGTCCACATAACCTTCTTTCGGAAGTGACATGGATTACCATTTCAGACAACTGGATTTCTACAAAACACCCATTGTAAATGCTGGCCTGGGTGTTTTCTCTGAGGGCCCCTTAGCTTTCAGATTGCCCTGTATAAAGCCTCAGGGTGGCTTAGTCTATCAAAACCTCTCCTGAGGGCAGGTGTGAGAGAAGAAGGAGGAAAGTGAGGTTTAGAGTTCCCAGTGATAGTGCTGGTGAGGTAGTGGGGAGAGGGGGCAGGTATGGGGTGTGCCAGAGAGACAGAGAGAAGCAGGGAGAAAGAGAAGGAGAGAGGAAGAGATTGTGACCCTCCCACGCTCTCCCTCCAGGCCCATCACTGATTAATCCCTGTGCTGCCCTGCTGGGGTAGCTTGTACAGGAGCCAGCAGCTTCTCCTGGGGGAGAAGGTCCCCAGGAACGAAGCCTCCATGAATCATTGACTGTCCTTCTATTGTGCTGGAACCAGCTGGGGCTGGTGTCCGTGCCAAGCTCCTGGAGCTGTGGGCAAAGGTGGTGCAGGCTGGGGGTGAGCCCAGGCAGAGCTACGGCCTCATCCAGACGCTTCCAAAATAGGCCAATCCCAGCCCATCTGGATGGGCTCTGCACACCGAGACTCCCTTGCTCCCGAGCCACTGCAGCCAGTGGAAGTAGAGTGAGCACTGGGCTAGGAGTCAGGGCCCAGAGTTCCAGGCTCCCCTCTGCTACTGACTCACCATGGCACCTCGAAGGAGCCCCTTCTCCTTTCTCGGCCTCAGTGTCCCCATGTAGACATGGGGATTGAATTTGAGAGTCCTGAAAGACACTCCCGGCAGTCTACGTGTTGGCCCTGGAGCCTTATTATTGAGACCCCAGCTGATATCCTGCAGCTCTGCCCTAAATCACACCTCACGGGCTCCACGCTTGCTCAGCTTCACTATCAGGGACACACAGAGGGACGGGGGTCTGGGGACCTTTCTCAGAGGCTCCGGCATCCCAGCGACCAGCGTTAGGTGGGGCCACTGTGACGGTCCACTTGTAAAAGGGGTAGGCCTGAACTCACCCGAGGGGACCTGCTGCCCCTGCCGCTGCCTTGCTGTGTGACCCTGGGCAGCCTCTCCTTGTGCTGAGGCCCCCATAACACAGCCCTGAGAGGAAGGCCTGAGGTGGCTGCTGTGTGCTCTCACTGTGGCGGGGCCTCTCTCTGGCCCTGCTGCAGGAGCCAAGAGCCAGTCCTGCCTGCCCGCCTGTGGGAGGAGGAAGCCCGTGCGACCCTCACAGGCCTGGCTCTCATTCCATACACTCTGGGGCTTATCCGGGTGGAAACATCACCCTGGCACCTCAGCCCAACTCGTGGGGAAGCTGCCAGAGAGGCCCCTTTCCCGGGTCCTCCCAGGGGAACCATTTTCAAAGCTGAGAGCTTAGCACTCCCAGGGAGACCGTCTTCAAAGCCCTGCCCACGTGCCCACACCGCCCCTACCCTCTGCTGCTGGATGCTAATCCTTCGGGGACCCCTGCAGGGCAGGTTCTGGGGCTTAATGCATTGAGGAGGGAGTTAGGCTCCTTAGCAGGTGGGGCTGAGGCAGAAGCTTCCTGTTGGCGTGGTTGTCCTGGGACCGCCGTGTCTGCCTGTGGGGATACTCGGGTTCATGATAAGAGAAAGCCAGATGAGAGCTGGAGGTGATGGGGTTTAACCAAAGCCCCGACACCTGCATCATCATAGAGCTGGGAACACTGAGGCCAGAGAGATGGGACCTGCCCCAAGTCACCTCTGGCCTCAGTCGCAGAGATGGGACTGGAGCTCTTTCTGCTGCCCTGAGCTAGCGTTGGCCCTCACCTCTGATTGCCTTTTACTGTGACCATTTCTCATTTCTGCTTTTCTCTGCCCATGGGGGACAGTCCTACACCATCCCTGCCAAGGCCTTTACAGCCCCCCAAATGGTCCTAAGCACAGGCACGATCGCCAGCTCACCTGTCCTTGCTCTGAGCACCGCCATCCCTGCTGGCCTCTCTTCCACTGTGAGTCCCAGGAGACAGTTCCAGGGGCAAAGAAACATTCGCTGAACAAAGAAGAGGAGAAAACAGTGTTCAGGGGGCCCGGGCCTTGTAGGCTGGGCATTCTGGCCAGGCCAGGGGCACTGGTTCCCCAGGTGCCTAGTGGAAGGCCTGTGGTGTAGGAGCAGAGGCCAGAGGAGCTGCTGGGGAGGAGGCTGGCCTGGGGGAGCTGAGCAAACTCATGAGACTCAGAGCTCTGGGTGCCTGTGATTTCAGGATAGAGTCTGGGCTTTGGAGATCAGGGGTCCCTGACTTGGGTCAGAGGGGAGGCTAGAATCCTCAGCGTGGTCAGCGAGGGGGCAAAAGGAGCACCGTTTGCAAAGTCCCTGCCGTGTATTTGGCACCGCGCAGGAACTGCATTTCATGTTTACTGCTTGGCTTGATACTCACAAATGAGCTGAGAGTTAGGGATTACTCATTCATTCATCCAAGAAATATTTATCAAGCTCTTACTATTTGTCAAGCACCATTCTGGGTGCTGGGTATTGAAGAAAACAGACAATGTTTGCATTTTATAGATGAAGAAACTCTAAATCAGAGAGGTTAGGCAAGCACCCAAAGTCACACAGCTGGAAAGGTCTGGGACTAAGTTCTTTGCCTTTGTCTATAATGGTTGGGCAGAAAGGCAGGGCGGTGGAGTAGAGAGGGCCCGATGGCCTTGCTATGTGAGCAAGAGCAAGTCACTTCCCCTCCCTGGACCTGAATTTCCTCAGTAGATTTTGAGGCCTTTGGCCAAGCAGTCTGGAATAGCTCCTGTGGGCAAAAACTGAAATTAAAATTTTACATGGGATAGCTACTGATTTTTGAGCATGTTCTGTGCATCAGATCGTGGAGTGTCTATGGGGAGCCATTGAAGGTTCCTGAGCAGGGGTCGGGGGAGCATCCCTGAACTACTCTTGCCCTTGGGCCCTTCCCAGTTCTCCAGGACCTCTTGTCCTAGGGTTATCAGGGGAAGCAGCTGAAGCTTTGGACAAACAGTAGGGGCAGGCAGGGACACAGGGACATATGGTTTATAAATAAGGGAGCTGGGTGGGGCAGGGATGGATTGGGTGGGAAGGGTGACGGTTGAGCTGCAGGGAGAGGCCAGGAGAAGGCCTCAGGAGACGTACATCTGCTCCTGGTACTCACCACCCCCCATCACCCTGGGGGCAGCCCCCTCCTCTGATCAGAGCTGACTCTAGCATCCCCTGTGTCCAGCCCCAGGCTCAGCATCTCTGAAGGGGGCACCAGGGGCCGGAGCTCTGGTCTAGCCCTCCAGGTCCTCCCAGAGGGTACCAGGGCTGCTTCCTCCATGAAGTCTTCCATGCTGAGTCCAGCTTATCTTGACCACACCAGTACACATCACCAAGCCACCCAGGTTTGTAAACAAAAGCACAGGATCATCAGCCCTCGGTGCTCAGAGAAGAGGGGTCAGAAAAGAGGGAGGTTATTGCGGGGAGAGGAGCCTTGAAGAAAGGGTAGAGGCTGGGCAGTTGGAGGGGAGGGTGAGGGAGGGGAGGAATTTAACCTGGGGAAGGGGAGGGTTGGTGGGGGATTTTCTCTCCATCTCAGGCCCTGCCCCTCTTGCCTGTGATACGGTGGTTACCTCCTTTCCTGCCTCTCCCAGTACACTTTAAATTTTTTATTTGATTAAAATAATAAAACGTTTGTTACTTATACAATAATACATGGAACTTAGTAGAATGGTTTAGACCAAGGGCTCTGGAATCAGGTTGCCTGGGTCAGAATCTGGGGCCAGATATCAGGCGTGTGAACTCCAACAAATCACTGGTGCCTCAGTTTCCTCATCTGGAAAATGACCCACTTCATGAGGTTGGTGTGAAGATTAAATGAGCTAATATACATAAAGTGATTATTAAAGGGCCTGGCCCATAGTAAGCGCTAAATAAGTATGAATTATTGGAGATGTAAATTATAATGTTTAATAACATAATAAACACTCATGATCCCAACACTCAATTCAGGAACTGGAACATTTCCAAAATTTGCATCTAGCTTGTACGTCTCTCCCACTCCCCTAGCATCCCCTAAAGGTGTCTACTATCCTGAATTTTGTGTTTGTCATTCCTTTGCTTAAAAAGAAAACATTTGTATTCATGCCTGTACACCTAATCAATAATTTGTTCCTTGATTTTTGAGCTTTATAAAAATGGGAGCATACTGTAGGTAGCCTCTGGGCTGTCCACTCAATCTTCAGTTTCTGGGAGATGCATCAATGCTGTGCCTGTGGCAGTGGTTCATTGTTTTGGGGAACTCACCACCCTTGATTTCTTCCCGGCCACTGTTTCCCACTCCTGACCACAGGGAGAGCACAAAGCCCACTGTGTCTGCCCCAGCCTCCAGGCCCTCAAACTTCCTCTCCTGCAGCAGTCCAGCTGGCCCCTTCCTCAGCACTCTAGCCCTAGCTGTCTAGCTCTGTCCCTACCCAGACCTGGGGCCACATTTTTAGACACTGCCTCTTCTCCCATCTGTATGTTGCTCTGCAGGGAGTGACTGGCCAGGGGCACCAACCTGGGCCTGAGTCCTTGCTTTGCTTCTAATTGGCTGTGTGACCCTGGGTGGGCCTCCTGCCCTCTCTTGTCCTCAGTCTCCCCACCTGTAAGGAGAGTGGGTGAAGTGGTCCTTTCTCTGGAATGTCTGTGGTGTCCCAGTCCCTCCCTGGCCTGGAGGTGGTGCTTTGCCTCATCTGGAATGCCTGGGGAGTGGGGCCAGGTGGGACAGTGCATGTGTGGGGTGTAGCTGGGGCCTGGGAGGCACCTTTCCCCAGGATGCTCCCACCATGCTCTGGGGGCTCTGCTTCCTCTGTGCCTTGAGTTAGTGTGTAATAACCACTTCAAACCAAAATAGGCACATTGAAATTTTGAACCAAAGCTTCGAGGGGAGTTACAGCATGCAACTTGGGCTGCAGACAGCACCCAAGGCTGGGAACCTAGGGGCCTGAGTCCAAGTCCCAGCTCAGAGAACAATTTCCTGTGAGACCCTGGGTACTTCACTTTCTCCTTTTGCAAAATGAGGCCAATTCTCCATGCTGGGCACATGCGAGGAACAGGTGGGTCTGTGTATCTCACAGGTGTATATATCTCACCTCTCTAGCCCCACTCCCCTCACAGGGCTGGATAGAGAAAGCCTGCTCTAGGAGAAACAGGGCAAAGTCTGCAGTGAAGTTTAAAGTTTATAAAGAAATGAGTTATCCATGCACAAATCAAACCACCGTCTTCGGTTGGAGGAAAACAAAGTGTCACATTGTTCTCACATTGTCTGGCTGAAGGCCAGTGTTTCTTCCACACCCCTGCCTGCCCACACCTCGCCCTCACCCCTCCCCCTAACAGGTGCTACCTCTTTTGCCTGCTTTCCCCCCATTTTTCCCTATTTTTAATGATTTTGATGTGGAAACTTCCAGACATTAAAAAACTCTCATATACACAAATATAGTTTTTTTTAATGGAAAAAATCCTCCACATTCTGCCACTTGCTTTTTCTACTAAAAATCTTTATATTTTAATCAGCTTTATTGAGGAATAATTTACACACAACAAAATTCAGCAAGTTTATGTGTACACTTTGGTGATTTTTAACAAACGTGGACCATAGGGTGACAATCATCATGATCCCTGGATAGGACACTTTTGGACATTCCTAAATGACTGCAGGGGTTGAGTCTGCTGCTGGGAGAAGGAGACAGAGGCATCTGAGGAAGGAGCCACGGCCTGTGGGGGAGTGGGGCTAGGCAGGCCCTTAAGGATGGTGCCTCTGCCCCAGTGGGGGATAAGGGATTCCCTTCCTCAGTTTCATCATTTCTGTTCAGCAGCAAATTCACTTTGGAACTGCAAAGTTGACTTAAAAGTCTTTTTTTCTTTTATTTTTAATTAATTAATTTTTTTTAGAGACGAGGTCCGCTGTGTTGCCCAGGCTGGTCTCGAACTCCTGGCCTCAAGTGATCCTCCCACCTCAGCTTCCTGAGTCTCTGGGATTACAGGCGTGAGCCACTGTGCCTGGCTCTTGACTTAAAAGTCTTAAAAACCTAAAGCATCTAAGTGTCATTATTAAGGGTGTCCCCAGGACTCTCATCCCTGGTCCTTGTCCTGCACCTGACCCTGGCCAGAGCCTAGCCCTGGCAGTCCTGACTGCAGCCCTGTTTAGAGCTGGGTCTCTCAGGGGATCACGTGAGAGCGGCAGATGGCTCCAGGCCGCCAAGCCCCTGCAGCCCTGCAGAGCCACAGCTAAGTGAGGGCTGGGGCTGGCGGCTCCTGTCTGCGGGGATCCGTTCTGAAGTCCCAGGCCCCTGTGTCTCTGCAGGACTGCTGCCTGCGCCTGAAGGAAGGACAGCGTGGGGCGCAGGAGAGGGACTACACCCCAGCCAAAGGAGTCGCTTCCAGGTCCCCCAGCAAGGGAGATTTGGGCCAAATATCCAGAAACTGCTGATCCCCAAGGCCCATCCACCAGCTCCAAGCCCCCGGCCCCAGGTCTGGGCACCCTTCAGCCTGCGCATGCCTGGCGCCATCCTGAGACCGGGAGCTGCTTGTCGCCGTCGGGAAGAGGCGGCAGTTGCGCGTCATCACCACCAGGGGGCACCAGTACAGGTGGGACTAAACCCTGGGAGTTTCACCATCCACCAGACGTGCTCTCTGAGAACTTGTCAGTCCCCGCGGTCAAGGAGTCCATCTGCTAATGGGATAGACAGGCCAGCTTAAAATCTCGGCTGATATCTCTCATATCCGCCAAGATTACATGGAAAAACCATAACATCAGCTACCCCCTATATTAAATTTAAATAATTTTAATTGTGCAAGTAGTGAGGGTACAAATAAATTTTTCTTAACAATTGAAATACTGAAATTAAAGATCATGTTCCATTTGACCATCCCCTACATCCCATCCCTTTCCTCTTTTCCCTATTTTTATAGTTCTAGACATTAAAATATATGCAAATATAGGGTTTTTTAAATTCAAAAAGCACATACATTCTACAACTTGCTTTTTTCTGCTAAAAATCTATAAATGTTAATCAGCTTTATTGAGGAATAAATTTAGGTATTATAAAAATCACCAATTTTATGTGTTCAATTTGATGAATTTTAACAAATGTGTCCAATAGTGTAACCACCATCATGGTCACTGTATAGATTTCTGACATTCCTGAAATATTCTCTCTTAACACTTTCCAGTCAATTCACAACCTCACCTCTGCGCCCTGGCAACCTCTCATCTGCCTTCAGTTGCCACAGTTTTACTTTTTATAGAATTTCATATAGATGGAATCGTCCTGCATGGAGTTTTTGAGTCTGATGTCTTTCACTTAGCTTTTATAATGCTTTTGAGATTCATTTATATAGTTGTGTGTAAGTACTTTGTTCCTTTTTATTACTAAGTAATATTCCACTGTATGCACATACCATAATTTACTTATCCATTCATGAGTGATGAACATTTGGGGGTGTTCCCAGGTTTTGTCCACTATGAATGAAGCTCCTATGAACGTTCTAGTACAAGTCCTTGCGTGAACGTATACTTTTGTTTTTCTTGGGGAAATACTTGGAAGGATTGTTGCGTGGTATAAGTGTATGTTTAGCTTTATGTTCATCTGCTGAATGGTTTTCTACAGAAGCTGTACCATTTTGCATTCCTACCAGCAACGTAAGAGAGTTTTAGTTGCTCCACATCCTTGCCAAGACTTGTGTTGTCAGGTTTTTACTTTAAGCCATTCTAGTAGGTGTGTAGTAGGATCTTATGATGAAATTTATATTTCTCTAATGGCTTATGGTGTTGAATATCTTTAAATGTGCTTATTTTCCATTCACATCTTCTTTGGTTAAGTGTCTATTCAAATCTTGTCCACTCATTTAAAATCAATTATCTCCTTATTATTAAGTTGTAGGAATATTGTATATAGTCTGGGTGTGAGTCCTTTGTAAGACATATATTTTAGAAATATTTTTCCTCTTTCAGTGTTTTGTCTTTTCATCTTCTTAATGTAACTATGTCTCTTTAACTTTTTATTTTGAAATAATTTTAGACTTACAGAACAATTGCAAAGATAGTACAAAAGTTCCATTCATGGCAACGTCTCACATAACCACAGTACAATTATCAAAACTAAGAAATTAACATTAGTATGATATTATACCTAAACCACAGACCTTATTCAGATTCCACTAATGTTCTTTTTCTGTTCCAGGATTTGACCATGTCCTCTTGGTTTCCTCTATCTGTGACAGTCAAGTATTTTGTTCAGTGTCCCTCAACTTGGATTTGTCAGATGTTTTCTCATTATTGCATTGAGGTTGTGGATTTGGGGGAAGAATACCAAATGCCCTTCTGGTTACATCATTTCATGAGGCACATGATAGGAATAGGACACCATCGCTGGTAATGGTAACCTTCATCACTTGGTGTCTGATGGGTTTCTTCACTAAAAAGTTATAAATTTTTTCCCTTTGCATTTGGTTTGAAAGTTTGAGGGAGATACTTTGAGACCAAACAACTATCCTTTCTTTCCTTAAACTTTTGCTTTCCTCAATCCTGTAATGCCAGCACTTCGGGAGGCCAAGGTGGAAAGATTGCTTGAGGCCAGGGGTTTAAGACCAGCATCGGGAACAAAGCAAGCCCTCATCTCAAAAAAAAAAAAAAAAAATTAGACAAGCATAGTGCATAGTGGCATGTGCTTGTAGTCCCAGCTACTCAGGAGGCTGAGGCAGGAGGATGGCTTGAGCCCAGGAGTTAGAAACTGCAGTGAGCTATGATCATGCCACTGCACTCCAGCCTGGGCAACAGAGTGAGATGCAGTCCCCAAAACAAAAACCAAAAACAAACAAAATGAAAGAAACAAACAAATCTTTTGCATTCATTGGTGAGTTTGCCTGCAGCAATTATTACTATGGTGTTCTAATGGCAATTTTCTATGCTTCTCATTCCAGCTACCTTTATTAACTGGAATCCTTCTGCAAGAGTTTTCTCTTCTCCATCATTTATTTATTATGTGTGAACTGATGGCTATTTATTTTACTCCTTGGATTGTAATCCAATCCTATTTGGTTGCTCAGATGGCCAGCCTTGGCTGTTGGGAGCTCCTCTAGGTTTGCTCCTGTGTTCTTCGGCATGCTGCCAGCCTCCCTCCTCTGCCTTCTTTTCTTTCCTTTTTTTTTGAGCATTCTCCATCTTTCTGGAACCATGAGATGCTCCAGGATTATCTTGAATTATTTTTGTCTCAGACCTGGAATCAACTTCGTCAAGCAATCTTAGTTTTTTTAATTGGAGAATGGTAAATATCATTAATACATATCAAGATCTGTGTGCCAGCTTCTATGCAGGTGGCTCTCTCATCAGACAGAGCTAGGAAGTATATGAACGTGTACTAATTCATTTGTATGCAAATTGTCTATCTATTAATTGATCAATCGATCAATCCACCAATTTATTGATCCATCATCTATCTATTAAAGAAAGGCGTAACTTTACACTGACACTTGTGACTGCAATCCAGCACAATGTGTTCATTCTGGCATTTTCCCTTTACTTATTTGTAACTTTAGCTCTCATTAACTACAATCTTTCTTTGGATCTTATTATCTACAGTATATTTACTTATTTGCCCTGTTCTACTGTACAAGTAAAATATTTTTCGACTTGTTACCTCATACTTTTGTGAAAAACAAACTTGACAAATAGAGTACAGTGTTTATAGACCATTCTTTTAATCTTTAATCTCACGGCATCCAGGCGAAGTGCTTAGATCCAATCCTTTCTTTTTCATCTCCAGGGTGATTGTGTCATATGTTTGCAATACAGTCAGTTTCATTGTCACAGTCTGCATTCCACCTTGGGAACCCCTGACGTCCTGTTTTGTTTTGTTTTGTTTTTAACTATTTGCATACAGTAATATTCACTCTTTGAGGTGTACAGGTCTATGGGTTTTGGCAAATGCATGGAATCTTATATCCAAAACCACTTTATATATAGAAGGGTTTGTTAACCCTCCCAATTCCCTCATGCTGTACTTTTGTAGTCAAACCTTTCCCCCACTCCCGACCCTAGGCAATTACTTATCTGCTTTCTGTCTCTACAGTTTTTGTCTTTCCTAGAGTGTCACATAAACTGAATAATATAGTATGTAGCCTTCGGGGTTTGGTTTCTTTCTTTCACCTACCAAAGTGGATTTAAGATTCATTTACATTGTCGCATAAATCAATAGTCTATTACTCTTTATTGATGAGTCATATTATATTGTGTCACTGTTCCACAGTCTGTTTAACCATTCATCTGTTGAAAGAAAGGTGATTTCCAGTTTTTAATAATTATGAATAAAGCTACTGTAAACATCTGTGTAAAGGTAAGCATAAATGTTTGATTCACTTAGGTAAATACCCAGGAGAAGGATTGATAGTAAGTATATATTTAACTTTAAAATAAACTGCTAAAGTGTTTTGTAAATTGGTTGTACTATTTTACATTCTCATTGGAGTTCTCAGAGAGTTCCAGTTGCTTTGCATCTTGGCAAACACTTGGTTTTGTCCATTTTTAAATTTTAGCCATCCTAGTAGGTGTATAGTTTGTGGTTTGTAGCTTGTGGCTTGCATTTGCATTTCCCTAATGAAATATGACGTTGAGCATCTTTTAGATGTTACTTACCATCTGTGCATCTTTCTTTATGAAGTGACTCTTCAATTCTTTTGTTGATTTAAAAAATTGCATTGTCTTTCTTAATGTTGAGTTTTGATGTTCTTTATGTATTCTACATACAAGTTCCTTTTTGGGCATTTAATTTGCAAATATTTTCTCTCAGTCTGTGGCTTGTCTTTTTCTTCTCCTTGCAAAGCAAAAGTTTGTAGAATTTTGTTAAAGTCTAATTTATCAAGATTTTTTCTCACATGGATTGTGGTTTTAGTATTGTATCTAACAAGTCTTTCCCAAGCCCAAGAACATGCAGATTTTTTCCATATTTTCTTCTAGGTCATTTATTATTTTATGTTTAAATTTAGGTCTATGATCCATTTTGAGTTAAGTCTGTAAAAGTTGTGAGGTATGGATTGAAGTTCATTTTTGCTTTTCCAAACAAATGTTCAGTTGTTCCAGCACCGTGTGTGGAAAATACTGTACTTTCTCCACTAAATTGACTTTGCACCTTTATTTAAAAATCAGTTAACTGTATTTGTGTGGGTCTATTTCTGGGCTTTCTATTTTGTTCCATTCATCTATGTGCCTATCCTTTTGCCAATACCACACTCTCATGATCCCTGTAGCTATGTAGTAGGTGTTAAAATTGGATAGTGTGTCCTTAACTTTTTCCCACAATTCCCAGAATTGTGTTATCTATTTTAGTTTCTTTGTTTATCCATTCAAATATTAGAATCAGCTCAATTATATCTATGAAAACAGCTAACTGGGATTATGTTGAATCTATAGATCAAATTGAGGATAATTTGCATCTTAGTAATATTGGATCTTTTAATCCATGAACACAATATAACTCCCTATTTTTTTCAGGTTTTTATTACTTTCACTTATGTTTTATAGTTTTCAGCATATTTTGTTATATTTATCTATAAGTATTTTATTTTATGAAGCTATTGTATGTAGCACTTTTAAAAGTTTGATTTCTGATTGTTAATTGCAAATACATGGAAATATAATTGATTTTGTATGTATACTTGGATCTTGCAACATTGCTAAATCTGCTTATTAGTTCCAGGATGTTTTTCTGTAGATTTATTTGGATTTTCTACATAAATTAGGGTTTCAACCAAAACAGCCAGTTTTATTTTTTCATTGAAATCTGTATACCTCTTATTTCTATTTCCTGGCTTCTAACTTGATGTTGAATAGGAGTAGTGAAAGAGGACATTTTTCTTTTGTTCCCTGTTTTAGGAGGAAAGCATCACTCTTTCATCATTTAACATAATGGCTGTAGGTGTTTTACAGGTGCTCCTTTGTCAGGTAAAGGAAGTTTCTTTTTATTCCTAGTTCACTGAGAGTTTTTGTCATGAACAGTTGTAAAATTTTGTCAAAAGCTTTCTTCTACGTATCTAGAGATAATAATATGGTTTTTCTTCTTTTGTTTGTTAATATAGTGAATTATATTGATTGGACCTTGAATTTTGAGCCAGAAATATATATGTATGTATTTCTGGATTCAAGTTGCGAATACTTTGTTGAAGGTTATTTTGTGTATGTTTTTAAGAGATGTTGGTCTGCAATTTTCTTCTGTTGGAATGCCTGGTTTTAGTATCAGAGCAATGCTGACTTCATTGGCTGACTAGGGAAAGCACCCCTTCCTCGTTTTTTCTGGGAGAGATTGTAAAAAAAATGGATATTATTTCTTCTTTAAATGTTTGCAAAAATTCACCAGTGAAAGCTTCTAATGTTGAAGTTTACTTATTTGAAAGATTTTTTAAAAGACAAATTAGATTTCTTAATTATGCATGTCTATTCAGATTATAATTTTTTTCTTGAGTTTTATTAAAGTCTTTCACATAATTAGTCTATTTCATGTAAGTTGTTGAATTAATGACGTACAATTGTTCATAATATTCCTTTATTATTCTTTCAACATTCATAGGATTTATAGTGATAACATTTTTTTCCTTCCTGAAATTGGTAACCTGTCTTTCTTTTCCCCTGAGGAGTTTTTCCAGATATTTATTAACTTCAATGATCTTTCTAAAAAAGCAGGCTTGGTTTCATTTGCTTTCTTTGTTGTTTTTCTTTTTCCTATTTCATTGATTTATGCTATCTTTATTATATCCTTTCTTATGCTTATTTTGTACATAAGTTGGCCTTTTCTGTTATTTTTGTGGTGGGACATTAGGTCATTGGTTTCGATATTTCTTCCTTTTAAATGTAAGCATTTGGTGCTACAAATTTCCCTCTAAGCACTGCTTTAGCTGCACCCCATAGATTTTAATGCATTATATTTTTCTTATCAATCAGTTCAAAATATCTACTAATGTCCCTTGTGATTTCTTCTCCAACCAATATAGTATTTAGAGTATACAGTTCAACTTCCAGATATTTGGGGATTTTCTAGACACCTTTTTATTAGTGATATCTGGTGTAATTCTATTATGGTCAGAGAAATACTTTGTATGATTTCAATTCTTATCAATTGATTGAGACTTGTTTTGTAGCCCAGAATATGCTCTATCATGGTTAATATTCTGTGTGTACTTGAGAAGAATGTGTATTCTCTTGTACAAAATACTAGATAAAAGTTTTATTAGATAAAATATTTATGAAAGTTTTTCTATATGTCTCAATTTGTTCAAATTGGTTGTGTTGTTCAAATTATCTATATCCTTTCTTACTTTTTAAAATGAACTGTTATATTTAAAATGAACTCTTAGTTTTAGAATAGTTTTAGATTTACGGAAAAATTGCAAAGGTAGTACAGAAAGTTGCCATCTACTTCACACCCAGTTTCCCCTATTTTTAACATCTTATAATAGTGTGATACCTTTGTTGCAACTAATGAACAAATGTTGATACATTATTATTAACTGAAGTCTATACTTTATTCAGATTTCTTTAGTTTTTAATGTAATATCCTTTTTCTGTTTCAGGATTCCATCTAGGGCAGTACATTATATTTACTCTTCGTATTTCCTCAGTCTCCTTTGGGCTATGACAGTTTTTCAGATTTTCCTTGTTATCGATGACCTTGACAGTTTTAGGGAATATTGGTAGTATTTTGTACAATGCTCTTCTAATGATGTGGTGGGATGAATGTTTGTCATTCCCCCCAGATTCATATGTTTCTGAAATCCTAACCCTCAATGTGATGATATTAGGGGGTGGGGCCTTTGGGAGATGATTAGGCCATGAGAGTGGAGCTCTCATGAACAAGATTAATGTCCTTATAAAAGAGACCCCAGAGAGCTAACTTGTCCTTTCCACCAAGAAGATGGCTGTCTATGAACCAAAAAGAGGGCACCCACCAGACACCGAATCTGCTGACACCTTGATCTTGGACTTCCCAGCCTCCAGAGAAATAAATGTTTATTGTTAAAACCCCCCAGCCTATGGTATTTTTGTTTTGAAAGCTTGAGCAGACTAAGACAAATGGGATTTGTCTGATGTTTTCCTCATACTTAGACTGGATTTGTGGGAGAAAGACCACAGAGGTAAAGTGCAGTTGTTATCATACCATATCAAGAGCATATACTATCAGTGTAGTTTATCGTAGTTAATATTAACCTTAATCAGTTGGCTGATACAGTGTTTGTAAATTTTCTCCAGTGTAAAGTTTTTTCCTCCTTCCCATTTGTGCTCTTTGGAAGGAAGTTGGTAAGGGAAGCCTATGCTTAAGGCATGGAGAGTTATGCTCCACTTTTTGAGGCTGGGGTAGCTACATAAATTATTTGGAAGTCTGCATAGGCCATTAGTCTATTCTTCCCTTTTATCTATTTATCTAATTGTTTATTCATATAAGTTTGGATTCATGGATATATATTTGATACTCTGGGTTATAATATAATATTATTTAATTAATTTTGTTGCTCATATTGTTTCAGCTTTGGCCACTGGGAGCTCTTTCTGTTGGCTCCTGTGTCCCTCTGATATAATCCATTATTGTGGAACTTTTGAGTGCTTCCTTACTTCCTGTAACTATAAGAAGTTCCAGATTCATCCTGTATATTTCCTGCCCCAGAGTTAAATTTGGTCATTTTTTAAAGGATTCCTGATTCCTTTTATTGTAGAATGATATTACGCACCAAGATCTGGGCATTAGATATGCTCATTGCTACTGGGGCGTCATTGCTTCTATGGTCTTATATTTGCTTTATTAATTACCCAGGAGTACTGAAACCTCAGACTATAATTTTGGATTTGTCTATTTCTTTTTTTAAAAAAATTCCTTCTGTGCTTTCTTCATACATTTTAAAGTTTTGTTATTAGGTACACACACATTTAGGGTTGTTATGACCTCTTGATAGGTTGATTCCGTTATCATTATGGAATGTCCGTATTTATCCTTGCTACTATTTCTTGTTTACTTTACTGAAATTTACTTTGTCTGATATTAACATAGTCACTTTAACTTTCTTTCAGTTACGTTTGCGTGGTCTGTTTCCTTTGTTTAACTTTCAACCTATCTTTGCTTTATATTTAAAATGGGTTTCTTGGAGGCAGCATGTAGTTGGGTCTTGATTTTGTTTTCCATCTGACAATCTCTTTAACTGGAGTAATGTCATTTACATGTAATTTATTGATTGATGTTGTTTGATTTATTCCTACAACTTTGCTATTTGCCCTTTGTCTCATCAGCTTTCTGTTTTGTCTTGCTTCTTTTCCTTTTTTTGATTAATCGTTTTTATAAGATTTATCTTATCTCTACTATTGACTAATTAATCATATCTCTTTGTTTTATTTCGTTAAAAGTAGAACCTCACAGATTTCAAATATACATAACAGTTTACCTTCAAATTATATTATACTGCTTTATATAGAATAAAAACTTTACAATTATATACTTCTCTTTTCCTCCTTCAATCCTTTTTGCCATGTTTTCATACTTTTTACTTCTGCCTAGGCCACAAACTCCACAACATTAACTGTTAGTTGTGCTTTAAGCAATCAATCAATTATCTCTTTTTTTCACTTTTAAAATTGTGGTTAAAATATACATGACATAATTTGCCACTTTAGCCATTTAAAAATGTACGGTTTAGTGGCATTAAATACATTCATAATGTTGTGGAAACATCTTCACCATCTAACTTTTAATCATATCAAACAGAAACTCTGTACTCATTAAAGCAACAACTCCTCATTATTTCATTTCTCCAGACTTTGGTGATTTATATTCTATTTTCTATGTCTATAAATTTGTCATTTCTAGATACCTCATATAAATGGAGTTATACAGTCTTTGTCCTTTTGTGTTTGCCTTATGTCATTTAGCATAATGTGTTCAAGGTTCATCCATGTTGTGGCATATATCAGAATTTCATTCCTTTTTATGGTTAAATAATATTCCATTGTAGGTATAATAAATCACATTTTGTTTATTCATTCATTTGTTGATGGTCACCCGCCTTTGGCTATCATAAATAATGTTGCTATAAATATTGGTGTACAAATATCTGTTGGCATCTCTCCTTTAAATTTCATTCATATATACGTGTATGTGTGTTTGTGTGTGTGTGTACATATATATATGTGTATATATATGTGTGTGTGTGTATATATATATATATATGAGTGGAATTGCTGGGTCATATGGTAGTTCAACGTTTACCTTTTTGAGAAACTGACAAACTGTTTTCCACAGCAGCTGTGCATTTACATTTCCACTAACAATGCCTGAGAGTTCTGATTTCTCAGCATCCTCATCAACACTTGGTATTTTCCTTAATTTTTTTAAAAAAAATAACCGCCCTAGTGGATATAAAGTTGCCATTGTTACGTTCGTTTGACCCTTCCAAATTTCATGTAGAAATCTGATCCCCAATGTTGGAGATGGGGCCTAATGGGAGGTATTTGGGTCATGAGGGCAGCTCCCTCATGGAGGACATATTAATGTCCTCCCTTTGGGGGTGGTGGGTGAGTACTCACTCTGTTAGTTCCTGTGAGAGCTGGTTATTTAAAAGAGCCTGGCCCCTTTGCTTCTTGCTTCCTCTTCCACTCCGTGATCCCTGCACATGTTAGATCCCATTCACCTTCTGCCATGAGTGGAAGCAGTCCGAAGCCCTCACTAGGTGCCTATGCTGGTGCTGTGATTCTTGTACAGCCTGCAGAACCATTAACCAAAGAAACCTCTTTTCTTTATAGATTACCCAGCTTCAGGTATTTCTTTATAGCAGCACAAATGAACTAAGGCAGAAAATTGGTTACGGAGGAGTGGGATGTTGCTATAAAGATACCTAAAAATGTGGAAACAGCTTTGGAACTGGGTAATGGGCAGAAGTTGGGAGAGTTTGGAGGGCTCAGAAGAAGATAAAAATATCAGGAAAAGTTTGAAACTTCTTCAAGATTTGTTAAGTGGTGGTTTCAAAAATGCTGATAGAAATATAGAGGGTAAAGGCCAGGCTAACAAGGTCTCAGACAGAAATGAAGAACTTATGGGGAACTGGAGCAAAGGTCATCCTTGTTAAAGAACTTGTCAATGCCTAGGGCATTGTGTCCATGCCCTAGGATTTGTGGATGACCAAACTTAAGAGTAATGTTCTAGGGTATCTAGTGGAAGAAATGTCTAAGTGGCAAAGCATTCAAGAAGTGCCAGTGTTGCTTTTAGTGGCTTATGATCAGATGTGGGAGCAAAGAAATGACCTAAAAGTTGAATTTATGATTAAAAGGGAATCAGATCAGAAAAATGTGGAAAATTCTCAGCCTGGCCATGTGGTAGGGAAGGAAAGAGCATTTTCAGGAGAGAAATCCAAGGGTGCTGCAAAGCAACCTCTTGCTAGAGAGATTAGCATAGATAAAAGGGAATCTATAACTTAAAAAAATGGTAGCCAGGTGCTAATAGTCAAGACAATGGAAAAAAGTTCCTGAACGCATTTCAGAAATCTTCAAGGTGCACCTCTCAGCATAGGCTCAGAGACCTAAAAGGACAGAATAATTTTGGGGGAGAGGTCTGTGGCACTGTTGCCCTATGTTGCCTGAGGATACTGCTTCCTGCATCCCAGCCACTCTGACTCCAGCTGAGGGTCAAATGGCTTCAGGTACTGTTTGAGGTGCTTCTCTGAAGGGTGCAGCTATAAACCTTCATGGCTTCCATGTGGTGTTACGTCTGCAGGTGCACAGAATGCCAGAGCGGTGGAGGCTTGGCAGCTTTCACTTACATTTCACAGAATGTATCTGAAAGCCAGGATGCCTGCTAAAGGAGTGGAACCCCAACAGAATGACTCTACTAAGGCAATGCTACTTGGAAATATAAAGTTGGAACCCCTGCAGAGAGTCCCCACTTGGGCACTGCCTAGTGGCTATGTGGAAGCAGGACTGCTGTCCTCCAGACCTGAGAATTATTGATCCACCAGCAGCATGACACCTCAGCCTGGAAAAGCCACAGGCATTCAAGTCCAACCCATGGTGGAAGCCACAGGGCTGTTTGCAGAAAAGCCATGAGGGTGTGGCTGCCCAAGGCTTTGAGATTTCACTCCTTGAACCAGTGGGGCTAGGATGTAGGACTGGAGTCAAAGGAGAATTTTTTTTAGCTTTAAAATTTCATGTATGCCCTGCTGAGTTTTGAACTTGCATAGGGACTGTTACCCCTTGCTTTTGTCTTATTTCTCCTTTTTGGAATGGAAATGTTTGCCCAATGTTTGCTCTGTCATTGTATCTTGGAAGTAAATAACTTGCTTTTGATTTTATGGGATCATATCTGTAAGAAACCCGCTTTGAGTCTCAGATGAGATTTTGGACTTTGGACTTTAAAGTTGGTGTGAAACAAGTTAAGACTTTTGAAGACTATTGGGAAGGAATGATTATATTCTCTACATGAGAAAGACATGAGATTTGGGGGTCCAGGTATGGAATACTATAGTTTATTTGAATCCTCCAAACCTCAAGTTAAAATCGGATTCCCAATGTTAAAGGTGGGGCCTAATGGTCCAATGGTTTGGGTCATGGGAGCAGATCCCTCATGAATAGATCAATGCCCTCCCTGGTGGGGGTGGGTGAACTGGTTCTCACTTTATTAGTTTCCACAAAAGTTGGTTGTTTAAAAGAGCCTGGCACATTCTCCCCTTGCTTCTTCTCTTACTTTGTGATCTCTGCACATGCCAGCTCCCATTCACCTTCTGTTATGAGTGGAAGCAGTTTGAGGCCCTCACAAGATGCTGGTGCCATGTTTCTTATACAGCCTTCAGAACTGTGAATGAAATAAACCTCTTTTCTTTATAGATTACCCAAGCTCAGTTATTCTTTATAGCAATGTCAAACAGAGTAGTTCTATCTCATTCTGGTTTTGATTTGTATTTCCCTAATGACTAATAATGTTAAGCATTTTTTCAGTGGTGTAATCTTCGGAGAAATGTCTTTCAGGTCCTTTGCCTATTTTTGAATTGGATTGTTTAGTTTCTTATTGTTGAGTTGCATGTTCTTGCCTTAGTCTATTCTCACACTGCTTTAAAGACATACTCAAGACTGAGTAATTTATAAAAAAAAAAAAAGAGAGATTTAATTGACTCACAGTTCCTCATGGTGGGGGAGACCTCAGGAAACTTACAATCATGTTAGAAGGGGAAGCAGGCACATCTTACATGGCAGCAGGCAAGAGAGAGCATGTGTCAGCACAGGAAAAACTAACATTTATAAAACCATCAGATCTTGAGAGAATTCACTCATTATCATGGGAACAGCATAATAATCAACCTCATAATTCACCTTCATAATCCAATCACTTCCCACAAGCTCTCTCCCTACCTGGGGATTACAATTCTAGATGAGATATGGGTCGGGACACAAAGCCTAACCATATCATTTCACCTTGGCCTCTCCCCTCTCAAATCCCATGTTCTCACATTTCAAAATCAATCATGCCTTCCCAACAGTCCCCCGAAGTCTTGACTCATTTTAGCATTAACTAAATAGTCCAAGTCCAAAGTCTTATGTGAGACAAGGCCCAGGAGCCTGTAAAATCAGACTCAGTTTATTTACTTCCAAGATACAATGGAGGTACAGACATTGGATAAATGCTTCAATTCCAAATGGGAGAAATTGGCCAAAACAAAGGGGTTACAGGCCTCATGCAAGTCCAATATCCAACAGGGCAGTCATTAAATCCTAAAGCTCCAAAATAATCTCCTTTGACTCCATGTCTCACATCCAGGGAATGGTGATGCAAAAAGTGGGCTCCTATGGCCTTGGGGAGCTCTGCCTCTGTGGCTTTGCAGGGTACAGTCCCCCATTCCAGCTGCTTTCATGGCTGGCATTGAGTGTCTGTAGCTTTTCCAGGCACACAGTGCAAGCTGTTGGTGGATCTATCTTTCTGGGGTCTGAAGGATGGTGGCCTTCTTCTCATAGCCCCACTAGGCAGTGCCCCAGTGGGGACTCTGTGTGGGAGCTCCAATCCCACATTTCCCCCTTGTACTGTCCTAGCAGAGGGTCTCCATGAGGGCTTCACCCCTGCAACAGACCTCTGCTGGACATCCAGGCATTTCCGTACTTCCTCTGAAATCTAGGTGGAGTTTTCCAAAACCTCAATTCTTGACTCCTGCAGGCCCAACACCATGTGGAAGCTGCCAAGGCTTGGGGCTTACATCCTCTGAAGCAACTGTGGGACTATATGTTGGCACCTTTAAGCCATGGCTGGGATACAGGGCACCAAATCTTGAGGCTGCACAGAGCAGGAGTGGGGACTGTGGGTCTGACCCATGAAACCATTTTTCCCTTCTAGGCCCCTGGGTCTGTGAAGGGAGGAGCTGCCATGAAAGTCTCTGACATGCCCTGGAGACATTTTCCCCATTGTCTTGGTTCTTAACATTGCTCCTCATTGCTTCTGCAAATTTTTGTCGCCAGCTTGAATTTCTCTCCAGAAAAATAGGTTATTTTTTTTCTATTGTATTGTCAGGCTGCAAATTTTCCAAACTTTAATGCTCTGCTTCCCTTTTAAACATAAGTTCCAATTTCATGTAATCTCTCTCAAGTTCAAAGTTCCACAGATCTCTAGGGCAGGGGCAAAATGTCCCACTCTCTTTGCTAAAGCATAGCAAGAGTGACCTTTGCTCCAGTTCCCAAGAAGTTCCTCATCTCCATCTGATTCCACCTCAGCCTGGACTTCATTGTCCACATCATTATCAGCATTTTGGTCAAAACCATTCAACTAGTCTCTAGAAAGTTTCAAACTTTCCCACATATTCCTGTCTTCTTCCAAGTCCTCCAAACTGTTCCAACCTCTGCCTGTTACCCAGTTCCAAAGTCACTTCCATATTTTCAAGTATCTTTATAGCAGTATCCCACTCCTGGTACCAAAATCTGTTTTAGTCAGGGTTCTCTAGAGGGCCAAAACTAATACAATATATGTATATATGAAAGGGAGTTTATTAAGGATAATTGACTCACGTGATCACAAGGTGAAGTCCCACAATAGACCGTCTGCAAGTTGAGGGGCAAGGAAGCCGGTAGTGGCTCAGTCCAAGATCGAAAACTTCGAAAGTAGGGAAGTCAACAGTGCAGCCTTCATTCTGTGGCCAAGGCTTGAGAGCTTGTGGCAAACCATTAGTGTAAGTCCAAGAGTCCAAAGTCATCTCTCTCCAATGCTGGATGCCTCCTGTCCTCAGACATAAGACTCCGAGTTCTGATGTTTGAGGGGAGGAAGCATCCATCATGGGTGGAAGATGAAGACTGGAAGACTCATCAAGTCAACTTTTTCCATTTTCTTCTGCTTGCTTTTTCTAGCCATGCTGGCAGCTGATTGGCTGGTGCCTGTCCACAGTGTGGGTGGATCTTGCTGAGGGTGAGTCTTCTTCTCCCAGTCCACTGACTCAAATGTTAACCTCTTCTGGAAACACCCAGAAACATCCAGATACACTCAGAAACAATACTTTGCATCCTTCAATCCAATCAAGTTGACACTTAATATTAACCATCACAGTGCTCTTTATATATCCTGGATATTAATGCTTTATCAGATATATTATTTGCAAACATTTTCTCTGATTCTGTGGATTGTCTTTTCACTCTCTTGATTATGTTCTTAGATTCCCATAAGTTTTTAATTTTGGCAATGCCCAATTTATCTATTTTTTCTTTTGTTGCCTATACTTTTGGTATCATACTTAATTAACCATTGCTAAACCCAAGGTAATGAAGATTTTCCCTTATGTTTTCATTTAACAGTTTTGGCTCTTAAATTTAGATCTTTATCCATTTATTTTGAGTTACATTTTGTATAGGGTGTAAAGTAAAGGTCTAACTTCATTCTTTTGCATATGAGCATCCAGTTTTCTCAACATTGTTTGTTGAAAAGACTGACTTTTCCCCACTGAACGACCTTCACAGCCTTGTCAAAAATAAATTGGCCATATATGTGAGGGTTTATGTCTGGCTCTGTATTCCATTCATTGGTCTATATATCCATCTTTGTGCCAGCACTACATTGTTTTGATTACCATAGCTTTGTAGATTTGAATTTTAGAAATGTGAGACTTCCAGCTTACTTCCAGTTTTGGCTTTGTTACAAGATTGTTTTTACTTTTTGGGGTCTGTTGAAACTCCATATAAATTTTTGTATGGAGTTTTCTATATCTGAAAACAATGGCAATAAAATTTTTTACAGATATTGCATTGAATCCATATATTACTTTGGGTGATATTGTCCTCTTAACAATATTATGTCATCCAGTCCATGAACAGGGGATACATTTCCCTTGCTTTAGATCTCTAATTTCTTTCAGCAGTTGTGTAGTTTGCTATGTAAAAGTATTTCACTTCTTTGATTAAATTTATTCCAAACTATTTTATTCTTTTTGATGCTACTGTAAACAGAATAGTTTTCTTAATTTGCTTTTCAGAGCACTCATTGTTAATGTACAGTAATAGAACTAAAGTTTGCATGTTAATTTTGTATTCTTAAACTTTTCTGAATTTGTTTTTTAATGAATAAAAAGAAATATTATAGTCTAAATTTTATCCTCAGCAACCACAAAAATGATTTTGAATTCTGAAAAAACAAAAAAAGCTTTAAGATAGTCCAAGTTTTTATTTCACACAGACATAGTTGGCATTTACATAGCAAATGCTTGGGGAGTACAGCACTAGCCAAGGAAGTTTACACGATTTACATAGTAGTTGGTGTTCTGCACCACTCCTACCCTTTTTGTTATCACGGGTGCTTAACATGTATGGTTTCCAACTCCCTGCTTGGCTCAGCTCCTTTCCGGAGAGACTATTTTATTTGTTACTTAGTCTGGGTGCCTGAGTCGTCATAGTACTTGTCTGGTATTAGAATTTCAATATCATTACCAAAATAAAGCCATCTAGACAAAATTTTAAAGTTAAATTCTAGTATAAGAAATTTCAAATACTTTTTCCAAGACACTTTTGTCAAAAAGAAGCAGTAAGACGTGACATAACAGCAAACATATGTGCTTTATGTGCCCGTGACTAGTTGATTAACACCTTTATATGAATCAATGTATTTCATCCCCACATAGAACCTTTTAGATTATCTTATTATCCGCATTTTAGAGAAGGAAAAACTGAAGCACAGAGTGATTAAGATAGTAATAGGCAGATGCAGGATTTGAACTAATGCAGATAAGTGTATGGCCCTGAATTTTTTTATTAATTCTAACAGTTTTTTTTGTGGATTCTTTAGGGTTTTCTACATATAAGATCATGTCATTTGCAAACAAATAATTTTATTTTTTCCTTTCTAATTTGGATGTTTTTTATTTCTTTTTTTTTTTTTTTGCCTAATTACTCTGGCTAGTACTTCTAATACTATGTTGAATAAAAGTGGTGAAAGCAAGAAGTCTGTCTTGTTCCTGATCTCGGTGAGGGCAGGGGGGATTTTCAGTCTTTCACTGAGTGTAACTGAGTGCAAACTGTGGGTTTTTTTTTTTTTTTTCATATATGGCCTTCATTATGTTAGGGAAGTACCCTTCTATTCCTAATATACTGAGTGTTTTTAATCTTGAAATGGTGTTGGATTTTGTCACATACTTAATCTGCATCATTTGAGATTATCTTTTTCAAAAAATTTATTCTATTAACATGGTGTATTACACTGATTAATTTTCAAATATTGAGCTACCCTTGAATTGTTGGGATAAATTCCACTTGGCCATGTTGTATAATCCTCTTAATATGTGGTTACATTTGTTTTGCTAGTATTTTGTTGAGTATTTTAACATCTATATTAATAAAGATCAATTATCTTCTAAACAGTGTAAAATGAGAAAGAAGACCTTTTATTTTCAGTTTTATTCACATTTCTAGTCTCTGCTTCCCTTCCCTTCTCTTCCCTCATCTCCCCTCCCCTCACCTCCTCTCCTCTTTTGTTTTTTCCTTTTCTTTTCTTTTTGAGATGGGGTCTCACTCTGTCACCCAGGCTGGAGTGCAGTAGCACAATCATAGCTCACTGCAGCCTTGGACTCTTGGGCTCAAGCAATCTTCATGCCTTAGCCTCTTCAGTAGCTGGGACTACAGATGCGTGCCACCATACCTGGCTAATTAATACTTTTCTTTCTTTTTTTTTTTTTTTTGGTAGAGAAGGGGGTCTCACTTACATTTCCGGGGCTGGTCTTGAGCTCCTGGCCTCAAGCAATCTTCCCTTTTCAGCCTCCCAAAGTACTGGGATTACAGGCATGAGCTACTGTGCCTGGCCATTTTTCATTCTTTAGTGTAGTTCCAAATTTTCATTTGTTCTCATTTTCCTTTTGGCTTGAAAAAGTTCCTTAGGCATTTCCTGTAGTGCAGCTCTGCTGAAAATGAATTATCTCATCTTTGATTTCTCTTTAAAGTCTTTGCCCCCATATTTGAAAGATATTTTCATTAATAAATAGATGCAGTTTGAAAGTTTTTTTCTGTCAGTGCTTTAAAAATATCTCTCCACTGTCTTCTGATTTGCATAGTTTCTGATGAGAATCTGTGGTCATTCTTATTTTTGTTCCGCTGTACACAATTTGTCTTTTCCCCTTTGGTGGCTGATAAGATTTTCTCTTCATTACTGTTTTCAGTAATTTATAATAATTATCATGTGCCTTGGAGTGTTTTTAGTTTATTGCTTATATTGTTCATTGAACTCCTTGAATCCTTGATATATATTTTTTTATCAACTTTGGTAAAGGTCAGCCATTTTGTTATTCAAATATTTTTCTGAACCTCCCTTCCTTCTGTGACTTTAGTTCCATATATATTAGACCCCTTGATATTGTTCCATAATTAATTTACACTCTGTTATTTTTTAAAAGTTTTTTTCCAGTTTTTACCCAGTCTTTTCTTCCTCTTTGCATTTCATTCTGCATAGTTTAAATGAGTCGTCTTCAAGCTCATTGCTCTTCATTCTGCAGTGTCTAATCTGCTATTAGTTGCAACCAGTGTATTATTTTTTTCATTTCAGATATTGTATGTTTTATTTTAATAAATTGAATTTTGGTCTTTTAAAAATATCTTCCTTCTCTATTTACTATGACCACGTTTTACTCTTTGTAAAACATATGAGGCTTATTTGTAATAATTGTTTTAACATCTGCGGCTGCTAATTTCACCATCTTTGTCAGACCTGGGTCTGTTTCTATTGATTTATTTTTCCCTTGGTTATGAGTTATCGTTTTTTACTTCCTTGCCTGCTTGATAAATTTTTTATTGGATGTCAGACGTTGTGAATTTTACATCGTTGATTTCTATATTTTATTTTGTTTATTTAAGTGGTGTTGGATTTTTTTTTTCAGTGAAGTTATATTTTGGATCTTTTTAAGGTTTGCACTTAAGCTTTGTTAGAATGGGTCCAGAGCAACCTTACGCTAAGGTTAATTTCATCACACTACTAAGTCATTACTATTATACATTCATGCCCTGTGTGTTACACGTCTTATTTTTTCCACTTGGGCTAATGATACCACAGACTATTTTTAATCCTATGTGAGTTTTGTGCATTTTCTGCCTACTCCATTCCTGTTATTCTTTCTCCAGCCTTAGTTTCTTCTCACACATTCTCAGATAGGTATCCAGCCAAAGACTGCAAGGTGAAAACATTGGGAGGACCTGTTTTCACAATTGTGGAACTCTGTCTCTGTGTCATGGTTCTCTCTCTAGTGCTCCGCTTCAAAAATTTCACCAAGCTTGACTTTCTCAGTCACTAATCTTTATTTCCTTTACTTATAAAAATCACCAGACTATGTTTGGGTTTCTCTTCTTGAGCTGTGGCCTGGAAATTGCCTCTAGGGAAAAACAAAGAACAAAAAACTGGCTTGTAGGGATCAGCTTGTCTACTAATGTCTAAAAGTAAAAGGTTTTGTATATTTTGGTTGAAATTTTTGTTGTTAAGGTAGGAGGGTAACAGTTCCTGTTACTCCATCTTGGCTGGAAGCAGTTCCTCAATATATATTTTTAAGACATCTCCATGTTGATGTGAGGGGTCTCCAGAAAGCTCATGGAAAATAAATATTATGAAAAAACTATGCATAGGTTTCAAAATTTTTTAGCACTGAAAAAACTGGTACTAACTTATTGTAATGTGTCTGAACAGGATCTAGTTGGAGGCACTAAGAAGGATAAGACATAAGTTTGAAAAGAGCTCTTATCAGAGCAGGCCAGGCGCGGTGGCTCATGCCTGTAATCCCAGCACTTTCAGAGGCCAAAGTGGGCAGATCACCTAAGGGCAGGAGTTCAAGACCAGCCTGGCCAACATGGTGAAACCCAGTCTCTACTAAAAATTCAAAAATTAGCCAGGTGTGGTGGGAGGCACCAGTAATCCCAGCTACTCAGGAGGCTGAGGCAGAGAATCACTTGAACCTGGGAGGCAGAGGTTGCAGTGAGCTGAGATTGCATCACTGCACTCCAGGCTGGGTGACAGAGTGAGACTCCATCTCAAAAAAAAAAAAAATAAAAGCTGTTTTCAGAGCAAAATAAATTATGCTTTAATTGCAGCAAGAACTGATATCAAATTATGATGAAGCTTGGGTGGAAGAATGGTGAAATAATTGATACTTTATGAAAAGTTTAAGGAGACAATGCCCCAAATAAATTAGCAGTTTACAAGTGGATAATTCCTTTTAAGAAAGGATGAGATGACGTTAAAGATAAAGCCTCTAAGGCCGAGGCGGGCAGATCACGAGGTCAGGAGATCGAGACCATCCTGGCTAACACTGTGAAACCTGTCTCCACTAAAAATACAAAAAATTGGCCAGGCTTGGTGGCGGGCACCTGTAGTCCCAGCTACTCGGGAGGCTGAGGCAGGAGAATGGCGTGAACCCGGGAGGCGGAGCTTACAGTGAGTCGAGATCGCGCCACTGCACTCCAGCCTGGGCAACAGAGCAAGACTCCGTCTCAAAAAAAAAAAAAAAAAAAAAAAGCCTGTAGCAGCAGACCATCCACATCAATTTGTGAGGAAAAGAATTAATTTGGTCATTCCCTAATTGAAGAGGACTGATGATTAATGGCAGAAACAATAGCCAACACCATAGACATCTCAATCAGTTCACTCTACACAATTCCAGCAGAAAAATTAAAGTTGGGCAAACTTCCCAACTGATGGTTGCCAAAAGCATTGCACCCAGATCAACTGGAGACACGAGCAGAGATTTCAGCAGAAATTTTAAACAAGTAGGTCAAGATCCTGAAACATTTCTTCAAAGATTTGTAAGAGAAGATGAAGGATGGCTTTGCCAGTACAATGTTGAAGACAAAGCATGATCAAAGCAATGACTACAAAGAGGTAGAAGTGGTCCTGTCAAAGCAAAAGCAGACCGGTCAAGAGCAAAATTCATGATGAAAACAGTTTTGGGGATGCTTGAGGTATTTTGCAGGTTGACTTTCTGGGGAGCCAAAGAACGATAACATCTGCTTATTGTGAAAATGTTTTGAGATAGCCAAAGCTTTAGCAGAAAAATGCCCAGGAAACCTTCACTAGAGAATCCTTCTCCACCACCACAATACTCCTGTTCATTCTTCTCATCAAACAAGGCCAGTTTTGCGAGAGTTTTGATAGGAAATCATTACACATCCACCTCACAGCCATGATTTGGCTTTTCATGATGTCTTTTTGTTTTCTAATCTTAAAAAATCTTTTAAGGGCACTCATTTTTCTTTAGGTAGTAATGTAAAAAAGACTGCATTGACATGGCTAAATTCCCAGGACTCTCAGTGTTTTAGGGATGGATTACATGGTTGGTATCATTGCTTACAAAAGTGTCTTGAAAGCTTATGTTGAGAAATAAAGTTTATATTTTTTATTTTTTAATTCCATATTTCCATGAACTTTGTGAAATCCTCTTGTACAAATAGATTTAGTTCATACCTTTTAACCGCTCAGTAGTATTCCATTGTATGAATAGATCACATTTTGTTTAGCTATTCCTTTCTCATTGGACAATTGTGTTGTTTTCTGGTTTTTACTACATGTTATAAACAACACTGAACTCAGAACGCAAATACCCAGAACTGGAATTTCTGGCTTATAGGGTATGTTCATTCTTAAATTCATTAGATAATATCAAATTGTTTTTCAAAGTGGTTATACAAAATTCACTCTCATCTGCCATTTATGAATGCTCCCATTTCTTTACATTATCTTCCAGACACTGTGTTATCAGACATTAAAGTTTTAGGCAATGTATTAGGTGAAAATGGGTAGCTTATTATTATTTTTATTTTCATATTCTTTAGTATTAGGAATGTTAAACATTTCTTCATCTGTTTATTGGCCTGTATATTTCACTTCTTTTCTGAATTGTCTATTTGTATCATTTGCTCACTTTTCTGAGTTATTTTTATCTTTCTTACTGATTTTTTTCTCTTCTTTCTTTTTTTTTTTGTGACATAGTCTCACTCTGTTGCCCAGGCTGGAGTGCAGTGGCACGATCTTGGCTTACTGCAGACTCCACCTCCCAGGTTCAAGGGATTCTCCTGCCTCAGCCTCCTGAGTAGCTGGAACTACAGTTGTGCACCACCAGGCCTGGCTAATTTTTGTATTTTCAGTAGAGACAAGGGTTCACCATATTGGCCAGGCTGACCTGGTGATCCGCCCGCCTTGGCCTCCCAAAGTGCTGGGATTACTGGCGTGAGCCACCACGACCAGCTGATTTTTAGATATTTTTAAAATACATTTTTGATACTACAGATTTGTTTGTCAGGATTGGTTGCAAATATTTCTTTCAGTTTGTAGCAGAAAAATGCTTTTAGTTTTCATCTATGGCATCCTCTCTTGAACATACATTTTAAAATGTTAATGTGGTCACACTTGATTTTTTTCTTTACGATTTTTATTTTATATGACACTCTCCTTTATTCTAAGGCCATAAACATGAATTTCTATTTTTTGAAGCATTTTTATGATTTTGTTGTTTTATAATTAGGATTTTTAACCTAGAATCTATATTTTGTAAATGTGAGCTAGAGATTCAATCTTATTTTTTTGTACAAAGAATCAGCTGTTCCAATCTTACTTGCTGTTAGTCCATCTTTGTTACATGCTGTCATAAATGATTGCCCACTGGATCTAGGCTCTGTATGAGGTTCTTTATAGTACACGGCTTTCCTTGTCCACTTATCCCACCAATCCTATAAGGAAGGTGTTAGTATCATCCCCACTTTTCAGATGGGAAAACGGAGGCTCATATGGTTTGAATGTTTTGTTCTCTCCAAATCTTATGTTGAAATAGACCTGCATTGTTGGAGGTGGGGCCTGGTGGGAGGTGTTTGCGTCATGGGGGTGGGTCCCTCATGAATGGCTTGGTGCCCTCCCCATGGTAATGAGTGAGTTCTCACTCTGCTAGTTCATGCAAGAGTTAGTAGTTTTAAAGAGCCAGCCAGACATCTCCCTTGCTCTCTTGCTCCCTCTCTCACCATGTGATACACCAGGGGTTCCCCCTTCACCTTCCAGCATGAATGGAAGCTTCTTGAGGCCCTCACCAGAAGCAGATGCCAGTGCCATGCTTCCTGTGCAGTCTGCAGAACTGTGAGCCGCAATAAACCTCTTTTTAAAAATATAATACCAAGCCTTGGGTATTCCCTTATAGCAATACAAATGTACTAACACAGAGGTTCAGAAAGGCTAAATGACTTGCCAAATGTATGACAGCTAGCAAGTGATGGAGGCAGAATTTGAATCCTGAGTGTATACAGAATTAGCTAGAGAAGACAGCTCCATGAAGAAACAGGCCTGCAGGGATCCTTGGGGAACATGTACAGTTAGAGCAGGGTTTCTCAGCCTTGGTCTTATTGATCTTTGAGACTGGATAATTCTTCATATGATCAAGGGTGGGGGCATCCTGTGCATTGTAGATGCTTAATAGCATCCCTGGTCTCTACTCATTCGATACCAGGAGCAACTCACCACCCCACTCCTCACCCTAACTCCTAGTTTTTATTTTGATAACAAAAAATGTCTCCAGACATTGCCAAATGTCCCCTAGGGAAGCAAAATTGCTCCAGGTTAGGAACCACTCGTTTAGACAGTAATAACTATTATTAATTATCACTATCAACCTCAATAATTAGCCATCATTAATGCTAATGATATTGATGCTAATTATCAACAGTGATTAATCGTAAGACTTTTTTTTCCTGGTGCTGTTGCTTCTTTGTAGCTGAGGAACAGAAGGTTCTAGCTTTCCCTTCAAGTTATACCTTTTCAGCACTCTGCTTTTCCAACCCGTGAGCTCTCAGCCTGCCAAGAGAGGAGCTCTGCTCTCCCCTAAAAGTGTAAAAGTGTGCAGAGCTCTGTGTGGCATGCTGCTTGCACCCATTTCACAGTTAAGCTCATGAAAACACTTGCACAGGATAGGAGGGTTTTGGAGCTTGGGGTGGTTCATGTTTTTGTTTCGAAATATTTTTTTTTCAGTATTTTGTTGACAATGAAGAAAAATGGAAAAATAAACCCCTGCTGATGTCAAAATAAGCCCTAAATCCAGATGTAGCGGGGGCGAGGAGCCTTCAACATTCATGATGTGATCGGGCTGTAAACATGTCTGGTGTTCTAGCACGCAGCCCAGCAGCTTCTGTGAGTGGAGACGTGCACACAAACATCAGGACCTGTCGGCTACTGGGATATTCAGGTCTTTCAGAGGTGACATCTTTGACATTTCAAAGTGCTGTGCAAGATCCAGGGGCATTTAGAACACTGTCTTTAGCCTGGCCAATGGAGACCCTGCATTTTAAAGTCTAAAACTATAATAAAAGTGACCAGGCAATGAATGTTCAATATAGTTTGCTGTGTAAGTCTTCTCATTTCTGCTACCGATGAGAGTTGTCCTCCCCCTATTCAAGATGGCTTGACCCATGAATCCTTCACAAGGCTTCCAACCAACCTCATTTTCCCCTTTTGCCGTGAGAGTTTTGGAGAGATTTTGATAAGCCCCCATGTGAAATCCAGAGCCTTGATGCTTGCAGCTTCAGCTCACCATCCAGGCCAGCGTCCTTGCCCAGTAAAGGACCCAGGTCTTGCTGAAATGACACATTCCTGGCCAGCCCATGCCAGTGCTTACAGATCATACTTCCTTTCCTAAGACCATTCCAACCCTCCATCTCCACTAATACCATACCCTTCCCCTTCCCCACCAGTTCCACACAGCTCTGACCTCACTCTCCAGCCCTGTGGATGAGGCTAGGAGCACACATCAAATAACCTGGGAGCTTCCCAAGGGCAGGCCCAGGTCCCCTTCCTATTCTTTAAGATCCCATCAATCTGAGGGGTCACTCCAATGATGGCCACCAGAGACCTGGGCTTAGAGAAGAAAGTGGTAGAGAATATTGACCAAGTGACCTGTGGCTGTCACCTCTCTGGGCCCTTGCTATCAGGACAGACACACAAGCAGACTTATAGCCAGAGTAGAAGGCGATGAGGGTGGGGGCTCAGCCCCTGCCTGCTGGAAACAGAGTCCCACCTCAGGGTCAATGCTGAGCTGGGCAGGTGTCCTGCAATCCTGGTGAATATTCAGCGGTCTGTGTCCCCTTGGCTAGCTCCTGCCTATGCAAACAGCCACCTGAGAAGGGGAAGCAGAGGGTGCGGTGGAAACGGCTGTGTCAGGGGACAGCAGGGGAAGGAAGATAGCCAAGGCTTACTGAGGCTGGTGGAGGGAGCCACTGCTGGGCTCACCATGGACCGCCGGATGTGGGGGGCCCACGTCTTCTGCGTGTTGAGCCCGTTACCGACCGTGAGTAGCCAGCTGAGACCCTCTGGCCTCTGCCACTGGGCTCCAGATTTGGGAGCCACAGGGCCAACTGGAGCCTGGCGGAGACCCTACTGCCCTTCTCCTGCTCTAGAGTCCCTCCCTACGAGCAGGTGGCAGGCTGTGGCTTGGAGAGCCCCTGACACTGGGGCTCCCTCCCTCATCTCCCTCTGCCCAGCAATCTGTAGTGACTCTGGGTAGTGCTATTAACATGTCCTTCCAGGGGCTGAGCTGAGCTCACCTTCTTGTTGCTTCCCCCAGGGCCTGGCTGTGCCTCTGGGGGCCACAGAGACTCTGTCTGCCACAAGACAGTGCCTCAGAATTGGTGAGGCAAAGTCAGGCTCCCCTCTTAGTCCCTGCAGTTTGCTCTTTCTCTCAGCTGTGCACCTGTGATGCTTCCACACGCTCCTGTGGTAAGCTTTCTGGACCCTTCCTTAGCCCTATGACTCCCTGAGCCACTCTCCAGTTTGGTGGTTTCCTTTGAAGAGGGTGTGGCCAGGGAAGGAATGGAACCTAAGGAGTTGGTGGAGACCAGCTGCTTCTGCTCCAGCACTTAGGGGATCCATCATCTTCTCACGATGCTGAGGGCTGGAGAGGCTTTTGGCAACCAAATTGTACTCCATGGGCTAGAGCGCTGGAGCACGGGGCATCAGGAGAGAGGGCCCTTCCTGAATGGGCTGCAGTTTCCCAGTAACTTTCCAGGAGGTTACTGCAAGTGACAGCAGGGACCAGGCTGGGAGTCACAAGGTTCTGGGATGGTGAGGGCCTGAAGCATTCTTCCTCCGCTGCCTTATTGGAGGGTGCTGCCCCTCCCGAGCACCTTGCTGCACCTGCTCCTGAGTGCACAGGCTTTGAGCTTGAATCCTGGACGCATGAAACTAGCCGTGTGAACTGCAAGTTCCTCAGCCTTCCTGAGTCTTGCTTTTATCTCTTTTGTTAAAAGAGAAAATATCCGCTGGCCCGGGTCACTGTGCATTGAGTGGAATCTGATTTGTCAAGGGCTGGGCATAGGGGTGCAACACAGGAAACTTCGACTGCCCCCCTGTCTGCCATCTGTGTGCACTCTACAGCAAAAGCTTTATTTTTAGCAGGGGTACCCAAGATCTGGTGGTGGCCATTCAGCAGATGGTGCTAGTACCAAAGCTAGAACTCAATCACTGTTTGCCAGTGTGGGCATCATCCCCTGCAGATACCAGGAAGAGCAGCAGGCATAGATGCAAGGCCTGGGGGTCCAGGGCGATGGAGCCTCCCCTCAGGGGTGGGTGGGGTCCACGATGTGTGTGGGGGGGTGACTGGGAGCCCCAGGATGTGTTTCGCCAGTCCTAATTCAGCAGGAGCATTTGGATAAATCTTAGAACGATCTATCCTTCCACTCCCACCACTTCCCTCCCTAGAATCTCTCCTTACATCTGGCCCTATGCCCACACATCCTGAGTCATTAGTGGGGCTTCTCTGAATTTCCCTCCTTCTCTTAGAGGTGTGGGCACTGTCTGTTCATCCTTTTGGCATGAGGCTGCTCTCCTGGCATCCTTTGCCCTCAGTTGCTTCCCCAAATTGGCCCTGAAAAGTTTCCCAGGCAGGGTTGGGGCTTGCCAGACTGTGCAGTAGGCAGAAGGATAGGCAGAGACCACAGCTCTTCCAACAGCCCAGGGTCAATATCAGGCTGATGGTGTGAGAAAGTCCCATACAGGCCCATCTGCCCTCCTGCTCTTCCTTCCCCGCTTTGTGCGCTCAGTCTGTTGGGAGATGTAGGGGAGACGCAACGGGGCTCTGCCCTGAGATGGACCTGAGGTTACTGAGTCCTCGGGAGGAAGCCAAGAGCTGAGTCCGGGGCACCCACCAAAATAAGACCTGGAGCCTGGGTAGTGGGTGACATCTGCACCCTGGGGCCTTGCAGGGCCAGGCAGGAGATGGCAGAGCTGCGTCCAAGCCATGGACCCATGGGGTCAGCAGGGCGGGACAGGAGTGACTTCTCCTGCCAGGGTAGCACTGGTGGGGGTGACCCTCCTTACTGGGCTGGCTCTCCAGATTTTCTCCTATCCCACAAATCTGCGGCAGAGCTCTCGGGTCTCTCCACGTGGTCACCCACCATCTATTGTCCCCACTCTGGTGGTCAAAGTCTCTACTCTCTGACCCCAGCCCTGGTCTTACATCTGCTACACTATTTGCTGTGCCTGCATTTCTCCCAAAGAACACTAGCTGTTAATTAAACATTTGCTGACATGGATCCTGCTAGACATTGAGGGTGTGTGTGTGTGGGGTGGGGGTGGGGGCCATGGGGAGAGAAACATTAGTCCTGAGCTGATACTTCCCAAATACACCTTTTCCCACTTCCCTTGTCCTTGCACATGCTGTGCTTTCTGTTCCAGATGCTCTTCTCCCCACTGTGTGTGTCTGGCTCTAAAAAATGCTCCCTTGTCCCCAGGTCCAGCTCAAATGCCACCTCCCCAATCCCTGTGAGAGGGACATTCCCTCCCATGGTACCTGTCTTGCTTCTTTTTGTTTTTTTTTTGTTTTTCTGAGATGGAGTCTCACTTTATCGCCCAGGCTGGAGTACAGTGGCACAATCTCAGCTCACTGTAACCTCCGCCTCCTGGGTTCAAGTGATTCTCCTGCCTCAGCCTCCTGAGTAGCTGGGATTACAGGAGCGTGTCATCACACCCAGCTAATTTTTGTATTTTTGTAGAGATAGTGTTTTGCCACATTGGTCAGGCTGGTGTTTAACTCCTGACGTCAGGTGATCCGCCTACCTTGGCCTCCCAAAGTGCTGGGATTACAGGCATGAGCCACTGCGCCCGGCCCCTGTCCTGCTTCTGATCACAGTTTGCGCAGGGTCTATTAGGATCCAGCCCTTCTCCCTTCCCCAGCCCCTCCTCTCCTGTGAAAGCCTGGGGGAACAGACATCTACACTGGTTGACTTGGATGTGTGTTTTATACAAAAATGTGTATGCTGTATACCCAGTTCACAGTGCAGAAAGTATGTTTTGTAAACTTGGCTTCCCTTGTATGTATCTGTTTGGGCTCTGGCCTGCTGGGCGATCAGTTTTGGTTTTCCTTCGGTTTGGGGCGGTGGGAGGGAGAAGTGCTAGAAATTCCTGCTGTTCACTTCCAGTTTCCTGGAGAACTTGTTAAAATACAAAGTGCTGGATCCACCCTAGATCTCTACATATTCCTGCTTCCATCCCAATGGATCTCTAGCTGGTTCTTGAGGCACACTTTCAGAAGTACTGCTAGAAGATTCCCAAAAAAACCCCAACTTGTTTCCAGCTTCCAGAGATCATTTCTCATGGCCACTGTGTAGCACAAGATCTGGGAGGCTCCTAAAACTATAATCTTTCAAGGTTGCTCAGCCATCAAGGTTATGATCCTTTCATCTACACATCCATGAAGCCACACATCCATCCTTACACAGCTCTCTCACTCATCCACCATGCACCCATCCATGCAGCCAGTCATCTGTCTATCCATCCATCCACCTCCCCAGCCATATATTTGTCTGTCTGTCTGTATACTCATCCATTCCACTAGCCTTCCTTCCTTCTTTTCTGCCTTCCTGCCTTCCTGCCTTCCTTCCCTCCTTCCTTTTTTTATGCAGCCTTCACCTCATTCATGTGCTCACTCATCCATGTGCTCATTCATTCATCCATCTTCTCTCTCACTTACTAAGCTACCCATTTGCTCATGTGTTCCTGCCTGTGTGCACCCCTAAAAGCAGAGACTGAGACAAAGGTCAGAAATTTAAAATGGTTTCCAGTGGGGTAAATCCAAAGTATTGGCAGAGCTGCATTCCTCCTGGAGACTGTAGAGAATAATCCATTTCCTTGCCTTTTCCTTGGGTTCATGCCCTTTCTCCATCTTCAGACCAGCAGTGTGGCATCTTTAAATCTCAGTTCCCACGGCACACATCCTCATGTCACCTCCTCTGATTCTGACTCTCTTGCCTACTGCCCATCCTATAAGGAGCCTTGCGATTACATCAGGCCTACTCAGATAATCAAGGATGAGCTTTGCATCTCAAGATCCTGAACTCAATCACATCTGCAAAGTCCTTTTGCCGTTTAAGGTAACATATTCACAGGTTCCACAGATTAGGATGTGGACATCTTTGGGGGCCATTATTCTGTCTACCATTATTATGCAGAACTGCTTCCAGGGAGCAGGAGTGGAGAGCAAGGAGAATGACACAGGGAAGGAGGAAAGGCCCTGATGAGAATGGAGTTGGCCATCCCTGTGAGATCTTCAGAAGCATATTGTCTAATGTGTCTCAGAACTTACTTACATGAGACAGAATGGAGAAACATCCATCCAAACCTAGGCAGACCTAGGTTTGTATACCAACTTCCTCTTTTCCGGGGTGACTTTGGGCAAGTCGGTCAACCCTAACCTCTGCTTCCTGAGCTGTGAAATGGAAAGAACAAGAGCATTAACTGCACAAGAGAGGATTAGACCTTCTGTTCCTCCCTCTCTCCCTCCCTCCCTCCCTCCCTCCCTCCCTCCCTCCCTTCCTTCCTTCCTTCCTTCCTTCCATCTGAACATCTACCAAACACACCTGAAACTACTGTGAGCAGGTCTTTGCCTAGGATTAGGGCACAGATATGAATCAGGCCTTGTCCCTGTTCTCAGGTCATGTGGACCACAGAGCCCAGAAAGACACCCAAATGGCTTGGCTCATCCTGTTCACTGTTTCCAGCAGGTATTGGGCCACATGCACCCAGAATGTGACTTCATCACCCAGCTGAGAGAGGATGAGAGTGCCTGTCTACAAGCAGCAGAGGAGATGCCCAACACCACCCTGGGTATGGGGCCTAGGAGGCAGGTGGTGGCTTCTCTGATTCCTTTATATCCTCCAGCCTCACCCCTCGGATTATTGGGACAGCCCTGCACCTGGGCTGAGTCTCTGCTGCTCCTGGCTCTCTATCCAGGCTGCCCTGCGACCTGGGATGGGCTGCTGTGCTGGCCAACGGCAGGCTCTGGCGAGTGGGTCACCCTCCCCTGCCCGGATTTCTTCTCTCACTTCAGCTCAGAGTCAGGTGAGGGGTGCTGGGTGTGGCGGTGGGAAAGGGAGGTGCTTTCATCTGGAAGTGGCAGAATCATCACTGGATTTGGGGGCAGGCTAACCTGGGTTTGTATACCAACTTCCCCTCTTCTGGGGTGACCTCGGGCCAGTCAGTCTATCCTGATCTCTGCTTCCTGAGCTGTGAACTGGGGAGAACAAGAGCATTAACTGTGCAGGAAAGTATTAGAGTGCAGAACCTGTAAGTGCTGGACCTGGATGCCCTCCAGGTGTTAGCAGAAGCCTGGCTGCAAGGGTGGAGGAGGGCAGGCCTGCCTGACTGCCAAGACACCACCAACTGCCCAGGATGGAGAGGGTGGGGCACTCTGCTGCTCTGCTTCACTTCCCTGGCCTAGGTGCTGGGACAGTGAGGGCCTCTTTTCTCCCTACTGCCCTTAGGATGCTGGCAGCCCAGCTCACCACTCCTCACCCCTCAGGGGAATAATCCTCTTTGTGAAGAGATGGCACCTTTGAAGCCAGAGAAGGAAGGCCCCATAGTGTGTCCCTGGGCAGGCTAGACCTGGGCCCCAGGCCTCTGGAGCCACCCTCTCTGTTGCTCAGAGGAGCTGTCCATGCAAACCCTGCCAGGGTCACTTGATGGTCCCTGGCACCCCCAGCCCCCTCCTGGGGAGAGGGAAGGAGTTGTGGCTAGAGAGTCTTGCTTGCCTCCCAGGGGCTGTGAAACGGGATTGTACTATCACTGGCTGGTCTGAGCCCTTTCCACCTTACCCTGTGGCCTGCCCTGTGCCTCTGGAGCTGCTGGCTGAGGAGGTAAGAGTCTTCTGGCATCTTGGAGGAAGGACTGCCATGGACATTTGTATGGGTGGGTGCACAACTGTAGGGGCCGCCATTCTCTAGCCTGCAGATTGGAATACTACTTACAGCAGTTTTCCAGCAGAGAGCAGTGAAGTGTCTGGAGGAGATGGGGTCTTTTGCTAAGTTACTGAAGGGTGACCCACGGGCCAAGTTACTTGGAGGGAGAAGCGGGGCAGAGGGCAGGTGGGAGATCTGCCGGCTGCTGTCTTGGTTCTGTGTCCAGGCCTCCAGGGCAGGGAGCTTAAAGTGGTTCCAGAGGAAACAAGGCTCCTAGCAGCCCTGGGAAGCTCCTTTCCTTCTCTGGCCCTCAGTCTGTGGAGCAGTGTGCATGGTTGCGATGTGGGCAAGTGAGGGAAACTCAAGCCCAGGGTGATTGCAGAGAGCTCCTAACACCAGCCAGCACACCGCACACTTGTGTATCCAGCAGGGCCTTTGCCAGGCACTCCCAAACCCATCATCCCATTTCTCTGTCCCCTTGATCTCTGAGAGGTAAAGCATGACTGTAACCATTTTTCAGATGGAAAGACTGAGTCAGGGACAGGAAGTGATTGCCTGGACCCCACAGGAGAGCTGGGATTGGGGCCAGTGCCCAGGCCCCTGCTCCCTTCCCTTGCCTGCACCCTCTATCTTCAGGGCCAGGCTGGACTCTGACTGATCCAAACACTTGGCCACGGAAACCTTTTGCCTGCCTGCCTGTGGCTGTCCCCAGGTGTCCCTGGCTATCTCCTTTATTTGGATACATTGTGTTCCCAAGCTGGTGAGCAAGCTGGATGTCAATAAACAAGCTGATTTCCTCTTGGGCTTTTGTCATTCCCCAGGGACATGTAGTTTCTGCGGCTGCCTCTCCTCACCCTCAGAGCATCATGAATGTTAAGCATCTCCACTCCTCGCCACTACCCCTCCCTCACCCGCAGGTCAGGTGGAAGGCAGGCTGTAAACTAAAGCTCCAGTGCACAGGGGGAGCTTTCCATGGTACTCGCGGACACCTCTGCCTCCAGATGGGGAGTGTTGGGGTGGAATGGCAAAGGCTTCACCTGCTTGATTGTCAAGCCTCTCTTTCCTCCAAAGGCCCAGAAGCTGAGACTTTCTTCTGTCTCTGCCCTTCCCAGGAATCTTACTTCTCCACAGTGAAGATTATCTACACCGTGGGCCATAGCATCTCTATTGTAGCCCTCTTCGTGGCCATCACCATCCTGGTTGCTCTCAGGTTTGTCATCCTCATCACCAGCTCAAGAACCTTCCTTGGCTCCTTATTTCCCAGAGGGTCAAGTCTGCTTCCTTGCCTACATAGCCATGAACTTCCCAGATCTAGGCGCCATACCCATGTCTAACTTTCCCTTCCCTTTTCCCCACCATGTAGACCCATCTCTTCAAACACCAGAACTCATTCCTACCTCTGCCCCTTTGCTCACGTGGTGCTCATTCTATTTGCTTGGAATTCCTCATTGTTCTCAGTGTATTTATAACTGAGAAAGCCCAGCTCCTATCTGCATCTGACAGTCCTCTGCCTCCTGCCCAGAGCCCCTCTTGACTGTTATAACTCTCTGACCACTGTCCCCTTTAAGACCCCACCCCCTCCTCCAGCCTTCGAAGTCTGAGCACTGCATCTGGCCTGTGCTGTTCTTGGTCTCATGGGGATGAGTGTCTCTGATCATCCAGGGGGCTCCCATGGGCAGTACCTGCCGTTTCTGCCTCTGTTCCCTGAGACTGTGAGCACCCTCGAGGCAGGGACCAGATATTCCTCTCTTTCCACACTTACCCTGAGCACAGGAATGGTTGCTCAGCTGTCCTGCAAGGGTTAAACTGAAGCCTCAAGTTCAGCTCAATTCAATTCAGTTTGATTGCATCCAGTTTGATTCGATTCACCTCCTGCCCTGTTCAGCCCAGTTGCAGCACACCAGAATCCCCTCTCCCTGCTTGCTTCTTGTTCCTCATTTCTCCCATTACCCCCAGGAGGCTCCACTGCCCCCGGAACTACGTCCACACCCAGCTGTTCACCACTTTTATCCTCAAGGCGGGAGCTGTGTTCCTGAAGGATGCTGCCCTTTTCCACAGCGACGACACTGACCACTGCAGCTTCTCCACTGTAATGGCCATGGGTGAAGGGGCTGGGCAGGTGGGGGAGAGAGGAGGTAGGATTACAGACCCAGATGTGCCTGCGTCAGGCTTCCCTGCCCTGTGGGCTGACCCTGGGGCTCCCGCATGGCCAATTACAGAACAGGAAAATGCTCCTTTCCCATGTCACCCCCTAAGTCCTCACGCCTTTCCTGGACTGTGGTGTCGATCCATGTCATTTCCCATATTGCATGCTCTACTCCGCGTTCTGTAGTCCAACCTAGACCACGTTTCACTATGCACAGCCTTTTCCTTTCCTTTCACCCCTCCCTGAGCACTCATAGGTCTGTGCTGGGGGTGTGTACGCAAGGGGCTGGGAGGAGCTGGGTCCCTCCTTCAGGAAGAGCCCATGGGACAGAATGCACACAGATTAGGGGACTCCCAAGTGGAGGAAGCTGAGAGCTAGGAGAGAACGAGAGGGGGCTTCAGGGAGGAGAGGACCCTGGAGCTGTATTGGCAGCAACAATAGGGAGATGGGGAAGGAGAACATTTCAAGAGGAGAGACCAGGGTGAACAAACTCTCAAAGACAGGAGGACCTGGGCCATGTCCAAGAAACTGGGAAGGCACCATGGGAGAGATGGGGTGGAGACAATAAGAGGCAATTGAAATTAAAGGGAAGTTGGGCAGAATGTGGAGACCCAGCACCTGCTAGATCCTCTGCAAGTGTGCTGGAAATGAACAGCGAAATCAGGGAGCAAACTAACACATGACCTCAATTAACTGATGAAAGAATTAATCATACTTCATACTGAGCACTTATTTTGTGCCAGGCATTGCACTAAGTGCTTTACATATGTAGTTGTCCCTTGAACAATGTGGGTTTAGTGGTGTTGACCCCCCTTTCAGCTGAGAATTCAAGTATAACTTTTGTGTCCCCCAAACTTAACTATTGATTGCCTACTGTTGACCTGAAGCCTTACCAATAACATAAATGACCGATTAACACATATTTGTCTGTTACACGTGTTATATACTGTATTCTTACAATAAAGTAAGCTAGAGAAAAAATTTTAAGAAAATCATAGAGAAAATAAAAATTGGCTGTTTTTAAATGGAAGTGGATCATCATGAAGGTCTTCATCCTCATCGTCTTTATGTTGAGTAGCCTGAGGGGGAGGAGGAAGAGAAGTTGATCTTGCTGTCTTAGGGGTGACAGAGATGGAAGAAAATCTATGTGTAAATGGACTTCAGCAGTTCACACCTTTGTTGTTCAAGAGTCAGCTGGCATTATCTCTTGAATTTTTAAAACAGCTTGAAGAAGAAAGCATCACTTTAATCCCATTTTGTAGAGGAGAGACAGTTGGCAAGGTCACCCAGTGGCACACGGGTGGGGCTGGGATCAAACCTGGGCCAACTGAACTCAGAGGTGGTCCTGCTCCCCTGCCGGCAGGTGATCAAGTCATGCAGTGAGTGAGTGAATGCACGGGTGCCTGTGTGTGTTTTTTGCAAGACAGAGCTGTGGCTGAATAAGTCACAGCTCTAGGGATTGACTTCAGCTCAGGAAGGATGGGGGTAAGTGAAAATAGAAGCAAGTCTTAGGCAGTTTCCATTTAATCCTTATGATGAGGACTTGATCTAGGTATTGGAGGTTTTTCCTTTTACAGATGAAAAGCTAAGGTGTGAGGAGATTTGCACAGGAAATAGATAGTAAATTAGAAGCCAGGCTGTCTAGATACCAAATCTGTGCTCTTAACCCTCACTGTATATCACCACATCCCCTCTTGGGTGGCCCAAGGAGCTGCAGGTCCCAGCCTAACATGGAGGGGCCTGGAGGTTCTGTATCTGAGTAGGGTAGAGGAGACTGGGATGGGGCTCCAGTGGGTGTCCCAGCTCTGAAGCACCCAGGTCCTGGCCCCCAGGTTCTATGCAAGGTCTCTGTGGCCGCCTCCCATTTCGCCACCATGACCAACTTCAGCTGGCTGTTGGCAGAAGCCGTCTACCTGAACTGCCTCCTGGCCTCCACCTCCCCCAGCTCAAGGAGAGCCTTCTGGTGGCTGGTTCTCGCTGGCTGGGGTGAGCACTGAGGGCGGGTTGGGCACCATGGGGAGGTAAAGGGCTGGAAAGGCCCAGGGAGTTTACATAAAGGCCCCTCCACCTCACTCTGAGGCCCAGAGAAGGAGAGGGACAGGCCACAGTCCGGCAGCAAGTGTTGGAGGGTGGGACCAGGGCCCTGGCTCTGGGGTCCTGCCTGGCCCTGCCTTTGCAGTGCCCTACGTGGCTGATGGTGGTGGTGGGAGGTGGCGCCAGATCTCAGAGTCAAGGATGCAGACTCCCTCGCTTGTGTCTTCCCTGTACTCCTGTAGGGCTGCCCGTGCTCTTCACTGGCACGTGGGTGAGCTGCAAACTGGCCTTCGAGGACATCGCGTGAGTCGGAGCGGCCACCTTGTCATACCCGCTGGTCCTACATGGGGTGTGGAGTGGACAGTCAGGCCATGGGCTGTTCTCCAGGCTGGGAAGAGGAGGAGAAGGGACTGCCCGGCTAGGATGGGGGGTGGGAGAACAGTCTGTGAGTAGCACAGAAGGGGCATGAGCCAGGCAGGAGAGTGGAGCTCAGATTCCCAGGGCTGTGGGGCTGGGGGAAGGTGGGGTGAGGGAGCTGCCAGGGGGCCAGCAAGGAGGCATTGAACAGAGTTCAGAAACGTTTGTCCATCTAGGTGGATAGAAAGGGTGAGCCCAGCCTGGATTGGGGTGCCCCTTTGGGTGAGACCTTAACTGGCTGAGACAGGAGAAAAGGCTGGAGGGGAGGTGGGTGAGACCAGAAGGCATGAATGCCTGAGAGGGAGGTGCCTGCGTCACCACAGTGAAGGGGACTTTCCAACAACGGCCTTCTTTCCTCTCTCCCCAGGTGCTGGGACCTGGACGACACCTCCCCCTACTGGTGGATCATCAAAGGGCCCATTGTCCTCTCGGTCGGGGTCAGTCCCTGGGCCAGTGCCCTTTGCTTTATTCAGTCAACTTCCCTGGAACTACTGACGGGCTGTGCACAGCAGGAAATGCAACTCCAGGCTGGGTGTCTTGAAAACTGGGCTCCAGCCTTGCTCTGCCACTGATTCTCTGTGAGGCCCTCTCTGGGCCTCAGTATCCCATTGGTAAAACTAGAGGGGTGGTGGTCTCCATCAGCATGCAGGCTGTTCCAGCTCAATTTTGATGAGCCTAATGTGCTGGTTGCAGATCATTTACCACCACAGTGAGAGACTAGGGGTGCCGGGTGGGGGCAGTAAATGGAGTCTGCAGCTAAACCCCTCTCCTCCCTCTGCTCTCACACACAACACAGAGGCAGTGAAGACTGCTTTGCATGGCTTTGGTAAATGTACAAATGTTTTGCAACTTAGCAACTGTGCAAAGTGAGGGACATCTGCTTTGTGCTAGAGAAGAGCCTGGGAGGTGGCTGGAGGCAGGTGGCAAGGCCTGATCGCCCCCCTTGATCCCAGGACTTGGTCCTTCTCTGTCCAATGCTCAAATGTGGGACCCCCGCCCCCCCATCTCCAGGCTACCAGTTCTGGAGCAATGATCTGTGCATTCATTCACCTGCACATTCTCACGTCTCAAGGATTTAAATTTTCTAGTCCCCAAATGGGCTGGGGCTCACCCCAGCCACCCAAGGCTACCCCCTGACCCTTGTCTTCCACCTTCCTATGCCTCTATTTCCAGGTGAACTTTGGGCTTTTTCTCAATATTATCCGCATCCTGGTGAGGAAACTGGAGCCAGCTCAGGGCAGCCTCCATACCCAGTCTCAGTATTGGTACTGTGTGTTTGTGTCTGGGGATACTGGGAAAGGGTAACTGGAGGGGGATTCAATGTGTCTGTCTCATCCAATAAGCACTCATGACCTCAGCCCCATACTCTTTCTTCCCTATGTTCCCAGAGACAGAATAGACCTGGCCCCTTCCTTCTAGGGGATCACAATATTGGAAGGATGAGGACTCCAAACAGCCAGCTCCCATGCCAAATAGAACGATGAGTGCTGGGATCAATTTCTATGGGAGCCTGGGGAGAGGGATCCTTTCTAGTTGAAGGGTGGTGTGGTCAAGGAAGACTTCCTGGAGGAAGTGGTTTTGATCCACACTTTGAAAGATGCATAGACTTTGGGATAAACTGGGGCAATAACAGTTGGTAGGGGAATCAGCAGGATCCAGCGCCCAGAAATAAAAAAGCCCAGAGTGATTGTGGGGAGGTGGCGTTTCCCAAGGTGGCTGTTCCACAGAGTGGATATAGGGAGGTGGTAGGAAGTGAGAGGAGATGAAGTGCACACGACAGTTTCTAATCCCAGTCTTGGGAGCCTAGGATTTGTCTTTCCTGCAGGCGTCTCTCCAAGTCGACACTTTTCCTGATCCCACTCTTTGGAATTCACTACATCATCTTCAACTTCCTGCCAGACAATGCTGGCCTGGGCATCCGCCTCCCCCTGGAGCTGGGACTGGGTTCCTTCCAGGTGAGGGCCCCCACAGGCACTCTTTCTTTCCATTGAGGGTGCTGGAGGGAGGTGCTGTTGCCCACGGGCCTTGGCTGAGTTCATGACAGGGTGAGGGCTATGTTTTTCATCCATCTATTCAAATATCTGTCTGTCTGTCCATCTTCCAGCCACCCATCTACGTATTCAACTACCCATGCATTCTTCCATCCATCCATCCATCCATGCATCCATCCATCCATCCGTGCATCCATCCATCCATCCATACATCCATCTACCCACCCACCAACCCATCCATCCATCCATCCATCCACTCACCTAACCACCTACCCACCCACCCATCCACCCACCCATTCATCCACCCACCCACCCATCTATACATCCATCCACCCACCCACTCATCTATCCATCCATCTATCCATCCATCCACCCATCCATCCAATCTATTCAACTCTTACTGATCCCCTATTATGTGCCAAGTGTTGTGCTCATTCACAAGGGATGCAGAAATAAAGTCAGAGAAATGGGGCCAACAGTACAGCCCTGGCAGGCTTGCTATGACAATTCTATGACAATATGCCTGGCACATAGTAAGTAATGAATGCATTTAAATTCCCCTTTCAATCAAACCTGGCCCAAGCCATAGCCTGGGGATGAGTAGGGAAAAGGTAGCAGAAAGACGGTGGACACCTTCAGGCCAGGCCAAAGGGTTCTGATGGGGTCTTTCTTCTTTGGACCCACAGGGCTTCATTGTTGCCATCCTCTACTGCTTCCTCAACCAAGAGGTGTGTGATTTTTGAGGCTATCCCTCATGGAGTCCCCCTCCCACCAGACCTAAGGCCCCTCCTCCTCTCTCCCACTCAGGCCCTGTAAACCCCAGCTCAGGCCACACCTTCACTCTTGTGAGCTTTTGTGGTAGTCTGTCCTGAGCTTCTGGATCAAGCTGAACCGGAATGTTTCCTGTAAACATCTCTTATCCATCCTTCCTCTGAGCTGGGCCAAGTTCTACTAGCTACTCTTCAGGAGGTGGAGGAGGCCTTTCAGGGATAAGGAGGGGGATTAGGGTAGGGAGTCAGAAGGAATCCCCCAATTCTGTGTTCCTAAAATTGAACAAAAAGGAGAGTTGGGGAGGGGGTACGCCAGCTGAGGGAGAGACAATCAGAGAGAACAGATAGAGGAGCCAAGAAAGTCAGAGGTAAACATACAGGGAACTAGGAAAATAATCAGATGCAGAGACAAAGAGGAAGATCTGGAGCCCAAGAAACAGAGAGAGCACCTAAAGAAAACAGACACACAAAGAGAGTGGACAGAAGGGGAGATAGACATGAAAAGACAGAACAGATGGTGCTGCTGCACATGTGGAAACGTGGGGACACGACAGAGACTGACGCAAAGTGAATTCCACCCAGGAGACACTGAATTTCCCCCTTAGGACAGTCCTGCTCTGGGGAGAGAGGCGGGGGAGAATTGATCTCAATGCCCCGGACTCCCAAGTTCCACCTTTGTGCACCTGCAGGGCCATGCGCTCCCTCTGCTGGCCATGGATTTGCCATGGGCTCTGCATTCTGTGAGAGTTGGCTGCAGATGCCCTGTCCCCTTCGCTGTGGAGTTTTGCTCCCATCTCATCTGCCACCTCTGTCCCTTACTGCTCCTTCCACTCTCCCTCTCTTTATTCCTCACCTGACCTCTCTAAGTCCCATGCAGCCTTATCTGGTGTCTGGCTGTAGCAGACCATGGGCCCTGGGGGTCCTGGGAGGGGCAAGAAGCATCCCAGGCTGAGGCTGGTGGGGTGTGGAAAAAGTGTTTCCACAGAGAGGTGTGAAGGGAGCTGTCTTGGGAAGCAGTGCCGGAGACCAGGTGGTTACATACCTCTGGTGACAGTGAGCTTACTACATCCCAATAGCTCTTTCTGTTGTCAGGCAGCTGTGGAAAGATCATCTTTATGTTGAACAGATATCTGATTCCTTTTATCTTTCACCACAACCCCAGTTCGGCTCTACTGCATGAGGCACATTCTCTCAGCACCCTATGCCCCTGAAAGCCCCTTGGAGATGTGAAGATACAGACAGCACCCCCACCCCCCAATCCCACCGTTCCATCTTGCCCCAGGCTACTTTTCTTTTACTTACTTTCAGTTTCCTCAACTGCAACCCCTCAGACAGAGTTCTGAATCCTCTCTCCCTTCAGGTCATGTCCTCTGGACAGATTTCCAGTGGCCAGAGTTGAGCTCACAAAATTGAATCCCAGAGCAAGGAGTGGTCTAAGTGATTAAGAGAGAACAGGGTGGTTATTTGGCCAGGAACTCAAGAAAGCACCTATAAATGTCTTTAACTGGGCTCAGACAAAGGCAGGGCTAAAAGGCAGAGAAAGGAGCTAAAAGAATGGTGAGAAATACTCACAGGAAGGAAAAAGTAGTATCCTCCAGAGGTAGTACTTAGCAGTACCTGTTGCCAAGCATGACTTTTCCTGCCCCATGTCTCTGTTTCTCTTACACGGCCTCTCCCTGCACCTTAGTCTCATTGGGGTTGAGTAGCAAAGCCACAGGGGGACCTTCCTAACGTCCTCTTCCTTGTCCCTGGAGGTGAGGACTGAGATCTCACGGAAGTGGCATGGCCATGACCCTGAGCTTCTGCCAGCCTGGAGGACCCGTGCTAAGTGGACCACGCCTTCCCGCTCGGCGGCAAAGGTGCTGACATCTATGTGCTAGGCTGCCTCATCACGCCACTGGAGTCCACACTTGAATTTGGGCAGCTACCACGGGTCTGCCATGCTCTGGAGGAGCAAGGGGGCCACATCCCCACCCCAGCTGTTACCCAGCCCGGGGCAGGTGCAGCCCTTCCTCCCTGTCTCTGCATCTGACTCTCTTTTGAGGTCCCTGTATGTCTACCTCTGACTTCTGTGGTCCCTCTGTGTCTGCTCTCATCCATTCCTCTTACTGGGGCCTGGGGCTCTAGCCCAAGGCTCAGAGGAGCCAATAAACCTGTAAATGAATAGACGCATGTTTGAGTGAGTAAATGGGCCTTTAAAGGGGAGCGCACCTGCGTTCTTTATTTAGACGTCTGGTGCTGAGTTGCGTTCATCATTCCTCAGTTCATGCTACATTATGATTATTTATCTGTGCAAGGGGCCTCTTGTTTTATTTATTCTTAAAATGTACTCTCTTTTGCCTTCACCACTCCCATTCGCCTCCTCTCACAGGCAAAGAGAGCATGCTTAATGTGAATACTTGTGTTTCTGTGTGTCTTGCAAAATACGTGGTGTTTTGTGTGTCTGTACTTTAATTTACATAAATGCTGTTGGTCATATGCCTCATCCTGCTTCTAACGTTTCCCCCTCAGCACTGTGCTTTTAAGAGATGCTCCCGGGGTGGACGCGGTGGCTCATGCCTGTAATCCCAGCACTTTGGGAGGCTGAGGAAGGCAGATCACCTGAGGTCAGGAGTTCGAGACCAGCCTGGCCAACATAGCGAAACGCTGTCTCTACTAAAAATGCAAAAAATTAGCTGGGTGTGGTGGTAGGTGCCTGTAGTCCCAGCTACTTGGTAGGCTGAGGCAGGAGAATTGCTTGAACCCGGGAGACGGAGGTTGCAGTGAGCCGAGATCACGCCCCTGCATTCTAGCCCGGGCGACAAGAGCGAAACTCTGTCTTAAAAAAAAAAAAAAAAAAGAGAGAGAGATGCTCCCGTGTTTCCCTGCATACATCTGGTCTGTCGTTTTGGCTGTATGTGGTGCTGTGTAGAGTCATCACCCACGTGTTACTGTCCTGTCCTGTCTCCCCTGCACTCTAGTGAACATGCACATGCCGGTCCCCTCCAGGATCTGTGAGAGTGAGCCTCTGTCCGGGACTCACACCCAGGAGGAGCAGTGCTGGGCATCCGTTATGCCACCTGTTGATGTGATTCGGAGGTGCCAGATTGCATGCTTCAGTTCTGCACTCCCACTAGCAGCTCTTGAGGTCCCTAAGTCCCACAGCCCCACCAACACTTGGCATTACCCAGCTTTGTAATGTTCACCAGCCAAATGGGTGTAAAGTGCCATGGCACTGTTGTCCTAATTTGCATCTCCCTGATATCTAATGGGTGTAAACATCTCTTGCTGTACCCGCTTGCCTTTTGGGTTTCTTCTTCTGGAAATTGCTTGAGTCTCTTTCCCTATTTTCCTCTGGAGTGGAGATGCCTCAACTCCAGGTCTTTCTCTTACGTCGTCCCCATTGTGTGCCCTCCTGGGTCCCAGCATACTGCCTGCTGTCCCCCACCCAACTGAGGACTCCCTTAATGTAACACATCTACATAGTCTGTCCCTCTTCCAACCTCCTTCTTGGCAGCGGGGAGGAGAAGGAGACCCAGGCTCTGTCCGTGGGGACCTATTTATTGACTGACAGTGGTGGAGGGAGATTCCAGTACAGAGAATAGGCCTACTCGGGCTGATCGCCAGGTGCCATTTGCCTTGTCCTGGTCCTTGCCTGGGTGCCTCTCTTCTCTGTGATCCCCTGCATGGTGGCCCTCTCCTCTGCACGGAGGATCTAGCTTGTCCTCCATGGCCTGCCTGGACCAGGTATCTTTTCTCATGCACTGGGAACAGAAGGAGTAGGCATCCTTTACCTGTGCTGGCTCACAAGTGTGTATCTGGTGGACGCAGCAGATGGACATCCTCCTTCCTTACAGTCGTGAGAGTTCCAGGGAATGGAGACACAGCTACATGAAGCCCAAGGCCACATTGTTGCCCATGACGCCCGGCTGCCTGGCACCTTCCTGGTCAGACAAATGTCAAAGTGCGGGCCCAGTCTGAAAACCCATCATATTCAGTCTCAAATCATAAAAGTAATTCATATTCATTGCAGGCATTTAGGAGATACAGAAGGATTTTTTAAAAAATCAATCATCATCTTATTACCAAGACATTCACCATAGATACTTTTGTATGTTTCCAGAAAGATTTTTTTTCTGTGTTTTGGAAGTAGCTTGAGATTATATTTGTAAAATTTCATATGATTTGTATGCATTAAAACAATATACATTATATATAGATGGCCAATAATCACTTGAAAAGATGTTCGATATCATTAGTCATTAGGAAAATGTAAATCAAAACCACAATGCAATATTGTTTCATGTCCATGAGGATGGCTAAAAGGAAAACAAAATAGCCAATAACAAGTATTGGCAAGAATGTGTAGAAATTGGAACCCTCATGCATTGCTGGTGGGACCAGAGAATTGTCAGGTGCTTTGGTAAAAAGTTGCACAGTTGCTCACAAAGTCAAACACTGAATTATTCAGAAAATCCACTCCTAGGTATATAGGCAAGGGAATTGAAGATGTATGTCTACACAAAACTTGTACATGAATATTCATAACATCATTATTCATAGTAGCCAAGAAGTAGAAACAACCTAAACATCCATCAACTTATGAATGAATTAACAAAATGTGGAATATCCATACGATGGGATATTAGCTCCATTATTTCTGTTTGAGGTAATGAAAAGTTCTAAAATTAGATCGTGATGATGGTTGCAAACTCTGAGAATACACGAAAACCACTGAATTGTACACTTTAAAATGGTGAATGTTGTGGTACGTGAATTCTATCTCAATAAAGCAGTTATTAAAAATGAGTAAATGAGTGTTTGCTGGAGAACATTTGCAGACAATTTTTCCGCTACATAATTTGAAAAGTCTATATAATATTATTTATTTAGCCAATAGTTATTTAACATATTTTATTCGTGAAAGTTTCTGTCGATTTTAAAAATAAATATTTATTACAAAAATATTAGCTAGGCATGGTGGCGGGCACCTGTAGTCCCAGCTACTCGGGAGGCTGAGGCAGGAGAATGGTGTGAACCTGGGAGGCAGAGCTTGCAGTGAGCTGAGATCACACCACTGCACTCCAGCCTGGGCGACAGAGCGAGACTCCGTCTCAAAAAAAAAAAAAAAATTGTGATGATAAACTTCCTTGCATACATTTTTTTCATGTATACCTCAAAAAGACAAAAACTTAAACTCCTAGACCTTCAGAATAAATTATCCTAATGTGGAAGAATGTTTGAACCAATGCAATGCACATGATAAGTCTTTTAGTACCTGTTGGCAAATTGCCTCCCAGAAAATTGGTCTAGAGAATTCTTGCACAAACAATATAAGTGTTACAGTTTTTCTGCATTGTTATTATTTTTTGAGACAGGGTCTCACCTGTAGACCAGGCTGGAGTGTAGTAAAGTGATCACAGTTCACTGCTGCCTCAACCTTCTGGGCTCAAGTGATCCTCCCGCTTCAGCCTTCCCAAGTAGCTGAAACTACAGGCATGCACCACCATACTGGCTAATTTTAAAATGTTTTTGTAGAGACAGGGTCTCAGTACATATTGCCCAGTCTGGTCTCAAACTTCTGGGGCTCAAGCAATCCTCCTGCCTTGGTCTCCCAAGTGCTGGAATTACAGGCGTGAGCCAGTGTGCCTGGCTGGCATCATTATATGTTTCTCTGAGTTTTAACTGGTGTTAGCACTGTTAGTAATGGTGTTAGCATAGTGGTGATAGTAGTTAGTGTTAGTTAGCTTGGTTAGTGCTCTTTAATACTAGTTGTGACTAATTTTAGTGGTTAGCAGTTGGTAGAGTTAGTGGCTAGTTAGTGGTTAGCATTAGTTAATGTTAGTGGTTAGTGTTGGTGATTAGTTACCAGTTAGTTTAGCAGCTAGCTGTTAGTGTTAGTTAATGTTATTTAGTGGTTAGTGTTACTGGTTAGTTAGCAGTGAGTAGTTAGTGGCTAGTTAGTGTTGGTGGTTCATTAGTGATTAGTGTTAGTGGCTGGTTAGCAGTGAGTGGTTAGCGTTAGTTAATGTTAGTTGGTGGTTAGTTAGCCATTAGTGTCAGCAGTGAGTGTATGATATTGGCAGTGGCAGAAGCAGCTCACTCTGTGAACTGTCCATCCCTCGCCTACAGGTTTCACAATGGCTGCAGGTTCACCACTTGCTCCCTTTTAGTTTCAACTGGAGCCTCAAATTCCTATCACTTCTCTTGTCTCTCCCATGACAGGGATTCGCAGACTGGGCCTACGATGCAGATTCCTGGGCAGATCCTTTGACTGGCAAGCTCTTCCTCTCTCAGGACTCCAGCTTCCACAACTGAGCGGGGGGGTGGGGGGAGTTGCTCAGGAGATGATGTCTGAGGACGTCTCACCAGGGACACTGGATGGGAAGCAACGAGCTAGGCTGAGAAGCGCAATGATCATCCTGGCCACCAGGTGGCAGTCTAACTGCAGCCAAGAGCCCTGGCTGGGCCGACGGTGCTGCCTGCCTGAGCTGACGCTGGAGATGGACGCAGGACCCCTGCGGCCTGACTGGAGCTCAGCGAGCCGAAGGGGCTGGTGGAGAAGGGGCTGCTGGTCTGGGCAGCCTAGGTTGGGAGGGAGGGTCATGGCGGGAGTGTGGAGGAGCAAGACATCCCCACGCCCCCCGCCCCCTGCCCCAGACCCCAGTGTTGATGAATAAGAAGCGGATTAAGAAGAGTGAGAGCTGAAGAGACAGGAGAATCAGGGACCACGAGAGCCCGTGCAAGATCCGGAGCACAGGGGCTTCCCTGGGTCCCAGGCTTTCTGCAGGACTCACCCCCAACTACCCCGGTGTCCTCCTTCCAGCCAGCCTCCCCGCGGGTCCTGAGAGGAGAGTTTCCTAAAGAGAAGGAAGAAACTCGGACTTCCCTCCTGTTATGTTCGGGCTCCTCTGTGAGAAAGAGGAGGAGAGAGGAAAATGAAGGGCCCATTCTCTGTCCCCAGAGAGCCCCCAGGAATGTTGGGAAGATCTGCAAGGATGAGCCTGAACCTAGAGGTGAGAACTGGTGTGCCGGGCTCAGACTCTCTGGGATGTGGGAGCTCCGAGGACTGGGTGTGAGTGTGGGCAGGAGCAGTCAGGGAAGGCTTCCTGGATGAGGGGACTCAGGCAGGGAGTGTAGACCCTAGAGCCCCACCAGGCCAGGCTGCGCAGTGGTCCCTTTCTACCGTTTGCTGGGCAGGAAGCGGAATGGGGTTGATCTCAGTTTAGAGAGCAATACGTGGAGGAAAGTTCCGGTAGGAGGGTGGTATCGGGCCCAGGCTTCGTTCTCCCCAGGGACTTTCATGACATTCCTGCTAGGGCTCTGGGTCTGCTGGGCACACATTTATCCATGTGGTGAGTGTTCACTGAGTATCTGGGGAACACGCACCTTGCTAGAGTCTGAAAATACAGCTACAAGCAACCCCCAAATGTTCCCCTACACAAGGGGCTTAGGGTCTGGTTGGCAATGGCCAATTTTACATGTCAATATGACTTGGCCACAGGATGCCTGGGTATCCGATTAGTCATTGTTTGTGGGTGTGTCTGTGGCGGTGTTTCTGGAAGGGCTTAGCATTTGAATTGGCAGACTGAGTAAAGCCATGGCCCTCCCCAGTGAGCAGGCACCAGCCAACCCTTGAAGTTCTGAATAGAAAAAAAAAAAAAAAAAAGGCAGAGGAAGGTTGAACTTGAGCTTTCTCTGCCTGGATGTTGAGCTGGAACATCTATCTTCTGCCCTCCAGGATCCTGGTTCTTAGGCCTTCGAATATACCACCCGCCCTCTGGGGTCTCTGGCTTGCAGAGGGCAGATTGACTTCTCAGCCTCCATAATTGCATGAGTCAATACCATACAATAAAGCTCTTTCTACACTGTGTGTGTGTGTGTGTGTGTGTGTGTGTGTGTGTATGTGTGAGGGGTGTGTATATAAAATGTTGGTTTTATTCTCTGGAGAATCCTGACTGATACAGAAGGCATTATTTAGGGCTCTCTGTTGCAGACAACAGGACCCACTCTGGCTGAGTTAAGCAAAAACATGACAAGTTTAAGGACATCAGGTAGCTCCCCTGTCTCTAGGAGGGCCTGAGCTCAGGCCCAGAGGCAGTGCCCATCCCACACCAGGGGGCTACTGTGGCAAATTCCTCATTTCACCACTTTTGGTCATGGACACAGCTGCTCACACCACCAACACCAGGGACAGAATGCCAGAACCACCACATGGCTCTCCTGAAAAGCCAAACTCCTTCCCTGCCACGCTGGCCAAAAATTTGATTCCACCTGGCACCAGCTCCCTCTTATTGCTGTCTTCTGGATCTAAGTCCCACAGAGTTACCCCTGATGGCACAGTCCAGTGACCCTGCCCACTAGCTGCAAGGAAGGCTGGTACAGCAAGCTCAGACCTCTAGCTTGGAGAGGGCCCTCCTACTGTGGCAAGGTTCTCAGGCACAAGAAGGGTGTTCAGAATATGCTGGCTGGCCACAAGCATGACAGATGTGTGGCACCAAGAGGCAAGCACACCATTCAAGCAATCACATAGTAACGGTGACGGATGCAGAAAGAACAGCAAAGTGTTGGGAGAACAAATATCTAGATGACCAAACCTAGACCGGAAGTGTAAAAAATAAAAAGGCTTCCTGGAGGAAGTGACAGCTAAGCTGAGATTGGAACCATGAGAATGAGTTGGCCAGGAAAAGAAGTGGATTAAAAAAAAAAAACAACCAGGTAGAGGAAACAGCACGTGTGAAGGCCCCGAGGTGGGAAGGAGCTCGGCGTGGGAAGAGATGCAAGTTAGCTACTGTGGTTGGATCTTAGGGAGAAAAGGGGAGCGTAGAGCGGGCGGCACCCAGATCACGCAGGGTCAGGAAAGCTATGCTAAGGTTTCATCCCAAAAGGTACTGAAGTGTGTGATGTGACGAGGCTTAGGTGTTTTAAATGATCGCTCTGGCTGGTATACGAAGACTGAATTTCAGGCAGAGACCTCCGCTGGAAGCAGGGAGGCTGGAAATGGAGACACGTACTAGGGTGATAGTGATGGAAAAGATAAGGACCAAGTCCAAAGCTGTCTAACTCAGGGGTGAAACTGTGTGAGAGCAAGAAGACGGACGGAGGCGTCCCACAAGCCTACTGGAATGAGGAGAGACAGAGAGGAGCAAGCTTTTGGGGGAAGAGCAGGAGCTCAGTTTGGGCACATTGGGTTTGGGGTGCACTGAGACAGCCAGCAGGGTGCCAAGGAGCGGGCTGGAGTGAGGAGCGAGGCCCAGCTCAGAAGTGGAGTTCATGAGTGGCCAGTATATTGGTGGCGTTTGATGCCAAGGGCATAGGTGGGGCCACCCCGCAGTGAGAGTGAGGAGCAGGATGAGAAGGGGACTGAGGGCTGAGCCTGGAGGGATCCACACATTCACAATCCCACGGGGGAGCAGGAGCCCCCAAAGGAGGCGGAGCAGGGGAAGGAGTGCTCAGAGAGGTGGGAGGAGAACCGGATGAATGTGGGATCCTGGGGCCCCAACCAAGATTGTCCCAGCGAGGGGCTGCTGAGCCGGCCGAGTGCTGCTGAGCCGCCTTTGTGAGAGGATTTGGAGGCGCAGCTCACAGCGAGAGCGGATTTGGCGGAGGATGGACTCGGAGGCTGGGCTCAGGGGTGCTGAGAGGGAGCGGCTGGGGCAGCCCAGGAGAACAACCCTTTACCGAGGCTCCTCTGGGAGGGCGGGGGGAGCCAGAAGGGAGCGGGAGGAGTCATTTGGTTTTGTTGTAAGAGGACAGCCTGTAAAAATGCTAAGAAGTGGATATGGGAGTCACTGAAAAGTGGGGGGCACGTCATGGAGCGGGGTGGTTGAGAAGGAGTGAGAAGGCAGGTCCTGAACCCAGTGTGGGGGGCCTTGGCTGAGAAAGGGGACTCTGCCCCAGAGGCTGGCAGGTGGGTGTGTGGCCTGGGGGTGGGCAGGAGAGGGAGGCCAACTGCTGGCTCCTGCATTCGTCATGAAGGTGAGGTTCCTGGCCTGCTGGGGGTGGGCGCCAACAGGGGGTGGGAGTGGAGAGCGGGTGGGTCTTGAGAGTGCAGAAGACGGAAGCAGCTGCGGCAGAGGTGGGAGGACAAGCCAGTAGGGAAGAATATACAGTTGCCAGGCCATGCTGGCGGGCCAGCTCCCCCAAGAGCGGAAACTTGGAGTGAGACCACTTTTTCTGGGTGGAATATCTGGTACAGACAAAAGTGACTTGGGCTTATTCAGGGTTGGGTTTTGCCCCAAAGGCTGAGGCACCAGGGACTTGTAGGTGTTTGTCAGAGAGCATTTGTGCAATGCCACAGGGTCCCTGCTGGAGGGTCTGCTGGAAGGGAGTGGAGTATTCGGTGCTAGGGCTGGGTGGGGGTGCAGAGGAAGAGTTCTAGGAGGACAGAAGGGTGTGGTCAGAACAGGATGCTTTGCAGCACAGCTGGTGTGACTTCCAGCAGTAGCATGGGCTCCATGTTGGTGTGGGAGGGGGTGTCTGCTGGGGGTCAAGAAGGTCCCTGAGAGAAGGAAGGGCAGGGACTGTGAGGTCAGTGGGTGACAGACCATCAGCCTGGGCACTGCTGTCACTCAAGACAAAGGCTGGGGTTGAAGGGCAAGGATGACTTTCGAGCCAGAGCCTCCAGCCATGAAGGTGGGGAAGGGGCTGCAGGAGCCTGGGGGTTGCAAACAGGAGGCTGGGGCAGAGGTGGGATGCAGGGAGTGAGGAGGGGCAGACCAGAGGGAGAGTCCAGACAGGGCGGGGTGGAGAGGACTCAGGGTGCGGAGCAGGAACCGAAACCCCCAGGCACTGGTCCCCTGCCCTCCGGAGCCTGGGCAACCAGTCCAGCCATCCTGCTATGGCTTTGCCCTCCCAGCTTTGGGGCTGCCAGAGGCCCTGGCCCTAGAACTGTTAGGAACAGGGCTGCCTTTGGGGCAGATCCAGGCTTTGGAAACCAACAGGAAACTGCAGATATTATTATTTTTTTTTTCTGACACTCTGTTCTGCCTCATCTGTGTGACTCTCTCGTGTGGATTTTTCTCTTCTGGCTTGCTCTTGCACACTCTCTGTCTCTCTGCATCTTTCTCTTTTTGAGGCCCCAGATTTTAGCTGTGGGGAAGCAACAGAGCAGCCCATCAGGCAGCTGCCCCATCTCCATGATACCAACATCTGAGTCCCGGGGCTGGCTGGAGGTGGCCGGAGCTTTCCGCTGGCATGCAGATGGCCAGCTAGCCCCATCTGTCAGAATTCTCCTCCGGAGTGCTCTCTGCCCATCCCCCACACCATCCCTCCCTCCCTCCCTAACTCTCCTGTCTTCCCCTCGTGGCTGTCCCCTCCCAGGTAGAGTGTTGTGCATGTGAGGGAGGGCTGTGTGACCTTCAGCCTGCCACTCCCTTCCCTGGGGAACTTGCTTGGGCTCCAGCTTCCCCGCAGGCGTCCCTGGGAGTAGGTCAGGGCCTGCGAGTCTCCCTCCCTCAGAGGCGTTGCATAATCAGCCCGAGGCCCTGTGCACATTCCCATGGTTACGGGACTGGGGAAGGCTGGCAGTGGTGGCATTGCCATGGCACCGGCGTGGCCCTTGGCTCTGCTGGGCGTGGCGCAGGCACGGAGGGGCTCTGGGCTCTGGCTGCTGGAGAGATTGTTGCGGGGGACGACCTTCCTCTTGACTCTTTGCAGGGCACCTCAGCTCAGCAGCCATGGTGACCTGGGAGCAAACCCTTGGCACACTGGCTGGCTCAACACAGACCACACTTGGAGTTGTGGTCTCAGCCCCAGCCTGACCCCAGACCCGGCCTGCAGCCCGTGTCCTTTGCAGCCCCTTACTCAGTCCTAACCTGGGCCCAGTTGGAGCCCTCGTGGAGCACAGCTAGGCCCTCCCCCGAGGCCCTGCGGGCATTTCCATCTGCACTCTGCCTGCACTCTGGCCATGGCCTCAGTCCTCCGATCCCCTGCACACCCCCACTCCCCCAACCCCTTAGTTCAATGTTAAGGAATCAATAATACATATTAAACAAGCTGTCTGTAAACAGAAACAGACATAAAACAAGGTTATGTATCAATCAGTTGACAAAAATGTTGTGACCACAGGCTCACAGAGCCTGTCTGGGTTTTTTCCCAGTCGCTGTGGCCTCCTAGTGAGGTGGTCTGTGAAGAGTCAGGAGGAGGGCCGTCCCCGCAGTGATCTCTCTGGCAGCCAGAGCCCAGAGCCCCTCAGTGCCCGCACCACGCCCAGCAGAGCCACGGGCCATGCTGGTGCCATGGCGATGCCACCACTGCCAGTGCTGTACCCGCCACAACCAGTGCTGTGCCCGGGGGCCCTCACAGGGTGGAGGGGAAGAGTGGCAGACCCAAGCCTCACTTTTGGGGGCAGACAACAGAGGTGTGTGTGTGACTCAGGCCATCAGAGCTGTGCGGGTTCAAAAGTCACAGGTCAGTTGACAGTTGGGGGTCAGAGCAGGCAGGAAGTCCTCCTGGGGGAGGCAATGGTGGGTGTGTGGGGCTGGAAAGGCTGGATAGAATTTGAGGAAGGGAAACGCCAGGGAGGTGGAACAGCTGCCGTGAAGGTGGAGAGTCCAGAGCTCAGAGTGCAGGACCCACTGGATGGAATTTGATCTCTCAAAGATAGACCGTGTGCTTGTGTAGAAGCTTCTCCAGGCTCACCTCTGCACAGAGCTCAGGGAAGGATCTGATGGCTGGGAGCAAACCCTTGGCTCACTGGCTGGCTCAACACAGACCAGACTTGGAGTTGTGGGTTCACAGGGCTCAGGGAGACCCCCAGAGGCAACCTCAGCAGGAAGAGCTTCACGCAAGGCACACGAGAGACCCCCACGCATAGCCCCGCCTGAGCCCAGAACCCTTTGTCCAGCTGCTGCTTTGGCTGCCCCTTGAGCTCCACGGCAGAGCTCTCATCACAGCCCTCTTGGCCCTCACAGGGTACAGCCCATACAGTAGAGACAAAACAGATCCCGTCACTCCCTGCTTTCTGATTTGACCAGGGAAAAATAAATCCAAGTTCCTTTCTGCAGCCTGCAAGGCCCTGGGTGTCCTGGGCCAGTCCAGCTCTCCAACCTCAGCTTCTTTTGCCTTCCTTCCCTGTGCTCCGCTCTGGCCACACTGGCCTTCCTGCTGTCTTCTGATCCCCTGAGCTTGTGTTCATTTCAGCTCAGCTGCTGCTTGGAACACTCTCCCCCTAATGCCTCCCATGGCTGCCTTCTTCCATATAGCCCCAATTCAGTACCAATATCACCTCCCCAGAGAGGCCTGTCCTGGCTGCCTAGTGACATCACTCACTTTCACCACTGCATTTCCTTGTTTTATTTTCTTCATGGCACTTAGCAGTAATTACAGACAATGCTCATTATTTGTGGTAGTTACGTTCCATAAAGTCACCACCAACACTGAGTTAGCAAACATGGAACCATTGCTCCTAGGGTATAGGCTCCTGTGAACCTGTGGTCACATTTTTGTCAACTGATCGATACAATCGATACATAACCTTGTTTCATGTCTGTTTCTGTTTACAGATAGCTTATTTAATATGTATTATTGATTCATTAACATTGAACTAATGGCCAACAGCACTGTGACTCATGTCTGAGTGAAGCTTCTCTGGCACACGTTTTCCTCGTAAGGCACATCACAGCCCTCTTGCACATAGGAATGCTGGAAAGCACTCCAGCCTACACTGGGGGGTCACTTGAAATAGTGAAATCATCAACAAAAAGCACAAAAATGTGAAACACATGACACTAAATACCACTTGGTGACAGTATGTAAACAAGGGAAGCGACCCTTGTTTATAGTCTGAGAGCTGCAACAAGAAGTCAGAGCATCCCCTGCTTGGGCTGTGCTGGGAGGTGTGCATTGGGCCACTCAAGCTTTTCTCCACTCTGAGAGTGTTCAAGAATGATGGTGGAAGCGCTGCCAGTGTTGACACTGGGGTTAGAGAGCAGGCAAATTTACAGATATGGAATGTGCAAGTAATGAGGGTCAAGTGTGTGTCATTTACGTATTTGTGTGTTATTGTTGGTCTTCCCATTGTCTTACTGCTGCATCCACAGCACCTGAAACAGGTCATGGTCAAGATTCAGTAGATGTCTTTATTATTTTTAAATTATTATTATTATTTTTTGAGACGGAATCTCACTCTGTTGCCCAGGCTGGAGTGCAGTGGTGTGATCTCGGCCCACTGCAACCTCCACCTCCTAGGTTCAAGCGATTCTCCTGCCTCAGTATCCCGAGTAGCTGGGACTACTACAGCCGTGCACAACCACACCCAGCTAATGTTTTGTATTTTTAGTAGAGATGGGATTTCGCCACGTTGGCCAGGCTGGTCTTGAACTCCTGGCCTCAAGTGATCTGCCTGCCTCGGCCTCCCAAAGTGCTGGGATTACAGGTGTGAGCCACCGTGGCTGGCCCTATTTTTAAATTGTTTTGAGACGGGGTCTCTCAGTATCAAGCTGCACACAGGCTGGGACTTGGAGTGACTTCTCAGCACCCAGTCTGGGCTGGAGTGTGGTGATGTGATCACAGTTCACTGCAGCCTTGACCTCCCTACCTTGAGCAATTCTTCTGCTTCAGCCACGAGAGTAGCTGGGATTTCAGGTATGTGCCACCACACCTGGCTATTTTTTAAATTTTTTTTGTAGAGACGGGGTCTTGTCATGCTGCCCAGGCTGGTCTCAAACCCCTAGACTTAAGTGATCCTCCCGCCTCAGCCTTCCAAAGTGCTGGGATTACAGGACTGAGCCACCGCGTCCAGTCTCACAGTAGATGTCTAATAAGTATTTATCAATGGACTGCCCCGGCCCCGCCCCCCAACACACACACACACACACACACACACACACACACACACACAATCCTTAGGAGTTCTCAGAGCGAAAAAGACACAGAGTGTCCCTTCCTCTGGTGCTTCTCTCCTGGGCACCACAGGCAAGGGAGAGGAGAAAGATTCTGGAAGAAAAGCGGGGGTAAGTGAGAGCCCTTGTCCTAAAGCGTTCTCATCCCCATTCTCCCTCTCCTTATGGTCAGACCTGTCGCTCAACACAGGGAAGCCTGGTGTGCACATGTGATTATGTCCACTTCCCCGTGGTAAGTGTCACCAGGGGCACAGGCAGTACGTGTCCAGCTTGGCCGAGGTTGCCACTCCTGGTCCTGCGGGAATGGTGTGCATGCCTGCACGCACGCATGTGTGTGCGCACAGGAGCATGTGTGCTGAGGGTGCAGGCACGTGCCTGGGCTTGTGCCTGGGCATGTGCCCGGCTCTGCCCTGACAAGGCCTGCCGGCTCCCTAGCAGCTGGAGCACCCGCTGTGCTGACAGGGCCTGCAATCACGGGAAATTACCAAACCCAGAACTAAAATTAAGGCTGCTGCTGCTGCTGCTGCTGCCGCCGCCGCCACAGAGCCTGTTTATGAGCCAAACGCCTGGAAGAGGCCTCGGGAGGAGGCACTGTGAGGAACTCGGAGGACAGGGATGAAGACTGGGCAGGGAGGCCACAGAGGAGGAACCCCAGCTTCCATTTGGCAAGTGCCTATGGAGTGAAATGTCAGGCGCTGTGCTGGTGAATTTCCACACTTTATTTAGCCATCACAATAGATAGGTATGGCCCCCCTTTGACCAACAGAGAGCTGGGTGTCACAGAGGTTAAGGCTCTTAGCTAGCAGAGCTGGGATTTGAAGGTGGGGCTGTCTGACACAGGGACTGGGACAGATCTCTGGACCTTGTGAGGTTAAGTGGAAATGTGCCCCACAAAAGGTTTGATTCTGGTTTTTAGTATGGTATTTGATGTAAGGAACATCAAAAAGAAGCCCCTGAGTTTGTAATAGCCCTCCTCCTGCCTACAGCGTGACCTGTAGCTGGACCCTGTGGGAACTCACACGTGCCTCCAGGAAGGACAGTGAGCGGAGCATACACACCAATTCTACCGAACCCGTTCCCACGCACAGTCGCCCCCACCCCGTGGTTCCAGAACTGGTGGGTTCTTGATCTCGCTGACTTCAAGCATGAAGCCATGAACCTTCACTGTGAGTATTACAGTTCTTAAAGATGGTGTGTCCCGAGTTTGTTCCTTCTGATGTTCGAACGTGTCCGGAGTTTCTTACTACTGCTGGGTTTGTGGTCTGACTTCAGGGGTGAAGGGGCAAGACCTTTGCAGTGAGCGTCACGGCTCTTAAAGGCGGTGTGTCTGGAGTTACCCACTCCTCCTGGGGAGTTCATAGCCTCACTGGCTTCAGGATTGAAGCTGCAGACCATCCCGGTGAGTGTTACAGTTCATAAAAAATGGCAGGGACCCAAACAGAGAACAGCAACAAGATTTATTGCAAACAGGAAAAACACAGACATCCCAAAACAGGGAAATAGAACCGACCAGGTTGCCACTGCTGACTCAGGTGGCCCTCTTTTATTCCCTTATCTGGCCCCACCCACATCCTGCTGATTGGTCCATTTTATAGAGAGCTGATTGGCCCATTTTACAGAGAGCTGATTGGTACATTTTACAGAGAGCTGATTGGTCCATTTTGACAGAGAGCTGATTGGTGCGTTTACAAACCTTTAGCTAGACACAGAGTGCTGATTGGTGCGTTACAATCCTTCAGCTAGACACAAACGTTCTCCAAGTCCCCACTCCCTTAGCTAAACACAGAGTGCTGATTGGTGCATTTACAAACCTTTAGCTAGACAGAGAGTGCTGATTGGTGCGTTTATAATCCTTTAGCTAGACACAAAAGTTTTCCAAGTCCCCAGCCGTCACAGAAGCCCAGTCATCTTCAGTTCTCACTGGCAATCGCTGCAGGAGTTTGCAGCACCTAGCCTGGGCACTCCGGCAGCCCAGAGAAAGCTCCTAGACAACCAAGAAGAAAAGAGGGGAAGCGAGAAAGACACTGAGACTAGCCATGGTGACCAATGACCCTGCGAAGAGGGAACGGGGTCCATGCACGGGACCCAGCCTCCTATGAAGCCCAGCAGGTGCCGGCCTGCCGAGCCCGCGCCCACCCGGAACCAGCGTCGGCCCACGAGCGCCGAGCGCAGCCCTGGCTCCCACCTGCGCCTCTCCCTCCACACCTCCCCACGAGAAGAGGGAGTGGACTCCTGCCTCGGCCAGCCCCAAAGAGGGGCCTCCACACCGCAGCGCGGGCTGAAGGGCTCCTCCAGCACGGCCAGAGCGGATGGTGAGGCCGAGGAGGCGCCCAGAGCGAGCAAGAGCTGCTAGCACGTTGTCACCTCTCACCAGCATCACTAGCTCGAGGCTCCATAGTGTTTATATGGGGGCCTGGGGGGGCGCAGTATCAAGCTGCACGCAGGCTGGGACTTGGAGTGATTTCCCAGCACCCTGTGGCCCTGAAAGGCCCCTGGCCCCAGAAGGACCCACCTGTGATCTAGAGAACGAAGCTCCTCCCCTTCACCGCTCAACCTGGCCAGCAAGCAAATGATGAATGAACCGTGGAGAATGTCTGTCGAGGGGCCCTGGCTGAGGGCAGCGGCAGGTGGGCACATACCCATGCTGCTCCCACCCCTGCCAATCTCAAGGAGAACCTGGCTCACCGGTTGGAGGCTGTGGAGAGAGAAAGCTGGGCCCCGAAGCCATATGGCATTTGTTGGCACACAACCTGGCTGGCCTCCAGCCAGTCAGCGCCTTCATCTGACTTGGCATAAAAATGACAACAGCGCCAGGCACTGTTCTAGGATGCACACATCCATACACAGTCCTTACAGGGCTCTTTGAGGAAGGATCGTCATCTCCACTTTACAAGTGAGAAAACTAGGGCATAGAGAGGTAAATGATTTGCCTTCAGCCGCCCAGCTGGGAGGCCATGGCGCCAGGACATGGACCATTGGCTTGGGCAGCCTGGTAGTAGAAGCTCTGTGCTGACCACCATGCTACATGGCCTCTCTCAGGTCCTCCAGGCCCTTGGCCCTTCCCAGGTCAGGTTCACATTGTGCAGGTGGCCTGGTGGATGGCCCTCTAGCCTCTGCCTGAAGACAGCCAGCGTGGGTGCCCACTCCACTGCTCCTGACCTGGCTCTGTGGGGCAGAAGGCCGTCCTGGACAGGGTCTGAAGCAGTTCTTCAGGGCGTCATCTGCCCACTCAGCCTCTGCTGCCTCCTGCCCCTTCTGCCTCTTGGTGGCCTTCTGGAGACTTGAAGAGAATAGTCACAATGCCTGTGGACCTGCTCACCCGTCGGTCCACACAGCCCTGGCCCAGACTGAGAGGGACCAGTCGTGAGACCAACTGTGTTCCAGGCCCGGGCTTGGACTTTTCGTTAGCTTTAAAAATCTTGTGTTTGGGTTGTGACTAGCATTTAATATTTTTTGATGGAATAGAAGAGAATAGAAGCTAGAGCATGAGTCAGTATTGCTTCTTGAAGCTTTTAACTCCATGTTACATACATGCACGTGTTTATGCTGAGTCAGAGTGAAAAATGAACTTCTCACTATGGGAAAGTGAACAAGTTTGAAGGACACTCAGTCCTGTAGATTGCCTTCTCCTTTCTTGCATCCTATTTTGGTTCCTGCATTGACCCCCAGCCAGCCCAGGTCTCCCCTCAGGCTGAGCTCAGAAGCCTCCCGCTCCCGGCCCTGCTGAGCCATGTCGAGATCTGGGCACACAGGGAGACAGGAAGCCTTGTGGACTGGGCGATGAGAAAAGGAACCGCTGCATAATGTACGCTCACCATGTGCCAGGCTCTGTGCTGAATGCTCCACTTCCATCGTCTGTTAAGTCTCATGAAGTAGGTGGCGTGTTCGCTCCGTTCCGCAGATGAGGAAACAGGCGCGGGCTCTTCACCTTCTTGCTCAGTCATGACACTCATGGAAACGTCATAACTGAGTTTAAATCTGGGTCTTGGAGCTTCCCGGGTCACTCTCTTCACACCAGCCTGCAGCACTGCTTGGGAGCGGTGAGCACCCAGGCAAGCAGTGATTAGGTGCTTGCCTGATCCTCCCACCTCACCTCCCTGATCACCTCCTCCTCTTCCTCCCTACACCCAGAGCAATGGCTCCTGTCGAGTTCCTCCCTCTAGGGCCCAAGGGGTTCAGTGAATCTAATTGGAAGCAGCTTTTTAGTCCTGTGACCCAGAGGCTTGCTGAGGGCGTGGGGAGGGGACCAGATTGTGGAGAGCCAGGCCTGAGGCCAGCAGAGTCTATTGCGCAACCTGCAGGCTGCACAGCCCCAGCCCTGGGGGTTGCATTTCTCCCTTTACCTTTTCCCCATTCAATTCACAATAGCGGTCTGGTGGCAGACACCACATTCCTGGCACTGTGGAGGCTAAGTCACCAAGAGGGCCGCACACTCCCTCATAGAGCTGCTCAGAGCTCTCTCCACCGTGGCCCGGGGCTCAGGCTTCAAAGTGGAGGGCCTCTTCCTCTCTTGCCTCTCCCTTCTTGGAGGCATGGGTTCCGGAGTGGGCACTACGTTTGTCGTTAGTTGCACTTGGGTTCAAGCCAGGTTTGGGGGCACAGGAAGATATGGTGGCTATTCAACTATTCAACCCGCCCCCTCAAATAAAATCCCACTATGACTGAAAATAAATCCTATTATTTGTGAAGTCCTCCCCATTTCACTCAAAGTAAAACACCAAAGGCTTTACAATGGCCTACGCAGGACTACAAAGACCTCCGAGTCTTGCCTCTCTGGACGAATCTTCTTTCTTTTCTTTCTTTCATTGCTCACGCAACTCCAGCCTTGCTGACTTCCTTGCAGTTCCTGCCCCAGGGCGTTTGCACTTGTCACTCCCTCTGCCTGGAGCAGGTTCCCTCAGACACCCATATGACTCACTCACCTCTTCACTCTTAGTCCCACCTGCAGCCTCTGCAGTGGCTTTTGCTATTTCTTCACTTTATTTTTTTCTCCATGGTGCTTACTACTAAAATGCCACATAACTTGTTTATTTACTTTGTTGTATCATTTCTGTTTCTCCATTAGAATGTAAGCTGCATAAGGGTGGATTTTTTGTTCCGTTTGTTCAGCAGTGCCTAGCACAGAGCAGGCATGAGAAAAATGTTTGTGGAAATGAATTGAAATTGAATTAAAATAGTCATAAGGATGTCCAGAATTCTAATTTCTCCCATGACTTCCCTGAAGTTTCCGTATCAAATTATTTGAAACCCACGTCACCTAAAAGAATCTTTTCTGTTTTCCTTTGGGTGAATTCCAGCTCTGATTCAGGGCATAGCCACACAATGGTCTGCTACAAACAAGCACTTGGAGGGTTTCTGAGGCCAGGCTCTATGCTGGATGCTGTAAATAGAGATGCGAGAAAGAGAGACACCACCCTGCTCTCTGGAGCTCACAGCCTTGGGGGAGGCCCACGAGGAGCAGGTGGCAATGACGAGAGTTATGACAGGGAAGCCCGGGGGCTGTGGGCGCCCATGGGAAGGGAGAAAGTTCCAGAAGGAGAGAACAGTCAGTGTATGTCTCTTAACTCCTTGGAGCTCTTTCCTCGTGTTAAGGCTGAGCCTGTGAGCTGACTTGGAGGGCAAATGAGAGGACCAGCTGCAGGGCGCTCTGCAGGTGACACGCAGATGCTGGCTTTCATTTCTTGCTCCTCACTAGGAAAGCAGGAAGGCAGGGTGGAGATTAGTAAGCCCATTTTCCAGATTTTACCATGTTTATTATAAATTATATGTTATTATATCAACAAATAATTTATTATTTATTAATATCTTTTCCTGTGTGTAACTTTTCCCCCCTTCCTCAAATTTTAGTTACATCGAGAACTCCTGAAGGGCTGGGACCCTTCCACGTTTCTTGTTTCCTTCTTGCCCCCTTCTCAGCAGAGCCCAGATCCAGCCTTGGTAAATCAGGATGTTGGGACTCAGAGAGGGAGAGTCACTCGTCTATGGTCACACAGAGAATCAGAGCTTGGGCAGGGGCTGAGGCCAGGCCTCCTGCTTCCTTGCCTGAGGCTCTTCTACTGCCAGACACGTGCTCTTCGGAGCCCATCTCTAGCCTGTGTCTAGGGTTCCCCCGGAAGAAGCCGTGGCCCCTGACCCTGCTAAGCCTTCCTCCACTCCTCCAGCACCCCTGGGGCCATCAAGCTCAGAGCTGCAGGCCTGTGGGGATGGCTGGAGGCGTGGGAGTCAGGGCAAAGCCGGTTCTCACTGAGGTCTTTGCGTGCCTCTGCCAGGGCTCCCCAGTGCTCTGGCTCCTCCCTTTCTCCTCTGAGGATGGCCAGCTCACTGGAGCAGCTCTGGGAAGGACCACAGCCCGCCCTTTTGCGACAGACTCTCCCAAGCGTCAAGAAAACTGATCTTCAGGGCTAGATGGGCTGTCATAAAAATTCAGTGTCATACCTCTTCTTAACATCATATAGATGAGGAAACTGAGGATTAGAGAAGGCAAGTGGCCTGCCCAGGTCCAGGGGCCCAAGGCAGGACTAGGTCTAGAATTAGAGTTCCGTGTCACCATTGAGCCTGAAGGTATCTGCTCTTTTAAGGCCTCTAGTGTGTTTCCTCTGGGCTGGACTCCTAGCGTCTGGGTAACCTTGTGTATTCGTCCATTCTCACACTGCTATAAGGACATACCTGAGACTGGGTAATTTATAAAGGAAAGAGGTTTAATTGACCAAGTTTGGCAGGGCCGGGAAGGCCTCAGGAAATTTACAATCGTGGCAGAAGGGGGAGCAAACATATCCTTCTTCCATGGCGGCAGCAAGAAGTGCCCAGCAAAAAGGAAAAAGCCCCTTATAAAACCATCAGATCTTGTGAGAACTGACTCAGTATCACAGGAATAGCATGGGGGAAACCGCTCCCACGATTCAATTACCTCCCATCGGGTCCCTCCCATGACACGTGGGGATTATGGGAACTACAATTCAAGATGAGATTTGGGTGGGGACACAGCCAAACCTTATCGCCTCACATAGCTCCAATGACAGGGTGCCCACTACCAGTCTGTGCTTCCTCTTGGTTCCTCTCCATTTCCATTCTCTTGAGTCCCGGACCCAGGTCTTAGGGGTCAGGTTTCCTGTGGCCTTCCCTGCTCTCCCACAGGGTGCTGCTAAGGACCTCCTGAGCTTCTCTCTACCCTTGTCTATACAGAGGGCTCCTGACACTTCTTCTCTGCTCTACACAGCACACTGGGGCCCAAGACAAGGTTTGCTCATTCTTGTCATTCATTTATTCAAAAATATCTAGGTGTGGTGGCATGCATGTGTAGTCCCAGATACTCTGGAGGCTGAGGTGGTTGGATCGCTTGAGCACAGGAATTTGAGGCTGCAGTGAGCCATGATAGTGCCACTGCACTCCAGTCTGGGTGACAGAGCAAGACTCTGTCTCTAAAAAACAAAAAGAAACAGGCTGGGCGCAGTGGCTCATGCCTGTAATCCCAGCACTTTGGGAGGCCGAGGGGGGCAGATCACGAGTTCAGGAGTTCGAGACCAGCCTGACCAACATGGTGAAACCCCGTCTCTACTAAAAATACAAAAATTAGCCAGATCTGGTGGCATGTGCCTGTAATCCCAGCTACTCAAGAGGCTGAGGCAGGAGAATCACTTGAACGCGGCAGGCAGAGGTTGCAGTGAGCTGAGATCACGCCATTGCACTCCAGTCTGGGTGACAGAGCGAGACTCCGTCTCAAAAAAAAAAAAAAGGGGGGGAAACAAAAAACCCCAAACATGTTTATTAAACCTATGATGTACTGTGTACCAGGTACTGTTCCAGGCATCATGGATAGAGTAATGAAAACAAAAATATCAGACCAAGAAAAGATGTGAGCAGTCCCTGACTTAGATGCCTCACTACCATTACAGACCCTCTTGCAATGGTGAGACCCATAACCAGAAGGACAGACTGGCAAGGCAATTAAGAGACGGATAGATACACAGGGAAAAAAAGGGAAGTTCAAAACAGAAATAGGGTGAGGCACAGGGAAACGTTGCAAAGCACTGGTTCCGAGGTTAGCTACAGTCCTTCTCTACCAGGAAATGACAAGCCTATCCTTTGACCCTTTTCAGGACTTGGAGGCGGAGGAGCCCTTGGGAACATCTGGAACATCTGTGAGCCATTCTCTCCCACTGAGGAGGACTGGGCCAGGGCTAATGTGGGCAGGGGGTGGACAAATAGATCCAGTGGGACACCCCCCAGGCCTCTTCCTGCTCCCAAACCCCAAACATTGCTTCCGGAACCTGTGCGGCCTGGCTCTTTCCCAGCCTCACCGCAAGACTCCCTAGTCCTGCCTCTGGCTCAGCATGGGCCAAGCCTACCCCGTCCACACCCTCTGCAGGGTTCCTTCCAGGCTGGGGGTAGCAGGAGAGAAAGCCAGAGCTGTGTGAGATTAGAGGAGGAAGAGCAGGCCAGGGAGGAGGCTTTCTGCGGGCGAGGGCATGGCTGGGAGGAACTGAACTAGGGTGAGGCAATGGAGGGGCCAGGTAGAGGGGGGATAACAGAGGGGAGCAACTTCTACTCCAGACTGACAGTGACATGAATCGAAACTTGCCCCCCACCCTTGCTCTTGGAGTTGAAACTTGAGGATGGAAGGTGTTATGGACTTAATTTTGTTCCCCCACCCCCTGATTTATATGCTGAAGTCCTAACCCCCAGTCTTTCAGAGTGTGATTATTCAGACACAGAACCTTTGAAGAGGTAATCACGTTAAAACGAGTTCACTGGGGTGGGCTCTAATCCAACATGACGGGTGTCTTTATAAGAAGAGGAGATTCAGACACAGACAGACAAAGGAAGAAGGCCATGTGAAGACACAGCCAGAAAACATCTGTCTACAAGCCAAGGAGAGAGAGGCCTCAGAAGAAACAACCCCGCAGATACCTTGATTGTGAACTTCCAGGTTCCAGAATCATAAGGAAATGCCTTTCTGTGGTTTAAGCCCCCCGATCTGTGGAATTGGTTATCCCGGTCTGTGGAATCGGTTATCCCGGTCGTCTGTGGAATTGGTCACATCAGCCCGAGCTGACCACGCAAGAGTGACGCTGTTCAAACGGCACCATCCACTGTCTTAGGGATGGGTACTTTCAGTTCACTGGGACACCCCACTGTCTGGGCACTCTGCTGGGAAAGAGACACACACACCTTCAGGCTCACAGTCCTGGCTTATGATTTCCCATGGGTTAGGGTCAAAACTGGGGCAACTGGAGAAGTTGATACTCTTCATTTGAACTAGACAGGGTGATCTTTGACAGAAATCAGTCTACTTGGTGAGTTGTATTTGCTTTCAAGAACATAGGAAAAAAACAGGTACAACATTGCCAGTACAGAGACCAACCAGAGGTGGAAGTGCCACTGCCTTCCTCTTGGACTCTGAAGGGATAGAAGTGTCTGCTTCCTGCCTAGAGCCATCAGATTCAGGGACTCATAAACATATAGCAAATGCCTGAGGCAGGGCAGTTCACAAAGCTCAAGGATGTACTGGGCTGCTGAAACACTTAACCTTGAGGGGAAGGGTTGGTTGTCCATGGAATAATTGTGCAAATAGCTAATTCTTTCCTATTCCAGACATCGGCAACAGACTGCATGTTTAAAGCATGTCACGTGTCACCTTAATTAATCCTCACAAAACCCCAGTCACTATCAGCATCTCATTTTACAAATGGGAAAATTGAGGCACAAAGAGATGATGTAACTTGACCAAGGTTACTCCGCTGATAAGGAGGAGGGGTAGTAACATCAGTTGGAGAAGGCGTGTGAAGAGGAAACCTCTGGGGAAAGGTGAGGGAGCAGGGGAGCAGTCACGTGAGCTGCCTTCTGAAGTCTTGCCTCTCAGTTTGGAGTGACTTTGGGACACTTATTTGAACACTTCAGTAAAAAATAAACACTCCTTTTTGAGGTCCAGAGAGAATTTAGTCTGAGGAAGATAAGCCCTACAAGATGTGGTTATTGAGACAACCAAAAAAGTCAGTCAAAGTGGACAATCGTAAACAATGACAAACACCTTAAATATTTGGAGACAGCTTAAAAATCATATATATTCATTAAGCACTCTTGATGTGTGGCCAAGGTCTCTTTTTTGAACAGCAGTCTGCTGGCTGATGAGAGTTCTTTTATATCTTTATTTTTAAAAAACCACGTGCATGATGTCTCATCTTTGATTTCCTGTTCTGGTTTCTTTATAGAGTAAGGAAAGCATAAAATCCCTCGCTGGGTGTCATAAGGGCTGAGTCCCCATTCCCTAGCTCTCTTTCTTTCTGTGCATAGTGTAGGATGGCCCTTTGGTGCCCATCTGGAGTTAGTTATGGTCACATGACTTAGCTTGATCAGTCGACTGTAATAGAAACAATGAGTGTCACTTCTGGGCAGACGCTTTAAGAGTTGGCTGAGGCCGGGTGCAGTGGCTCACACCTGTAATCCCAGCACTTTGGGAGGTGGAGGCGGGCGAATCATCTGAGGTCAGGAGTTGGATACCAGCCTGGCCAACATGGTGAAACCCCATCTCTACTAAAAATACAAAAAGTAGCTGGGCACAGTGGCGGGCACCTGTAATCCCAGCTACTCAGGAGGTTGAGGTAGGAGAATTGCTTGAGCCTGGGAGGCAGAGGCTGCAGTGAGCCAACACTGCGCCACTGCACTCCAGCCTGGGCAACAGAGTAAGACCCTGTCTCAGGGGGAAAAAAAAAATAGAAAGAAAAAAGAAAAAAAAAAGGAAAAGAAAAGAGTTGGCTGGGCATGGTGGCCCAGGCCTGTATTCTCAACACTTTGGGAAGCCAAGGTAGGAGGATCACTGGAGCCCAAGAGTTTGAGGTTTGAGTGAGCTATGATTGCACTACTGTACTACAGCCTGGCTGACAGACTGAGATCCTGTCTTTATTCTTTTCAGAAGAGTCAATACATACTTCACCATGTACCTACAACCTCAGGTACTGGAAAAGGTTCAGATATATTGGGGGAACCATCCATTTGGGCCTGAGGCAGAGCCCCATTTAACCCATGATAGGCATGTAGCATGAGTAAGAAAAAAACCTGTGTGAGATTTAAACTACTGAGATTTCGAGGATATTTGTTACTGCAGCCTACCCTTTCTTATCCTAACTGACACACTCATGAAGTTCTATGAGCATAGTCTTATTCTTGGCTAGATGTATTTAGATACGTTTCTCCAGTATTTTAATATGGGTCTCACTCAGACCTCATTTCACAACAATTCTTTTTAGATACTTGCTTTTACTGTGTGATATTCAGGAACCCAGCCCTTCTTCCTGATGTTACTTCTATAGTGAAAATATGGAACTGCAACGAGGCATCCACTGTGCATGTACAAGGCAGCTCTTATAGGTATGGTCATCTGGAGCATCCTGAGGGCAGGTACAAGGCCCTTCTCTTCTCCTAGTTGAGAGAGACAATTTCCCCTGTTGTGAGAGACAATTTGCCATGGTCCATGAGAAAATTTGCCATGGACCCATCCCTGAACATTCTTGCTCGGTGTGCCGAGAATGCAAGGCTCTAGTCACTCTTTACCCGGGCTGTTTCGCAGGGCTGTATTTGCCATGAGCAGCCATGAGAGATGCAGTAACACCTCCCACCAGGAAAAGACCAGGTTTCTTTCCACTCGCTAGAGAAGTGGCAAATGTTCCAAGCTCAGTGTTACTCTCCTGTAATGCGATCCATTGGGTGACTCACCATCATGGGCCCTTTGCATTGTCTTTGTGGGACTTGGGTGATGTCGGAGAACCGAAGCAATCCTATGCAGCTCTGGCTAGTGCTTTTGCTGTGAGTGATGAAGTCCTTTGTCTCTGACCCAGGAATCTTGTATCTTTGGCTGGCATCCATGGAACAATAGCAGGCTAACTTGTTAGCTTGTAAATTGGGTAAAAATCTCAGACACTGCACTGTTCCTGACATCCCAACTCCAGTTCAGCACAGGACTGGGCATGTAGTGGAATGATGGGAAGTAAGGCTTGTGCTTTTCACTTATTGATCTTGGGGCAAGGGAGTCCCAGGATAGCCTTTCTCCATACTTAATTCTCTGGTGGCCTTTTCACTTCCTGAGCCTCTGCTTTACCCTCTGCAATGGGGATAACAATCTAGGACCCGTGGTTCTCACTCAGGGCTGTTAGATTTGAAAGTCTGGGGGAAGATGACTGCTGCTCTCTCATAAGCACCAGCTGACTTCTGTCTTTTCTCAAGGTAATGCTAGCAAACTTAGACCCCTCCCAGAGAGACTTAGGGCAGAGGAAGGAACAACTCACTGTCAGTGAGAAAGAGGAATGTGACTAGGAGAGATCCAGTTGGCTGTGGAGTCTTCCCTTCTGGAGCTCTGCACAAACAGGACAGGAGCTTGCATGTTTTCAGGAGGCAGGGTCAGACTGGATACCTCCCAGGGCTCTGTTTGGAATGGGAAGCATGACACCCACCTCCAGGAAGCTGATGGGAAAGACTTGCCCTAGTTTCTAGCCAGGAATTTGAGTTTGCTATGTCAGGACAGCAGCAGTGGCCTAGCAAAGGTAGATGGCAGCCAGAAACAACGTGAGATGCATGTGCCATCTCTCCCTAGGCAGTGCTGGAATTTGTCCCCAAACACATACCTAGCAAAGACAGGGTGCATTCATGCATTTCACATTTAATAAATCTTGAAAAAATAACTCAGTGCAAAATTGAGGGAAAAAGGGAAGGGATAGTTGTTTGTCTGCACCCTCTCCAACTGTGGCATCTTTGCTGTGCCCTCAATAACTGTCACATGGGAACCTGTGTGCCCTTGAATTTCTCCGCTACACTTCAGGGAAGGAGGCTGGCTTAGGGAAGGGTGATTTGTGTATGCTCACAGGTCAGACTGGAAGGTGAGAGAGAGACAAGGTGGTAGGATGGCTGCAGCAGCCCTGGTGAAAGGTGAGGAGGGCCTGAACTAGGGAGAAGTTCAAGGACGTTGGTGAGGTCTACTTCTCAGCTGGGGATGCAGCTCCTGACTGTCTGTGGGGCCCCAGGGTGGCATCCATGAAAACCCTTGTGTTTGCTCAGCCCCTGCACCTGGCTGAGGGCCTCCTCTTCTGCAGAGGATTCTGGGAGAGGTTGCCCCTGCCAGCCTTTAGTCCTCAGGGATGGGGGTTGGGCCAGGCTCAGGAACCCAGCCTGGGCCTCGCCATCCCAGACCCTCCCCACGCCACACCAAGGAAGGGCCTGTCACCAGGAGAAGTATGACCCTCCCGTGTCTGAGTCCTCATTTCACTTACAGCTCGGCGCTAATCCAATTGCTGGCTCTAACCTAATTCTCCATTGTTGCTAGAGTCCTTTGCCTGCCGATATTAAAAATCTTTTCATTTAATTGTGCAGAAGATAGATCCTCCTCAGCCATCAGGTGGTAAATATAGAATAGCTGATGTGTAGCTCTAATTTCTTCCCTGGCAGGCCTCCTGCAGTTCTGAGTAATTGGGGACCAAGAAGCTCTGGGAGGAAGGAGACAGGAAGGAGAGAAGAGGGAGGCAGGGCGAGGAGCTGGGACCTTGCTATTGTCAGGAGGTTACAGATCAGAGGAATCTGGTCAGTATGTCCATTTCTGCAGGACCAGTTGTTTTTCTTCTGAATCTCTCACGCTGCCTGGTGACTGGGGTCTTGAGATGTTGCAGGAGAATCACGTGTTCCTCCACCATGGGAGATCAAGATGCACCATCCGAACGTACCTTTGGTGAAAGTCTTGGGATCCCCAGGTCACCAAGAACCACAGCTATTTGATACACCAAGACCCTTTGTGATGATTGAGTGTAACCCTCTGGTTTGGGGACCACATGGTTTCCCAGCCAGGCACTGAAAGAGTTGATGACAGATGACAAGCATCTTGATTTCTATCCAAGGAAGGAAAACTATGTGGAACCCTGTGGTCACTGTGTGTTCCCATAGGAGAGGGACAGTGGCATTGAAGTGAGGCTCCAGGAGCCATTAGCAGGCTAGGGTCCTCTCTCCTTCACCCAGAAAAGGGCAGGGCTCCAGTTAAAGTTACTGGCCTCACACTTGGCCACCAAGGAAGAAGGAAGCATCCTAGGAAGAGCCACTGGTCACCAGACACTGCCTCTCTGGTGGCTCAGTCCCAACTGGGGCTTCCCAGGAGTTCACAGCTTCCAGGACTCCCTGGTGCCCTGGAGAACATGGCAGGCTACTCCGTCTCTTGGAGGGAGGGCTGCAGCTTCCTCTCAACTGCATGCTCAACTGCTGTGAGCTCCCAGCTCCTCATGCCTGTCCACTGGCAGACCTGAGCTTCTGAGACTGCTCCTGCTTCCCTGTAAGAAGTTTTGCTGCACCTCAGCTCTTGGACCCCCTTCTCTCCACCCCACCCTCTCACAGGCTGTGGGGGCATTCCTCCTCCCAGACTGGGGACCTCAGGTAGCCTTTCTTTCCCTTTTCCCTCCTGCCTCAGAGGGAGACACAGATATTTCATGGAGTACCTGTTTCCTGAGCACTTGGGGGATTCTCAGGGCTCCATCCCCGCCTGGCCCCATCACCCCAGGCCCTCTGGGTAGGTCTGTGCTCTCTGACTCCACCCCCTGTACTCTCCAAGACCAGCTCCTCGTCTCCCCCACTAATACTGGGTTTTGCAACCCCCTCTTCTCTACCCTTCTCTACCTGCTGATTCAAGATCCTTGGGGGAAGAGGAGGGAACACTCACTGCTTGGGAGCTGCTGAATCCTCTGACCAGGGGATGCTGAAGAAGGTGACTAAGGTGGTTTCCAAGACCCTGGCCTGGAATATTCCCACTGCCCTTCTCTGTGAGTTATTCTCCTCTACGGCTCCTGCATCTTCAGAACAAACAACAGCAGAGCACGTGACTGCTGGAAACGCCCAGATGGCTCCAGTCACAGGATCCCTGCATGTCCGGGCCAGAATGGCCAGCACAGCTGTCCCCTTCCCTGTTCTCAGGTGAGGAAATGAACAGCATGTGGGAAGGCCACCCAAGCTCATGCAGTGGCTCCATGCTAGGACCCCGGCTTCCTGGCTACAGTCTAGACGCTAGACATTTCTGTTCCTGTTGTGAGAATGATAGAGAACTCACAAGGATGGGGGTCAGGATGACAGAGCGTCAAAACCAACTATCCCCTCTGCCAGCGGTGTGACCTCCAGCAAGTTACTCAACCTCTCTGGGCCTCCATTTCCTCATCTGTAAAATTAGGGTGACAATGGTATCTGCCTCGTGAGGTGACACGAGAATCCGCTTAGATAACCCTCCCAAAGATAACCCTCCAGCACCCTATCTCACACATGGTAAGTGATAATTAGCTATCACAGAAAATTCAGCTCCATTGGATTGAAAATTTCTCCTCAAACCAGTGTGAGGAGCATTAGCTTTTCAAGCAATGAGCAGGCATTTAATTTACTCCTTTGGAAAATTGAAGGGTTCTGTGTCGGGGAACTATTTGGATGACTTTTCCAGAAAAACAAGGTTGTGCAGATGTCTTTTTTGCCTCCATAGAAGATTCCCAGCATAGAACAGGGGCAACGGAGTCTTTCTGCTCATCTAGACACTGCCCCTGGAAGCAGAGGGAGCCACCCAGGCCAGGCTGCTGCTGGTTTTACTCTGGAAGGCCTGCAGAAGCTCAGGGCTGCCCCAACTGCAGCCTGTCCTGCATCTCCGGCTGTGCAGGGCTGTGGGAATCCCTGCCCTGCCTCCCTGGAGGCTTCAGAGCAATGACTACGCCCCACGGTTCAGACCCTGGCCGGGCTTCAAGCAAAACTGCTGATGTTTACTAGGGCTGGGGCTAAAGAGTGCCTACTCACCTGGGCTGCAAAATTTAAGGAGTGCCCCAAACCCCATAATCAAAATACATAATAATGTCCTGTATTTACAAAACAAAATTAATTAAAAAATCCATGATGAACAGAGCATCAAACTTAAGTAAAGGCAGCATTTGACCTTGTGCCGGCAGGAGCCTGAGAACAAGTGCCTTTCTCATTTCGCCCTACCCCAGCCCTGAGTCTTGGGGCTCCTCCCAGATCAGTGGAGTTGGCCTCTCTGGGAATGGGATCAAGATGGTAATATTTGGGAAAAGCTCTTCAGATAATTCTGCTATCAGAGGTTTGAGTACTCCCACTCTGAAAGAAATAATACATGAAACCTGAAGGTTGCAGAGGGGAAGGGATGGGAGATGCCATATGGTCCCTTCAGAAGGGACTGCACTGTTTAAGAGTTATATGCTAACAGACAAGAGAGGTCCCATCGGCCAAGGGGACTGCCATTCTGCTTTTCCACTTCCATCCCTTTGGGACATTCTCTGTGAATTCTCTTAGAATTCAGAAACTCCTAGAATGATTAGCTGATACGACAAATTAACTTGCTCTGTCTTTGAAGACCCTTTGCTCTATCGTCTCCTACTCCAGAAAACTAGGGTCCCTCCCTCTGCTCATCCACATCCTACACAGACTTCTAGGCGCAGCCCATGTCTTCTCTCTTCCAGGAAGTCCTTCCCAATGCCTCCTGTCCCGGGATCTCTCCCTCCATTCCTTCTGTAGCATACATTTGAGATCCTACTATATGACAGGCCGGATTACGGATATACAGGGATTGAATTTTTAAAAAGCTGTATGTGGGGAATTCAGATAATACCATCATATAATTTAATTCTACTAGAAGGTTTAGAATGAAAAGCAGCAATCTTTGTTCCCTGTTTCTCCAAGCCCAGTGCCTCCTTTAGGTTCTAATCACCCTTAATTCTCCTGGGTGTTTCCTCTAGTTTTTAACTCAATTTTTAAATATACGCTTACACAGTATTTTTTTTTGATACATCAGTTTTGGGCATTAGCTTTTGCCATGGTAAATAGCAGGTAAATCTCCCATCTCCCTCCTGCTTCTCTCCCCCCATCCTCTCATCATCATTATGTTCCAGTTTTTGATTGAGGACAAGCACTGTCGAGGCCATTACACATTATGACTATGCATTCTTTTTTATACAGCCCTCCTTTGTTCTGGAGTTAATAACCCCTTTTTAACTCGCCTGATGTCTAGTATCTATTGTTAATTTTTTCTAAGTGCTCCACATCTCTACCACTCACTAATCAGAAATCATCTCCGTTCAATCGAATGTATCTGTTTCGTTTTCCCCTCTGTTTCCTGGCTCTTCTCTGAACTCCTTGCTTGCTGGATCTGCTACTCGACTGTCCTCTTAGGACCTCTCTCTTCAGCCTGAGATTTACCTTCTCTGCCCTTCTCCATTAAGTTTCTCATTTCTGGAATCTCTTTTCTTCCTCTTCCTTGGTTTGTTCCCTGTTTTTGTTGCATACATCCTCCCATAGTGTTCTGAGAAAGGGGACTTAGGAAAGGGGACTTAAGAAGCAACATGTTCAGTGCTTTTACATCTGAAACGCCTGAAAATGTGTTACTCTCTGCACATTTGATTGATGGCTTCCCTAGGTTACCTAGGTGGGAAATACTTTTACCTCACAGTCTCAAAAGTCCTGACCATTGTCTTCTAATTCCCAGGATTACTAAAAAGCAACCTAATGTCGTTTTGATTCTTTGTCCTTTGTGACTTGCTTTGTCACTGTGTTAGGCCATTCTCGCATTGTCATAAAGAAATTCCTGAGACTGGGTCATTTATAAAGAAAAGAGATTGAATCGGCTCATGGTTCTGTAGGCTGTGCAAGAAGCATGATGCTGGCATCTGCTCAGCTTCTGGGAGGTCTCAGGAGACTTAAAATCATGGTGGAAGGCAAGGGGGAGCAGGCAAGTTACATGGCAAGAGCAGGAGCAAGAGAGACAGTGGGGAGGTACTACACACTTTCAAATAACCAGATCTCAGGAGAACTCACTATCACAAAAGACTGTACCAAGGGGACGGTGCAACACCATTCATGAGAACTCCTTTCCCATGATCCAATCACCTCCCACCAGGCTCCTCCTCCAACACTGGGAATTACATTTCAATATGAGATTTGGGTGGGGACACAGATCCAAACCACACCGGTCACCTTGGAGGCTTCTCAGATGTCTTCACTGCCCTCCCTCTGCTTGTCTGTGTGTCCTTTTTCATCCATTGTGCTGGGCACTGAATATCCCTTTTATTCCAGAAACCCTGTCCTAGGCCAGTAAACTTTTATGTGTAATTTTTCTGATAATTTCTTCTTAATTTCCCCTCACCTTACGTTCTGGAATTTTCTTCAGCCAGATGTTGGGCTTCCTACAATGGAGCTCTAATTTTTGTTGTTCTGTTTCCCCCCTATGTTCCGTATCTTTTACTTTTTTAAATTTTTAAAATAAATTTCTTGTACTTTATCTCTCATTCTTCTATTGATTTGGTAATTTATTAATACTTCAAAAAATTTTTCCAAGAGCTCATTTTTCTTCTCTGGTCCTTCTTCAAAGCTTTCTTGTGTCTGGATTCTCTCTCTATATATATTTCATTAAGAACGTTAATCATAGTTTGAAGTTTTCTTCTGTTCCCTGCATCTTCTCTATTTTCTCTAGGTTATTTTTTTTCAGTTTCTTTGTTTGGATGTTGGTCTTTAATGTTGGAGGATTTTCTCACATGTCTGGTGATCCTTGACTGCCAGTTCATATTTAAGAGAGACTCTCAGAGGCTGACTGAAGCCCACTGTGCCTGGACAGGGTGGGGCTACCAGTGGGATTCACACAGTAAGCCTGCCTTTCTGTTAGGGGATGCCCAAATGTCAGATCTTACCTTTTTCTGTGGCTTTGTTCAGGCCACAAAAAAAAATTGTTCAGGCCACAAAAAAAAATTCTTCTTCTTGAGAAGAATCAGCATCCTGACTGAGTGGTGGCTACTGGCTCTCTGGGATGCAGAAGCACTAGTGGGAATCACCTGGGAGATGTTTCAGAAGTGAAATTCCACAGGACTTATTTTTTTTCCTAAAGTTAGGGATTTTTTTTTTGTTTGCTTGTTGTTTACGTAGTTTTCTATATACCTATCATGAATTCTCCCTCAAAATCTGCAACAAAACCTAAAATGGCTTTCAATTCTGCCACCCTCTTCAGGGAATGTATCAGTTCAAATTGTTATTCTTTTTTTGGAGACATGCTCCTTAGAGCCTCCTGTTCCTGCCTGGAAGGGCTGCTCTCCAGGTCTCCCCAGCTATCATTCTAGAACTGTCCTTCCTCATCTTGTTGAAGGTTTTCTTCTCCTCTCTTTCTAATCAACTCCACTGTGTCTTGGAGGCAATGGCTTCCAACTTCTTTGCTAACTTCCTTGTTTGGGTGTAGCACACTCTCCAGTAACTTCCTGAAAAGCATATACAGAAGGTAGAGTTTGTGACTCCTTTTATGTCTGATTGTGTATTTATTTCACTTTTATTTACTCTTTGTTTTATCTACAAGATGGATAGTTTGGTTAGGTATGATATTCTAGGTTGCAAAAAAATTTCTCTCAAAGAGTTTGAAGGCATTGCTCAGTTGTTTTCCCATTTCCAGTATTTGCTGTTGAAAGGTCTCATGCCATGCTCAGTCCTTGTCCTTTGTCCTTTGTATGTGACCCGTTCTCCCCCTTGTTTTTAGTTTTTTCTGCCCCTGATATTCTGAATTTCATGATCATGTGCGTTGGTATGGATTCTCTATGAGTTGTCCTATGATTCATGGGTGTTTCAAAGCAGAGACTCATATCCTTGGGTTCTAGAAAATCTTGTATCATCTCTTTGAAAAATCTCCTCCTTTTGCTTTCACTTGCTGGAACTCCTGTTAGTAAGGGGTTAGCGCTTAATGATTTGAACCTCCCATTTCATATAAAAGATATTTATATCTCTCTTATTTTCTAACTTGTCATCTTGTTCTATTTTCCAAAAGATGTTTTCAACTTAATCTTTCAGCCTTTCAATTGAACTTTTTTATTTTTATTTTTATTTTTTTTGAGACATAGTCTCTATCTTTTGCCCAGGCTGGAGTGCAGTGGGGCAATCTTGGCTCACTGCCACTTCTGTCTTCTGGGTTCAAGTGATTCTCCTGCTTCAGCCTCCCGAGTAGCTGGGATTACAGGCGTGCACCACCAGGCCTGGCTAATTTTTTGTATTTCTAGTAGAGATGGGGTTTCAGTATGTTGGCCAGACTGGTCTCAAACTCCTGACCTCAAGCAATCCACCTGCCTCGGCCTCCCAAAGTGGTGGTGGGATTACAGGTGTGAGCCACCGGGCCCTGCCTCATTTGAATTTTTAATTTAAGCTATGATATTTTTCTTTTTACTTTCTAGAAACTTTTGCTTATTCTTCGGATGTTTCTTATAAAAATAGATTGGGTGCAGTGGCTCATGCCTGTAATCCCTGCACTTTGGTAGGCTGAGGTAGGTGGATCACCTGAGGTCAGAAGTTTGAGACCAGCCTGACCAACATGATGAAACCCCATCTCTACTAAAAATACAAAAAAAAATTAGCCGGGCATGGTGGCAGGCGTCTGTAATCCCAGCTACTCAGGAGGCTGAGGGAGGAGAATCTCTTGAACCTGGGGGGTGGTGGTGGTAGTGAGCTGAGATCACGCCACTACACTCCAGCCTGGGCGACAAGAGCGAAACTCTGCCTCAAAAAAAAAAAAAAAATGTATTATGTTCTTCCCCATTCTGCCCGCCAACCCCATGTATCCAATATATTTTATTAATTTTCTAAGGGTATTAGCTGTATTTTTAGTTTTTTCTCATATTTGTCTCTGTTTCCTTGAAGTCTCTGTCTCTGTCTATCTAGTCATTTCCTAGCTCCTCCTCTCTGGCTGATGTCTTTCATGTAGAAGACATTTCTAAAATGTTTGGGGACCCTTGGCAGGAGTCCATATTTAAGACAGAGGCACCAACAATCTGACAGGAGAGTATGTGTGCATAGACAGGGCTTGTCCTGGCATGGGCTTTCCTGGAGGTGATCAGGTGGCAAGTCCAAGTGCTTCTAGGTCTTTTTCCTCTTGGGCTGGTTAGCTTTTCCAGAGAGGAGCTATCTAATTTCTCTCTGGGGATGGTTAGTGTTCTGCAAGTGGAGTAGCAGCTAGGGGCTGGAGTCCCACAATTCTGTGCATAATCCCCTGTTTTCAGTATGGTGTCTCATCCTCCACCCTGCTTCACAGCCCCAGAGTCACCAAGACCTGAGACTCTGGGTGCATTTCTTGTGAGAGTAAACTTTCCATCCTCAGCCAGGTGGGAAGGGAATTTAAGAGTGCAATGGGGAGTGTTTAAGTCCTTTTTTAAGGAGATGTTCACCACTCCTTCTGTGTCCAGCCTCACTCCTGCTTTCGGAGGAACTGGGTGCTCTACGTCCTGAGCCTTTCCGGGTGCCCAGGTGAAATCCATCCCCTGACAAGCACTTAGCTTTCCGCCTTCTCAGCTCTGCCAAGGCATTTACTGTTCCTCCACTTTCCTTTTCAAACATATTGCTTCCCGTTGTCTCCTCTGGTTGTCTGTTCCTGTCAGTGGGGGCTTTGCAGGGGTCTGTGTAGAGAACATAAATGACCGTGGAAGATCCAGAAGTCTCCTGAAGGCCATCTAGTCAGGGCCTCATAAGCCTCCTGGCCCCTCTCCATGCTGACGACCCCTGGTTCCACTCACCAGCCCAGCTCTCTCCTCAGAGGCCTGGGTGCATGGTGTGGACCACAGGCCCCTCACATTCAACATCCCTGAAGCTGATCTCATCCCCACTCCCTCCAAAGCTGCTCTTTCTCTTGTGTCCTGCCATAGGGGATACCCCTGCCATTCACCTTATGCATCCCACCAAGACACGCAGCTGTCACGCACTTCAAATTCCACTTCCTCTTGACTCTGGTCACCCCCTTTCACTGCCACCTTGATCAGTCTGGCCCATGCATCGGTTCTCCACTGGACTGCAGCTGCCTCTTAAGTGGTTTCGTTCTCCCAAGTCTGGCTCAGAGAGACACCTCTCCATCTCATCATGCTGCTCATGCCCAAATACACAAGGAAGCTCCCCCGCAGTTCCTCACTGCCCCAGCCCAGGAGGCTTGTCATCAGGCCCGTCTGCTGCATCCCCACTTCCCACCTTGAGTGCTCTGGAGTCCAAATAGTGCTCATCACACTTGACGTCTCACCTCGAGCCCTCAGAGTTGTCCCTGTCTCTTCTCCCTATTCCTTCCCTGTATCTTCTGTCTTCTCCTTCTCCTCGCCTCTTTTCCTCTGCCCGACCTCCCTTCTTCATCGGGTGTCAGCTTAAATGTCACTCCCCCAGGAAGCCTTCTGCAACTCTGCAGCCCTCCCCACCTCACCAAAATTGCATGGGTGCCCCTTCTGCCCATCCTTCTTCATACTGCAACATCCTCCCCTGGTCTTGTCCTGTCTTCCCATCACGCTGCAAGCTCTGTGAAAGCAGGCTCCTGACTGCCCTGCCCAGGGTGTGTGAACCTGCCCACCCTGCCTCCAGAGGCTGGCCTAGTGCTCGGCAGAAAGCAGGCATGGAGTTGTTAAACCTGTTAATTAATGTTATAGTTAATTTATAATTATATATAGACTGTATGTTACGTATTCATATAAATATATTTTATATATAATTATACAGGTTATAAATTAATGTTACAAGGTATTTAGTGTTCAATTAAATACTTGTTAAATTATGGATGGGTGAAGTCCACTGTGGTCTGGGCAGTGGGCAGCGTTTTACCTGAGGAGGGAGAACTGCCTTGGTTTTCAGGAGCCTGTGATGAGTGAGAAGTCCCTGCCAATTACTGTGCCCTGGCCTCAGAGGGACCCAGATCTGGGTCACCATGGACCCCAAGGAGAAAGGTGTGTCCAGAGTAAGCAGGGACATTTCTTCTGCTGCTCTTGCTGTGACGGTGGCTGTGCCCCTCCTGTCACACCTCTCTGCTTTCACAGTCTTCCCATCGCAGCTCTAATTGGGACCCCAGAGAGGCTGGGCACAGATCCAGGGCTGGGTGGGTGGGGAAACTGTCACTAGCATGTGCCAACTCCTCCGCCTCCACCTGGGCCTCAGTGAGAAGCTCAGTGAGGTGCAGCCACCTCAGTGGGGAACAGTCCCTGGCAATGCACCAGCCCTTTCCCCATTGCCACTGCCACTGCTGTCACTGCTTCCCCCATAGCCTCTTAATGAAACATCATCTCCCAGTATTTCCCCAAACCACCTTCTTCTCACTATTCCTACCACCCCTGCCAGCCATAGATTAGGCTCCAGCATGTCTGGTCTATGTTTTATTTGCCCCCACCGGGCACATTGCCTGTGCTGGGTGGGCAGGAGGCAGGAGCACAGGATGGCCAAGGGCAGAGACTTTGGAGCAGCTGCCTGGATTTGAAAACCAGAGTCCCATCACTGCTCCATGCCTCAGTGTTCTCACCTACAAAACCTGTATGAATATAACACTAGCAAATTAGATTGTTGTACGGATTAAACCAGCTGGTGCATGCAAAGTGCTTAGAACTGTGTCCAGCACACATAAGCCTTACAAAAGTTTTGCCAATTATCACAAAGTGGGCACTCAAGAAAGATTTGCTGGGTGGAATTGTGTCAGGGTGCTGGAGGTGGGCTGTCCCTTTGGCTCTGGACAGCCACAGCTTCCTGGCAGGTCCCCTTGTGTCCTGCTAACCCCCTCCCAATCTGCCCTCTCCACTGTTGGATTGCCAAGGCTTTCAGGAGCCTGAGCTTTACATGCTCTGGCCCCTTCCCACTTCTCTGTTTTTCTCAGCCATACACACACAAACATGTGCACACACACATGCATGTATATGCACACATGCGCACACACACATATGTACACACAAGGTACATATATATGCACATGCACACACACCCTTCCCATGGGTCCCCCATGCTCCTGGCTGTTCCCATCCTCTAGGCTTTGCTAGGTCCTCTCTGCCTGCCAGCTGCTGCCCCTGCTTTTTGCCCCATGAGGTCCTCATGCTGGCTTTGGTTCTGTTGTCACTTTCTCTGGGATGCCTCTTCTGCTCAGATAGCTCACATTCAGGGAGAGCCGAATCATACTCACCCACCTCATTACTCTCACCTGAAGCTCCCTAAGGAGACCTTCCATCTCCCATGCAGTGATGGAGCCGTACCTGTTTACCTGGGGGTCTCCCTATCTGTCAGTGAGCATCTAAAGCCCCTGTTGGATGTTAGGGGCAGGTGTAAATCCCATAGGGCACAGCATCTTCCTTCTGTCTCTTAGCTTCCCTCCCCAGGCTCAGGGGCCACGGGGCCCCAGGTAGAGGCAGCTCCTTGACCTGCCCCCATTGGCTGGGCCTTGGCCACCTGCTGGGGCTCAGCACCCCCCCCCCCCCGCCACCTGCCTCTGCTCCTGACCTCCATGCCCACCACCTATCCTTCCTCCTCACCCTTCCTTCCTTCATTCCACAACCTGAATTGGAAGCCTGGGGTCCGATGTGAAGGCGAAGTCCCACTGAGGTGCAGTCTGGTGGGACATCATCATGCCATGCTCTCCACCACTGTTCATCCAATTCTCTCCTTGTTCAGGAGGCTGAGGCCCAGGGAGGAGACACTGTGCTGAGGGAGCTGAGGGCAGAGCTAGGCCTAGACGCCACTTCTCTCCACTCACAGGTCCAAATATGGGCCCTAAGGCTCACTATCTGCCCTTTCCCATCACCTCAGTCCCGCTGTTCCTCCCCCAACACTCCTCCCCGCTCCTGCTGCCCAACCACTGCTTTTCAGAAGCTGTCCCACCCTAGGGGAATGGGATGGAGGGCAAGATGTTGGTGATGACTGTCCTTCAGCTCACATGGTGAGCATTCAGGCAGTGGCCCATGCTGGTGGTTTGTCCCCTGAAGGGACTGGTGTGGGCAGGGGCTGGGGTTGGGCAGAGAGTCAGACTCACTCCCTTCTTCATCTTGTGCGATCTCAGAGAAGTAGAAAATGCTCCCAGATGTTCAGCCTGGCTCCTCAAGACTTAAATGCCACTGTCACAGGCCCGCTCCTCATGCCACTTGAAGCCTTATCAGTCACTTATACTTTGGTGTGAATGAAGGAAGGGGGCTAGGGAGTGAAGTGGGAGGATTTAGGGAACCAGAAAGGGAGACGCCTTGTCTGAAGTCACACAGCCTGGGCCAGGCAGAGCGGGGCAGCTTCTGAACCTACATACCTGGGCTACAGCTGCTCCTCTGAGCCTTGCACTGCCCCCTCCCCCGCAGTCCTCTGCTCACCATCCTGAATAGCGCCAGATCAGATGGACACTATTAAGAAGCTCTGGGTCAGCTGTAAGCCACCAGTGAGCATGCAGAAAATGGAGTGCAGCCCAGGAGGGAAAATGGAAAAGTCCCTTTGGAATTGCCCCACCCACTCTGCTTCTGGTTCCTTGCAGATTACCAAATTTCCAGCACTGTGCTTTTTTGGGGGGATATAGGGGAAGGGCCTTGCCCCACTTCCCTCTTAGTGGAGGGTGGAGTTTTGTTGTTTTTGCAGTGTTTTTGGCATCAAAGGTGAACTCTGGTTGTCATGGGAACTCCAGCAGAGGGAGGAAGGGAGAGGGCCTGAGGAGGCTGAATTAATTTCAGTTTCGGCTGGTTCTCCAAGGGGGAATCTGCGGGGGGTAAAGAGTGAGGGTCCCAGGAAAGACCCTCACCCAGGAAGGCCCCTTAGTGCCCCACGTCTCACATGCCCAGCCTGGCTCCAGGAGGCTCCCGCGTCTGCCATGCAGGCGTTCTTCCTTTTGGGAGGAGGCATGGGCTTCCCCTGCTGCCACAGGAGGTTCTGGGTCTAGAGAAGGTTGTCTTAGCATGGGTGAAGAAAGGGGATGAGGGAGCCCCCCAGAGAATGTCAGCAGGCTGGGGACCTGTGCAGACCCTTCAGTCCTGTTGGGGCAGCAGGGAGCAGCAAGTAGGGCAGGGCCAGGTGGTCTCTGAGTGGCTTGAGAACCCTGACTCAATTGCTAGAAGCCTCAGGCTGGGACATCCAATAAGAGCACAGGACCAGGCAAGTGGTGGGTCGACATGTTGTACTTTCCAAGGAAATAGTCCCCTTTTGCTATCTTTTGTAAAACACACATGTCCTCTCATCCTCCAGTTCAATTTTCTACCTTTGATAGTGACACAGTGATAGAGTAATCAATCTCTACTAAAGCAACAGCTCAGGTCCAGTGGTAGATGCCAGCTGGCGTTAGGGATGGGGAGCAATGGGGATTGGTGAGGAGTGTGGTTAAGGGGAGAGCTTTGGTTCTGGATGAGGGGACTGTTCTACACGCTGCATCTGACTGCTGTCACATGCTGGGTCAATGCTGCCAGATTGTCCAACTGCTCAGACGAAGCCAGAAATACAGATTATGTGGACTTCCCTGATGTGTGCCTTTTTCCTTACTATAGTCCTCATTCCAGCTTCCTCTGCCCACGTAGGCCCAAGCCTTCTCAAGATCATGGATGAGGGAAACCTTGCTGTTACCTTGAACAGTTAAGATAAACCAAGCCCTTAGAAATGGTCTTATTTGTCTCATCCTGCTACAGATAGGGAAACTGGGGCCCAGTGGGGCAGAGACCTCCTTAGCCAAAGGCACTGGATGGGTTAGTAGTAAGCCGCAGCTGGAGGTATCCAGGGCAGATAAACAGAAGGATGACCCAAGAATGCATGTGCTCCTGTGAGTACGTGACAAGCGATGTGTCCCATCAGGGTGAGACGAGACCACAAAGGTGTGGGAATGATGTTAATTTTAGCCCACATTTATTGGGACAGGCACCAGAACAAGCAGAGTTTGGGTCTATTGAAAAGATATTTTATTTTTGTACCACACAGGCCCTTTAAACTGTATTATGGGAGAAATCCTTGCTTGCTTTATGAGCTGAAAACTCAGGTAGGTCCCATGTTTTTTCTGCTCACTCCTGTGTCACAGACAAAATGTTCATTAAAATTCTGAAATTGATTTAATGGCACTTCTTTTCCCCATGCCAGACTCAGGGCTGGAACCTGCAGTGGAAGGGGCAGGGGGTGAGGACATGGCCAGTTTCTTTGTTCTCCTTGGCCTTCTCTCTTCCAGCCGCCCTCCAGTTTATAAGCCAGTTTCTGACCCCTCCTGGGTGTGGGTAGGGCAGGAGGGAGGTGGGAGAGAGGGCTGGTAATGGGAGGCAAAGTCTTGCTGGAACTGGCTTTGCACACTCTCTGGGCCTGGCAGGTGGGTAGCACTGGCTCTTCTTCTGCAATACTCAGTGGGGGCCACCTCTATTCTGCCCCCCTGGGGAAGGAGATGGCATTCATCATGGGTAGCAATGCCCACCCCACAGCCCACCACAGCCACAGGACCCACATCATCTGGGGCATCCCAAGGAACTTGATCTGTGCCTCATATAGCCTCTCTTGGTCTTAGTTTCCTCATCTGTTAAATAAAGAGCCTTGTATAAGGTTGTCTTTCTGTGGCGAGGAGCAGTCAGGTCCTCCAAGGAGCGGGGGCAAGAGAGTTAGCCTTTTCTCCTGGCTCTCACCTGGGCTCAAGCAGAAGACCAAAGCCACTTCTGAGCTGCTGGGGGACTCCTGAGTTCATCCCCCCACCACCTCCCAGGACCTTTAGAGCTCCTGCTATCTGCCAGGGGCCCCTCCTGGCTCCTGTGGTCTCCCACTTCCTACAACTTCATGAACAAGGAGGGAGGTCAGAAGGCCCCACCCTCACCCACACTTCCTCCATAGCACCACCAATGCCAGCAGGAGGAGCAGCTGACCATTCAGGGGTGGGGCGGTGGGGGCTGTGGGGAGGGCCTGGGAAGATGTGAGGCAGGAGTACTTGACACCAGGTGATGCTCTGGACTTTCTCCTCCTCCTTGTCCCCCATCTCCTGACCCTAGCCTGTCACCCAGGACAAGGCCATGATGATAGGAAGCTGGCTATGGATCAGAGTGAGGACACTAGAGGGCCAAGTCAGTGCCCAGATATGAGGTGCAGGGGTACAGGGTGAGGGGCCCAGCTGGAAGCTGGTGCTAGTCTTGGTGGAGGAGAATTTGCTATGAAAGAGAGGATAATGGGTGGAGGCTTCCCAGCTGGGAGGGGAGAACTCTGTGCTTTCTTTCCACCTCAGTCAGAGAGCTACAGAAGCAGCGTCTTCCCTTCCTTGTTTGTACCCCTGGCCTCCCTGGGCATCAGCCGTGCTGGCTGGGGACAGGAGTGTGGGGTGGGGTAGAGATTGGGTGGGAGATGGGTCCATCCCCAGGAGTTTCTGATCCTCCTTCAAGCCTCAGCACAGATATCATAAATGCCCTTGTAGGTAGGTCATCAACACATCCATGTTCAAAAGAGATGAATCAGCTCAGGGTGATCAGGAAGTGCACCAGGAGGCTTTCCAAATACCAGAGAACAGGCCCATTCCTCAGGCTCTGTGAGCCTCTCTATGGAAGCCTCTATATGCCCTTCGCACACTGAGAGGAATTGCCACTCCTCTGCCACCCGGGGCCTGGGCTGTGTCCTTTTCATCTCTGACCCCCAGGCCCAGGCCTCATACCTGGCACAGAATAGGCATTGGATTGGTGCTTGCAGAATGAATGAATGAATGCAGGAGGAAGGTAGATGGAAAGAAGAGAGGAGAGAGAGAAGGGGCAGGTGTCCTGGAGGAGAGGCTAGGCGTGGGTGTCACTTCTGGCCAGCTGGGACCCTCTGGCCAGAAGTGACCAGAGAAGGTGGGGCGGGGGTCCAGGATGTTTGAGCCCAAGATCTGCCCATGCTGGCTTTTGTGCTGTAAGCTCTGCAGCCAGAGTGAGCAGCAACACACTTTCCTCATTCTCACACTCTGCCCTTGTCTGGGAGGGGAAGCCACTTTCGTGGGGGAGGGGCAGGTAGACATATGGAGATTTGGGGAAACACAAAAGGGAGAGAGCAGGAGGTGTGAGCCAGAGGCAGCTCCAGGTGGAACAGGATGGAGGGAGGGGAAGAGTAGGGTGGAGACCTGGAGAAAAGAAAGAGGCCAAGAGGGAGGCAGAAGGGAGAAGCAATGGAGGGCCTGGGAGGGTTTTGTTCTCCCCATTCCTTACCCTTGGTCAGACAAAACAGAATCTCCCTGTTTATAGGAAATGCTAAAGTGTACCTTCTTCAGGAATGACTCCTGGTTTGCATGAGCTGGTGACCACTCTGAGCCATCCAGGTTCATTCCCTCTCTCTCCAGGTGTCTGGTCCTTGGAGTCATGGGGCATTGAGTGGTCTGTGAGGGGTCATGGCCTAGTGTGCATTGGAGATCAGACTGTCTGGGCTCAAATATCTGCCTGCTGCTGACTAAATGATTCTAGGGGCAACTAGCTTGAATGCTGTCTCCCTCAGTTTGTCCATCTATAAGCTGGAGATAATAAAATAACCATCTCAAGGTGGTGATGTGATGTTTGAATGAGATAATATAAGTAGAGTGCTGAGCCCGGGGCATCATAGGGTCTGCATAAATATGTATTATTATTATTATTATTATTATTATTTTGAGATGGAGTCTCGCTCTGTCACCCAGGCTGGAGTGCAATGGTGCAATCTCAGCTCACTGCAACCTCTGCCTTCTGGGTTCAAGCGATTCTCCTGCCTCAGCCTCCTGAGTAGCTGGGATTACAGACATGCGCCACCACGCCTGGCTAATTTTTGTATTTTTTGTAGAGACAGGGTTTCACCATGTTGGCCAGCCTGGTCTCGAAATCCTGACCTCAGGTGATCCACCCATCTCTGCCTCCCAAAGTGCTGGGATTACAAGTGTGAGCCAGTACGCCTGGCCGAATATGTACTATTATTGCTTGGGGTGCTTCAAACAGATGCAGAGACAGCAGGCCACATTTAACTCCTGCACACCTGTCTCCTTATTCACAGAAAAGAGGAGAATGAGCCTGGCTCAGACAGCCTGCCATGGATGGTGAGAGAATCCATGTTGATGATGGACTGTAACAGCGACTGTTGCCAATGACTGGCTTCCTCCTTGGCTTTAAAAAACATTTCTCACCCTTTGAGGGAGGTATTAATGTCCATTGTACAGATGAGGAAACTAAGGCTGAGAGAAGACAGGTAGTTTGCCCAGAGCCACATGGAGGATCTCACCAGCTGGGGAGGCTGGGACTCCCTGTGCCTGAGGAGACTCCTTTCAATTTGATCTCTGGAGAGAAACCTCAGGGGGTGTTGAGGGCTGGGGACATGGTGGGGAGGAGAGAGGACAGGTTCAGTTCCTGCCCGACAACTCTCATTATCTGTCCCATTTATTGCTCCTTGCTGATTCTGAACAGCATGTACTAGGTCTTAATGCTACAATCACCTGCCTATTTGAGGAGAAAATTGGACTAAAATGGCCTGGAGCTTTCAGCCTACAGTTCAGGAGAAAGGCGGGTGATGAGCAGCACATGGAGCAGGGAGGAAGAGAATAGCTTCCGAATCAAAGGGTGTCAGCAAGGCCCGAGAGCAGCCATCAGTCCCAGGTAGATGCTGGGGGAGAAGAAAATGCCAGAGTCAGGGGGCCTGGCCCAGGCTTCTCCTCTGCAAGATGCAGGCTCCTAAACCCCTCACCCAACAAGACATGGTACAAAACTCTTCCAGAACAACTGGGGGCCCAGAGTTTTTCCCCTGAGACATAAAGCTGTTGTTCAGGCCAGGTAAGGGCCAATGGCATGAAGTGGTCTTTCCAGATGCTGGAGGGCGGTTTGCCCTGCACTCCCTCCCCCGAGTTCTGGACCCCCTTGGGAGACATCTCTAATTACATAGTCCCCCGTCCCACAGAGATTGTGCTGTGTCCTAGTTCAAGTGTTGGCTGAGAGTTACTGGCAAGAAGGAGAAGAAGGTCAGGACCCACACCCTGGGGACCACCCTCCTTGAAGGGGAGGGGCGAGGCTTACCCAGGGAGGCAGAGGAGGCGTGGCAGTGGGTGGGATCAAGGAGGCTGAGGGGTGTGGTCATAGGTGTCCTGTGCTACAGAGACAGAGTAAGGTGAGGCATGAGGCTAGCAGGCCCAGTGACCAGGAGGTCATGGGGACTCTGAGTCCTCCTGGGGGCAGCTGATGGAAAAGCCCAAGTCTCAGAAGCCAAGTCAGGCCTGCCATTGTCAGCACCCCTTGGGTAGGCTGGGATCTCCAAGCTGTCCTGGGAAGAATGTGGGGCTGCACTACTCCAGGCCCCCAAAGTCCCATCTTGTGATTATGGATGGGGAAGCTGACTCACAGCAGCTCTACCCTATCCCAGCGCATTTGCCCTGGGTCTTGGCCAGCTGCCCTCCTACCTACTTTTCTCTCTTCCTCCCACTTTCAGGGCCAGAGGACTAGACCACCACAGGCCTGAGTGTGTCCTCATTCCTGCCCTCTCCCAGGACTTAGAACTTTCTCTTTCCAGGAGTGCAGGAGTACTCAGACTGAACCTGAATTTTATGCTGCAGCTCAGACCTCTGATTTCATGGATCGCTTATGACTGGGCTTGGGGGATTAGACTTTTAAGAGGAGGCTCAAGCTGAGACCAGACTTTGAAGTGACAAAGTTCACCAGCAAGTTGGCTATAGGAGCACTGGCTGGGGCAGCATGAATGGCTCTATGTTGCCCTCCCCATCACAGTGGTCAAAAATCAGTGCTCACAGCTATGGCAAAGGTTGAGGGAGGGAGTCTACACCCTTGGTAGTGGGGAGCTGATAGCACAGCCTCCTTGAGGCACATATAGGGGTCACCTGGTGATCTGGGCAGTGACTGAGTCATCCTTGCAGCCACTGGGCCTGGAACATCCAGTCCCCACTGGTGGACAGGCACTTATTTGGACCATGTGCCTGTCTGCCTATGTCTGATGTGATCTCCTTCAGGGGCCTATGTTTGCCTGCAGCACGGAGGCCCTGCAGACGTGGGCTGAGGAGGGGTAAGGGAGGACCCTTGAAATCTATGGCTCCTGTATTCGTCCCTTCTCACAATGCTGTAAAGAAATGTGGGGACTAACAAGAGCGATGCCATTTCTCTACATTGGTGACTGTGTTTTCTACCTTGGTGACGGTGTTCCCAGAAACAAAGCAGGTGTCAACCTTGCCCATACTTTTAATAGAGCATAACAACCCTAACCACAACAGAGCCTGATGGCCCTTACCACATCCTTCTCCAGCCCCCAACAGTTCCAACCTGCCAGCACTTACGCAAACCCTCCCCTATAGAAACTTTATTATAAAAACCTCAGTTTCTAAGTGACAGGGTCTCAGCCACATTCCTGACTGGGACCCCTCACAGGCTTATTCTTGTAAATAAACCTGTTTGGCCATCAAGTTGCCTTCTTTCTCTCTTCCTTCATATTTTCCTAACAAGAACTACCTGAGACTGGGTAATTTATGAAGAAAAGAGGTTTAGTTGACTCACAGTTCTGCGGGCTTAACAGGAAGCATGGCTGGGAGGCCTCAGGAAACTTACAATCATGGCAAAAGGCAGAGGGGAAGCAAGCACCTTCTTCACATGGTGGTAGGAGAGAGCGAGCAAAGGGGGAAATGCCACACACTTTTAAACCATCAGATCTTTTGAGAACTCACTCACTATCATGAGAACAGCAAGGGGGAAATCCACCCCCATGATCCAATCACCTCCCACCAGGCCCCTCCTCCAATTCAACATGAGATTTGGGCAGTGACACAAATTCAAACCATATGAGCTCCCTAGACCAATGCCCAAGTCTTGGGTCTTGGGGACAGAGAGTGAGCTCCTACCTGGAGAGGAAAGGGATTCTGGCTTCCACTTTAACAACCTCCACCACGTGTGAACCCCTGAACTGTAGCCGCCTCCCCAAGGGATGCCCATATCTTACCCCTGCGCTCAAACGTCCTTCCAAGATCAGGAATGCCAGGCTATGCCCAGAACCGAGGCTTGCTGGGGGTAGGCAAGCTGGCAACAAGAAAGGCAGAGGGCCTTAAACGTGGAAAGGCCTTTAAAGAAAGTCTTGTCCAGTGTGGTTTCTCAAACATTTTTAGCAGCTCAAAGGACTGGGCATCTTAGAAGCTCAAATGATTAAAACAGATGAAAGTAGTCAATCTGATCGCAGTGTGGGTGGAAGGCCTGGGCTCACTTACTGACCCTGCTATTCCTGCCTACCCATATCAGCCACTGAGTGTCCTTGATGAACTCCTAGGGCTCCAGGTAGCAGAGTTTGAAAAACTGTCTCTTGACTTCAGTCCCTCTGCATTCTATATTTGGCCTGCCTGTTTTATGGATAGGCACACTGAGACTTAAGAAAGAAGGAGTGACTTACACAAGGACGTTTGTGGCACAGCCAGGGACAAAAACCCAAGTTCTTGCATCCCAGCCTGATTCCTCCCAGCTGCCTGCTAGAACTCCATCTTCCTGCCTACTGATTGCATCCCAACAGCTCTGTTTTAAAGAATAATTTTATTGTCCTAATTATGCATTTCAATATTCGAAACCACCTTACATTTGCTCTGGAAGCAGGAAGAGTAAACATCATAAATGCACATATAAAATCATTATGCTCCCTTTTCGTTTGACTCTGGTATCTGCTCCCTTGTGGGAGGAAATGAAGGAGGCTGAATTTGGCCCCTGCCCTTGACAAGCTCATGGTCAGGATGAGAGTTTGGAAAGAGAGGGTGGTGGACTCTGGGGCTACCCTCAGGAGCTGCAGGCAGGGTGGAAAGGGGAGCTCGCACCCTGCCTCAATTGGGTGGGGGCATTCTGTGTAGCTGCAGGGTAAAGGCAGATGACCCACATTTTCTGTGTCACACAGCCTGAATGCTATTAAGAAGATGGACTGCCACGTAATAGCTATGAGCTTCAGCAAGTTTGCTAACCTCTCTGTGCCTCAGTTTCCTCATCTGCAATTTATCATGTGTCAATTTATGCAAAACACTTAGCCCTGTATCCAGCATATGGTAAATGCTCACAACGGTTAGCTGATAATAATGAGTGTCCGCCCTGGAGGGGAGCTGTGGTGTGTGGGCTCTCCCAGTAGCAGCCCTCTTTGTCTGAAGCTTGGTCACTGGAACTCTGGTTGAAGGTTGAATGAGGTGGCCTATTGCAGAGGAAAGAGCCCTGTCTCAGAAACAAGAGAGTTGGAACACCGAGCCTCACTCTGCCACCAAGGACCTTGGGCAGGTCTGTATCTTCTCGGAGCCTCAGTTTTTGCATCTGTAAGGTGGGTAACATTACAGCAAATATACAGCATTGTTGCTGTGAGTGTTAGATTAGATAAATGTGTAAAACACTTATCATTTTACATGGCAGGATGAAGGCATGTTGGAGTTAGGGAATGTTAGTTTCCCTCCCTAAGAGGACGGGCAGGAGGGCCCTGGATAAAGTGTCATGACAAGGATCCTCCTTATAAATTAGGGAGAAGATGGAGGTGGCAGCCATAGCAGCTAACAGAGGTGGAAGCCATGAGAGAGGCCAGGCTGGGAGAGAGGAAACTTTCACTTTCACTCACTTAGCATGTTTCCAGGATATTGACCATGTCTGGCCCTAGGCTGGATCCAGGGGCTGACAGGTGAGACCACAGCAGCCCAGGCTGACATCTCCTCAAATGAACACCATGCCAGCTGGAGGTGCAAAGGCTCACTGGAGGCAGGAGGACCCCTTCAGCTAGGGAGGGTTGGGGTTTTGTTTTTGAACTGGGGTTTTAGGGGCAACTAAGATAGAAGAAATGTAGGCATGCCAGGTAGCTTGAAGGGTATCCCAGGTGGTGGGAACCCATGGGGAAGCACGGAGACAGGAAATCGTGAGCGGTGTGAAGGTCTAAGTCACGATTATCTTTTTCCCCAAAGGGAGACAAGCTGGATCTGTAGCTGCGCTGCATCCCGACGGCCTGCCCAGGTTTCCCGATTCCACGGGAACATTCTTCCTGGAGGAGTCCACAAGTCTTCTAGCCTAGAGCCATCTCCAAAATCCCTACAAAGCAACAAACGGTGTGACCCAGAGTCTCATTCTGAAATAGACTGAAGCTCTAGGGCCGCACAGAGGACCATTGACTGAAATCTCACAGTGGGCCCTGGGAGGGTCAGGGGACCCTGCAGAGAGCCTGGGCAGGGTCAGCCCAGGCCCAGAAGGCTTCTCAGAGGAGGTGATGCTGGCGGAGGCCTGCCTGTGTCCGTATCAGGAGAAAGCAATGTCAAGAACAGCAAGGTCGCTCACTCACTTCCTATTGTAGATCAGAGCTGGGAGTTTTCCTCAGATTACTTCTCACTAAGAAGACAGCCCTCTTCTCAGGCGCCGCTGCTGACATGTTTTGTTTTCCCCAGATGGGGATAATCAGCCTGTTTGGGAGTCGGGCTGACAGCTCAGGCAGCAGGCGGGGGCTGGGGGCGGGAGGCTGCAGGCAGCTCCGAGCTCTCAGGGAGCAGACTCTGCCCTGCCTGCGTGACAAGCTCCAGCAGGTGGGGGGGATTTCCGTTTGCGCCAAAGAGGAGCGGGCTGTAGAGTGATTTAGCTTAGTTATGTGAACCTTGAGAGGCTGCCCGACTCCTCTCCCCGTTTAATTTATGCTTGAGTGCCAGAGCTGAAGACCTTCAAGCCGTCCCCTGCTATACCGGAAGGGACCCATCAGGATCCTGGCTTGGAGCTTTGCTGGGTATTTCCAGACGTTCCACAGAAGGTGGGGACAGGGCTGGCTGTGCTCTCTCCCTCCCCTTCTCTGGGAAGACTTCCACATCTTCCCCATCCCTTCCTGATGGCCCCACCCCACCGTCTCCCAGCCCTAAGAGTCTCAGCCTCACCTTCCCACCCTTGCGCAGGCCCAGGTCTGGGCTCTTCACTGACTCATGTTTTGGAAGAAGGGGTAGAGTCACCCACCAGCCTCGGGGCTGTCTGAGGCAGGTCACAGTTGTTCTGAGGGCCGGACCCCAGGGCCTTGGGCTGCTCAGCATTTCTAGGCACTGGGCTGGAAGGTTTGCATCCCAGACATAGCAGGGCTGAGGAACGGCTATGTTAGAATCACCTTGAGTGGAATAACCATGCCCACCTGAGGATCATGGGTCCCCTCCTGTGGGTGGGTCTCTGGAGGTCTGAGGAGGCCTGACACCTTCAGGCAGGCTGCAGTGGGCCCTTTTCTGTTCTTTCTCCCCCAGTCCCGCTTCAAGGAGGGACGACCAGGCCAGAGACAGCCTTCCTGAGAGACTTGCACCCTGCCCTCACCCAATACACAACTGATTTCCTTCTGTGTGGAATGAAGCCCGTGGACTTCCCATCTCCAAGGCCCAGCCAGCTCTCGGTTCTCTGGTTATGGGTCCCGCCTCCCAGTCTCAGCACTTCTTTTCTGACTCCCCACTGGGCCTAACACAGAGCCTAGCCTCTGCCTGTCAGTGCTTGCCCACTTACATCCTATGCACCCAGAGCTGGGAGCCTTCCTCAGACTCTGGGCCTACACAAGGCAGCTGCTCCCAAGGACAAGGGTTAATAGAGGTCTTTGATAGAGTCTGAGGTCTTTCCAGAGGGAAATTTAGCTCCCAGAGGGGCCTGGGTGGGGGCCTGAGAGACCTGGCCACAGACACCTATGAGCCCCTCTGACCATGTTCTTGGCTGCAGCCTCATGAGGCCATCAGGGCTCGGCGCGGGAGGCAGGGCCCGGGCTCTGTCCCCAGCTCCTGGCCACACACCTTCAGTGGCCATGAATCTGCCCTTCACCCCCTGCACCTCAGTTTCCTCGTCTGCCCCGCAGCATCCATGGGACTGCAGTAGTGTGTATATGCGGCTGTGGCCCCTGGGAGAGGCACCTCTGGGACCACTGGCCATCTGGCCCTCGGTAGCCGTGTGGCGCAGATTTCCTCCTCCGTGGTCTCCCGGGCAACGCGGAGCTGCCTGCCAAGCCTGCTGCCGGGCCTGGCTCCTGCACAGATCTTTAGTGCCACACAGAGATGGCTGATGGCAGGAGCCAGGGTGAGGCCCAGCCTCCCCAGCTGTCACAGGGAGCAAATCAGACAAAGGCTGAGTTGGGAGGGGTGGGGCGCCGGAGCCAGGGGGGCCTGGGAAAGTAGCTCGGAGGCCCCAGCTGCCCCCTCCCACCTCATCCTCCCAATACTGCCCTCTCAGTGACCCCTGCTTCCCAGAACACTCAGCCGTGGACCTCAGTTTCCCCATCTATCAAATGGGAGGGGCCAGGTCTCTGACCCTCCAGACTAATGGCCTAAGACAAGAACCCAGCCTGGATGACAGAGGCCTGAGGAATGGACATGCTTTGATGGCTAATGGCCTTCAGACAGATGCCCACACTGCCACTGCAGGACTTTGGAGGGTGCATGTTTCAAGGGCATTTATTAGCTAATGTCTCCAGGGCCATTTGCTCCAAACCACCCGCTGCTTCTCACTCCATGCCACTGGTGAGGACTCTTCTCCCAGGATGGCTTTGCCCTTGTAGTTTTTTCTGCCGCTCCCAGGACTTGCAGGCTCTGGAGGCTGGGCAGTTCTGTTTTAGATCACAGCCACTCCTGCATTGAGGCCACCATTCCACCCCTGCCCCGAGTGAGACAGAAGCTGGAGCTGACCTTGGGACATGGGGTTGAAGGCAGGGTGTGCAGAGAGTAGAGAGTCCTGCAGACTGCTGCTTCTGTATGTGAGTAGCTGGGCAGGGAGGGCAGCACCCACAGACCAAGGATAAGGGAAGGAGGTGCTGTCCTACCTACAGCAGACCCCCAGGTCCAGAGCAGAGACCCAGGCATTCCCCCATCCAGGTTGGGTCCCACAAATGACCAAGAGGCTTTCAGCACTAGCAGGCACAACTGCTGCAGTGGGGAGCTCCCTTGGGAGGGGGCAGCTGGCACCATCAGGCAGCCAGATAGGCAAGGATGTTGTCGGGGGCCCCTTTTGTGAATTAGAATAAAAGACGCCCTCTCTTGGCAGTCATGGCCCTGCAGTGCATGGATTTCAGTCCCTCACACCTCCCTAGGGTGCCATCGAATGGAGCAGAACCTGAATTGCTGTATATAGCAGTCTGCCAAGCAGAATTGGAGAGGCAGCGAATCTTTGACCAAATACTGGAAAATCAAGGGAGGTTCCTGGCATGGTTGCCTGGGGAAGGCTTTGCTGACCTTGAGCCTGAGCCCCAGAGGCCAGTACAGAAAGGGCATGGGTTCAACTCAACAAATATGAATTGAGAACACCTATCCAGTGCCTGGCACTCTTTCGGATGCTGGGAAGAGAGTGATATCAAGATAGTTAAGGTCCCTGTGGTCTTGGAGCTTGTGTCTTAGAGGAAAGAGTCAGACAATAGTAACCTAGAAAAATTATCAGACAGCAAAGACTTCAAACACAGGATGGATGGTGGGTGAAAGGTGATGTTAGATTTGGGGGTGGGGGGTAGGTATCTGGCAAGACCCACTGAGCTTTAAGCTGAGAACAGAGTGATATGAAGGAATCAGCAAAGTAAGCATCAAGGGGAGGAGTGGGGCAAGTCAAGGGACCAGGTGGGAGAAGATTGCACTGAAGGCATGAACGTGGCCTTGTCCGGGAACTGAACAAGGAGGCTGGTAGGACTGGGGGATGCAGAGGAGAGAAGAGGGGATGCACTCTGGAGGCAGGGGCCAGATCTTGGGACTCAGTCACCCACTGTGAGGGGTCTGGACTTTTTCCTCAGTGCAATGAGAAGCCATTTGAGGAACTGACCCAGAAGCGACTCTAGAACAATGATTCTCAATCGGGTGTTATCCTCGCAACTCCCAGGGATTTTTAGCAATGTCAACAGAGGGTGAGGGTAGGAGTGGTACTGGCAGCTGGTGGGTAGAGGCCAGGGACACTGCTAAACATTCTGCGACGCACAGGGCAGACAGCTCTCCACTCCCAACAAAGAATTATCTGAACCCAAATGTCAGTAATACCGAGGTTGAGAAACTCTGCTCTAGATGTTGGTGTCCCCCGGGTCCTTGCTCTTTTAGAATAACCCAGGGTCACTGTACTCCAGCCTGTGGCTCTTTCTATATATACTCTGGGTTCAAATTTTATCTTCACCGCTTGTCCAAAATGTCAACGGTGGCCGGGCGCGGTGGCTCACGCCTGTAATCCCAGCACTTTGGGAGGCCGAGGCGGGTGGATCACGAGGTCAGGAGATCGAGACCATCCTGGCTAACAAGGTGAAACCCCGTCTCTACTAAAAATACAAAAAATTAGCCGGGCGCGGTGGCGGGCGCCTGTAGTCCCAGCTACTCGGGAGGCTGAGGCAGGAGAATGGCGTGAACCCAGGAAGCGGAGCTTGCAGTGAGCCGAGATTGCGCCATTGCAGTCCGCAGTCCGGCCTGGGCAACAGAGCGAGACTCCGTCTCAAAAAAAAAAAAAAAAAAAAAAAAAAAAAAATGTCAACGGTGCAGAGGTTGAGAAACTACTGTACAGGAAGAAGGGAAGCAGCACAACTACTTAGACCTGTGCTGAATGCAGTAGCCACTGGCCACATGTGGCTTTTGAATACCTGAAGTGGTCGGGCGTGGTGGCTCATGTCTGTAATCCCAGCACTTTGGGAGGCCGAGGTGGGTGGATTATTTGAGGTCAGGAGTTTGAGACCAGCCTGACCAACATGACGAAACCCCATCTCCACTAAAAATAAAAATTAGCCGGGCATGGTAGTGTGTGCCTATAATCCCAGCTACTTGGGAGGCTGAGGCAGGAGAACTGCTTGAACCCGGGAGGTGGAGGTTGCAGTGATGGTGCCACTGTACCCCAGGCTGGGTGACAGAGCAAGACTTCATCTCAAAAAACAAAACAAAAACCTGAAATGTGGCTAGTCCAACTGAAGTGCTGTGAGTATAAAATATCAGATTTCAGACTCAGCACAATACAAAGAATAAAATATCTCACTTGTGTTTTTATATGGATTACATTTTTAAATGATAAAATTTTGTATATATTGGGTTAAATAAAATATATCATTAAAATTAATTCCACTTGTTTTTTTTAATAATGTGGAACTTTTAAAACTCCATATATAGCTCCCATTTATGGATCGCAAATTATGTTTCTGTTGCCCAGCATTGAGTTGACTAGTGATAATACTCATCGTACCAGTTCCTATGTCCCAGCACTGTTCTGTTTTATGCACGTCACTTAGTTTTCACAACAATCTCATAAGGGAGATATTGTTACTATTTTTCGGCTTATATATGAGGGGGCTATGGCCCTGAGAGGTTAAGTAACCTGCCCAAGGCCACACAGGGAGTAAGCATAGAGTTGGTTCCAGGGTCTGGATGTCCTGAGGATGGTGGCTTGGCTATGATGAAAATGGTGGCGACAGAGTGATAGAGTTTGGATGTTCGTTCCCTCCAAATCTCATGTTGAAATGTGATCCTCAATGTTAGAGGTGGGGCCTGGTGGGAGGTGTTTGTGTCATGGGGGCAGATCCCACATGAATGGCTCCATGGCCTCCCCATGGTAATGAGTGAGTTCTGGCTCTGTTAGTTCACTTGGAGGCTGGTTATTTCAAGGTACCTGGCATTTCCTCCTCTCTCTCTTGCTCCCTCCCTCGCCATGTGACACGCTTGCTCCTCCTTCCCCTTCCGCCATGACAGGAAGCTTCCTGAGGCCTCACCAGAAGCAGGTGCTGATGCCATGCTTCTTTTACAACCTGCAGAACTGAGAGCCAAATAAACCTCTTTTCTTTAGAAATTACCCAGCCTCAGGTACTCCTTTATAGCAATACAAAATGGACTAACACATGGAGAGAGGGGAGATGGTTCAGGGTCCGCAGGGGCTCCTCAGGACTCACAGATGGAGTGGGCGTGGTGATGTGTAAGGGAAGGGAAGAAGGCAAGAACACTCAGTAGGGCTTTGCTGTGAACAGCGAGGTGGGGGGTGATGTCTTTGGCTGAGATGGGGAAGCTGGGGGTGGTATAGCCTTGGAAGAAGAGCTGCAGAGTTCTGTGTCGGTCCTGCTAAGTTTGAGATGACTATAGACATATAAGAAAGCAGCTGGATTTGCAGAGAGACACCAGGGGTGGAGAGAGACATTTGGGGGTCAGCCTTAGTACATTGACAGAATTTAAAGCCATGAGGAATGTGATCACCTAGAGAAATTGTAGATGTTGGAGAGAAGGTTGCTAAGACAGAGCCTGAAGCACACCAGCAGTTAGAGGATGAGCCATGGAGAAGGATCAATGCAGGAGGCTGGGAGAGAGACTCCAGTGAGGCAAAAGGAAGACCAGGCATGAGAAGAAGTATCTCAAGTGGGAGGGTGTGGTCAGTTTCCAGGCTCACTCACATTTTGCCTGTGAGCCTCTGGCTGGTTGGAGCAAGATAGCAGCAGGGCTCATTGACCCAAGGTAGGGCATCTGGGGAGCTGGGCTCATTTCTGGGCCCAAGGCCTGCAGGTTGGCCAGCTTCATGCTGAGCCCCTGCAGCTAGGCATTTCAGCTAGGCTCCTCCTGAAAAGACACGGAGGAGCAGGAGAGTGTCAAGTGGCCCAGCTGAGGCAAGAGGAAGGCCCTGAGGTGTGGGCAGGGTGGCCCAGGTGGCTCATTTGAAGCAGCTAACCCTACCTGCTTCAAAGTGACTTCTGTACTTAAGATAAACTTAGCTCCTACATATCCTTCTTTTGGGTGAAGACAAAAGACACAGGGAAGGTCTAGGGAGAATCAGGCCCACAATGGGTGGATGGGGGACTCCCTCCCCTGATCTCTCTTAAACATGTCAACCCTATCTCCCCTAGACTACGCCTTCTTTCTTAGGCCATAAGAGAAGTTTCTCCACCTTGTAAAAGCCCCACACATTCAGCTCTGGGCTCTGACAGAGTTTGGGGTTCAGGACATGAGGGGAGAGGTGGGTAGAAACTCTGATCTGAGCTTTTTGTGTCATGACCCTGGCACTAGAAGCTTCCAGTTGGCCCCCATCCCTCACTCCAGCTGTCTCTCAGCTGATTCACAAGGTCTCTGTCTCCAGGAATCTGTTCTCTGCAGCACGTGTTTCTGGTCTGGCATCTGCTCACTGCCACCTGGATCCTGGCACCACTCGACCTGGCTTTTGTCCTCAGTCTGCCCACTCTTGGCTACCTTGGGCACCCCCCACCTCCAGCCCCAGCCTGGTTTTGTCTCTCCCACCTCCTCCTTGGATCTGCCATTCCAGCTTACCAGCCTCTGTGCGTTCCCTGTCACTAATTTCCCCATCAGCAGCTTGCCTTCAACCACACTGCCCGCAGAACCAAGTGCTTTGTCGATGAAAAAGCCCTCTGGGGGCAAACACAGGAAATTAAAGACTCTGCACATAGTAAGAAAATCCATTCTCTTTCATGGATTTCTGCAGTCCAATTGCTTCTACTTCTGCTGAGTGGCTGGGATCTTCTGGTCACTCACACCCATGGGGGCTGGCCAGTGGGGGTGATGTTAACAAGGAGGGCTTCTGTCTGAGATTCCATCATCCACAGTTCATGTCTTTGGGGCATGGAGGCTGCCTCCTGCATCACTAGGGTACCTATGGCAGGAGAGCACCTTAGGATCACTGTCAGAGGCAAACACCTAGAGTGGATGTGTTGTTGGCTGAGAGAGAATGTGTCCTGCTGGAGGAGAGGTGCACAAGTCCAACCTAGCTTTGTGTTCTGAGAGGAATGTGCTAAGGGAACAGCCTTCTACAGGGAGAAGAAGGAACCACCCATCATGTGTTCTACTCCCAGCAGGTTAGTACTTTTCACCCTCTTGTCTAAAAAATAAAGGGGCTTGGATCAGATGGTGTTTAAGGTCCCTTCCAGGTATAATTTATTCAGCAAACATGGGTGAAGCTCTATCCATGTGCCAGAACTTTCAGGAGCCTCAACTAATTGTGCCCTGGGCCCCAAATCAAACAGGCAGAAGTTGCCTCTCTCTTACCTCCCAGGGCCAACCCCTGTGGAGAGGCCAGGCTCAGGTCGCAGCCCGGAGAACAAGCTCATTGGCCTCGATGTTTGAAAGCCCTTGAACCACAAAGGGGCCTCAGGGACACTCAGATCAGGCTGGCATCTTCTCTGAGAACTCCAAGACCCCATGAAGGGCACTTCAACACCTTGGCCAGGCTCTGAACACAGAGGTGGAGGCTTGGTCACCAAGAAGGCAGGCCAGGTGCTGGGAGAGGAAGTCAGGCAACTCCCTTAAGGTAGCTGGGCAGAGCACAGGGAAACACAACCTCAGATTGAGATTCTCCCTGCTCCCCTCGACCCCAAAGAAGGAAAGAGCAGGGCCTGGGCAGATGGGAAATGGAAGACTCCTTGAAGTTACTTAGGACCTGCCAGTGTGTCCCAGTGGAGGGACTGGGAGCTGAGGTTGCAGCCAGCCCTGGGAGAATCTTTCAACTCAAGGATCTGGGTGGTGGCCACAGTACAGACACTGGGAGAGCAATTCCTACAGGGCAGGATAGGCAATCCTGGTCCCAGAGGCACAGCAGCAGGGGAAGAAGGAGGGGCTGGAGAACCAGTAGGCATCAGGGTAGGGGCTCAGCAGCCAATTATCCAAGTCTGCCTGGACATGGGATCCAGGAGCCCACCTATTCATCCATACATCTACCCACCTGCCTTAGTCATTTGTGCTGCTATAACAAAATACTTGAGGCTGGGTCATTTCCAAATAATGAAAATTTATTCCTCACAGTTCTGGAGGCTGAAAGTCCAAGAGTAAGGCACTGGAAGATTCGGGGTCTGGTGAAGCCTGGCTCTCTGCTTCTAAGATGATGCCTTGCTGCTGTGTCCTCCTGTGGTGGAAGGCAGAGGGCAAAAAGGACTAGGGCACCCCCTTCAACCTCTTTTATAAGGTAACTAATCCCATTCATGAGGGCTCCACCCTCATGACTTAATCACCTCCTAAAGGTCCCACCTCTTAGTACTATCACATTGGCAATTAAGTTTCAACAAATGAATTCTGGGGGACACGTTCAGACCACAGTACTACCCATCCAATAAATGTTTTCTTCTAGGCTTTCCTTTCCTCCCCATTCCCATAGTGCTCCTGCCCAGTGGGTGCCTCCCACACCCACCCACCACAGGCATGATTCTCTCTAGACTTTCCCTGTGTCAGACAGGTCCTCCTAGCCCTGTGTCTGCTCTTTCACATCTGATCCTAGCAGCCTAGGTGGATAACCAGCTGCTCACACTTGTGGATGGTCAGCCCAGCTCTGTCTCACAAAGTCCTCACCCCTACAAGCCACAAAGCTGCTGGACATCTCACTGTTACAGCACGTTGACAGTCTTCTGGGGCTATACTTGGGCCACACTGAAGGTTTACATGATTAAATTTAAATGAAGAAGAGGAACAAATATATTGTGAACATCTAATCTAGGTCAGATTTTTTGCAAGTTTACTCACAGCCCTCTGAATTTGGTATAATCCTGCTAACAACAAAAGTAACTAATATTTACTATTGACTACTACTATATTCTAGGCATTAGCTGAGTAATCTGTAGATGAAGAAACAGGCTCAGAAAGGATAAGCAATTAGTAACTTTCCCAGTGGCACATAACCAGAGGGTGGCAACGCTGACATTCAAAACTGGGTCTGGATGACCCTTTGGAAAATCCTTCTGGTGGGCCTCCCTGCATCCTCCCTTTCCCACTGGCCCTAGCTCTGTAAATCACGGCCTCCTCCTGACCTAAATGCTATGGGCTTTTTCCCTTCTGGGCTTTCACTCGTGTCTGGCACATTCTTCTGTAAGCTCCCTAAGAGCAGCAGGGACTTTATAGACCCCTTCATCTCTCTGTCTCTCTCTCTTGCTCTTCTGTCCACTCTAATCCAAAGAACAGTAGAGGTAGGTCCAGTGAAAGGTACTTCATAAATTCTTATTGTCTCATTAATGACTTTGATGCTCACGAAAAACCTACCTTCTTGGTAGTGTTGAGCATAGCTATTCCATTTTATAGATGAGCAAGTTGAGGTCCAGGAAAACAAACAAAAAAACTGGCTGGTCAGATAATAAGTAAGTGGTAGATGTCCCTGAGTGCTCATCTGTGTGTTTGCAGTGCAGCCTGACCTGGCACTTGAAGACAGGGCCATCAGCTGCAGTGACAGACATTTGTGGTCTTGCCCTGGGCAGGGGCTCCTTCCCAGGAGGGCGAGTGGAGCTCACTCCCTGTCAGCCTGTGGCCAGGTCAGCTGTGAAGACCAGAGCAGCTTCCTAGTGGCCAGGAGGCAGCCCTGGGAGGGAGGGAGGAGACAGAGCAGTGCTGTCACTCCAAGGCCCTGTCTGAGAGGACTACTGTGCTTCCTATCTGGCTTTCCTTGCCACAGTCCATATGGGGACTGTGCTGGGGATGGCTGGACAGTTGCTACGTGTCACCCGCTCTTTCTCACATCCCAGCAGGGCCCAGGAGATGTGAGAGGCACTGCAATTGATGAGACCTGAAGACTGATTCATTTCTCACTCTATCCTTCCTCCCTGGGCCATCTTATCCACTCCCATGATTTCAATTACCATCCATACCAGTGGTTCTCAGCCCTGGCTGCATGCTAGAATCACCTGGGGAGCTTTTAAAAACATGTCCATGCCAGGCCCCCTTCCCAGACCTGATAAACTCAGAATCTCTGGGTTGGGACCGAGGTGTCAGGATTTACCAAGTTCTCCTGTGCAGTCAGAGTTGAGAACCGCAGATTAATTCACCCTCTGATTGCACTTTCTTCCAACTCCCATCTCTCTTCTGAGCACCCTGCCTGCTCCCTTGATGTTTCTCCCTGTGTTCCCCTCAAGGTACCTCCAACTTACTTGCCCAAGTCATAATCTCTACCACCACTGCCTCGCTCCATCTCAAAGCCTGTTTCTCTGACCAGGACTCCCTGTGTCAATGAACATGACCACCGCACATCCAGTGGTGTAAGACAGGGACCTTAGGACCAGCCGGCCTTCCCTCTCTTTTCCATCATCTTCATGTGTAATCCACCACTCTGTGAATATTTGATTCAGCAGCTGTAGCAGAGAGACCCAAAATAGCAGTGCCCAAACAAAATAGAAATTGCTTTCTTCCTCACATAAAAATGTGAGTAGGCAATTCAGGGCTGGTATGCCAGTTCCGTAATCACGGGTTTGGGCAGCGGTGGGGTTGGGTGGGCGTGGGGGGCTCCTGCTAAGTCACATGGCTTTGCTCTCCTTACAAAGCAGCTTCCTCCTCTTTGCCCAAGATTGTTGCCCTAGTTCCCACCATCGCGTCGCCATTCCAGCCAGTGGGGAGAGAAAAGGGAAAGTGGAGGCCATACCCCTCCCTTCAGAGGCACAAACTAGATGTTGTTCCTATCACTCCTGCTCACACCCCACTGCCCTGAATTTAGTCACGACTCACACCTGGCTGCAAGGGAATCTGGGAACTGTAGTCCTGCTGGCTTTATCTCCTAAGGTGGTCTCCAGTTCCTCCATCTCTCTCTACCTCTCCCACCATTCCATTAGTCAAAACCATAGTCTTTTGCCTCACCTACTGCAACAAGCTTCCTTATTGATTTCCCTGCATCCTTCAATCCGATTTTTCCCCTGCATCCTGGGTGATATTTTTAAAATGCAAATGAGGCTTCCTCATGTGTTCAGCAGCTTCCCACTAGTCTGAGGTAAAGCCCCAGGCCTTGATGGGCCCTGGGCCTGACCTGGCCCTCCGGCCTCAAATCCAACCTCTCTCCCTTGCTCTCTGTCCTCCAGCCATGCTGGTCTGAGTCCAGTGGGTTGAGTGCTTGGTGCCTCCCTCTCTACTCACAGCTTGCTCTTGTTTCTTACTCTTCTGCAGTATCCCCACCCTCTCTGTGCCCACCCAACTCCCAGCTCCCTTTACTTGTTCTTCAGATCTGAGATAAACTGACTATTTCTTTGGGAAGCCTCCCTGACCCTTGGGTAAGATCAGGATGTCTTGTTACATAGGTTTATGGCATTCTATTCTTTATTTCACTATCACAGGTTGTTTTACATTATTTGTGTGATTATTGTTTCAATTCTGTGTACTGCATCTGACTATAAGCTTCAGGAGGGCAGGGACCATTGCGACCTCAGTGGTTGGCACTGTGCCTGGCCCACAGGAAGCCTGTGCTAAATGCTCGTTGCTCAGGTGAATCATGAGGGCTGGAGAAGTATGAAGAATGACTCCCAGGTTTCCAGTTTACCCAGGAGATGAATGTGGTACCATCTGTGGAGGTGGAACACGGCGGGTGCAGATCCTGTGTCCAGTGTTGCAAAGACCGAGCTGGATGTGTCTGTGAAGCCACTGGGGTCAACAGGTGCTGGACATGGCTCTGGACCTCTGGGGAGATGTCCTATTTCAACCAGCTGACATTGGATTCTTGATCTGGACCCAGGTTATCAAGGGTCAAGGCTGCTAAGAGGGCAGCCATTCAGAAGGTCTTGGCATGTGTCTGACATTAGATGGAAGGAATCTGGGAACTGGGAGCTACTCTAATTCTTACTGAATTCTAATCTTGAAAGGTCCTGTTCTGAGCCCTTCAGATGGTCAAGGAAGCCAAGGTTCTGAGTAGCAAGCACAGTGAGCACAGGAGGACTGGATCTGTGCTCCCCCTCCTGTGTAACATTGCACACTTCCCACCACAAGTTCAAATCCATGAGCAGTCTAGCTCAGCAAACACTCATGGAATGTCCACTGAATACCAGGCCTGTGGGATGGGTGATGATGGCTGTGGTAGTGGCAGAGTAGTGGCAGTAGTAATAGCTACTGTTTATAAGGTAGATTCACACCAAATACCATCCTAGGCATTATAACATTTAAACACACTTAATCTTCACAGCAACCCTATGTGCCATTATTCTTCACATTTTACAGCTGGGAAAACTGAGGCAATAAAAAATTAAAAACAAGATCACAGCTAGTGAGTGGCAAGAAATGAAAAGAAAGACTATAGTCCCTTTGCTTAAAAAAGTTTAGAGGTGGCCAGGCGCGGTGGCTCACGCCTGTAGTCCCAGCACTTTGGGAGGCTGAGGCAGGTGGATCACGAGGTCAGGAGATCGAGACCATCCTGGCTAACACGGTGAAACCCCATCTCTACTAAAAATACAAAAAATTAGCCAGGTGTGGTAGTGGGTGCCTGTAGTCCCAGTTACTTGGAAGGCTGAGGCAGGAGAATGGCATGAACCCAGGAAGCAGAGCTTGTAGTCAGCCGAGATTGCGCCACTGCACTCCAGCGTGGGTGACAGAGCAAGACTCCATCCCACCCCTCCAAAAAAAAAATGTTTACAGGAATGGGGCTATCTCCTTGGATTCTCTGTAAATAATGGGGATAGGCATTGTCACTCCCCTTGGACAGACAGGGAAACTGAGGTCCACAAAGGGGTTTCTGGTAAATGTGATGTTTAGCTGCACGAATTCTCACTTGCTTTCTTTTGTCCTTCCCATCTTGTACATGTTAAGACTAATCAAGCTTTCCTTGGAAGAGACTAAACTAATTTTAAGGAGACAGGTAGCTGATGGCCTGGCTGCAAGTCAGTGAATGGTAATGGGGAACAATTTCCAAGGATGACTTTCAGCCATCTGGTGGAATTCACAGAGCTTCGCAGTTTAACAGGTCCTTTACAGAACTTGACCCTGTGAGATAGATAGTATCATCCCTGAGTTATAAATGAGAAAATGGAGACTCTGAGAAGTTAAGTGACTTACCAGAATCCTAAGGCTGGCTGGTAGGTTGTGGAAGGGGGACATATAAGTGAACTCAGTTCTCTAGACTTCCAGCCTAGAGCTGTCTGTCTGACACGCCTTCTTATTGCTTCTGTCTGTATCAGCAACTCCAAATCTAGGTGTCCTGATTTATTCCCACCTAGATCTTTCATTTTCCTGGTGGTACATTTTCCTTTTTCCTCACCCCACCTAGTGTCCATTCTTTAGTGCCCTGACTGCGCTAATTTTTAATTGCTGTGTGGATGAATCATTGAATTTGTGCTAAAATGTTAATGACTAATAATGGCTCAAGGTATTTATTCTCTAGAGATTTTCCCTATTTTTCTTCTTTTTTAAAAATATGATTAAAAACAATAACAAAAATTATTCTTATGGGTCCTGCCCTTGGAGTTTTCAAAAATGGTTCCCATTCATTTATCTTATTCTCTTCTCAGATCCAGCCCTGTCCTTTTCTATCTGTGGCCACTGCTCAGCCTTTCACCATCTGCCCTCTGGACTGTTTCAGTAGGTTCCCAGTTGATCTCCCCGTCTCCAATACATCCTCCATCCTGCAGCCCAAGCTATCCTGCTTAACATTCCTTGCTCTAAGCTCTTCCCTGGCTTTGTATCCTCCAAGAATAAATTCAATCCCTTGGCCTGGCATTCACGGCCATAATCTGGTCCTGCTCACCTTCCAACTGCTTTTCACACTGCGCTTCTTCTAGCACCTTATCCCCCAAACTGTCCATTGTTCTTCCTACACCTCACTCTGGGATGTGTCACTGTGCAGTCAGCTGCCCATCCCTGAGTCACCCAATTTCAGGGGAAACTTTCCAAGATCTCCAAAGAGTCTTTCAAGCTCCTTTTACTTGATTGAGGTGACAGGAAGATTCCCTTCCTACCTGCCTTGCTTGGATGTCCCCAAGAAATGTATCCTCAGAGGTTTTCACTTTCTAAAGTCCTCACCTTCTATTACCTGCATGTAGGGGTGGGGGTGTGGGATAATGTTGGCTAAACAGGTTTGAGGCCACTCTCTTTGCAAGTCTTTCATGGACAATCTCTCAAGATAGTTCTCAAAGGGGTAAAGGGTGGGCAATGTGTGGGGGTGTTTTGAATGTCACAGTGACTGGGCAATGACATTAGCATTTAGGACCAAGGTCTAGAATGCTAACCATGTAGGATGCTAAATGGTTTGTGTGGCAAAGGGCAGCCTACCAATAAAGAAGTGTCCTGATTAACACACCTGCCGTGCTGCCCTCCTTGAGAAGTGAACATGGGGTCAGGTGGCAGAAGCATCAGGAAGGAGCAGAGGATTGGAGCTCCGAGAGGGTCCATCCTTCCTTCCCAGAGAGAACTCCCTTGAACTTCTGGGAGTGAGCAGGTGTGTCAGACCAAGTGTCTAAGGGGGAAGCCTCCGGCTCTGCTGTGCAGCCATACTGGCGGGAAGAAGGTAACTCTTCCTCCACCTTGGAGATGCTAAAAGGAGAAAAAGGGAACACGCAGACTCAGATTTGTTATTTCGATTGTTACAAAATTCCTCCTAAAAATTTCCAGACTCATGAAGGAAAAACAATGAGAGAAAAGAAAAGTTGAAAGACCGACATGGGTATGTGGCTACTGCTGGGTTTAGGAATATTCATCTGTAGCTCCATCTCCATTTGTTAACATCATCAAAGTCTGCATCTCCACCTCCAACACCACCAGGGCCACCTCCAGGATCACTCACCCACCACCACAATCAGCATCACCTCCAACTTTGCCAATTCCATCCCCAAGACACTGTTCCCTGTGTCTTGACTCTGGGTCAAATTAACTGCCTGGTCCACCAACCTCCTTCCAGATACTCTTTCCCATATTGGGAAGAACTCAGGGTTTGGAGCGGAACTGTTCCTGGAGCAGAAGACTCTCCTCCATCAGGAAGGGGATGAGTCAGCTTGCTGTGGGCTTTGACAAGGACTGCAGCTCAAGTTTTTGCAGCTGTAGGTTTCCATAAGCCAGCATGTTTAGGGGGCTCCATTTGACCAGTTTAAGGAAGTCCACTGGTCTTTTGAACTTTTTAAGATGAATCCTGTTTTCAGTGATCTGTGGGCTCATCTAAGCATCATTTTTGGAGGAATCTGTAGTTGGGATGAGTACTCTGCCTTGAGTTAGGGTTAAAGATCAGTCTGTGACCAGAGCAGGAACTTGTTCTGAGGCTGGGATTAGAGGCCAAACTGAGATGGAGTCAGGGTTGAATGTCTGACCTGGGCCGAAGCTCTGGCTGGGGTTGAGTTAGTTCTTTGGGTAGAACTAGTGTCAAGGTCATTAGTTGAACTTCTGTCATATGTCCAAAATTTCTTACAAAGTACGCCCATTTTATCTATCCTTGAGGGATTCCTCCACCCTCCAGCCCCTGCTTATCACCACCCTACTTTTAGCCCTAAGTTTGCCCGGGCTCAAGGCACAGCCACACTCCTGCTCTGGGGTAGGGACTTCAGAACAAGGTGGATAAACTTTTGAATCCAAAGCCCTCTGCTGCCTGAGCCCACAATTGGAGGAGGGGAGGGCATAGCCAAGGCCTGATGCCTGCCAGCCCTGGCAGCTGGATGAGCAGCTGTAATGGGATTAGGGCTGGCTATGCCCGCCTCCCTGCATGCCGCCCCGAAGCCCTCCCTCCCTTCCTCCCCCAGCATTCTGATCAGGATTCAGCCCTCGGCTCTACCTACCCCGGCCAGGCCAGCCCCATTGTCCTCTCCTTCCCTGGTGCCGGTGCCTAGCAACACTCACAGGGGAGCTCTTTTCCCACCGCCATCCTGGCCCCTCACCCTGCCCCTCGGCTCTGAGCACACACAAGCACCACTTGCCTTTTTATCACTGCAAAAAAAGCCAGTGAAAGGAAGCCAGCTGGTTTCACCAGATTCTCCCAGTGATCCGATTACAAGCCTGTCTTCTGAAATTCTGGGCTTCCTTTCCAAGATTCCTAGGTCCTACTACCAGCAATCCTCAGATTACATTTGAAGATTGCAGAGTTTCATTCTGGAATTCTCAAGTCCTGGAGTCCACTCTAGGACTCCATGAATTCTAGAATTCCAGGACTTTGCGACATGGGCCTCAGACCATTTAATTGTATTCTAGAATTGAGTTATTGTATTTCAGGGGAGTCTATGATTCCAGAAACGGAGTCTGTGGCCATAAATCAGGGTGAGAGGGGTTAAGAGATGATGGGGACATGGAAGATGCATTTTTGTTGTCTTTAAATTGCAGTTTCTGAGGGTGAAGAGAAGAATGAACCTGCTATCTGGAGACAGGGAAGGTGGGATTCATTCACCAACTCAACAAACACTATTAGCTGCTCTAAGCTGCTCTAAGCAACTCTAAGCACAGGGGACAGAGCATTGAGCAAAGAAGGACCCTGCCCTCAAGCAGCTCGCATTCACCTAGGGGAGACAGATCTGAAACAAACTGACAGACAGTATGCTACATGTCAGATCTATGAAGAAAAAGAGCTAAAAATGAATAATTGATACTATATTGTACTTATTCTGTGCTAGGTACTGTTCTAAATGCTTTACATGCATTCACTTATTTAAATCTTACACTAACATTAAAAGGTAGATGCGATGGTTCAATCCCACTGAATAGATGAAGGAACTGAAGCACAGCAGGTTAAATAACTTGTCCAAATGGCAAAGCCAGGATTTGAACCCAATAATCTAGCTCCAAAACCTATGGGCAACCACTGGGCAGGGTTAGGGGTGGAAAGTGATGGAGGGTGTAGCTTACATAGGGCGGGTAAGGACCTTCAAACAGATACTTAAAGAAGGTGAGGGGGTGACGGATATGGATATCTGGGGAAGGGAGGTGGGGCAGACGTGTCCCTCAGGGATTGAGCCAGGTTCCTTCTTCCAATAAGGTGGACTAGTGTTCTCTGTGCTGGGGGGCTGGAGGAAGGTTTTCCAGGGGCACCTGGTGGGAGGGGAAGGCTCAGAGAGATGCTTATTGGTGTGGGCATACAAAGACCCCTTTGCTGGCTCCAGTCAAATTCCTGTGTGTCCTCTCCTCCCTGGCCACTGCAGATGGATCCCCTCCTTAACAGAGAAGTGTTCTCAGAACACAAAAGAAAAAGCTGGAAGAGACAATCCCTCATGACAGGACTAATCAGGCTGGCTAATTATGAGTAATTAGAAACACCTCTCTCCCCCGTGGGTGGCCCTGTCCCAGTGTGAAACAGAATGAGGACTTAATTCCCCCGGGAAGGAAGCGGGACTGGGCAGAGGCATGAGAGGGAGGATACGTCCAGGAGCCCCTGGCCCTCCCTGCATGCCTGGTCTCCTGACCCTGCACTCAGTCTGTCCTGCTTGCAGACACAGACAATGGCACATAGAAAAGGGAGCATCTGGGACATCAGGGTGGAGCCGAGACAGAGAGAGCTAGAAGCATCTTTGGATGAGTTGTTTCACCTCTCCAAGACTTGGTTTCTTTATCTGTAAACCTGGGATAATCATAATTCCTAATCACAGCTTTACAACAATCTAGGGAGGCAAGCTAGCAAGATAGCCGAGCATGGGGCCTCAGTAAATTGTAGTGCTTATTACTGTTTTGTTTTGTCATCTGTTGCTTTGAATGACTTAAAACAGTTCTTTCCCTTCTCTGGGCCTCAGTTTCCCCATCAAGGTACTATGGAGGTAGGGATGGGTTACTCACTTACTCAATCAATAAATATTTCCTGAGCACTGACTTTATGCCCAGCCCTGGAGGTGGAATAAGACTGACATGGGCTCTCACATTCCAGGGAGCTCCTCAGGGAGCTTGGTCAATGGGTTGCCCCCAGCTGTCACATTCCAGGCTAGAATGGGGGGACCGTAGTAGACTGGCTTCTAAGGTCCCCAAGGTTCCTGCCCCCTAGAATACAAGCCCGTACAAGTCCTTCCTCTTGACTGTGGGCAGGACCTATAGATAAGATGGGGTTTTGATCTCCTGATCAGGCCAGTTATGCGGCAGAGGGGAAGGGATTCTGTGGATGTTATTAAAAACTCTAATGAGTTGTCTTCAAGTTTATCTAAAGAGAGATGATCCTAAGAGGACTTGAGCTAATTACATGAGCCCGTTAGAAGAGGGCCTAGAGAAAGCTTTTACACTGCTGGTGGGAGTGTAAATTAGTTCAACCATTGTGGAAGACAATGTGGCGATTCCTCAAGGATCTAGAACTAGAAATACCATTTGACCCAGCAATCCCATTGCTGGGTATATACCCAAAGGATTATAAATCATGCTGCTATAAAGATACATGCACACATGTGTTTATTGTGGCACTATTCACAATAGCAAAGACTTGGAACCAACCCAAATGTCCATCAGTGATAGACTGGATTAAGAAAATGTGGCACATATACATCGTGGAATACTATCAACCATACAAAAGGATGAGTTCATGTCCTTTGCAGGGACATGGATGAAGCTGGAAATCATCATTCTAAGCAAACTATCACAAGGACAGAAAACCAAACACCATATGTTCTCACTCATAGGTGGGAATTGAACAATGAGAACACATGGACACAGGGCGGGGAGCATCACACACTGGGGCCTGTCAGGAGGTGGGGGGCTGGGGGAGGGATAGCATTAGGAGAAATACCTAATGTAAATGAGGAGTTGATGGATGCAGCAAACCAACATGGCACATGTATATCTATGTAACAAACCTGCACATTGTGCACATGTATCCTAGAACTTAAAGTATAATAAAAGAAAAAAAAAAAGAAGAGGGCCTAGAAATCCAGGATGGAGAAGCAGTGGGGTCTCTCTCCTGTGGCCTTGACAAACCACACTGCCATGAGTGGAGAAAACTATGAGGCGGCAAATGGTGGGTGACCTCTAGAAGCTCAGGGCCTGAGTCCTACAACCACAAGGAACAGAATTCTGCTAACAACCTTGGGAGGGGACCCTAATCCTCAGATGAGACCCCAGGCCTGGCTCACTTTGACTGTAGCATTATAAGACTTTGAGCAGGAGACTCTGACCCATGGGAATGGTGGGATAAACAATGTGTGCTTGTTTAAGCCACTGTTTGCTGTAACTTGTTATAGGGCCCTTGAATGTATGCAAGGCCTTGGGCCAGCCCCATCCTGCCGGCTCACACTAACCTTCCCAGCCCCTGATTTGGGACTAAAGCCCTGGGTGCCTCAATGAATTTCTCACAGACAGTCCTCCCATCACCCATGGCAAAATATTGTTTCATCAGCTGCCAACCTGTTCCCAAAGTTGGTCATCAAAGATTGTTCTGTTGGCCCTACTTTTAATATAATTATCGGCATCATTTGCATGACACCGAGTCAGGGCTCAGGCTGTCACAGGCCCCATATTATCCTGAGCTGCTTTTCTGGGAAAGGCTGTATCCCTGCCTCATGCAGGCTGCTTCCTCCCACACAAATTATCTGTAATTTCCACACCTCCATGCTTGCCGTGGCCCTGCGTTAAAGCCAGGACTTGTGTGGAGCTGGAGCACACTGTTATTTTCAAAGCAGTCAAGCCAGGCTCCAGGAAGCTATAGGAACAGCAGGAGGGACCTAGCTTTGACTGCAGCACCTGCAAGGGGGGACAGGCAGAGGGGGTACGGTGTTCACCCCAAGAGTATCTAGACCCAGACCACTGAGGACAGCAAATGTGCAGACGGCAGGGCATGTGCAATGTGGCTCCTGAACACACATGATATGGCCTATTTGTAGGATACTCATCAGGGTCCCTTCTGTAGCCAACGAATATTATGCACAAATGCCAGGGTGTGCAGAAGATGGAGGAGAGGATGCAGGTAGAGATAAGAAAAGGAAGTCCTGTGAATAGAGATTTGGAAGCGAGAATGGAAATATTTCATTCTCCTTCAACCAGGGGCCCTGGAGGGTACTCAGCTCCCATGAGTAAACAGCTGTGTCTCTGGGAGGAGACTACAGCAGGTGAATGGAAAGTGTCACTCACTCTCTGACAAGAATTGCCTGACAGCGATGAAGCTATGCCTCTGCAGACAGGCCTGCTGCCTGCCTGAGAGTCTGCAGGAGAGGGAACATCTCTATCTCGGTGGAGAAGATGTGCTTTCCTATTCCAGATCTGTGGATGGCGTGTATGTGTGTGTGTGTGGCAGGCCTGCGCAACTGAGTGCATGCACATACTTGGACCGTATGTGAATGCACCTCTGGGCATACATGTTAAATGGAAATGCACGTGTGCATGTGTGCACAGTGTACTCGTGTGTAGCAATAAGTATGCATATTTGAGTATATGCTCATCTGGGTATAAGGGTGCATTTGGGTATTTATGTACACTAAGGACAGAGACTAAGGGCATTTAATGCTTCACATATGTCTCTTGCTATTGCTCCAGGCTTCAAGAAATTACTTCTTCCACCCACCCCACCCCCAACACACCCACACTTTCCAGCTCCCTAGAGGCATGTCTTCCCTTCTAACGTCATGTTTCTGGGGATAGAGCACAGGACTAAAAGCCCAGAGACCTGGTGTGTTGGCCCAGCTCTGCCACTAGTTAGCCCCATAACAGAACAAATCATTTCTGTTTCTTGAGCCTCATTTTCTTCATCTGTGAAAGGGGGTGGTAAATGGTCAAGTCTGCACTTAGCATTCAGAGTCCAAGTCCTTTGATTCCTGGCCCCACCCGCACCCACTCCCAACGGCCCTTCTCCCCTTGCGTGTCCTCACCCATTGCTGTGCCCTGTGGTCAGTAGGGGACAGAGAGGACTCAGGCCTAATCTGTGAGGAGCTCCCAGGCATCTCTTAACATGGGTATCCCTTCCTCCTTGACTCTAGGCTTTTTGTGAGGCAGCTTCAAGGATTTCTAGAGCTCTTGGAATACAGTTTGAAAATCATGGATCTAAGCAACCTAACCTTCATTCCCTTGGTTTCTCAGAGGATTCCAAGCGTCCTGGGGACCAGGGTCCATGGGGTGACTGAAAAGGTTCTAGATGGCATTGGTTCATCTGATGAGGATGCTACCTCCTGGCTCCTCTATGAGACATCAGGGGAAAGGAGTGCACTTGACCTTCTAGGGCCTGCTTCTGGGGTGGGTGTTCTCCCAGGGAACTCAGCCCTGCCACTGGAATGTCTCTGGAGCCTGTGCGTTCAGGGACAAAGGGCCTTAGTGGGGCAATGGGCATGGCTTACCCAGCTTAGGGGGGCTGAGCTTTCCAAGGCCTCTCTGTTGCTTGCTCTATTCTGATGCTGATGCTTCCAGGCCTTCCAGGGAGCACTCTCTGAGGCACCTGGGGCTTCTCAGAGTCTCTCTGGCCATCTGACCCCAGTGCAGATGTAGCAGACCGGAGGGCATTCTGAATGAAGCTTTCCCATAGACAGAAACGCTATTTCACAGTCTGGCATTCAAGGCTCACACCATTCCCCAAACAGGGATTAAATGGGCCAATGCACAAAAGGCAGTTACTTCCCAGCCTTTCCATACCCTGGTGCCTGTGGAAAATGAAAACATTTATATGTCTCCTGAGGAAAGTGGAAAAGGCTGCTTATGGCTGCCCAGGAGGCTGAGGGACCAGCAACTCAGCACACTTCTAACCTGTTCTGGACATACGAGCATGCTATCTTGGGATGCTTGCCCGCAAAGTATTAGCAAAGGGCTGACGACAGGGGTGCCTAACCATGGCTGCACATTAGCATCCCCTGGGGAGTTGTAAAACATTCTCTTGCCCAGGCCTCACCATGGACCAATTGTCTAATTATCTTGGGTGGTGAGGCCTGGGTGTAGGTATTTTTTAAAAGCTCCCCGGGGGGATTCTGTAGCGCCCGGAGGGTTGACAAGCACTGGTGCAAGACATGGTGAGCATTCGGTCGATGTCAGCTGTCTACAATAAAGCACCTGGGTCCTTGTGTGTGCTGTTCTTGCCTGAGCAGCGTAAAAGCTGGAGTGGGGTGGGGTAGAGTGGGGTGGGCTGGGGTGGGAGCCCTGTAGTCAGGGAGGAAACTGTTGCTTAGGAAAGATGAATGCTGGGTAGGGTGGCCTGGCATCCATCTCCCTCAGCCACGTCTCAGAAAATTGAATTAAAACCCATATTTTTCAGCTGCTGCCCGCCTGGCTGGCTGGCTTGTGGAAGGGAGTGAGGCAGTGAGCACCTCAAGGCAGGGAAAAGCTGGTGAGGGGGGCCCCCAGCCTCCTTCCCTAGGAGACAGAAGGCAGCCCAAGGGGTCCTCTGAGAGAAGACCCTTCCCAGGGGTGGTCCCTTGGCCTCAGGTCTTCCCAAAGCCAGGCACGTAGGGGTAGGGTGGGAGTGGTAGGCTGGCTGGCTTACAAGGTCAGAGCTAGATCTGGAGGTGAAGTTGATTTTTTGGGTGAATGGGTGGGGAGGCAGAGAAGAGGGGCCTGTCCCTGGGGAGGCCTAATCTCAGGGAACAGAATTGGCATAGCTCCTCTTCCAAGATTATTTGGAGAGACCACAGTGGCATGCCTGTGACAGGCGGAGAACAGCGCAGGACGTGAAAGCCTGAGTGGCTTCCAGAATTAAGGGGGTGGGAAGAGCTCACAAGGTAGAACAACACTAAGTTGGGCAGCAGGATAAGATTTCTGATAAGAAAGTTGCCTGTGTGTCCTTGGGCTAGTCTTGTTGCCCCTCTGGGCTAAGGTACCCCACCCATAGAGAAGGAGACTAGACAACCCTCCTGGATCCCAGCTCTAATGTGTGTTCCATGCCTCACCCAGGCTGATGCTACTCGGGGGGCTGGAATTAGAATCGAAATCTACGAGGGCTGCTAGCCTACACGGCATCTTTAAGACAGTTAGAGAGGTGCCGCCTCCAGGTGAATCCACTAGAAAAAACTGCCCTTTTTGGGTAGATGGGGGCATGCCTGGTTTGGTGGGCAGTGGGTAGAGCAGGATCTGGATTTCCAGCCCCACTGGCCCCTTCCAGGGGATCTGGAACCCGCAGTGGAAACTGGAGAACCAAGAGTACGGAAAGAGAATAAATCTGGAACTGAGTGCTGAACTTCAAAGTAGGGGGGCCTCTATCTGGAAGCCTGGCCATCCACATTCCCAGGATGGGCTGGTCTGCCATAGATGACCTTGATCTTCACCCTTCCTCTCACTCCCAGGCCCTCTACGTCCTGCACTCTGAGTCCCTCTTGACTCTGAGACTCCTGGCAGCCTCCTTTCCCTCACACTTAGTTTCACAGTTTATAGAGAGTTTTTATACACATCATCTCATTTGATCTTCACAACACCAGAGTTGGAGGCAGATGAAGAAAGCGGCTCTCAGCTCTCAGGGGTTAGGGCAACAAGCTAAGAAGGGGTTAGCCAGGATTAAAGGGAGGTCCTGTCTGTGTCTGATTTTAGCACAGCACCTGGCCCTTTTCTCTCCATTATTTCTTCTCTCCTTTCTCTTCATTCTTTCTTGATATAGATAAGACTGATATTCTCCTCCACCAGGAAGCTCTCCTGGACTGAAAGGAACATGAACCAATCAGACTACCAGTGTGTTGTGTCAATGGGGGTCAGCGGTCATTGGTCAGTAAAGAGAAACATGGACCTAGGAACCTCCACGCGTCTTTCTGGGCCCTCAGATTGCTTCTTTCAAGTTTCCATATGGATTCCTCTCCATCCACAGGTCCTTTCCTCTTTGGTAGACTGGCGACCCCAAAGGAAGGCTCAAGGCTCTCCCTCCTCCTTCCCCCTTCTTGAGGCCTCCTGGACAAGGTGGCCATACCTAGAACTTGGACCCAAAGGGAAGCTGAGCGAGAATTTACTTGAATGGGCAAGAACAGAGCCTGGCTGCAGAACTGAGAGCTCTCAGAGACTGACGCCTGAGGCAGGGACCAAAAACCGAGAGCAGAGGCAGGCAGGAGCAGCTGTGGGATGGGGGCTGGGTGGGGTGGGCAGAGGGTGAGAACTTGCCTGGGAGTGGGTAACTAACTACTCTCAGTTAAGTTTGGGCTTCGCTGCCAACCCGCTAGGCCACCTTTACCTGTGTAGTTCTCCTTATTAAGCCATTTGCACTAGGAGGAGGTTGGACAGGACTGTAATAACAGTAGCAATAGTAATTTATTCAGCATCGGCGAATCAATGATACCAGGGAGAAACTACTATGGGGTGAGTGTACCATTTTTATTTAATGCTGCTGTGAAGAGACCTGGGGGCCGGTACTATTGTTCCCTTGTGCAGATGAAGAAGCTGAAGCTCAGAGAGGCTGAGCCACTTACCCAAGCTCACAGAGCTGTGGCACAGCAGGGACTGGAGCCAGGCAGTCTGATATTTTAAGTTGCCTCTGTCCTGTAAGCACCACCATCCCCTTCCTGGTCTTTCTCCGGGGGCGGGGGGGTCACATTGGAGGACATCCCGACAGGCACCCCAAAACTAGCTGACCCTCCCAGGCCTGGGCGGTAGGGGCAAAGAAGAGCCCAAGGAGGGTCTGAGACTTGCCTGGTAAGGAAGGCTTCTTGGAGGAGAGGGAAGACAGGCTCTGATACACAGGAAATCTTGAGGACCTAGGGAGAAGAAAGAAGGCTTTCTAGTCCTGGCTATGATGGAGAGACTGGAAAGAGGGTGGTGAGCCCAGGAGGCCCAGAGTCAGAGGAGACGGGGATGACAGGGGGCTGAGGGCTCCACCTCAGCGCCCCCGACCCCCGCCGCTGGGATTTCCCGCCGCAGCTCCTGCTCCAGTCTGTGCTGCGGGTGGGGTCGGGTTGAGCAGCCCGGCGCCCCCCACCGCGCCCCCCACCGCACCGCCCTCGATCTAACCCCGCCCCCGGGCGCTCATTGGCCTGCAGCACCCCCTCCCCAGCCTGTGAAGTGAGCAGGGGGAGGCGGTGGTCGGTCGCCTCCCTCCAGCGCCCAGCCTGGCTTCGCGGCGGAGGCGGCGCCTCTCCCGCAGGACGGAGCCAAGCTGGACTGCCGCGCCGCGCGGGGCGGGCAAAGGGGGCGCTGCGCTCGGCCCCGGGCAGGGAGTGACGGCGGCGGCGGCGGCTCCGGGCGAGCGTGGTCCCCGCGTGCGCACACGCACACGCCGCCGCGCAGGGACACACGGACCCCGGCCGCCAGCCGGCCACACAGGCGCGGAGACCCGGCTCGGCGCGCGCTCCTCGGCGCACACGCTCCCCATCCCCGCGCCGCGCGGGCCGCGGACTTGCAGGCTGCGCGTCCTTTGCGGAGTCTGCCCCGGCCCCACGGACAGGCCCCGCAGTGAGCAGGTAAGGGTCGCCCCGCCGCGGCTGCCCCTCCACGCCTCGGCCGTCTTCTCCCCCTCCAGAACCTTCGCCCAGCCGGGACCTCGGATCCCCTCCTCTGGCTTGGCGGTCTCCGCCAGCCGCGACCTCCACCGACGGAGAGCGGGCGAGGGCCGGCGCCAGGCAAGCCTCCCAGATCTGAAATGAAGCCCCCTCCCGCCGCTGCGCCCTTCCTGCGCGTCAGGCTGACACCCCCCAACCCAAGTGTCTGGCGCTGCGCTCGGGGCGGCCGATCGCCGCAGACTGCCGGGGTGGGGGTCGACCTAGCTATCTCACGCCCCTCCTGATGCGGAGAAGGGAGACCAGGGGGGCAGGCAAGCCATGCGGCCGGAGGGACCCGGAGGGACATGCCTCCCTACCCTTAGGTGGACGGACGCACCTACGCGGATCGGGAAGGCAGGGCTGGAGGGTCCCCCGGGGCTAGGTACCGCAATCCGCACGGGGTTTGAGGGGTGGGCAAGCAATGTGCTAGGTGGGGGTTGGGGTAGGGGCCAGTGTAGAATGCCCCTCTGTGGTGACACATCCGGGATTGTTCAAAAGAGTGTCGTCTTCGTTTCCCGTGGCGCGGAGGGGCTGGGGTTGGGGATGCCAGGGCTTCAGTGGTCCCCAGAAGAAACGCCCTGCGGGGTCTGTGGGGAAACGCACCGGCCTTCCCAGGTTGAAGTGGGCCCGCTGAGACCCCTGCCTGCCGCTTTAGAGGCAGAAGCTCCTGCGGCGGCTGCGGGGGGCGGAGGCCACATCCTCGGCGGGACCTTGGCAGGTTAGGGGGCTCAGAAGGGACAGGGGAGCCGATGGATGCAACTAGACCCTCAGGAGGGAACCCAGCCGGAAGCCGATTGCATTTCACGTGGAGCTGAGGAGGGGAGCCTCACCCCTGGATGGAGCTCAGCCCCTTTTTGGAAGATGGGGGTGGGGTGGTGGACACCTGCTAATTCTTCCGACCATTTTTATGTTTTTGAGTGCAGGTGCGTCAGACTCCCTTTATCTTCCCCAGCCTTACAATGTCCCGCAAAGCCCCCCTGGCCCTCTCCAAGACACAGCATTTGGCTCTTCCCATGAGCGGCCCTGGGGAGGAGTTGGGGGATGGGAAGGGGCTGGACGCAGCATGTGGAGGGCAACTTGCCCTGGGACTGCAGCTGGCCAGAGGCAGACAAGCATCCTGAAGGTCAAGCTAGAAGCTTTGAGTGGCGGTAGGATTCCCAAGCAGATGGAAAACTATGTTTGAGCCTTTGGGGGCAGGGGCAGCAGGCAGCACCCAGGTTTTCTCAGGAGACCCCAATTAAATGAGTTTGGTGCTGGGTACAAGTAGCACTGGTGGAGTCCCCAGTCCTAAGCTAAGTTCTGCTCCTCACTGACCTTGGGGAGGGCAGGCAGAGGCACCAGCTTGGACACAAGCCGAAATCTGAACATACAGATTGGAGGTGGAACACGCTGAGCAGGCCCTGGGCCAGCTCTTCCAACTGATCCATCAACAAGTGTGTGTGGGGTGACGATGGAGGCGGGCCTGATACTTTTCCTCTTTGGCCATGGGTGGTTCATGGGTGGTTGGGTGTCTGGGACAAGACCCCCAAAAGTCTGTTTGTCCCCATGTGTGGTGAGGGGAGGTGTCTGTGGGGAGCCTCTGAAAGGATCCCTCTCCTGCACTCTCGGGACTGATCTAAGCTAAGGGGTGCATTAAGTCCTGTTTTGTATAAGGTTCAGGCTGGCAGGGGATTGATTGGAGAAACACTTTGGGACCCATGGCTTTTCACATGGCCACCTCTCTCTGTTGTGCGTCAACTTTGGGACACTCCCTCAATTTGTGTCGAATAAATAAATACACACATGGGAGTTTATAGTATATGTGGCTGAGAGGCTAGGAAAGCTAAGGCCACAGGGTGGCTTTTCTCTTGGGGACAGGGCTTAAGCTGGAGTGTCCCAGGTTGCCGCCCTCCCAGGGACAAGCATTTCATTGACCTGGGGCTGGCACTGATTAAGTGGAGGACATCTTGTGCTGTCTGCCACAGGGCAGAACCAAGGTGTGCCAAGTGCAGAGCCGGAGCTTAGCTCGGTGCCAGGAAGGCCTTGCTTGCCTGAGACCCACCCACCATGGGGCTGACACTGGAGGTGACAATGAGTTTCCTGTCCTGGGCAGGTTTGTGAGCAGAGGGATGATGCCCCAGACAGGAGCTGCCAAGTGGCTTTCCACCCTGGAAGGCCTAGAGGCCTCAGAGACCCTCAGCCTTCCCTGAGGAGAGGAATCTGATTCCAGGGTCTGAATGAGTTGGGCTTAGTGGTCCAGCCGCCTGGCAAGATGGAGACTGGAAACTCCTCAGCTGCGACGTGTTTGTACCGAGCTCTGGATGCCGTCAGAGGCAAATGGTGACAGCCACCCCCACAGTGACACACAGAGAGGGAATGACACACAGCTGGGACGGCATATAGGCTTTCTATGACACCTGCCAGAGAGCTGGGGCACAATAGTGACAAGCAACACCAGAAAGACAAATGGACGTTGAGACACACCCTCTCACACAGATCTGGGCACACCCGGGGACTCAGAGATATTTGCCCAAAGATCACAAAGGTCTTCATTAATAAAAGTCCAGCTGAGTATTGAATTGAATGGAGGAAAGTGTGTGTGTGTGTGTGTGTGTGTGTGTGTGCACGCGCGTGTTGCATAAGCCTAGAACAAGGGTAGGCAACCTTTTTCTGTAAAGTGCCAGATAGCAATTATTTTACGCTTGTGTCCATATACAACTACTTAATTCCACTGTGTAGCCTACTGCAGCCTTAGATGATATGTAAACAAGTGAGCATGGCTCTGTTCTGATACATTTTATTTATGGACACTGAAATTTGAATTTCATACATTTTGCCTGTGTCGTGAAATATGATTCTTTTAATTCTTTCCAACCATTTAGAAATGTAAAAAGCATTCCTGGCTCACTGGCCGTACAAAAATAGGCTACAGGCTGGATCTGACTGGCTGGAAGGGGTTGCCAGCTCCTGCGATGTAAGGTTAGGAAAGATAAATAAATGGTCAGAGAGGTTGACAAAGGGAGGGGCTTAGCTCTGATAGCTGCAGATGCCTGATGGTACCTAGGATGCTTCGCTCCATTCTACGTGGAGCTCAGAGTGCCCATCTGTTTAATGGGTCAGGCCTAGGAGAGGGTCCCTGCCTGGCCTCAGCACCCTCCCCCAGATTGGCCTCTGCTTTGTCCCTGTGATTGATTCCCCCACTCTAAAGACACCTGGAGACAACATTCAGGACTGAAAAACTGACTGCTGTCACTTGAGCTTGCCAAACAGTTCCTGAGCCCCCTTCACCATTCACCCTTTGTGTCCAAGTCTGTGCCCATCCTCATGGGTGGGGAAGCCACACGGAAACCTGGGCATGCCCCTTGTTTCTAGACAAGACTCGAAACTCACAATGAACATGATGAGACCTGAAACAGCTCCAAGGAGAGGGGCTCCTTATCTCAGGGCTAGGGCTTCTCAGTGGAGGGCAAGGTCATAAAGGGCGGGTGCTGCCTGAGTGGGCTTCCTGGAGGTGGTGGTGGGGGTTTGAGTTGGCCTTGGAGGATGGCTGGACACTCTCATCCCAGCTCTCCGCAGACTCCATGCATTGCCTTAGCTGCCCTCATCTTTCTCCCTCCTGATCGATGGGCACTGCAGAGGGTTGGCTGAGACAAACATATATATATCCTTCCTAGGCACCTCTGAACTTCCCAGCTGCTGATCTAAGGCCTGTGGACTTGTGTAGTGAACCAGGTCCTGCCTTCTGTTTCTTCCTTTCTCTACTGCCTCCTCCTGAAATTTCCTTCCTGCCACCTGTGGTGGGGGTGGGCCAAGGAGACACACCTCTCTCATTTTTCCGTGTCTCTGGATTCTGTCCCCCACTTTCCATCCCAACCGCCTTCCTGCTCAGCTTAGTCCCCCATCACCTCTACCCTAGATCCGGGAAAGGGCCTCAGGGTACATTTCTGCCTGCACTTTCCCCCTTCATCTCTGCTCCCCAGCCTTTGAAGGGATATTTTCTAAATGAGAAGCTGATCACTCCACTCCATTGCTTAGAACTCTTCATTGCCCCACCCCTGTCTGGTGGAACAACCCTCCAGCTTCCACAGACTGGCACCAGCCCTCCACCTTCTCATCCACCTCATCACCTCCTGATATCTTGTTGTGTTCCTTGACACCCTGGAATCACCTTCCCAAATCCATCCAGGGGGCGCTCATCCAGGTTTTCTGGGCACTCGTGTGTCTTGCCTGTGCCAGGTGCTGTGGGCACACGCACGTCAGAGCTGGGCTCATGCTCACTTAGGAGAGGCTGAAGCTTAACCAGCGTCTGCACAAAGGGAAAGGCGCTCAGTGCAGAGCTACTCCTCTCCACACCACACCCCCTGCCGGGTAGGTGCTCAGTGAACATTTCCACAAGCTTGTGCCTCCCTCTGGCCAGGCTTCCTGTTCTCCTTCCTCCCCTCCCTCCTCTCATTCGCTCCGTCCTTTCCCTTCCTACCTCCCTCTTCTCCCCGCATTTATCTTCTGCCTTCTTCCTCCCCCTCCTCTTACCTGGCCCAGGGGGTGCACTCCCTGACTCCTCCAGGTCAGGAGAGGTCCCTGCACCATCCAGTATGGAAGAGAACTCCTCACAGGACCCTGGGAAGGACTCTGCAGCATGACCTTGGGGAAGTTTCCTGGTCTCCTAGGGCCTCAGAGCCTCACCAGTGAGATGGGATGATACTGCCAACGGGCACAGGTGCCCCAGCCTGGCCCTTCCTTGCTTTGGACCTGGTTCCCTACCCAAGCTTGTGCGAAATGCAGGGCATGAGTGGGATCATCACTGGGGCCCCTCTGGTGGCCTGACTCCTGTCACCTTGTCACGCCTGCCATTGCCGGGAGGCCCCTGGCCCAGGAGTTTGTCTGTGCCCTTTATCAGCTCTGGTCTTGAGGAGGAAAGAGGTTCTAGAGGGTTTCCCCTCCTTCCCTGCAGCAGCTTCTGTCCCTCCCTTTGAGGGGTGAGTGGGAGGGGGGCAGTGTTTCATCTTTCAGCCTTCTGTCCCTTGTTCCTGGCCCTAGGAGGGAGAGGAGGAAGTAGGGGCGGTCCAGCTCCCCTGTCATGAGTAAATGGAGCACGGGGAGAGCAGGGTAGGCGAGTGATGTACTTAGCCTGGCCATCTCCTTTCTGGTATCCAGGCTTGTCCTGCCCTCTGATGGGGAGGGATGCTGAGTGGCCAGAAGATTCCAGTAGGAGGTGGCACAGATGGCCCCAGCCCCATGATGGGCAGATGAGAGTCCCAGGGCTGTGTGGCCCAAAGAAGAGGTGGGGTAGGCTGTCCACACACCCCTGTGTGGGCTTATGTGAGGCAGAGGAAACTGTGCTGCTCTGGGCTGGTTGGGAAGGGCACAGGGACATCAGAGCTTCCCACTGTGGGCCTGGGCCAGACGCTGGAGTGGGGCAAGTGTCCATCTCAAGAGCAGAGTTGCCTTCAGCCAGGGGAAGCAGAAGGGCTCTGCCAGGCTTTGGACAGTACAGGGATGGCTGGAGGGTCTCTGAGTCCCCTCTGCACGGAGATGTGGAAAGTCTTCGAGCCCAGTGAGTCACCGCTCGCTCCCATGTGCTGCCTGATGATGCTATCCTGTGTGTGCAGGGGCCACCACTTCCTGGTGCAGCGACTCAGAGGAGGACATGGCTGCTGTAGTCAGTTTCACTCCAGGTTCGGTGGCTGGGCTTATGAGGCCTGAGGAGGAAAGGGGAATGGTGTGCTATTGGGATCCCCCTGAATTCCCTTACAGTCCAGGTATCTGTAACACATCCCATTCCTGCCAGGCAAGCCTCCAGGCTCTATATTGTGTGACCTTGGAAAGTGTGTCGCCTTCTCTGGCCTCAGTTTCCCTATCTGCACCTTGGGAGGTGGGCTTTAAAGTCTATTTCAGGTCTGAAATGTTGTGTCTGTAACTAACTCTTCCTAAGGAGGAAACTAGATATAGATATGTGAATGGGTGTAGTGGCGGACCTGACCAGCCCCTGGAGGTGTGTGTGGGGGTCCCTACTAGGGTACCAGTGGACTCTGAACTGATCTTCATTTGACCAGTAAGAGAGGGCAGTGGAAGCATAGGGATGGAGTGCACCAACTTTGGAGCCAGACTGCTTGGGTTTACTTCCCAGCCCTACCAGGGACTTGCTGTGTGATTTTGGGGAAGTTGCTTACCCTCTCTGTGTGTCGGTCACCTCCGCCATAGAAGGAGCTAATGCTAGTAACTATTTCAGGCAGGTTAAATGAGTTAACACATGTTTATTGCTTGGAAGAGTGTCTGGCACATACTAAGTATTTAATAAATGTTAGCCATTAGTAAATAAAAGCACAGGAGGCCTGCTATTCCCATTTTGATTGTGACACGGTGCTGTGGGGGTGGAGGTGACAGCAACAGGGTACAAAAAGTCTGAACACAAAGTGGTGAGATAATAATAATAGTTAACACATGTATAGCCCTTACTGAGTGCCAGGCTATAGTATATACTCTATAGTTTCTTTGTATAAATTTGCTGATGCCTCACTGTAACATCTATGAGATAGACATTAATATTATTCCCATTTTTCAGATGATAAAAAGAAGGCACAGAGAAGTTAAGCAGTTTTCCCAAGCTCCTGGGGCAGAAACCTCTGGCAAAATGGTCCCAAGTCTGTCATACTAAATGCCAGGAGGTGACTTTAATCATCCTCAAAAACTATCTGCCCCAACAGAGTCTGGACCCAAGAGAGAGAGCCAGGGAATATGGAGTGACCCATTTTCCCATCCTGAGCCACTTTTGTGGCTGGGCTGAAATCCATCCTCAGGGAGGGGAGAGATCAACCCTGGGCTGCAGTGGTGGGGCTTGGCCTGTCCCTTGAGGGTGTCACTAGCAGCTTGGGAGAGTCTGGAGGAGGAGGAGCCACTGGCAGGGCTGGGGTGGCCAGCAAGTGAGGGGAGGCATCTTAGAGGGACACTGCAGAGAAGCACTTGGTTTGGGGCAGGCAGCCTAAGTCTGTAAGCTCTGAGCGTTGTCCAGTTGGGGGCAGTGCAGGGTTGCGGTGGGGGCAGAAGTGCCTGGAGGGGCTGAAAGGATTACCGCCCAGAGAGGGGAGAGGCTGCGGGAGGTGATCCCTGAGGTCCCCAGCGGAGTCGAGGCCTGGGAGCTCCCAGGTTCTCTCTCTCCTCCTCTTTGCTGGCGGGGGCGTCTGTGTCCAGTTGGGCAGGGGGTGGACTGTAATGGGTGTGGGGACCAAGAGAAGGTAACAGTGGGAATCAAGAACCCTGGGTCTAGTTCCAGAAGAGGCACCCTATTGAGAGTGCCCCAGCTCCCTTACCCTGGGTCACTGGGCTGGGGACACACCTGTCTCCTAGTAAGCAGCCTGGCGATGAAGCAGAGGGCTGGGGGTGGGTCGGGGCTGGGGCCTCTGCTGGAGCTTGTCTTCAGTCCACCGCAGCTACAGCTGAGAAGCTGCCCTTCCCACAGCAGGGGCGAGGCCCCTGCAAGTCTGGGCATCCCTGCATGTGTGCGTGCATGTACACACATGTGCATGTGTGCCTATACCTGCACCCATATCTGAATCCAAGTATATCTTATTGCCTCTCTATAGCTGAATGCCTTTGCTGAGTGAGTGTGTGTAAGCGTGAATTGTTCTGTATATCTACAGTCTGATATGTGACATATCTGAATATCTGAATTGTCATGTGCTTACATCTGCACATATCTTTGTTCTGTGTGTGGTCCTCTATGTGTCTGTGAAGGAGTGTGTGTGTCTGTGAAGGAGTGTGTGTGTGTGGTGTGTGTGTGTGTGTGTGGTTGCCTGTCGGTCCCTGAAGGAATCTCCACCTTGTGTATCCCCATCATGGGAGTTTGTATTGATACCTTCAAGTGGTGGCCCTGGGGATAAATGTCTCTCTTTGTCTCTGTAGGGTTGACATGTCTTTATGATCATCTCTGTGGACCTATTTCTGTGTATTTGTGTGTGTTTGTGTGTGTGAGAGAGAGAGAGAAAGAGAGAGAAACAGAATCAGAAATCCACCAGTCCTCAAAACACAAACTCACTCTCTGTCTATTTGCTGCCACCGGCTCCCCCACCCCACCAGAGCTGTTCAAACTCCTAGTTCCTCTGTGCCAGCTCCCTGGGTTCTAATAAAGGTTAAAATAGAGGCTTTATAATTCTAGCTATACACGAGCATCACCTGGAGAACTTTAAACAACACTGCTGCCCGAACCACAGCTGAGAGCTTCTGATTCATTTGGCCCGGGGTAGTTGTGGAAAGCTCTGATGACTCTAGTGGGCAGCCCAGGTTTCATACTGGGGTCAGAGGTTAGGGCTTTGCTGGGGAAGCAGTGAGTATCTGCTAGGGGGCAGCCCAGTCCTAACCGGGGTAGTGCTGCTGCCACCTCAACGTGTTGCTGGGAGCAAGGAGCTCTGTTTTCACCTTTTTGGCCTGAGGTCGCGGAAGGTGCAGGGAATCGACGCCTGATCTTGGAGGCTCTCTGCCTTGCAGGATCTGCCTGCAACACTCTGCTGGCCTAGAGAGATGGCCTCCAGCCTCTGTCACTGGTGCCAGACACTCCTCCCTCGCAGCCAGGCAAGTCAGGAGGGTTGTCTCTTTGCAGGCAGAGCCTTGGGTTCCCCAGGGCTGGTAGAAGTGACCAAGCCCTTTAGGGGCCACCAGTGCTAGGTCACGCCAGAGGCAGCCTGTGGCCACCAGGGGCGTGGCAAGCCCTGGGAGCTGGTACAGAGACGGAAGCCTGAGTGCCTGGTAGAGATGGTGCCTCAGGGTGCCTAGAAGTGCTGAGGCCAGTGCTTGCCCAGCCTGCCCTGTCCTCCCTGACCCACAGGAGGAGGCTGGGCCAGTGTTGCCATGGCTCCCAGGCTTCTCGGAGCATCTCTTGGGATATCTGAGGCCTCCCTCCCCATCTCTGCATAATATGGGGAGATGGGGGCTCCCTCTTTTTGAGCCTTCCTGCAGCTGGTTTTATTTCTGCTTTTTGGATGCCTGCTTATCTCCAGCTTAAGCTTGGAGAGGCCCTGTGGGAGGCAAGGAGAGAGGGAGGGGACGTGGTTAAGCAGAGAGTGAGGGACACAAAGACCCCTGGGGTGCAGCAGCTCTGCCTGCTGGTGGGGGGGTGTGCGAAGACTAATGGTTGGGATGCACATGTAGGATTTGCTTGGGCCCCCCATGGCCTCCCGGGCCAGGCACCTGTGGGTTAGCAGTGCCCTGATATGGGCCTACTCAATCTCTTTTATAATAATTTAATAGTAATAATAATTTTTAAATAACCATAACCATCGTACAGCTGAACTGGAGCCTATTTAGCAGTGCCTGTTGACGGATGCTTTGCTGTCCCATTTTTTATTGTTGATGCTATTTTAAAGGATGCTGTGGTGAATGTGCTTGCATATGCTTCTTTTTGTCCAATTGCAAATATTTATCAGATGCAGAATTGCTGTGTTGTAGGGTATATGTCGTAATGATCAATTTTAGAAGCAGAGTATACTCTTCCCCTGGGAGCGTGCTGGGCTCTTGCAGCCTCCTTTTTTGACTCCCTGTAACCTGTCTCTCTGGTCCCCACCAGTGGCCCCAGTCCTTGCAGGCCTGCCCCCTTGGAGCTCCTGCAGCTCTGAGGCCTGAGCACATGCTTCACCTGTCACCGTGTTTTCCGTGTCATGGTTTAAGACTTCATCCCGAAGATGAAGTAGAGTGAGGTAGGGCAAAAAGTGGGTGTAATTGTTAGGGTACCAGGCCAGGCAGCTGGAACAAAGAGGCCTTTTAAGGGGGTAAATTAGCTAGAAGGTGGTTTCCCTCTGGCGTAACAGTCTGGGGCTAGGTGGGCCTCCAGGCAGGCTGGGTGGCTGGGCTCCACGAGGTTGCTTGGCGATCCTGCCTCCTCTTGCAGCATTGCGCCCTACCCACTCAGATACGGTTCACGTCCACACTGTCAAAGTGGGGTTTGTTATTTGGGAAGGGTTAAAGAGCAAGAGCAGAGATCATGCCATGCCCTCATGCACAGAGGGTGCAGATGGGACCACATGCTGCCACTCACATTCCATAAGTGCTAATAACTTCATCATGTGCCCACACCTCCAAGCAAGAGATACCAGGAAATATCATCTCTAGGTGAGCATGCATGTGCCAGCTAAAACTTTGTCACTGTGGAGGAGGGGGAAAATGCAAAGGTTTGGGGAGGCAATCCCTCTGTTGCCAAGGAGAAAGCCATTCCAGACCATGCCAGGAGACTGGTGGAGCTGAGCCAGTGTGTGCCCACAGTATCGCCAGCACCTAGCACAGACTGAGTGCCTAGCACATGTTTGCAGGGCAGAAGAAGAAAGAGCAAGACGGATGCAGGCAGGGAGGTGGGGTTATCCTTGGAGGCTGAGAGCCGTGCTGCAGGGAGCTGGGGGAATAAGGAAGGGAGGTGGTCTTGCCCCCGGCCACTGCACTGGGCTCACAGGATTCACACCTTTCCTTCCTCTCTAGCCCAGAGACACATTGGGGCTGACCTGCCGCTGCTGTCAGTGGGAGGCCAGTGGTGCTGGCCAAGAAGTGTCATGGCTGGTGTCGTGCACGTTTCCCTGGCTGCTCTCCTCCTGCTGCCTATGGTAAGGGCCCAGGAACATCTCTCTGGGAGCCCCAGGCTCACCTGAGTCCCCGCTCCAGAGAACTCATGTTTTTTCTGTACCCTCAGCTCAGCTCTTCATCTGGCTGGTATTTCTGCCAACACCACCACTGGGCCACCCAGTGCCTTTGTGTGAATCAGAAAAGACATGCCTTCCTCAAGACCCTGTACTGATTTGACCAGAAATGATTACAAAATTTACAAATCTTTATGATGCAACCTTTAGAGTTGCACAGTACACAACCTGCTCAACTGAATGCAGGAGCCCTGGTCAGGGCTGCAGAAGCCTCTTTCAATTTTCTCGTCACCAGCCCACAATGCCCTGCCAGGATAGAACTCAGAAGCCTGCCCCCTGCTCAGGTCTCTCCCTGAGTGAAGGTGGGGATGGGGAGTGAGCAGAGGAGGACTCCCAGGTTTTGGTCCCGCCACTCTACCTGAGAGTTCAGAGTAGCAGTGGGTGAGGCTGTCCTCAGAACCCTGGGTACCAGTCCTGCCTCTGGCCTGACTCACTGTGTGGCCATAGACAAGCCTGTCCCTTTCCCTGAGAACTGCCTGCACATCTGTGAATAGTAGGGATTGGACTATGTCCCCAAAAATGGCCCTTGGCAATCAAATGCCTTGTGACTGCCTCCACACTTGCTGACATCCCCCTGGGAACCATCCCTGCCCTGGGGTTTTGAGTTAAAGGGACGGCATTTGGCAGCAGCTGTCATGATAGCAGTGCATGGGCTGTGAAGTTACTTGGTCCTGAACTTGAAGCCCATATCTGCTATTAACCAGTGGTATAACTTTGGGCTGGAGTTTCTTAACCTCTCTGAGCCCCAGTTTCTCCTTCTGTAAATAAGGGTGGCGAGTAGGCCCCACTAAATAGCAGCACTGCTCCTTAGCCTGCAGCTGCCGGGGGCACTTTTTTCCTGAGTTCCTGGAGAAGAGAGAAAATGAGCTTTCTCAGCCTGACTTCTCCCCTACCACTTGTTTTCTCCTCTAAACTGCAGTAGTAGCCTCGTGGCTGCTAGAGTCAGGCCTCCTGGGTTCGAATCCTGGCTTTTCAGCCTACTGAGCCATATGACTTTGAGCAAGTGACTTAACATCTCTGTACTTAAGTTTCCACATCAGTAAAATGGAAAATGATAAAAATAGTACTTCATAGTACTCTCCAGATCCATACACACACACACATATGACACTCAGAATAATGCATGCACAGAGTGAAGTGCTATATGCGCTTGCTAATATTATTATAAGATGTGGAAACTGAGACCCCAGGAGGGAGTGGGACCTGTCCAAAGCCACACATTGAGTTGGTGACTGAGAAGAGCCCTTATGGTGTCTCTCAAGGTGAATGTCAGGGCCCCTGCTGGCCCTGACATCTCTTGTCACCCTCCTCTCTGCTTCTGCTCCCCACTCCCCCCAAGACACTGCCCCTGGGGCTTTGGTAGGAGAGCTTACAGATGGGCCTCCTACCCGCTCCCACCATCCATCCTGTGTTCTCCTACAGGCCCCTGCCATGCATTCTGACTGCATCTTCAAGAAGGAGCAAGCCATGTGCCTGGAGAAGATCCAGAGGGCCAATGAGCTGATGGGCTTCAATGATTCCTCTCCAGGTGAGCGGGGCGGCAGGGAGCATGCCACGTCCCCAGTGCCAGCTTTTAGAACTGTTTTCCTGTGCTCAGGCTCGGCCAGTGAGTGGTCAAGGTATGGGTTTCTGGGGACTTCAGAAGGCCCTCGAGAATACTGATGTCCTGGATCTGCTCTGGGCAATGATGCTGGGGTTGCTCTCCTCAAGGCTGATGTGGTCTGGATGCCTCACAGCTGTTCTGGGTGACTGGACATGGCTGCCTTCTCTCCCACAGGAGCTGGGATAGCACTGGTGCCTGAGCTGGGCAGTGGCTGTCAAGAGCTTGTTAGCAGGCAGCATGGGCCTGGTGGCAGCAGGGACACAGCTATTGCCTGTGGCTGAGCTGTACAGCACTTGGTCAACCCAGGGCAGGAAACGTGGGGTCCTTTCCCACCTCTTCTGCTCATTGCATCAGAAGCCAGAGAAGAAAGCAGCAGCAGGAACTTCAGTCTTGAAGACTTGGGTACAACGCTTCTCCTGGGGCTGCCTTTGAGGAGGGTCCTGCTTCCCTCCACTGGAGGAAGCACACATTGCAGGACATTGAGCGTTCTTAGCCTCTCCCTCTAAATGCCCATAACGTCCCCGATCCCAATGACAATCACAAAATGCCTCCCAAGATTTCAAATGTCCCAAGGGAGTGGCACGATCCCTGGTAAGAACCAGTGGCCCCATCGAACCCCTCTCCTAACTCTCCATTGTGCAGATGGGAAGCTAAGGCTCACAGAGCAAAGGCGCCCTCAGCTCTTGGCCTCAGGGGAAGTTGGGGATTTAGGGGAGGGGGCATCACAGAGGCCTCTCCAACCTCACTTTTGCCTTAATCGTTGAAGGACTGGCTCCGTGCTGCCTAAGGGTAGGGCTCTCTGCTCAGGCTGGAGGGATTCATTTTCCTTCTGGATCCTCCTGGCTCCTCTGAGCACCATGTATTTAAGCACTTGACTAATCTGCAGCCCAGTTAAATGGAATGGTCCCACTGGACGGAGCTGCCCAGCCAGTTGCTTCTCAGTGAGCATTAACTGGTGAGGGAGCTACTCTGGACCGTGCCGGCCTTTGCCTCCGCTGAGCTCTTGCTCAGCCCTAACCAAGGTTGAACGTGGATTCGGGGCCCCACCAGTGAGGGAAACTGAGGCAGGGGGCCAGAAGGGCACACAGTTGGAGGAGACCCAAAGAATATCCCAAGAATATCTGGTCCAAGTCTCTGTTTGGAGGATGGGACTGCCGAGCCCTGAGGGCAGGGATGGTGTGGATCACATGGAGGATCAGGCTGAGGTGGGTCTGGAACCCAGGTGTCCTGCTCCCAACCCAGGGCCATTGTTCCTGCATTGCGTGTCTCAGATACATTTGGGGTTGAGCGACAAAATCATCCAGGAGGGAAGAATAAAGGTAGGGGCTGGGGTGGGACAGGGACCTCGGTGTAGGCTGTGTGCAGTTTAATTGCTCACCTGCTTGTTGAACTCTGGGCTGACAGGGCAAGACAGGCCTGTCCACAGGGATGTCGTGGCAGAGAAGGGAGATGGATGCCAGGCTGGAAATACAGCATCCCTGGAAGGGCCAGGCCAGTGCTGGGGAGGAGGTCTCACCTGCAGGTGTCCTCAGGAGAGGAAGAGATGAGTTCTTTGTGGGAAGGATTCATATATTGAAACTGGATCCTTGCTTCTTAAACCTGGCTGCACATCTGAATCACTGGGGAACTTTCAGAAAAACGTACTCCAGCCACAATCCAAACCAATTAAATCAGAAGCTTGGGTCTGTCATAGTCACCATAGTTTTTAAAAGCTCCCCAGGCGATTCTAATGAGAAGCTGGTGTTGAGAACCCTTGAGCTAGGCCCAAGGGATAAGTAGGCATTTGAAGGTGGTGGAGAATTGAGGGACAGACGAATGGGTGAACACTGTAGGCTGAGGAATCCACAAGAGGCAGGAGCCTGGTGTTTTTGGCAGTAGTGAGTAACCTCCTGTATTTGGAACTCAGTATTGGAGCAGATGGGTTGGGCTATTGAGGGGGCATGGCTGAGGGCCCAGGGAGCAGATATTGTGTATTTCATGTCATCTCCACTGGAGATGAAGGTGGGGGAAAACAGTGGCCGGCTCCCACTGAGCTGGCATCTCTGCAACTGCCCCAGGGGCTCCACTTGTGCCCTCTCAGGGACCTTGTGAGTCAGGGCTGGCCATAGGAGGTCAGGGTGTGAAGGATTCTCCAAGAATTGAGTGAATAGCTCTCCTTTAACCCTGTCCAGGTGGGAGAGGAGGCTGCACCCTCTCACGATCTGCTAAGGAGAGGATCCCTCATCTATCCCTACTCGTCCCCTCCCTTGAATCATAGGGTGGGGCTTTATAAAATAGAGCTGAGCTAATTAAGCAGAAGCAAAGGGCAGCCATTAGGTGGGAAAGAGGAAAAGAGTAAAGGCCCAGTTGGACCACCAACTCCATGACCCTTTCCTGCTCTGGGCCTCAGGAGCTTCTCTTTTAAAATGAGTGGAGTGGGGTGGATCATGTTAATAGCCAGACCCTCTATAGACTTCCTGTGTGCCAGGCTCTGTGCCAGCACTTCATTCTATCACCACAGCAGCTGGAGGGTGGGGGTGGGTCTATTATGACCCCTATTTTATAGATAAGTGAACTGAGGCACAAGGAGGTACTTTGCTTAAGGACATAGTCCATTAAGAGGCAGAGGCAGCCTGTACCCTCAACTGCTGGGATGCACCACCTCTAAAGAGTGACATGCTGTGGGTCCCAGCACCCCCCCGGGCGCAGCACCAGCCATGGGATCTTTGAAGGGCCCTTAACACCTTAATTTTCATGTCTGAAAAATGGAGGAAAAATGATACCTACCACATAGGATTATTGCATTAAGTGATAAAAGCCTGTGAGAAGTGCTAAGGACAGCGTATGGGATTTACTAAGCACTTAACTAAGACACTGTAGTTATTAGGAGCTGTCATCTTGGAGTGTTGGGGGTTTCCAGGGCTCCCACCTTCTGCTACATCCCAGTTCTTCTGGGGAGTAGAGAGACATCTCTAGGAAGCAGGTCAGCGCCACTTGGAACAATCCTGGAAGCCCCTCTGGAAGAGCAGGGGAGAAGTTAGGGAGCAGATCTGGGCTTCAGAGGGCAGATGGAGAGTACAGGAAGGTGGAGAGAAGCGTTCCGCTGGGGAAGGGTGGAAAGGGAGCAGTGAGTAAGGTGGGTGGGCACCGTAACAGCCAGCACTTCAAGGCGGGCACTGGGTTCTCTGTCTCTGTCTCTCTCAGACACGCACGCATGTGCGCGCGCACACACACACACACACACACACGTACAAGAACGCATTTAACCCTCACCAGCCTATGGGCTGGGTAGAGTTTTACCCCCACTTAACAGATGAGGCTGCTTAGACACAGAGACGTTAGGTTGCTTGTCTCTTACCTAGTAAACCCCTCAGCCGGGAAGGTGGAGCCAAGCTGTGCATGTGGATGGTTCTGGAGTCCGTGCCTTCACCCCTGGGCTGCATTTGCTGCTCAGAAGAGGAGTGAGGAGACGCCCTGGCCCTCAGCTTTCCCCTTGTCAGGGTGAAAGGTCATACAGCAGAGGCAGTTGCAATGAGGCTGGAAAGAGGCCTTGGGAGACAGGGACCCTGAAATGTGCTCCAGGTCCACCCTTTTCTTAGCTATGAAAAGGCCAAAGGGTGTTTGTGTTTCTAAGGCCCAGGAGAGAATGAGGTCTCGGCCTCTAATGACTTGCTTGGGAAGGAGAGGGGCAGGCCAGGGTGAGGGGAGGCCCCTGGGGAGGCTGTCCTGAGAAGCAGTGTCCATCTTGCTCACTTTGGGGCTGTTGTCTGAAGAGCTTGCCCTGCAGGCTGAGGTTGGGGGACTCCCCTCAAGGGCCTCAAGTTCAGGGATAGCATTGACCTTGCTGTCACTCATCAGGGGAGGCCTTACTCTTCCCCCATTGAACCTTCAAGAACCTCTGGCCTGCTCTTAGGGGTACCCTGGCTGGAGCTGGGCTTCTTGGCTCCAAATTAAACACACTTGTGAAAGATGGGCCTCTACCCCTCTCATCATACCTGCAGCACTGTAGAGCCCCCAGGAGCATTTAAAGGTGCTGATGTCGAGGCCCCTCTCCAGACCAAAGTCCTCAGCATTTGGGTTGGGGGGGTCCATGCAGATCTGTGTTAAAAGCCTCCAGGTGATTCTAAAGTGTACCCAGGTCTGAGAACCACTGGCCAGAGCACAGCATCCACCAGGGTACTCAAGTGATCTCAGGCAGAGAGCAGCCCCTCAGGGCCCAGATAAACCAGGCTGGGGAGCTCACTACTAGCTGAGTCAAATCTGAGCGTACCAAAGAATCGACATCTGTGCGTTGTGTTATTAATCCGTGCCAGTCCTCCTGCTGCATCTCTTTCCTGCACCTTCCCTGCCCGGGTGGTCCCCAAGCACACACGCCATGCACAGAACGCTGGCCAAAGGTCAGCTGATGTCCTTGAAACACACTTGAAAAAGGAAACCTGGCAGCTTGTTCCAATGCCTGTTGAGTGTAAACTCACAACAGTGTCTTTTATCTAGGTTTAATATACTTGTATATATTTTGTGTGTCTCTCATAATTTTTTAAATCTAGTAATATGAGTCAATTGGAACAAGAGCCCTGATCTGTTAGTTGAATTATGTCTGTGGCACTGTGTGTGTGGCTGGGGGGCTCCAGGGGGATCCAGGAAAGTACTTGTTTCCTTCAAGCCCCTGCTCCTCACTGGTCCTGGGACCTCTACCCTAAAGAGAACCTAGGATGGTGCTGTGCAGAGTGGCCTTCAGAGTGGTAGCCAGGAGACAGATGCACTGAGGGGAGGCACCCATGGTAGCAGGCAGCTTAATGGGGGTGAAAAATAGAGCCCAGAGAGGTGGCCGTGGGGAGTGAAAGCAAGCTTGGAGCCTGCCTTGCATTGTTTGCAAAATCCTTGGCATGTTTTAAAGGTGTTTATTGAGGAGAGGAGGGGGTTTGGAGACATAGTCATTTTGTCCCTTGTTCCAAACCCCCAAATGCTAATGGGATTTAAGCCAATACCAAGTTGGCTCTGTCATATGATGCCCACAGAGGCTGAGGCCAGAGGTGGTGGTCATTGGCCAACCACATTGGGGGCCAGAGCCAGCTCTGGGGTGGGATCCAGGTCTGTTATATCAGACAGGGAGTGCCCTTTCTCCCACAGTGCTCTTGTGACCAGAAGGGAGGGACAAAGGACGCCTGTACCTGGGAATTGGCATCTCCAGGCCACACAGCCCCCAGGCTCCGTTCCTTCTGCAGTCTGCCTGCCCAGAATGAGACCAGCCAGCATCTCCTCTTTGCAGGGCTGCAGGTTTTCATCAGCCCAGAAACCTTCCCTGCATCTAAGCAGGGTTGGTCGGTGTGGTCCTCCATGGGGGTCCCCACACTCTAGTGGAGGAGGAAGAGGAGGCCTGTGGTGGCCATGGCAGGGGCAGCAGAGAGCAGACTTGGAGGGAGGAGGGAAAGGCCTGCTCATTGCTATTCTGACCTGGTCTCAGAGGCCTGCCCAGGGCACCAAATGCCTTGAACCAGTCCTCTCTACGTTCAATAGAGGGGAGAGGCCAAGAGGAAGGAAGCACATCAGGGCTGGGCCCAGGCTTCCCCATCCTTAGAGCAGGAGGAGCTTCTTGTCTGGGCCTCTCAGCTGCTCTGAGACTCAAAAGGCATCAAGCCTGAGGAAAGGGTGGTGTCTGCAGGGACCCTCATGCTGAGGAACTTATTCGCTGTCTGACACAGGGTGTCACTTCTATCCAAACTTGTGTCTTCGTGAAGTCTGGTCATTCTAAAACTTGAATATCAGATCTTCTGTTAAAACACAGATTGCTGGGCCCACCTCCAGAAGTTTCTGATTCAGTAGATCTGGATGAGGCCTGAGCATCTGCATTTCCAGCAAGTTCCCAGGTGATTTTGCCGGTCTGTGGTCCATATCTTGAGAATCACTGACTTCCAAAGGCGAGGGCGGCATCTTTAGTCCTATGCCACCCCCAGCACTCAGCTCACAGTGGGATCCTCATTTCATGGAACAGAAACATTGGCCATAAAGTAAATTTCGGTAAATTGAATTGTTTTTACCCTTAGATTGCATGCTAAAATGGGGACCTTGTTCTAACAATACCTGGGCATCCTCAGGTGGCTTCTCAAAGGGAGGACCATGGCTTTGCCTGAGTCTCTTTGGTGCCCTGCTCTATGGAGTTTTGAACACTGTGGAACTGGACAAAATCATCACCATGACAACCCAGGATTAGCTCCTTATTTTGTTCCAGACAAAAGCTAATAGCTTATGCGTTCTCTTTCAGTCGCTCTGCCTGAGTGGATCCCTTTCCTCCTGCTCTCACACTTCACTGCCACTCCTGGGCACTTTATAAGGTCTTAGGTGGAAGCAGCTAGGGAGAGTGTACGCAGCACTCCCCGACCCACCCCTGGGCCTGAATTCCTCTCCCCATGTCCCCCAGTGGGGGCCTATACACAGATGGAGCCATGAGGCTTGGAGTGTTGTCAGGAGTGGAGAGGTCTCACAGAGAACAGGATCTGTTCTCATTTTCAACCTCTGGAGGACGAAGGGGAGGACGGGAACTTGGCCTGGGCTGCACTCGGCCATCTCCTCCCTGAAACATGTTTTCCTGGCTGCTGTGTCCCTTGCCTGTCCTGGTTTTCTTCCTCAGTCTTCTTTGCCAAGGCCTTTTCTAAATGCTGGCATTTCTGTTGGGGCCCGGCCTATTCTCTCCTGTTTTCTTCCCTGATCTTTGCTCTCTCACTAGAAAAACCATCCATGTCCGTGGACTAAATAGTATCCCTGTGCTGCCTACTCCCTGCCCTCTTCTCCAGTTGCTACTTCTCTAGACTCTAGACTTTTTTCCAGCTGCCTACTTCGACAGCTGTCTCCTCTTGGCTCTTAGCACCATCTCAAACTGAACATACCCCAGACTAAGCTCTTGCTTTCCAACTTGCCTAATTCCCCCAACATCTGGTTCTCACCTGGCCCTTTCCACTGTGGTAAATGATCCATCCATCCATCCATCCATCCATCCATCCATCCATCCATCCAGCCACCCACCCACCCACCCACCCATCAATCTACTTGTTCATCCAGACGCTGAAGCCAGAAACCTGGGAGACATCCTTGGTACCTCTCTCCCCTGCACTGTGTTGGCCTCGACTCTGCAGCAGTAACAAATCAATCTTAAAATCTCAGAAACTTAGCACAGTAACATTTCTTGCGTGCATGTATCATAGGCCAGTGTGATCAGCAGAGGTAGGAGGTGGAGCTCAACTTCACACAGTCATTCAGGGATCCAGGTTTCTACCATCTTGGAACACTGCTACCCTTAACATGTGGCCTTCAAGGGTGGTCCAGAGAAGGAAGAAAGGCAGGCTGTGGAAGCTTATGAGGGACATTTTAGAGGTGGATTCTGCACTTCCACCCTCTCACCATTGGCGTGCCCTCAGTCATGTGATGTGGGTGAACACTAACCGTCTTTTGCAGACTTGCCAGCCAGGTCCAGCCAGTGTGTTGCCAAGCCCTGTCAGCTCTGCTCCCGACTCTGTCTGACACAGGACTCCTCTCCAACCCTGCTGCCATTGCTCCAAATCAAGCTTTTTCATCTCACCCCTAGACTATAGCCATGTCCTAACAGGCTTCCCCATGTCTGCATGTCTGCTATTGGACTATATGATCTTCCCCACACAACCAAATCCAAGTGTGACTCCTTGTCTTAAAGCCTCTCTGTGGTAGGTCGAATAATGCCCCCACCCCGGCCTGAGAGGCCCACGTCATCCTAATCCCTGAAACCTGTAATATGTTACTTTACATAACAAAAAGAACTTTGCAGAGGGAATTAAGGATCTTGAACTGAGAATTTTATCCTGGGTTATTTGGGTGGACACAGAATAATCACATGGGTCCTTATAAGTGAAAGATGGAAGCAGGAGAATCAGAGAAGAGAGACTTGAGGATGCAAAGCTGCTGGTTTCAAAGAGGGAGGAAGGGGCCATGGGCCCAGGAATGTGGGTGGCCTCTTAACTCTGGAAAAGGCAAGGAAATGGATTCTCCCCTAGAACCTCCAGATGAAATGCAACCCTGCTGACACCTTAATTTTAGCCCAGTGAGACCCATTTCAGACTTCTGACCTGCAGGAATATAAGATGATGAGTTGTGCCATTTTAAGACAGTAAGTTTGCTTACAAACTTACAGCAGCAGTAGGGAATGAGTACACCATCCAGTGTCATCTCTAAACATTGAGCATAAAAATCTAAAATTATTAACACAACCCACTGGACTAAGAGCTCTGTGAAGGCAGAGACTGGGCCCTTTCTATTCACTCTTGTATTGCTCTGCATTGTCTGACTCGGTATGTCTTGAATAAATGAGTAATTAAGAGAGAGAGGGAGAAGAAAGTGGGAAGAAAAAAAGATAAAAGGAGGAGGGGGAGAAGAATGACAAAAGGCATCTTGAAATCTTCCAGTCTCAACAAAATTTAGCTTTGTTGAGACTGGAGTGTGGAACATATGGGTCTGTAGAAGCTGGACGTACTGTGTGTGAGTGGAAGGAAAATCAGTTGCTGTTTTTAGTTAGAAAAACCCAAGGCTGTCTCAGGAGCCCAACTCCCATCCTCCCAAGCTCCAGGGAAAGGGGCCTGGAAGGATTCAGCTCCAATCCGCTGAGGCCAGAGCAATTTCCATTCAAAAGAGGAGAGGAGGTGGGAGCCTGCTGGGTCCTCCCATCTGTGCTAGGCTGGGAGGTGGTAACTGCAAGAGAAATGGGCACCAGGGCATTCTGGGGAGCCCCAGGGAGGCAGCTGTGAGTCTCTTGAGACCCCAGCAATGCAGGCTAGAGGGCTGGATGGAGGCCTTCAAGCTCTCGATAGGGTCAGGGACATTGTCTTTGGGTCCTGGGGTCCTGAGGTCTCATTCTAGGTTTCCCACCTGCCCTGGTACTATACGAATTGTCTTTAGGACTCTAGAGGGGGCTCAGGCTGGGGACATAAGGGTTACCAGGAGGGCTTTGAGAGCTGTGGAAGATGCATCCTGAGAGCTCCCAGGCCCCGGCCTGGGGTGGGGCACCTTAGCAGATGCCCTTTAGGCAGCTGTAGCTGCCCCAGCCATCCTCTGGGCACCAGTAGGTCCTGGGTGAATCTCTGTTCCAGATTTGAGCTCTGGTCACTCAAAGCTGGGAGCTCACAGAGACACTCAGTTGTCCCTGTGCACATAGGAAACGTGAATCATGGTGGAGGGGGCGGTGACTGTCCTGAGTCACAAGTGAGCCTGCGGCGGAAGGAAATCAGAACTCAAGTTTTGGGGCTTCCGGTGCTAATGCTGAGTAGAGACCTGCCGTTTCCCCTCACTCTATCCTCAAACATCAATTTCACAGCTTTGTCTTTTTCTCCACCACTGGCCCTGGTGCATAGATGGTCCCTGGCACAAGGTAGGCACTCAGTAAATAGTTGTTAGGAGAATGCATCCCCTGTCCTGCTGCCAACATGAGAGCCCCCTTCTCCCCTTGTGCCACCCGCCCGACCTCTGCAGCCCTCCTCGCCCTCAACACTCATGACCCTGCTCATTCGCTCTGAAGTGGCCCTGTGACCTCGGCAGTGTCAGCTGGCAGCAGCAGCTGGCTGTGCCTGAGCCTAATGTTCTCCATTAAGGGAACATCTGTTGGCTGGGGCATGGGCCAGACGCAGCCATGCTCCACGGCCGTTCCACGGTCAACATGGGCTGCTGTAGCCAAAGATGTGCTATTGGGTCTCTTTCAAGGACATGATGTCACAGCCAAGCACATGCTGGCTAGATGTCCTCTGCTAATGGTTACACAGGAATTATTGATGACTGGCCTACTGCTATTAGACCTGATACCCAGCTCCCCTCATCTGGCCTTTAATGTCTTTGCCTTCTTGGGTTATTCTTCTCAGAGCTTTCTATGGTACATCTGGTTCCCAAACTCTGTCTTTCCATGAGCAGGATGCTATGGGCCAATGTGACTGGGTGCGAACTCCAAAATAGCCGGGTGTGAATTCTGAGAGACAGGATTTTCTCCGTCTAAAAGCTGTGGATACCTTCTGGTCCAAATAGCACTCAAGCGTCACAGACCCCAACAGAGACTGTGAGCTCATGGCGCCTGCTCCAGGCCCCTCCTCTTCCCAGCACCTTCCCAGGGGTCCTCTGGACCTGTCAGCAGCCCTGCCCCAGGCCATCTCACCTTGCAGGTCCCTGCTTTACCTCCCTGCCTATGGAGGCCTCTCGGGGCAATGGTTCCCAGGGACACCTAACTGGGATAATGAAATTAATGATTCTGTCGGCAGTGAACAGGCATTGAATGAGCCTGGCTCTATTCTGAGAGCTTTGCACGTATGAACTCATTAATCCTCACAGCAGCCCTGTGAGGCGGGCACTGTCGGTCACCTACTGTCCCTGACATGGCACAGAAGCCCTCTCCATAGCCTTCCTTTATGATCCCCTAAAAGCTGCAGGCCTCTTTCCTGCAACTCTACTCTGCTGCCTGGCACTCCACACTCCTGCCTCCCCACCATCCTCTGCCACTCTCTCCTGCTCACATCACTACCTGTGCTTCCTCTGCCCACTCCATAAATATGGGTTCTCCAGGGTTCCTTCCTCCATGCTCTTCTCACTTTATGTCCCTTCTCAAAGTGAGCTGTCTCGTCCCATGGCCTCAATCACTACCCACAGGCTGGAAGGAAAAGTGAGTGGCAGGGCCGTAGGTAGGGTCGTAAATACCATGTTAAGGATTGAGGGTGCTAAGAGCCCAGAAAGCATGGGATTGTTGGTGGGGGGCTTGTGACATGGCCAGATATTCATTTTGAAAAGCTTCTGGTCATAGCTGTGTGGGGTTTGTGTACCTGTGGTCTCAGTGAGGGGTCCTGAGCCTCTTCACTGAGTAGGGTGAAGGGATAGAGAGTGGGGCATGGATTTCACAAGGTTTCAAGGTAAAACCAGCAAGGGCTTGATCAGGAGCACTAAAGGGAAGGAGCTGAAGTGGGGTGACTCCCAGGTTTCCAGCTGGGGCTGGAACAGGCAATCAGGTTTGGGCAGGAGATGCTGCACTGAGTCTTGGACTGCTGTGTTTGAATCATCTTTGGTTCTTCAAGGTGGGGGTGTCCAGCAGGCAACTAGCTGTGGGCTCTACCCTCACAGAGTGGGCAGGACAGAGTTGTCCACATGAAATTCTGTAACATCCATGAGCAGGGTGAGCTCATCCAAGGTGGGCAGGGTGGGCGGCCAAAGGCAGGACAGCTACCAGCACCTGCATTCGGTCAGGGCCGCTGGGCGGGACCCAGTAAGGGCTGAAATTGTTCCTTGGATTTGGCAGTGAAGAGGTCGCTGGTGACCTTGGTGAGAGGTGTTTCAGCATTGTGGGAGGACAGAGTCAGAGAAGCAGGGATGGAGCAGGAAGAGGTGGTGTCAGGCAGTGCGGGGAACTCTACAGAGGCTGGCAGGGCTAGAAGGAGAGGCAGGCACCCGGGAGAGGGGAGCCGCTGGGCCCCCTAGACCTGAAAATCTGGTCATAAAGCTTGACAGTTTCCTCTTCCTTGCAGCTCATGTCCAATGAGGCACCAAATCTTGGGGATTCCTCAACACCTCTCAGTTCGTCTGTCCCTTCCTCTCCATCAGTCTGGAGATGCTGTGGGGGGCCTCTGCAGCAATCCCGGCCTCCACCTCTTCTGGTTCCGGGTCCTTTCACAATTCTTGCTTGGCGCGTGCAGGCTTCTGCCTGGCTGGCTTTCCCCTCTTCTCCAGCTGATGAATTTGTGTCCCCTGCTGGGCCTGCCTTGGGAGTAGGTGGGGGGAGTGGAGCAGCAGCCTTAGACCAGCCTGTTCCTGCCCCTCCCCTTAGGGCGGATGGGGGGCCCTGCTGAGGGGGTGGATCTGAAGTGGGACCCTCAGTGGTGGCTGAGGAGGGGCTAGGGTGGGCATGTGGGAGAGGCTGCTGCAGAGACCCCTGCATCTCAGCATCTCATTCCTAGGGATCCAGCCCTGGCCTGCTGTGTCTCCCCTCCCCACACACCTGTGATGTTGTGCAGCTGTGGGGCTGCGGGTCTTCGGGGGTGTGGGGCGGTGTAAAAACAGGTGAGGGCTCCCTCCTTCCCGACCCAGGAGCTCCTGAAGTGCCTTGCGTCTCCATTCCTGTTTGAGGGATATTACCGGTGCAGGGCTGAGCCCTCCCTCAGACTGTAGGCCTTGCCTTTCCTCTCCTAAACCACTCCCGGCCCCCTGCAAGGGCCTGGCTTGTAAGCCGTGGAGCACACCTCAGTGTGTGTATATATAAGTGTGGGTGTGTGTGTACATGTGTGATGTGTGTGTGGGTGTGGTGCATGTGTGCACATTCATGTGTGATGTGTGTGGTATGTGCTTACATGTGTATGGTGTGTGTGATGTGAGTGGTGTGTGTGTGATGTGTATGTGTCTGGTGTGAGTGGTGTGTATGTGATGTGTGTGGTGTGTGTGTGATGTGTGTGTGGTGTATATGTGTGATTGTGTGTGGTGTGTGTGGTGCATGTGTGTGGTGTGTGTAGTGTGTGTGTGTGTAGTGTATGTGGTATATGTGGTGTGTGTGTGATCTGTTTGTGGTGTGTGTAATGTGTGTGTGGTGCATGTGTGATGTGTGTGTGTTGTATGTGTGTGTGATGTGTGTGTTGTGTGAATGTGTGTGTGTAGTGTGTATGATATATGTGTGTGGTGTGTGTGATGTGTGTGTGGTGTATGTGTGAGTGGTGTGTGGTGTGTGTGGTGTGTGTGATGTGTGTGTAATGTGTGTGTGGTGTATGTGTGATGTATGTTGCTGTGTGGTGTCTGTGATGTATGTGTAGTGTGTGTGTGTGATGTGTGCGGTGTCTGTTGTGTGGTGTGTGTGTGATGTGTGTTTGTTGGTGTTGTGTGTGTGTTGTGTGTGTAGCATGTATGTTGCTGTGTGTGGTGTCTGTGGTGTGTGTGGTGTGTATGTTGGTGTGTGTGATGTGTGTGGTGGTGTGTGTGTATGGGTGTGTGTGGCTGGCCCCTCTCACCATGGCTGTCTTACCCACAGGCTGTCCTGGGATGTGGGACAACATCACGTGTTGGAAGCCCGCCCATGTGGGTGAGATGGTCCTGGTCAGCTGCCCTGAGCTCTTCCGAATCTTCAACCCAGACCAAGGTGGGTTTAGCCCAGTCTCTTTAGGCCACGCTGGCCTAGCCTGCTCCCCAAATTCGGCCCCAGGCAAGCACCAAGGACAGGGAGGCCACCCTGTGGGCAGACAGTCCCTGCTCCTGAGCTCACATGTGGTGTGGGGGATGAAACCACAGACACTTGCACACACGGGGACACAGGTACACATGGGAACCATCGTTGTGGATGAAAGCAAGGCTGTGCCCTCACGCGTGGGATCCATGCCAGCTGTCACTCACCCTCCAGCCCAGGTCCCTGTCTGTCAGCTGGGTATGTGGCCCGGTGGCCCCCTCCCAGGGTGCTTCTGTGAGGGTAATGTGAAGCGATGCTGTGGACGCCACTTAGCACAGGACTTGGCGCGCTTTGAACGTGCAGTAGTAAATGTTAGCTGGGATAATTGTCACCATCCTCCCACAGCCACAGATCCTCAGCGCCCAGTGGGAGGCATGGAGAGAGACGCACATGTAGACACCCCCCTCAGGCAGAATGAGACGCGTGGGGAAGGCAGCTGGACACAAGACACCCACGTCCACATGCAGAGCCACTTAGACGCAGGCACAAGGCCCGTTGGGGCTGGCGCACACTCACGTTTGCTCAGCAGAGCATTTTCTGGGCCCTAGCTGCCCTCAGGCAGTTACACGGGCTCAAGATGGGAGGAGCTGGACCTTGGGCTACCTGGGGAGAGGGTGCCACACACGGGGAGCAGTGCCACAGTGCTGTCGGTGACTTGTGGACGTGGGCTTGGAGGCGCGGGTGTGCGATGGCGCCTCCCTGAGAGGGAAGGCTGGGTGGGTGCGGTGTCCTGCAGACCTGGGTTTGGGGCATATCTGTGTTTGAGGTCTCTGAGGGCCACTGAAGTGCTGTGGAGATATCCAGGGGCCACCAAAACGATAGAGCAGCCCGTGAGTGGGCAGAGTGGCTGAGCTTTGTGCACAGGTGGGATGTAGGGTGAGGGCAGGGGAGAGAAGGCGATGCTCTACCCACAGGCAGAAGCCCTGGTAGCCCCATCTCCATTGCAGGGGGTGTCTGAGGGAAAGGGGTAGCTGTAGATGACTTCTTTGGATATGGGTCCCTTGGGCTCTTCCAGAACGGTTCCTGCCTTTCGGCTGGGACCTGTGAACTCCTCCATGGGCCTTCTACCCCATCCCTGTGAGTGTCACAGGAGGCAGGGTGGCCAGCTGAAGGCACTGAGTTGGGGCTGGGCAGGGAGAGCTGGAGGGACTGGCTCCAGCCAGGTGACTTACTGAGCCACCTCCTGGCCATCAAGCCATGGGCGGGGGCTCCCGAGGGTATCAGAGGGATCTGAGTTGTGTGTGGCCATGTGACCTGGCCTTAGCGTTCTTCTTTTCCAGCCTAAGGCTTAGGCTGATGTCCTAGAAGGGGCGAGTTTCCAGGCTCCACTCCAGCACTGAGTCCTGCCTGCTGCAGTCCCCTGTCTTCTCTGAGAGGCAAAAGGCAAATTTGCTAATTTGCTGTCAAACCTCGAATTCCAATAACTGACTCTGTCCTGGAGGGGGAGGGGCTTGCAGGAGGTGGCAGAGAAAACAGTGGCCTGTGTTGGGGGTCCCAGGTCCCCCCGTCTCTGGCTCCCACCCCAAGGTTTGTCTAAGATGCACTGCACTCTGCAGCAACACCTCCACCTCCAGACCACCGGCCGGCCCGGGAGGAGGGTGGCATTGAACTCTCCCATCTGAGGGCCTGGGGATTGGGTGTGACCTGAGCAGTCCAGAGTGAATTTTGAAAGGGGATACAGGCAGCGGAAGTGCTGGAGTGAGAGATACAGTGGGACTGGGGGGCAGTCAGGCATGGTGGCAGCCAGTGAGTGATTCAGCCTGATTTCCAATTCATTCCTGTAGAAGCCAACTTAATCACTTCCTCCATTCATGTATTTCTTTCGTTCCGTCATTTATTTAAAGTTTGTTTATTGAACATCTACTCTGGGTCAGATTCCATGCCAGACTCCGTCTTCTCAACAACGAAAGGCAAAATGAATCAATGGTAAAATAAGATTTTCTTAAGACACACTTTCCTCCACACTCCCTCCTTCCTCTGGCAGTGGCACAATGAAGGTGTTATTTACACCTGATTCTTAATGGTTCATTAAGGCAGGGCCTTTTAGCACCTCTGTTCACAAAACTTGATTGGTGAGACTTGCCTTGAATACTTTGCAAGGAGAGAATGGGATTCCTGTGTTTCTTCTCAGTTCCCAGGTAGCCTGTTGTGATGACTGTGGCTGTGTAGGATATTGGAGAGACTGGAGATGTGGGAGCACGGATCTCCCTCCTCCTCTCAAATGCCTCTGCTTGTTTCTGTTCTGGAGGTCTCCAGTGTCCCCAGCTTATAGTCCTGATGCCTTCTGGGTCCCCCAGAGCCCCTCTTTAATGTTTGGGGTTGGGAAGGAGGAGGAAGTGATCAGCAAGACCCAAGGAGAGCAGCCCCTGACTTTTCTCACCCCGCTGCTCACCTCTGACTTTTCTCTCTCTCTCTTTCTCTCTGTTTCAGTCTGGGAGACCGAAACCATTGGTAAGAGGAACCTTGGTGAGGATAGACCGCTGTCTTTCTGTCCATCCAGCAGGAGCCCAGCCTCAGGAGATCCCAGGCTCCGGCTGCTGGGATTGGGGTGGGGGTGGAGTAAGAGGCTCACTGGGTATCAGGTTCTTTCCTCCTTCCTTCCTCCCCTCTCCCCGACCTTGGCCATTCTGGAGGTCGGGGGGCACAGGAAGATGCACAACACAAGCACGACCTCAGGTCCCTCACAGGCTTGTTTGGGAGGACAGGACTTACCAATGGAGGGGCTAAGAAACAAGCTCACGCATGAGTGTAGCTGCATATATGTGCATATGCCCAGACCTGAACATGTGCATCAGTCCATGCAGATATTGACATCCCTGACAGCTAAGAAGCCGGAATGCACAGTGAGCAAGAGAACAGAAGAGCAAATGATGCAGCATGCAGGCAGAATAGTGAAGAAGTCAGGGGAGGCTTCCAGGAAGAGGTGGCATGTCAGCTGGACCTTGGGAAAGGAGTTTTGAGAAGCGGGGATGGGGTGGAAATGGGGTCTCATTGCTAACAGGGGGTTTGGCATAAGAAAAGGGTGGAAATGGGAATAAAGGGTAGGGAGAGAAGAAAAATTGTCTGAAGATGAAGTCTTCTGGATTCCCTTTGACGGAGAGCAGTTTTGGAGGCTGAGGTGGAGGGTCGAGCACCAAAAAGGAAACCCCAAGCCCTGGGCCCACGTTGCTGTGGTTTGCCCTTTTTTTGAAAAGGCCCAACCATCCCTTTTCATTTTCTCCCATTCCTCTCCATTCTGGAGGCCCTCCCATCCTCCTGGCAGTGCCCATTTCCATTACCTGTGGTGGTGGAGAACTGAGTCCTGGACCATCCTGAACGTCACAGAAATGCAAAGCAAGTGAGAGTGGTGTTAGAAGGTGTAGTGTGTGAGAAAGGTGCGCGGCTGCTATGTGTGATATTGCCTCTTGGCCAGGACTCCATCCCCTACTTCCTGTAGACCAGGGGTAGCCTGAGCCTTCCAGGGTGGAGAGTAAACAGTAGCTAACTGTAAGCCAGGCATTTTGATATATGCCTATGTCTGTATTTTTCAGGAGAGTCTGATTTTGGTGACAGTAACTCCTTAGATCTCTCAGGTAAGGGGTTAGGCTGGGGTTGACCATGGACTGGCTGGAGGGAGGGCGTCTGCTGACATGTGAGCTTTGAGAACCCCATCCCAGGCTGGGCTCTGCTCCTCTGTGGCTGTGTGATCTTTGGCAGGTGACTTTTTTTCTCTGATAAAGGTACAGATTATCTTCATGGAAAAGCACACAGATAGAACATCGTGTGTAGAATTTCAGGGGGGCCACAGATGTCTTAGAGTCCCTTTGTGGACTTCAAATAAAGAGCTCCTGGATTGGATGATCCTTGACTGTTTCTGAACTCCAGCATCTAGAACAGTAGCTCTCAAACTTTAACCGTGCATCACAGCTACCTTGTGCACTTGTTAAACCCAGGTTCCTGGCAGTCTCTAATTTATTCCGCCTGGGGTGGGGCCTGAGAATGTGCTTGTCTCGCCAGTCTCCCAGGTGATGCTGATGGGCTGATCCGGGACGGGCACCCCTTCGGGAAACGCTGCCCAAAAGTTTCGTGTTCCTGTGCAGTTACTGGGGCGAATCAGCCTAGTGAAGTAGGCACAATGACCGCGGGGTTTTGACAATCTCAAGAGCACTCCATCTTCCGGAGATTTCTATCAGAACAATACAGTGGCAAATTCACAGAACAGTTCTGAACAAAAGGGTTTATACTTCTCTGAGCCCACACTGTGTTATAAAAAGGAAAAAAAGAAAGAAGGAAAATAAAAGAAAGGAAACCGCTTTTCCTTCTAGAACACTGTTTTCAAAAAAATTGTTTTTCAAAGCAGCTTCCCTTTCCTCTTCCCACCATCCTGATGTGAGCAAAGCAGAGAGGAAATGAGGCCCAGGGAGGGGAAGGAACTTGGCCACGGTGGTGATTTCCCTGGGACATTCAGACTTTCTGAAAGAAGTGTTCAGAGGGACTTAAAAGGAGGTTGCCTGAGACAGATTTGCTGGAAGAAGGGACAGTTTGGCATCAGCTGTGGGACAGAAGTGAGCTCCTTTGCTCTCTCTGGGCTTGCCAAACTTCCCCCTTAGCCTGTGCCGTAGAACTCAGAGCTGGAGAAGGACTGTTGGAGTCTCCCTGTTGTGGGCAGAACTCTCCTTTCGGGCAGAGTTACCCATCCCAGGAAGTTCATTTCTGACTTTCTTGGCTAAAGAGAACTGGCCTTAGATCTTCTAATGCAGGAAGCGAGGGACACAGATTGGAAAAGTGGAAGGATCTCTTCTCTTGGCCTCTGCCTCCCACAGAGGCTGACCTGCTGCCCTCCTTGCCTCTTTCCTGAGCTCCCTGGAGGTGGCCTTGGCCACAGAGGGGAGGTTTCTGTCCAGCAGTATGGGTACTGGAGCCCCTTTTCTGCAGGTGTCTCTTGTTTTATACAATGTCTTGGTCTTTGAATGCTGTGAAGGGAAGAACCAACCACATGTGTCCTGATAGACCGGGTACGCTCCCAGTGTCAGGCGGGGGCCACACTCAGGTGCTGGGCTGGAGGAAAAGGGAGCTGCTTGCTCACCCCCCTGCCCTGGACATGAGTGGCTCACCATTATAAACCATCGGGTGAAGGGAGAGTGAAAAAGCAATCATGAAAGACTAACATGGCCCTGGGCAGGGCAAAAACCAGCCTGGACTTCACTGTGCAGCCAGCAAATGACTCATTTAATGGCCATGACTGATCCCACCCCCTCGAGTGTCCCACTGAATGGCCTTAAAGTCAACCAAAAGCAAATTAAAGTACATTAGTGACAGGAAACAGCCCTCCCAAACTCTGAAAGACAACACTTTAAAAGAAACCCAAATATATATCTTCGTAAGATCCGGCCCTACGTTAGTGGAAATCTGGACCTTGTTAATGAAGCAAGCCCTGTGTCCCCTTGATGTGAGATGTTGCAGCTGCTGTGAGGCTTAGAGCTCTGAGGGAAAGCATCACATCAAGCTGTGTTCCCAAGGTGTGCCAAGGACCCCACCCACACCCTGCAGTCACCAGAGGGGATTCCTGAAAGTGCCCAGATCTCCTGACAGAGAATCCCTAAGGGCAGGCCTGGAATCTGCATTTGTGATCAGTCTCCTAGGTGGTTCTGCACACTGACATTTGAGAAGTGCTGATCCAGGGCCCAGGGGAGGACTCAGGCCCATCCCTGATGAGCATTTGGAAATGTTCGAGAGGGGAGGGATGCAGGGATGCTGGATTCAGCTGGCGCAGTCTCCCCATCTTTGGTTGAGATGAGCTTGCTCTTTGTCTCTCCATCCCTCTGATCAGCAATCACTGATTTCTGAAACCTTTCCCCATGCTTCCCAGTTGGTCATAGGGGTTTCCAGGAATTCCCACTGAATACGTAATTTTTGCATAAGAATTTCAGGGCCCTCTTAATCATTTCTGGGCCTCGCTGAGTTTTCTTTTTGCTGCAGACATGGGAGTGGTGAGCCGGAACTGCACGGAGGATGGCTGGTCGGAACCCTTCCCTCATTACTTTGATGCCTGTGGGTTTGATGAATATGAATCTGAGACTGGGGACCAGGTGAGTGTCTGCACCCTGCTCCCCAGAGGTGGTGAGGGTAGGGCTGAGGAAATTTAGGTCAGTAGGCAGCATTCATGAGCACCTGCTGGGGCTGAGAAGCAACTGGGATGCTGCCTACTCCTCCCCACCTGCACCTGGCTACTCTTACAGGATACTGGAATTAATGCCACTGGGTTAATGCCAGGCCCAGCAAGGGGCTTCCTGGACCTTTGTGTAGTCCAAGGCTGTGTCTGTTCTGATTGGACAGCGCTCTTGCCTTCAACAGCATATATTGAGCATCTGCAGAATGCTGACAGTGTGCAAAGGGGACCAAGAGGCTTGGCCAGGGGTGGGAGGTGGTGGAGATGATATCAGCAGAAGAGAGGAAGGAGGAGCTAGGCCTGGAGGTGGGCAGGCCCTGGCCTGGGAGACTGGGTGCAGGCCTGAGGCAGCCTGGCTGTGGGCAGGTCTCACATGAAGTCCTGCATGTCCTGTGCTCTGCTTCAGGATTATTACTACCTGTCAGTGAAGGCCCTCTACACGGTTGGCTACAGCACATCCCTCGTCACCCTCACCACTGCCATGGTCATCCTTTGTCGCTTCCGGTGAGACCCTCAGCAACATTCAAGCAAGCACCAGAGCTGGCCAGGGCCTCAGAGGCCTTGGTGCATCTCTCCCCTCCCCCCTTGATGTCAGCCCTAGAAGACCCCTTTGAAGGCATTTCTCCCACCCCAAGGATAACAGATGGGAAACTTCACTCCAGAGAGGGCAACTGACTTGTCCAGGGCTATGCAGCCAGGCAGAGCCTGGGCAGGAGATCTGCATTCCTTGCTTTTGTCTTCCTGGTCTAGAAAGACAGAGGCCACAGGAGGGAGAAGTCTGGCCATGTGGGGTGGTGGAGCTGGGTTATAGGGGCCTGGAAGTCAGTGAGGATTTAGAGAGGTGGCAGGAAGGAGGGTGGCCTGGGTGGGAGACCTGCTGAGATAAAGCCACAGAGTTGGCCCACCACAGATGCCCACATGGAGGGTGTGAAATGCTGTGGGGTCCAAGGCTTCTTTCTCCCCTGGCCCACTCATGTAGGAAGCTGCACTGCACACGCAACTTCATCCACATGAACCTGTTTGTGTCGTTCATGCTGAGGGCGATCTCCGTCTTCATCAAAGACTGGATTCTGTATGCGGAGCAGGACAGCAACCACTGCTTCATCTCCACTGTGAGTGAGCCAAGCAGACCCATTAGGGCTCTGCCGGGAAGGTCCCGCACCATCCCCTTGGTTCCCCAGGACGCACATTACCTGCCTGACACCCTGCAGATCAAGTGTGTCCCTGCAGGTGAAGGCATTGCCCCACCCCCCCGGTTTATGTGAAAACTCACGAATTAAGTTACTAGTAGCTGATGAGCCAATGTACGACATCACTTCCAGCCAAAATGCTTCCTGTCTCTTGGCCTGGGTGTTGCATTTGGCAAGGCAGAAGAGGAAGGTCAGGTGGGAACACCAAGTCCCACTTGAATGAAGAGGAAACTGATGCTGAGAGAGGGCTTACCTAGCCCCTGGTCATTTAACTAGCCTGGGATGGAGCCCAGGTGCTGATTGGCCAGGGGTCTTTCCAGACACCTCCCCAGGTCTCACACTTCTGGAGGAGGTAGCATGTGGAGAAGCTGGTCTTTGAGGAGGTAGGTTAGGAAGAAGAGTGTAAAGTCCAGGGCCTTGACCAGGAGGACATGCTTGGGGAGCCTCTATGAGTAGAGATTTCTGGAAGCTAGGAATATGTATCCCCCCACCTGAAAGGTGTCCAAATCCTCATTATACCAAGGAGCCTCCTGCAGGGTCCTCTGGCTGCTTCTCTCCCTACTCCTCTCCTCTGTGGGAGATAGGGAAGGAGCAGGAAAGTGAAGGAGGATGAGCTGGTGGTGGGGAGGCTCTGTGTCTGCCACCCGTCTTTGTCCTGTGTGTGCAGTTTTGCCTCCATGGGCAGCTTTGACTCAGAATCATGGGATGCTGCAATTTTCAACTCTTTGATCCAGGAATATTGACTCTCTTAGATCCTTGGGATGTTTGAACCTGAGCATGCCAGAGCCAACGGGCCCTAGGATTCTCCCTTGCTCCTGTTCCTGTTGGGCTCACGCCCCTCACCCTGGCGCTTCTCCCTGCAGGTGGAATGTAAGGCCGTCATGGTTTTCTTCCACTACTGTGTTGTGTCCAACTACTTCTGGCTGTTCATCGAGGGCCTGTACCTCTTCACTCTGCTGGTGGAGACCTTCTTCCCTGAAAGGAGATACTTCTACTGGTACACCATCATTGGCTGGGGTAGGTTCCTGGCTGTGGCTTGGACAGGTTCAGGTCCCGTGGTCAGGTGTGTCCAGGTGTGTCTTTGGTTCCATCTTCAGGAAGTGTCAGGTGAGGAGGGGCCACTGCCCTGCCCGAGTCTAATGGCCTAGGCTCTGTCTTGGACTCTTTCTCAATCTTCTTGCCTGTGGAAAGCCCACTATCTCAGGGAGGAGTTAAATCCAGGAGTCCTCTGAGAGACAAGACAGCCCTTGGTCTGAGGGAGATATAGACCCTCAGGAGGCCTGGGTGTGAGGGACAGTTAGAATTCCCAGGAATTCCAAGTCTCATGGGGGAGCAATAGCCTCTCGGAGCCCCAGGTCTACGGTGGACATTGGACATGTTGGTTTTCCTGTTCTCACGGACCTCTTTTTCTTGTTCTCCCAGGGACCCCAACTGTGTGTGTGACAGTGTGGGCTACGCTGAGACTCTACTTTGATGACACAGGGTTAGTACATGCGCGAGAGTCAGGGCCACAGCACAGAGTAGATTCTTACAGATGGGTTCTCAGTAGCTGCCCTGACTTCACATGAACTGCCCGCAACAAACCATTCAATGCCAGGCCCAGACTAAAGCCCAGCACTGGGCACCACCTGAGCCATGGCCCCATGCAGGTGACCCACCCAGCTGCGTCTCAGCCAGCAACCCAGCAAGAGAATGTGCTAGGTGTCTGAGCCCTTGTCTACTTCTGTACTCAGCTGAGTGTCTGTTTTGCTTTTAGGGAGGGGATGAAGCATGTTGAGGGGGAGGTCACATCCTAAGAGCTGTAGGTCTTATGGGGAAAAATGGTCCTTTCCCAGGAGCTCACTGGTGATACTGACTTTTGGGCTTCATGCCCTGCCTTGATAGGTGAGCAGAGGGAAAGATAGAGGCTCAGAAGGAGGGGATTTTCAGAGCCAGGACCAGGCTGGAGTCTGTAGCCCGCTGGAGAGCTCTTGTTCCAGCCAGCCCCTCCTCAGAGAGCTGCGGTGGTGAAAGTGTCGGGCACCCAGCTAGGCAGGGCAGTGTCCCGCAGGCTTCTATGCTGCCGACTCACAGACGTGATCTTGCTTCTCTCTGTCCATCTTTCAGCTGCTGGGATATGAATGACAGCACAGCTCTGTGGTGGGTGATCAAAGGCCCTGTGGTTGGCTCTATCATGGTGAGTGTCCTTGGGATGAAGAGGAAGGGAAGAGACAGGGTCTTGGGCAGAAAGGCACGCGAGGAAGAGAAATGAAAGAGTCCCCACACAACCTGACTTCCTCCTCTGTCATGGCTGCATTATAATCTGTAACAGGGATGCACAAACTCTTTAGCTATTCCCCTAACACTGGAGATTTATATTGTCCCATTTTTTCCTTATTACAAAAAATAGAAATAGTTTTGTGCATAATTTTGAGCATGTGGAAATATTTCTTTAGAATAAATCCTTAGAAGTGGAATTGCTGGGTTGAAAGGGGTACACATTTAAAATTTCAGATCCCAAATTGCTTTGCAAAAACCCTTTAACAATTTATTCCTCCTCAGGAAGAGTGATTCATTTCCCCATTTCATTGTCTACGCTTAATCAATAATTTAATTTTTTGCACAGGCTTCTGGAGGATAATGCTGGCTTATAATTTTAATGTACATTTCTCCATCTCGCTAGCGTAACTGAGCACTTGTTTCCAAACATTAATTGACAATTTGTTTTTATCGTGAATATTCCTGTTTATTTCTCTTGTTCAGTTTTCTATCAGATTTTATTAGTTACAGTTTAAAGGATAGTTAACACTTCCGATGTTGTGTATGTTGCAAGTATATTTCCATTTCTGCATAGCATTTATACAGTCAAATGGTCAAGATTTCCCTTAGTGAATTCCAAGCCTTATTTCTGGTTGATGGAGGCCTTTCCCAACCCAAGACATAAAAATATTGTTCTTGTTTGTAACACTTTTGTGGATGTAAAACAAAGTCTACACTTTTTGTGGACTATTACATGTGCATCTTCAATCCAGCTGAAATTTTATTGTTTTGTCTGGTCTGAAATGATATTCAATTTTATCTAATTTTCAATGGATGGACATTCTACCCTCTCAATCCTTTTTATTGAATCCTTTCTCCATTATGTTGAAATGTCATTTTATTATAAACACTCAATATACTGGTCTTTGGTTCCAGACTTTCTATTCTGTGTTACTAATGTATTTGTCCATTCCCATGGCAGATGCACCATTATGCTAGTTACTGTAACCTTGTAGCATGTTCTGGTATGCAGATTTTCCCTTCATTATTCTTTTGTTTTCTTCAGATTTTCCTTGCACGTTTACTGTTTCTGGTGTACTTTTGAATATCCTTGTCAAGTTGCACCAAAAATGTCTAGTTAAGATTTGTGTAGGAATTGCATTGCGTTTACAGACTAATTTGGAGGAGAATTTATTTTCTTAAAAGATTGAGTCATCCTCTCCAAGAATGTGGCATGATTCTCCATGTATTCAGTCTTTCTTATAGAGTCATTTTGGTTAAGTTTTTTAGTTTTCTTCCTTGTTCTTGTTATGTTTACCTCTAAGGTGTTTTCCAGTTTGGGCTTTAAGTGAGTCTAGGAATCATTCTTTCATTGTATTTTCTAATGGGCTATTGCTGGTGTACAGGAAAGCTATTGTTTTTTATGTATTGTGTCCTTTCTTAGTTGTGTTTCTGAATTCTCTTATTGGTTTTTATCCCTTTTCACTTGGTTCTCATGGATTTTCTAGGTGGAAAATTATATAATCTTCAAATGAAAATAAATTTTGCTCTTTCTTTCCAGTGTTTACATCTCTTGGCCCTTGTTTTGTAGGGATGATGTTTGCTCTAGTTTTGGCAGTTACCCTTCATTGAATTGGGAAAGTTTTTCATCTTGGCTTGTTTCAGTTTTTTTTTTTTTTTTTTAATCAGGAATGGGTATTGAATTGTATCAAATGTGTTTTGGAGGCATTCATTCAAGTAATGATTTATTTAGTCATGGCTATTTATAGTATTCCACTTTTCCTTCATTATGAGCAGTGCCGCAATGAATATATTTGTGCATATCTTGAGCATACGTGAATACGTCCTTAGAATAAATCTCAAGAGTGGAATTTCTGGGACGAAGGGTATGTACATTTAACATTTTCATGCAGATCAGATTGCTCTCAATGAGCAAGGTACAAGAGCGCTCATTTCCCATGTCTTTGTTGATGTTTCTGTTGCTGAATTATACTTGCTGGTCTTATGGAGGATAATGGAAGCTTGTTTTAATCTGTTATTGTAACAAATATTAGATTTTTGGGGGTGCATTTCTGGGATAAAACCTTTATTAACATGATCTGTTTATTCTTTTACTGTATTGCTAAATTTTGTTTTTTAATATTTTGTTTAAAGTTTTTGGCATTGTTCATAAAATTCTATGGTCTTAGGTACACGTGTGTGTGTATCTGTGTGTTTTCTCTCCTTATTCTGTTTTTGTAGCAAAATTTTGTTAGCCTCATAGGTAATCCTGAAGGTTTTCTTTTTTTTATTTGCCTTGAAACAATTAAGCAGTATGTAAATTACATCTTTGTTAATGTTATTCTGGAACTGGTCTATAAAATTATCTGGACCTGGTACCTTTTAATGCATACACCTTTAACTACTTTTTAACTTCTTCTGAGGTTATTGCTCTACTTAGATTTTCTATTTCTTCTTACGTTGATTTTGTTGATATTTATTTTCCCATCTTATTCAATTTTCTCTCATCATTTAAAATATTGTGTATGTCTATTGTCTTGCCATCTTTCTCATTCCTAAATTTGTTTAATTATATTTTCTCCTTTTTCATTGACTAACACATACAGTTAGCAGTATTACTAAGTACCAGGTATTGATGTTTTTCCTTTTTTTAAAAATAATTTCAACTTTTATTTTAGATCCAGGGAATACATGTGCAGGTTTGTTACATAGGTATATCACATGATGCTGAAGTTATGGGTACAATTGATCCCGTCACCCAGGTAGTGAGCATATTACCCAACAGTTAGTTTTTCATCCCTTGCCCCGATCCTCCCACCCTGTCTAGTAGTTCCCAGTGTCCATTGTTGCCATTTTTATGTCCATGAGTGCTCAATGTTTAGCTCCCACGTCTAAGTGAGAACACGTGGTATTTGGTTTTTCTGTTTCTCTGTTAATTCACTTAGGATAATGGCCTCCAGCTGTGTCCATGTTGCCGTAAAGGATGTGGCTACATTCTTTTTATGGCTGTGTAGTAGTCCATGGTGTATACGTGCCACATTTTCTTTATCCAATCCACTATCGATGGGCACCTATGTGGGTCCCATGTCTTTGCTACTGTGAATAGTGCTGTGATGAACATACCAATGCGTGTGTCTTTTTTGTAGAATGATATATTTTCCTTTGGGCATATACTCAGTAATGGGATTGCTGGGTCTAATGATGGTTCTGTTTTAAGTTCTTTGAGAAATCTCCAAACTACTTTCCATGGTGGCTGAATTAATTTACATTCCCACCAACAGTGTTTCCATGTTCCCTTTTCTCTGCTGCCTCCCCAGCATCTGTTGTCTTTTGACTTTTTAGTAATAGCCATTCTGACTGGTGTGAGATGGTATCTCATTGTGGTTTTGATTCTCATTTCTCTGATGATTAGTGCTGTGGAGCATTTTTTCATATGTTTGCTGGCTGCTTGTACATCTTCTTTAGAGAAGTATCCATTTATATCTTTTGCCCAATTTTTAATAAGATTATTTGTCTTTTGCTTTTGAATTGAGTTCCTTATAGATGCTGGATATTAGACCTTTGTTGGATGCATAATTTGCAAATATATTCTCCCATTCTGTAGGTTGTCTGTTTGCTCTGTTGACAGTTTCTTTTGCTGTGAAGTTCTTTAGTTTAATTAGGTCCCACTTGTCAATTTTTGATTTTGTTGCAATTGCTTTTGAGGACATAGCCATAAATTCTTTCCCAAGGCCTATGTCCAGAATGGTGGTTCCTAGGTTTTCTTCTAGGACTTTTATAGTTTGAGGTCTTATCTTTAAGTCTTTAGTTCATCTTTAGTTAAATTTTGAATATGGTGTAAGGAAGGGGTCCAGTTTCACTCTTCTGCCTATGGTGAACCAGCAATCCCAGCATCATTTACTGAATAGGGAGTCCTTTCCCCGTTGCTTATTTTCGTAAACTTCAGACACTGATCAAACTGGGCATTGTAGCAGAGAACACGATTGACAGAATCCTGCCCTCATGAAACAGCCTTTGTCATTCAATTCATCTGTAAAAACCAACAAACAAGATAAAAGCAAAAATAAAACTTTATTTTTATTGATCAGTTCTCCTATTTTTTCTTATTTCTTTCTGATAATTTTTTATAATTATTAATTTCTTTCTTATATAAGTTACGTTTGTGGTAATCTTTCCCTAGCTCTTGATTTGAATGCTTAAGTGTTTTTCAGTATTTATTGTTTTTTTAATCAGTTAGTTTTTGGCTCTTCATTTTTTTCTCCAAGGGCTGCTTTGGCTATGCCTGAAAGACATTGATGTGTAGTCCTGTGGAGTCCTGTCATTGTGCCTTGTTTCTATTTCTTTGCTTCCCTTCCTCCTCCTTTGTGACCGTTCACATAGCTTCCTACTTTGTTTAGGAAGCTTTTGTCCCTAGTCTTTATCTGAAGGCAATGCTACTATTACCACTCCCAGGCAGCCCTTTAATTAGCAATGCTTATGGCTGTCCATTCTGGTTCCCCATATTTGATGACTCTGAACTTGGAATTTCTCTACAGAACAACTCTCACTTCTGCAATAGTCTTACTTTATCTCTTTTGGGCTGTAGTTTTCCCATCACCCTGATCCTGTTTTCTCTTTCTCTTTTAGAAATGGCTTACTTTTCTGACTTACTCATGATGTCCTTTCCTATTTCCCGTACTTCTATGGAATCCTTTTTCTTCTATCTCTTCCTTCATTTTAATGATACTGTGGGAGGCTGGAGAGATAAATGGGAATTATCACACCGCCATCTTGGATTAGAAGTGTAGATGGGATCTTGACTAGGTGGGGGAGGGTCCTGCTGGGGAAATAATAGCATCTTTGCCCAGAATCATGTCCATCTGCTTTTTTTTTTTTTGCTCCTTAGGTTAACTTTGTGCTTTTTATTGGCATTATCGTCATCCTTGTGCAGAAACTTCAGTCTCCAGACATGGGAGGCAATGAGTCCAGCATCTACTTGTAAGTACCATTGTGTGGCTGCCACAGCCATTTCTGACAGCCGAGCGGGCCCTGCATTCAGGTCACAGCAGAAGGCGGCCTGGGCTTTGCTGATAGGGTGACCTAGCATCAGCATTTGCAGATCTTCTTCTGATTAAAGAGCCTTTAATATAGTTGCCCTTCCAGAATTCAGCAAACCCAGGAGCTCCTCAGCTGCATGGCCATCATATGGATGGGCAGGAAGAGAGAGAGAGAGAGAGAGCCTGAGAGAGAGACTGACTAGGAAAGTCAAGAAGGAAAACATCAGATTTCCTAAGGGAGGTAGGGTCTTGGTTGGTTAGAAGTTGAGTTTCCTTTGGGGTTCCTGGTTCTGTGGGAAGCTCATGAATACCACTGAATACATTGTTGCCTGATATTCCGACCCCCAGCCCAGACTGTGGAAGTTGCCCAGTTCCCACTAGCGAGTCAGGCGGACACATTCTCACTGGTCTGGGTGTTGGAAGGTGGGTACTTTCTTTCCTCCACAGGCCCTCGGGGCAGCTCTACCTCTGCATGTGGTCCTATTTCTTCAACTCCTTCCTTTCTGATGAACATCTAATTGGTTGGGGATTATTGGGTTACAGGGCAGCCTCTTACCATAGAGCGTAGGGCTTTCTCCACTTCCATGGCCACTTGATTTCCAAGAAGTATTTCTGCAGTCATGTCCCTAACAGCCTATCTTTGCCTGCCCTTTCCCATTTCTCTCTCCGCCCTGTCTCATTATGAAATCAGACATAGCAGCTTCCACCTCCCATCTCTGGCTGTGAATGGGAGCATGACCAGCTGGGTGTGTGGGGTATGAGGACATTTCTGATGCTGGGGAGGAAGGTTGGTTGTCCCCTGTGGTTGGCTGGAGGGGTGGATGGGCACACTCTGGTTCTGAGGGCAGTCCTTGGGGTCCGTCTGTTGGTAAGGCAAAAGCCCTATGTGTGGCTTCTCCGCTCCTTCAGAAGAAAGCAGATGAGGAGGAGCTGAGGTATCTTCACTGGGTGCCTCATTGGGTCCATGGTCCTGCCTTCATCAGAGACCCCAGTAGATGCTGGGGTCACAGCATCTACTGGCTGCCCAGTAGATGACAAGTGGGACAGTGAGAGATCCCAGTACAGGGTTCCCCCAGGGTCCCCTTCCTCAGCCATTCTCCTAGAGGGAGAGGCAAGAACTGCTCGGAGACCAAATCCTAGATCCTTCCCTAAGGCTCCCTGAGGCTTCCTCAGGGAGGTGGAGCTTGTTCTTGGTCTGTCAATCTGTTCAGCCTGGGGAACTCCCCATGTGGAAACCCTTCCTCAGGGGTGGGGGACTAGCACAGGGCCTGGGGTGTTCAGCCAGGTTTTTTCTACCTATACAATGATTACATTACATTGGAAAAAGTGCTTTTTTTCCTATCCATTTACTGTTTTTTCTTTCATGTTTTTGCAAGTTTTTACCAATTCTTGCTTATATGTGTATATTATGTAGTAGAAAATTATTCATCAATATAAATCATAAAGTCTTAGAGGCCCTGCCCTGTGGGGTGGGGGGCCAGCCCTTTGCTACTACATAACCTGCCCTAGAGATAGCATTCCTGCCTTCATCTCAAGGATTCACAAAATAGGGCCCCGCTGCTCGCCTCATCTCCTGTCTAGTGTTGGACACTGCCCTTGTGTCTGGCCTCAGTTTCTCCTGCTTGGGCGTGGATCAGGTCACACACTAATAGTTGTCTCCCATATTTGAAGCTGGCAGGGAGCTAAGTCAACCTCATCTCTCGTTTGAGCTCTAGTGGTCTTGATTTCCTCCCCTTCCTGGTAGGATTTGTTCTTCTACTGAGGGCCCCCCAACCTCTTCTCTGGGGGGGTCCTCTCAGCTTTCCCTACTAAATAGGATACCCTACTGAACCCTGAACATACTTTGCCAACTCAGACATTCTGCTTTGGGCAGCAAGAACCCCCAGGGCCTGGTGGGAAAGAAGTGCCCGCCAAGGTTTCAGGTTCTCCACGGACCAGGAGCCTTGAGTCTTGTTAGGTCTTCCTCATGCATAGATAAGAGCTACCTGTAATTAGCACATGGTTTATACATTTAAGTACTGTATTAATCTGGGACATTTAAAGATCCAGCTAGTTGGTTTGCTTCTGGCATTAAAAAAAAATCCCTTTGCAATCTCAGCAAATCTTTTTTTTTTAGAGAAAGTCAAACCTCTGCTAGTCTTGAGTGCCCATGATTAAAAACTCAGATGGACAAAGTCTGTGAGAGTGGGAGTGCCCACACAGGACAGGGAATCAGCTTGATCCCATTCAGTCCAGCAGCATGTTTGAGTGACAGGGTCAAGGAGACCCTGTCGGCCAAAGTGAGTAGTAATCCAATTGACCACACTGCTAAGAACTGTAGAGCACTTGGAAATACTCGCGACCACATCCATGCACATTTAACACCTGCAAACATCCAGTGAATCTGGTGGAATAGGTAAATCACTGTCAAATAGAATCACCATGTTACAGCTGAGGGAACTAGTTATCAGTGAAGTGACGTGAATCCAGGAGGAAGGAGGATGCCATGGCTGTGGTGCGGGCAGGCCTTTCACCCCAAGCTTGACAGCACCGTCATCCCTGTCCTCAAGGAATGCACAGATGAAAAGATAGCATTAAACAAGTGTGCAAAATTAGGCTTCCTGGAAGAAGAGGCCCCTGGTGGGTTCCAGCCTGTGTGAAAGCCCCCTCAGCCCAGAGTGCTTGGCAGAGCTGGCTTTGAGCTGGGAGGTGTCTGCACTGGGAGGAGGGGAGAATGTCAGGCGCAGGGGAGGTGAGAGGGCAGTGAATGGGGGGAGAGGGAGATTCCAGGGCTGTGCCAGAGTCCCCTGGGGTACCAGAGTTATGTGTGGGGCCAAGAAGCCCCTTCAGATCTGCCCACAACAGCTCTCCGGTTTTTTCCTCTTATTTCCAGAACAAATTTAAGCCCGCGAGTCCCCAAGAAAGCCCGAGAGGACCCCCTGCCTGTGCCCTCAGACCAGCATTCACTCCCTTTCCTGTAGGTTGGTTCCAGCTGCTCAGGTGATAAGGGTTTGTCCTCCATAGACCAAGACGGTATTCCTGGCCCAGCCTCAGAAGCACCTGATGGGGTCTGGGGCCTCTGCGGGGGGACGGTGGCACTGAGCCACTCGTCCTCTCTGACCTGATGCTCCTGGTAGGATGAGTGGCTGGGGACAGGACTTGGGCAGTGGGCATCAGGGGCTGGGTCAGGGCTTAGCATGTGCTCAGGGTCGACTTGGTCTGGGGCAGGGGTGAGGGGGGTTAGGGCTTAGCCCTCAGCTGGGGTTGGCATTAAGCCTCGGGTAGGTCAGGGTTAACTGGAGTTGACCTCTGTGAGCAGGTAACTGGTTCAGAAAGGGGAGAGGTGAGGCTTCCAGGGTAGACATTAACTGTTCGGGGAGAGCCTCAGCCCCCTGCCTTGAAGTGAGCCGGCTTCATTCTAGGGGTCTCCTCCCTGGAAGACAAGCACTGGAAGCTGCAGCTTGGGTGGAGGAGGGAAAACCCATTTGTACTCCCATGGGGTCTCCTTGGCCCCATTGGGGAGGATGCACACATCTCTGGAGATGGCTGTGCCGGGGCCAGGCAGAAGTGCGGCCAGGCAGCTTTCAGTCTAGAGGCTTCCTCCACATCCAGAGCCTTCCAGCTCACAAAGCCTCCATCTTCCACTTCCACAGCACCTCCTCCCCTGCCAAGGAGCACCTGATCCTCAAAGTTCATGTTAGGGGCTGGCAGTAGGGACTAGTTACCCTCATGTTGCAGACAGAGAAACTGAGGCCCAGAGAAGGAAAATGGCACCACCTAAGATGACCCAGCAGTCAGTGGCTGAGCAAAACCCTGAGCTAGGGTGCCCAGACTTCTCAGCTGGGACCCCTCCAGACCGGCTGGGAGTATGGAGGAGTGGCTCGTCCTTGTGGTTGCGGAGGAGGTGGTGGTGGGCAGGAAGTTCCCAGGATCTGTGAGCTGTGCTGCTAGCTGGGGTGCCAGTGTGGTAGGGAGTACTTCGAGGACTGGGCAGGGCTCCGGGGGTGCACAGCATCTTAGCATCAGGAGAGACCCTATGGAGTGTGTTCAGCTCAGTCCACCACATTCTGTGGACCGCCAAGTGGCCAGCACCACAGTGATCCCTAGGAATGCAGACGTGAAGAAGACAGGGATGCTGCCTGCAAAGGGCTCCCTGCAGGTGTCTCTGTCTAGCGTTCCTCTGGGTGTTTCCCAGGGCTGTAGCCCAACCAACCCTGCACACCACAGCTGCGGAAGCATTTCTGGAGTTTGGCCCTCATAGAAACTGTGCTGGATCCCCGGCTGACAGATGTGAGTGCTAAGACATGGAAATAGCTGTGACTTTCCTGCAGACACACAATGAAGCTGTGGCGTAGCCAGCCCCAGAGGCCAAGGCTCTCTGAAAGGCAGACGTGGGGGTGAGCCCTGCACCTGTGATAGGGTCTCCCACTTTCTGAATCAGGCTGCTCTGCTCTCCAGACAGCCCCACCCAACACCCTTGCCTGAGCTTTTAGTCTCTTTTGGATCCAACTCAGAATTTACCGCATCAGTCAGTCTAGGTTCATCCCTTCTTCCTGACTTAATTTATTTTCCCTTTTCCCTAATTGTCGTGACTTTTAAGACATTCTGACATCTTCCTTTCTCCCACCGTGTCTCTGGCTTTCCTGCACTATTTGTTCTTTTTCTTTTCCATGAGTCCTTTTGTGCAGAGCCATTGAAGGTTTGGGGAAAGCCTTTTCTTTAGACCCATCTCCTTCAAGAGCCCTCCAGGGCCAGTCCTCCCCCAAGCTGCTCCTTGATCTGCCCTCCCTGACCCCCATCAGAGCCACACAACTTTACCAGGTGCAGGGTTTCCCAGTGAACTTGTCACTAAATGGTCTTTGGAATACTTTCAAAAAATCCTTAAAAAAAATCAGAGGAGTCTGTGTTTACCATGGAAACATCTAGGGTCCGGGAGGGACAGGAACAATCTTGAAGCTAAAGAAAGCAGGGCTGCAGAGGAGAACTTCAGAATTTGGGGTGAAGGTTTAAGCTTGGCATGTAGGAGGCAACAGATACAGTTGGGGGGGGGTCTCCTGGACCCTGATTTCTGTGGTTTACCCAAGCCAAGGTTGAGGGGTCACTGGCCGTAGGAGAGAATAACCAATTATTATTATTTTTAATTTTTAGACAGAGTCTTGCTCTGTTGCCCAGGCTGAATTGCAGTGGCGAGATCTTGGCTCACTGCAACCTCTTTCTCCTGGGTTCAAGTGATTCTCCTGCCTCAGCCTCCCAAGTAGCTGGGACTGCAGGCACCTGCCACTACGCCCGGCTAATTTTTTTGTATTTTAGTAGAGACAGGGTCTCACCATGTTGCCCAGGCTGGTCTCAAACTCCTGAACTCAGCCAATCCACCCGCCTCGGCCTCCCAAAGTGCTGGGATTACAGGCCACTGCGCCCAGCCTGAGACTAACCAACTTTTCAGCTAGGAAAAGGTACATAATAAATTTGAAGAATAGAATAGGTACCATTTCTGTATACCCAGTTAAGCTATTTTAATTATTGAGAAAAACATACTTATTTGAGTCTGTCTCTTTGTATGACTGTGAAACAGACTTTTGACATTCATTGAGGAATCATGAAGAAACTTCTCAGATAGATGAATACCTCCTAATGGCGCTTCTCAAGCTTTGGCATGCATGTGGATCCCCCAGGGATCTAGTTAAAATGCAGATTCTGACCACAGGTCCGAGGTGGCACCTGGGATTCTGCATTTCTAAGAAGCTCTCAGGTGGTGTTGGTGTTGATGGTCTGGGGACTGCAGTCTGAGTAGCAAAGCATCAAACCAAACCTCGACATTCCTCTTCTGGAAAAGGGGATCTGTAGTGCCCACCTCACAGTGTGGTGTGAATTGAATGGTGCTGTTTGTTGAATGAGAACCCCAAATCCATTATGCACAGATGCAGCGGGGCGGGGGGGGGGGGGGGACCTGGGCTTGCCCCATCTTGGAAATGTGTGACACAAATTCTGGCCTCAGCGAAATGACATGTCACCACCTGTCAGGTACCTTCAGGCTTACTCTTAAAGAGCTGGAATCACACAAGGCAGATCCTGAATGCCAAGGGTGTGGTCTCTGTAGCTGTCCTCATTTGCATCAGGTCCAATCTGATTTATTAATTCATTGACCAGCACCGGGAGACTCAGAGCCATGTGGTACCTGAGGAGAGTTAGTGAAGTAGCAAGTCTTTTGCAATCTGAGAAGATAATACAGCTCATCATCTATCTCTGACACATCTGTCAGAGAAGGGGAAAGTGTTCATGGCTTGTGTCAGCCCAAGTCCAAGCAGGACCACTGTGGGCTGGAGACACAGAGAGTCAGCCTGAGACCTCCCTGAGGAGACAGAAGTCCTGGGTCCACCCAGGAGAATGTAGAGTGAGACTGCAGCCTGGGCCCCCCTCCTTGAGGTGGTTTGTTTCTGCAAGCCATGGGGCAGTGCCCAAAGGTGCTCCTCTCAGTCTTCAGCCCCTGCCCATTGAACTTGTATCAAGAAGTCCAGCCCAACACTGTCCCCTACAACTCCCTGCAGTGATGGGAATGTCCTATGTCTGTGCTGTCCGATATGATAACCACTAGCTCCATGTGGCTGTTGAGCCCTTAAAATGTGGCCAGAACAACTGAGGATGTGGGTTTTTAATTTGATTAATTTAAATTCAAATAGCCACATATGGGTAGTGGCTATCATATTGGAATAGTTTAGGTCTGGATGAATTAACAATTCATTCAATCTGACTTACCTCTGTCCCCTATGTATGTGCTGATTCTGAGTTGCTGGGGGGCTCACAGGGAGGAAGCTGTGGACCAGAGGAGAGGGAGAGGGTAGAGGGGAAAGACCAGTGGACGGACACCCAAGTTGACCTTCACAGCCAAGCCCAGAACTGGCCTGATTTGAGGCTCAGGTTGCCTGTGCTAGGCAGTGCAGAAGATCGGCAGTGTGAGTTTCCAGCTCTCATCTTGTTGAGTGGGACCTTGACGAGGCGGGGCTCTAAGCTTGGAGCCAACTCTGGAGGCAGCCTCTGGCTCCCTGTGTGAGACCTAGCCCAGGCCACCTTCTGAATACACACCTTCCCTCTAAACCCACCCACCTAGCAGTGGTCCCAGTGTGAGTGTTCGTGCGTGTGTGCGTGTGCAGCCATGCACACTCATGTCCACGTATAGGCGTGCGTTTCTCTGTCCAGAGCTGCCCATGTCTTGGCCCTTGGCTCCCTCATTCTCCTCCACATGACTGCCCTGGCCCTGTCTCCATACCCTCCTCTTTTCTGCTTTCCCTGTAAACTGAGTTTCTTCACTGCCTGGTGCCCCCCAGCTGACAGAAGTGCTAATCTTGTCACACCCAGCAGCTGCGTGCAGAAATGCTACTGCAAGCCACAGCGGGCTCAGCAGCACTCTTGCAAGATGTCAGAACTGTCCACCATTACTCTGTAAGTGTGCGTGGCCGAGGCTGTGGCCGGGAATCCTGGAGGGGTGGGGGACGCATGCTGCCACTGCCGCTGCTGGAGGAGAGTGGAGAGCCAGCCTCTGCCTCCCAGCCCCAACCCATTCCCGGCTGTTGCATGTTGGTGTCTGTGTGTCTTGTGAGTTCTCTGCAGCCTCGTGGTCATGGGGTGGGTGGGCAGGGTGTGGGGATGGATCTACGGCCATTGTGGGTGCTTCCTGAGGAAGCAGCACCCCCATGTTCTCTGCTGCTGCTGCCTGGTGTGTGGCCTTCCTCAGTCCCCAACTTCTCTGAGCTTCAGTGTTTTCAACTGCCAAATTATTTCCAAGAGTCTTAGAGCCTGAGTTCGTATAGACCTTCCCCCACACAGGGCAGGGAACTTCACTCCAGTGTCCACAGCACTTTGTGTGTGAGTCAGCATTAACTCACTAAATCCCCACAACAACTCTATGAGCTGGGTCCTGGTATCATCACCATTTTACAAATGAGAAAACTGAAGTGCTGAGAGATGAAGTCACTCACTCAAGGACCCCTAATTGACAGAGGGAGGATTTGAACCCAGAGAATCCTAAGCACTTCGCCCCAAGGAGTCTCTGGCTGGAATATCAGATTTATTCAATTTGGACATCCCTTTTACTTAAGGTGCCATTGCTCCCCTGGGCAGCCCACTGTTATTTGGGCATCTCTGATGCCCTTCTTGGTATTTTGGGACTCTTCTGCCCATTGCTGGCTCCTCAGGGCAGGAGGACAGAGGCCTAGGCCCCGTGTCATTTTGGGTAATGGCTCACATCATATGTTTCTGTTGCAAGACGTCAGTTAGCTTAGAAGCACAGTCCCAGAACCCTGGGCTCTAGAGACTCCTTGTCTGTCCCTACTGCCCCATTTGCCAAAGTGGCCACCGGGATGCCCTGGCTCCCCAGCAGAAGTCCCTGTCTGTTCTGGGGCTGCTGTGGGGCTGCTGGGGAGGGAAGGTGTTGCCCTTGGACTGTGCTGTGGGATGCCCTCACTACCATCACTGCATCCACCTTGTGGCTGGGAAAGGCCTGAAGGGTCACTGTTTCTCACACTCTGAATCCATCCCATGTAATTCCACCACAGAAGCTGGAGAGATTTGACTTATTGGTTTCCAGGGCCCTTTTTAGACTACAGGGACAAGTACTTGGAAATGGTCCCACCTATGGGAACAGATGCCAGGAGGAGGAAGGCAGGGGCCACAGGCATGTTCTGGGGCCAGCTTCCTTTCCTGGGCTCCTTCAATAGATATCTTTTTAAAAGTAGCCCCTATAGGTAGGGCCACAGAGGAGTCCCCAAGACATCCATGTCCCTGTGTTTCTGGCCATTTTCCTCTGCATTCCCGACTTTCATTCCTTCTGCAAGCACCCTCTGTTGCCTTCTGGTGCCAGGCATGGATAACCAGAGATGAACAAGACCCGAGCGCCCAAGAGAGAATTCAGTTTTGAGGATGCTGAGGCTCTCAAAGTAGGCCTGTGTGCCACATGGATTTCTTCATGGAACAGGCAGCTCCCTGCCCCAGATAAATGAGGCACCACCCCCACCTTCAGGGAGTCACAGTCAGAGATAGACAGATAAGAGGAAGGATGGAAGGATGGACTGGTCAGGATTGCATCTGGGCTTAGCAGGAACCTGCTCGGATCCTGGTGGCCCTTGTCTGTGAGCAGGGCGGAAAGGGTGGACACCCACACTCATGGTCCTCTTCCTTTACGGGCTGAGCTCCCTCTGCCTAAAGATCTCCTCAGGCTGCTCCTCCTCCCCCTGTGTCTCCTCCTTCCTTCCTTCTCCTCTCTGAATGTAAGCTAGGAAGTCAAGGGCCTCACACAGACTCCAAGAGTTCAGCTTCTCTAGAGATCTGGAGCTCCCATGTTCAACAGAACATTCTCTCCCAGAAAGGCTGAATGCGGGAGAGAGGGACACATGGTGTAATTGCCCCAAATCAAACGACTGCCTCATGCCTGCTGTCCACCCCGGGGGACTTAGCTGTGCTGGGAGATGGGGAGGCTGATCCTCTGGAGGAGATGGGCCAGGTGCAGCCTGGGGGCAGGCCACATCTGCGGGGCAGGCCACATCTGCAGGGCAGAGCTGGACTCTCTGGGGGAGACCCACAGGGAGCCAGTGTGCCCACTCTGGGTGAATGCTTGTGAGTGTCCCCTATAGAGCAGGACCCACAAGTGCACATGGTCCAGGTGTCCTAGCTGTGGGCTTCTGTGGCCCTGTGGCTTCAGAACAGAGCCCCACCGTGCTGTCAGCCTAGGGCCAGAGGCAGGCAGGGGAACTCCAGGAGAGCTGCCTCAGGAAGCACTGCAGTCCTCCGGCCCTTCCTCCCCTGCCTGGCCCACTTCAGAGCATTCTCTTCCACCTTTGACTCAGTTTCCCAGCAGGAGGTTCCTCCTGCCCAGTTGGAGATTGCCGATGCCCAGGGTCCGTAAGTTCCTCCTAGAATCCCTCCCGAGTTTCTTCCTCTGTGATCCACTCACTGAGCCTTTCCTCCCTCCCTGCCATCAGCACTTCCCCATCACTTGGTGAGTGTCCCGGCTAGCCCCAGGCTCCAAAAAGCCAACTGTCTCTGTGGCCCATCGAGGGCTGCTTCTTTCAGGCACAAAGAGCTTTCTTCCAGAACAGGAGAGCGGCTGCTCTGCCTGAGGACCCTGCATTTCCCACAAGCTTGTCAGTCTGATCCCTGTGTTTTGCCCTGACTTTGCTTTTCCAGAAGGTTTTGCACGTCACCCAAGGGGTCCCTGTAAATCGTGTGCACATTTTTAGTGGTTCTACAGGCTATTGACTGAGTGTCTTGCAGACTGGGGATGTCTCCCCACAATATCCCAGAGTCCTGGCAGCCCAGGCCACTTGTACTGGGAGAGAATGCTGAGGGGTCTGTGGACACGGGCCCCAGCTTGGAGGGAGAATAAGGGACTGGGGCTGAGTTCTCTGCCCTCCGTGGCTCTGGCCCCGAGCCCTGGAAGTCCCCAGAGCAGATGTTTTGCTTTCCTCCGACAGGCGACTGGCCCGGTCCACCCTGCTGCTCATCCCACTATTCGGAATCCACTACACAGTATTTGCCTTCTCCCCAGAGAATGTCAGCAAAAGGGAAAGACTCGTGTTTGAGCTGGGGCTGGGCTCCTTCCAGGTAGGTGTGGCACATGGGGAGGACAGAACTCACTGGGAGCCAGGGCCTGGTTGCTCACCTGCAAGTGGTGCTGGAGCCTCTTTAATCTTGACTGTAAAGTGAGTGCTAGAGTAGAGGTGATGAGGGAGCCCTGTCTGCTGTCTACCCTTAGGGCTCCTGTAAGAAGACACACTGGTGTCTGCCCATCACTGCATCTGAGTATCCTGAGCCAGCTGCCCCCACTCCTGGCCCCCACCCTGGGTGACCTGAGATGGCATCTCCCAGCAGCCTGGGGTGCAGGGTGGAGTGTCCTCAAGAGCCCAGTGTGTCCACATCCTGCCTTCAGCTTTTTAGGCCATGTACCCCTTGAGTTCTGTCTTACCTACATCTAGATCCCCAGCACAGGGCCTGGCCACAGAGAGCCCAGTGAGCTGCACAAATGCATGAGCAAACAGACATGAGTGAGTGGGGGGATGAGAGGGTGAACAGAATGCTGCCTTAGTGCCTGGAGGAAGGAGTGGATGGACTGGAAATGAGTAAGGGGCTAGGTGAATCACCATGAGGAAATGAGCAGGCAGGAGCAGCAGTAGGTGGATGAAGGCAGGGGCAGCTCCCTGGAGTGTCTGGGGATAGAGCGCCTCTCCCTAAGCCAGCTGTTTGAATTAGTATTTGATCTTGATGGTCAGAAAGTTACTCTCCATATCTGACTTGACCTTCTCCACCATTTTAATCCAAGGCCATTTAACCGGGCCCAGGTTCTTAGTCTGGTGAGACTGACTATGGGTCTCACCTGAGACTGGCCTCATGGGCTCATAGACAAAGCCCTGGCCCAGGAGTGAGAGCCCAGGGCTCTTGTCTCTGTGCTTGCTGACCAGTTCTGGGGTCCTTGAGCTATCATTCTTCCAACACCTTCAAACGACAGCACAGGGCACAGGGATTGCAAGGAACTAATTTGCAGCATTCAAGAAAATGCTCCTGCTTTTTTGGTGTGGATTTAAAGAATATATAGAGAATAGCTAAGTGCATACGCTGTGCCAAGTACTCGCTCTGCGTGGTGTTCTGCATTGCTGTGTATGATAGTATCTGGCCCAAGGAGGGCAGATTGGGGAGATGATGGTGGACAAGGATGGCACAGGTCTGTTCTGTCCTGGAGGGTTCCTACCCTCAGAAGCCTGCAGGATGGTTAGGAGCTAAGAGAAATTCTAGGGCATTCAGGGAAGGCTTCTTATAGGAAGTGGGATAGAGCTGGCCTTTGGGAATGGGAAGGATCTGACCAAGGGAATGTGAGATCCAAAGCTAGAATGTATCTGTGGGACAGGACTTGACCACCAGCCACGTGGCCTCATGGGTGTGCCCATCTTGGTAGAGTAGAACTGTCCCATCTTACCCCAGATCCCTGGGCAGGTGCCCCCATCCAGGTCATGGTGTATTTCTGCTTCCTAGAGTCATCCCCTCCATGCCCCACACAGCATTTCAGAAAGTCCTTTGCTAGCATCCTCAGGCTTATTTTCTCTATTCCCAGGGCTTTGTGGTGGCTGTTCTCTACTGTTTTCTGAATGGTGAGGTAAGACCTTGGCCCTCTGGCTTCTTGGCAGTGGAAGTGGGGCTTTCTGGGGAGCAGACAGGGGAACCACCTGTTGGCCACATGGGACTGACTCTTCAGAGAGGGCTCTGCCAGGCTCCCAGCACTGAGAGGAGGGGCTGGTCATACAGCTCCTGGCATTGTGTGGTGCCAGGACCTCCTGATACCCACACCCTGTGCTGGAATCTGTCCCACTTTGCCAGCTGTGCAGCTAAGGCCCCACCCAAAGAGCAAAGCTCCTGGTAAAAGCGTCGGCTCTGCTGAGCGCAGATCTCCCTGGGAGGGTCCTCTCCATAAGACACTCCGTGGTGAGGAGGAATTGACAATAAGGAAGGGTGGGGCACAGGACATAGGACCTACAGGCCATGAGGCTGTGCTAGGCAGAGCTGCTGAGCCAGGAGCTGCCTGGCACTCAGGGTTGCCCTTAACTGGCCAGCCAGCCTGGCCCAAACTGTCCCCTGGTAGAAGGGAGACTGTGAGAATTTGGAAGAGACCCCAGGGAGAGACCTGGAACCTTCTATTAATACTCCATTGCCAGAGCTGTGGTTCGGGGGCTCCCTCTGTACCCTATTGGGGTAAAGCGCTTGAGCACAACCCAAAACAGAGGTGCTGGGGCAGCGGTGGGGACTGAATGGCTAGGGTGGATTTGAGAGTAGGCGGGAGTCTTTGCACCAGTGCTTGGGTCTTAGCTGCATCACCTTGGCAGGCTCCTCCCTCTTTTGCATCTGAGCAACAGAGATTGGGCTCTGTGATCGCCCAGACAACCTACAGAAGGATCAGATTAGGACAGACAAGAGAGGCAGAAAGGGCCCTGCAGGTAGTGGCCAGGAGAGCTTAGAAGTGGGCATGTATGTAGCTTGTTCAGAGCTTGCAGTGAAAGTAGGAGCTGGAACTGGAGAGGGTGGGTGTAGGCGCTGCTTCCAGTTGTGCAGTCTGTGCACTGCACGAAGGTGCTTGACTGAGAAGGCACATGGAGGCTGAGACTCAGCATGGCCCCCACTCACCATGCTAAGAGCTACATGGGTGTGTGTTTTCCCAGAGGGGTGCATTATTTAATGGTTCTCAACCCTGACTGGGAAGCTTTAAAAAATATGATGTCTGGGTCTTGTGCAGAACTTTTGATATAATTGTTCTGGGGTATGGCCTGGGCATCTGGAATTTTTAAAGCCCCCCAGGTAATTCTAATGTGTAGCCCACTCTTACTGGTCAGCCAAGAGTGGGGATCCTTTCCTGATCCACCTGCCCTGTGGGACTGCTTGTTAAAGATTTCCTGAAGGACCCAATGGACTATTCTCTGCCTGGCCTGAAAACAACAGGGAGCCATTAGAGGGCCTTGCTCAGAAAGTGGCAAGGGAAGGGGCTGTTCCGGTCAGCTCCTCAGAGGCTTCCTTGCCTACAGCTGCTAAAAGCCCCCACTGGAGACCTTGAGGGCCGCAGGCTGCAACTGGGGAGTGGGGAGGGTGCTGAGGGTGGCACTGCCAGCCTGGGAAGGGCCCCAGGCCAGGACAGGGCCTGGAGGCTGCAGAGGATGTCCATCTGGAAGTGACCGCCCAGTTTGCTCCCTGCAGGTACAAGCGGAGATCAAGCGAAAATGGCGAAGCTGGAAGGTGAACCGTTACTTCGCTGTGGACTTCAAGCACCGACACCCGTCTCTGGCCAGCAGTGGGGTGAATGGGGGCACCCAGCTCTCCATCCTGAGCAAGAGCAGCTCCCAAATCCGCATGTCTGGCCTCCCTGCTGACAATCTGGCCACCTGAGCCATGCTCCCCTCCTCCTCCTCTCCTCCATCCACAGGCTGGGACCGCAGGCAGGTGCCAGCCCACGCATGTTTGCGCCTCTTCCCTCCCCTTGGGCAGGCCCTGGGCTGGAAGCTTGGCTCCTGAGGGGGGAGAAGGAGGCAGGGCACAGACTGGAATTGTCCCCTCCTTGTTTTGGTACTGGTCCCACCCACTGTGGTCCCCTGGGCCCTGACCCCAGACATGTAAATACTCCTCAAATTTGGAAAAGTTGTCCCATCCCTTCCCCCTTTGCCCCAGTGTCCCTGCTCACTTCCAGTCAGGTCTCAGCTCCACCCCACTGTTTCTTGGTCAGCCTCAGTGATGGCCTGACCCCAGCTGTGAGGCCTTGTGAGCTAAGGCTGAAGAGACCTTGCCTGTGGGAGCTGGGGTGGTACCTGCCCCAACAGCCCCCCATCATCTGATTTTGGGTGTGACCCCTCGAGTGTGCATGCCACCCTGGGGCTCTTCTCAGTCCTGGGCCCAAGTCCCTGAAGCCTAGCAGAGGGCCAGCTCGGGTGGCCAGAACACCCCTTGGTGCAGGCCTCCTGGCACTCGCCTGGCATCTTGGTGTCCGGGTGCTCAGCTCCTGGGTCCCAGGGCAGTGGGACAGCTCCCAGGCTCTTCTCATCAGAGACTTCAGTTTGGGTGGGGAGTCTGCAGGTCAGGGAAGGTTCTGGTGCTTTTCGTTTGATCCAAAAGGAGCTGAGAGCCAGAAATGTGGCTGTGATTGCGAAAGAGACGGAGTTTGGGAGACCCATGGAAGAAAACCTTCGCCATCTCCATTGTTTTACCCCCAGCTCAAGATGGACAGGGTTCTTCTGGTCATCTCCCTTCCACCTCTTCCACCCTCATGGATGCCTTCCAGAAGCTGTCTCCAACCATGCACACCACAGAGAGCCCTTAAGCCCTCCCCTCCCCATTTCCCCTAAGTCAAAGCCATGACTAGGATGTACCAGCCACCTGCCTCTGATGTCGGCGAATCCTGAAGCACCTGCACCCGAATCTGGGGCCCAGGGCTGCCCGACCCCCACTCCCATGGATGATGAGGAGCCCCAGACACCAGCTCCTCTGGCCTGGACTCAACTATTGAAATCTCTCTGAGACCTCTGCAAAGATGTCCCTTTTATGCCCTTGACCTTGACTCACCATGGGCTGCTGGGGTGTCGGGAGAAGCCACACCCAACATGCCCATTAGCAGAGGCTGCTGCTGATGTGGCAGCTGCTCCCTACCACCCGCCCTGGCTCCCCAGCTGCAGGTTGCACACCCTCAGCCTGAGAATGTAAAATAGGGCAGTGCCCAGCTGGGGAGGTAGAGGAAAGTGCTAGAGTACATGGTCCGTGTGTGGCCTAGCTCATTCCATGTCAGCATTTGGTGTTACTCCTGTCCAAATTCTGTTTGCAGACTTGTTTCATGATGATGCTCTGGAATGCTTGGGGACTTTGGGTGGAGGAGGATGTTACTTCATTTTATAAAGAGGAAGGGGCCTGGGAGACTTGGGAAAATGTTTCTGGAGAGGCTTTCAGAGTGGCTGGAAAAGGCTCTTGTTGCTGTAATTTAGAGAGGAGCTCTGTGTCCTTGGCCAGTCAAGTAAGTTCCTGGATCTTTGGCAAAGCCAGAGGAAGAAAGGAGCTACCTGCCCTTTCCTGGGCATGCTTGGTGACTCAGATTGATCTTGGAGTGTGCAGTGGCCCTTCTACCCTGCACCTGACCTCATGATCCCCTCCACCTGCACTGGTGTGCATTACTGAAGCAAGGGTCCTGTGGACATCTTGCATTTTGGGCACTGCTAGGGGGTCTGGGCTGCTTGGAAGGAGCCATGGCCTAGGGTTCAGGGAACTAGACTCTATCCCAGTTGGGTTCAGACTGCTGTGACTGTGGACACGATGCTCCTTGTTCTGGGCTCCAGTTTTCCCATTTGTGAGATGAGGCAACTTCCAATGCTTCTCTAGGCCCTGCACGTAAGTGATTTTTCCAGTTCAAAGTCAAGACAGGTAAAAGGGCATTCATCATTGTGCCTCATATCAGGTTTTGATGAATATATGTGTGTGTGTGTGTGTGTGTGTGTGTGTGTGTGTAGAGGGATGGACAGGATGCTGTTTATTTTCCCTTTCTTGGAAATGGACCTTCTGTCCCTTCCATTTGGACACCACAGTGGAAGCTGGTGGCCTGGAAGGAAGGATTAGGTCATGGACATTTGAACAGGTGCCTTGGGCATGATGTATAGATGCAGTCATATATACCTTGCTGGGGTGGGGTGCCACCTCCAGTGGCCAGCTCCAGATCCAAGGAGCAGCCCCCTGGGGATGGACCCCATTCATTCATCATGACTCCCAACAGTTTTCATTGTGGAAGAAGAAACTTTGGCATTATAGAGACATCATCACAAAACAGTAAAAACAAAATCAACCCTGAACCCCATGCACTGTGCTGCTTCCTGAGCCTGGCCCTGCATCCTCATAGAGGTGCCGGGTTCCTATTGGTTAGTTGGTTGTTTTTCCGTCTGAGTGAATTTTTGCCAGTCTTGTGAGCAGATGTACCTGATGTATTCTCAATGTTCCAAGAGGTTCTGGCCTTCAGGGTCACAGGCAGTAGGGGGACAGCATAAGGTCTATGTAAAACCCTTCCCTCTCTGACCCTCTGTTTTCAAATCTGTAAAATGGGCAATAAGACTAGATGATTTGTATATAGCCCAATGCATCTCTGGAACTCTGTCTAAACACCAGCCATCTACTTGGAATGGGCCCCAGGACTGTGGTATTTGCCTGGGCCAGGAAAGGATAAGAAATCCTGTCATGTGAAGACAGCTTGAGAGGCTTGAGAAAAGTGGGGCTGGGGAGAAGCAGGCTTGTCAGACTCCACCCCTGTTGATGATCATTCCTGGGAAGGGGTTTCTCGTTCTATGCAATCCTAAAGGACGAAACTCACCCATGGGAGGCCGAATTCTCCTTGGGATGAAGAAATTTCTCTTTCCCTGTCATGAGTGTCCAGCCAGGGAGCAGGGAGGCAGTGTCAGGGAGGGACTCTCATCCTGGAGGAAATGGGATTCCAAGTCAAGGATGCTGAGGCTGTCAGGGAGCCAGAGAGGGGGGTCCAAGTGCGGGATGTGGGTGGCTCTGTGGTTCAGTGGCTCTGTGGTAGTTCCTAGCACTGCAGACTTCATGACTCCCCACTTAAGTCCAAGTCACATTGTCTATCCCAGTGTGTAGCTCTGTCACCCTGCTTGACACATCCAGTGGCCTACAGCGACTCTTCTCTAACCCCACCCCCTCCAAGCTGGGTTCTTTGTGGAAGAAGGACAGGGAGCTAGAGCCAAGCCCTAGGCTTGAGAGACACCTGCATCTATAATCCCCGCCAAGGATGCCCACTCACCTCTCTCATCTGATCCTCACTCTTTGTGGAAGGGAAAGCTCAAAGGGACTCTCTCTCTCTCTCTCTTTTTTTTTTTTTTTGAGTAGTACCCTTGCCCTCTTCATGGCCACTTCAAAGTGAAGCCAGCAAAGTGATAATACTTTATCATTTAGTATTATCATAAAGTATTAATACTTTGTCATAAAGTCCTCCTTGAGCCCAGGGACCATGGAAGTCAGCTAGAAGAGCCCTGAGCAAGGAGCAAGGACTTGGGCTTCTCCACGCTTTGCTCCTGGCTTGTTTGACCTTGACTCATTCCCCATATGTCTTTGAGGAGGCTCACAAAATACTAAAGCTGGGAGGAAACTTGGAGATCTATAGGTCAAACCTCCCCATTGGGCTGATGAGAAAATACACGCAGGCCTAGCATGGTGCCTGCCACCATGGTGGGATCCAGTATGTTTTATAAATCTGAATGAGTAAATGGCTCACCAATTTATGCATAGCCCTGCACATGAGCAGAATGTGACACTCAAAGCATCCATGCAGTACGCATGTAACCTTGCACAGGAGTGGGGCTCTGGTGACCGAAGGTTGTCCAGGACTCTTGCAGGAGAAGCAATGGAGTCAGTGTGGTGTGGGGAGACCTACTTTTTAACCTGGGCTTAGCCACCTGCTCTGTGATCCAGGGCTTACCTTCTTTGGGCCTCGGCCTCCTAATCTGGGTAATGGGGAGGACTTCATTGGCATTGTTAGTCCCACAGGCCAAGGATAAGGTTGAAATGAGACGGCTTGTGTGTGAAAAGATTTTGGAAATTACACAGATGTGGGCTTGTTATTGGGATGAAGACTGCTGGAAGGGACTCCTTGCTGTTTATCTACTGCTTTGAGCCCTCCTAAGTTAACCTGTGCCTCATTTGTAAAACCACCAGCATCAGGAGTAAGGGGGAGGCCAGAGGGCTCAGATGGACACAGAATTCTAGCTTTACCTGCATCCGCTGATTCAGTTTTCTGTTGGGATCAGAGTGAGGATACTTCCATATGGGTGATAGCAGCCATGCCCCTGGGAGTCAACTTCAAGGATCTGGGACATTTTGGTGTGCCCATTCCTTCTTTTCCTGAACTCACAGTCTTGGGGTGTTTCTGCACTTGGCTATGTGTGTCTTGTCTGATGTCTGTCTTCTGTAGCTTTGCCTCTATCAGGGCTGGAGTGGTGCAGCCCCTGGCATCTCAGACATGGTTCCTGCCTCACTTGTGGGAGCTGGACCAGCCTGGGTTTCATCTCCCACAGTAAAGCTAAGTAAGCCCCACAGACCTTACTGCTACTGCTGCTGCCATTAATGCTGTGCTCACTATCTTGTCCAGGATTTTAAGGATGTCAGACTGCTGTAGATGACTCAATAAATGTTTTGCCATTTTTCCTGGTGGCTGTAACTTGGCATAAGTGGAGGGAAGGGAGGAGAGGAGGGGGAAGGGGAGAGGACTACCCCCAAAATTTGATCATCCAAGAGTAATCCAGTGTATACAAGGCCCAGTGGACTTTAAGATTCCAAAGGAGAAATATGAGAGTGGGCCTGAGTGAGCCTAGGATGGAACTCGAAAAGTAAATTAGAAGTCTTGGCCTTAAAGGATCTCCAGGGATCATGGAAACTGAGTGGAATCATGACCTTCCTATTGTACCTTGGGAGCACCTACCAGATATCCCAAAACATTGACTGCAGAGAGCATTTCATCCCAGGTAACTACAAGTATATCCTTGGCTTCCAGGATCCCATCCCCTAATACTTCTGGATATTCCAAACCATCAGTCCCAGCCAGACCAGATAACCAATTCAAGGTAACCCTCATGTCCTCGAGGTTCTGTTGATTGTCACAATCCCAGTGTCCATTTTCATATTGGTCATAATGTTAATTGCTATCAAAAGAAGATAATTCTTGCTAGGTCAGAAAATGAGTTTATGAAAAAGATGTTGAGCTGGTCATAGAATTCTTGTAAGGCTGGAGAAACTAGAAAAGGTATCTGAAGCCATAGCATGCTGCATGACTGATGATGAAACTGCTGCCACTGTTGCTGCTGCCACCCCAGTGATGTCTCTTCCATGCCAGGGACATGACTTCGCAATTATTGCCACCTCTGAAAGCAGAGAGCTTTGCTGCTGTTCTCACCATCAAATGAGATTCCACTTTCAGCCCTCTTCCTCAAGTTGCCCACTTCTGCATCAAAGTTTCAACACCATTGGATTGGCTGTGTCCTCGCTACAAGGAAGACTGGAAATTGGACTTTTCTGGATTCTACCTTGAGGTCAGGGTCACAAGCCTGAAGATTTTCTAAACATAACAATAAAATCCTGGGAATAATAAATGCCCGCTACAACAGGCCTGAGGTCTACAGCAAATGCAGGGCCAGCTTCCTCCAGCAATCAGGTGGGCCACTCTGAAGAAGTCAAGTCAATGAAAAGATGGATTTTAGCCTAATAGTGTGTGAGCCCTGCAATCAGCTAGGGCTGTGTGGATCACTCACCAGATGCCCCCAGGTGTTCAGGGGGGTGTTCCCAAGCTGGGACACTAGTTAGTTCTTCTTTCAGAGGCTGTGCCGCTCCTCTTTCTCCAGACCCACCTCTTCTTTTAGTCCTAAAGGAGATGACCAGGCTATGTTATATGACCCACTTAGCAGATATTTTGAGTTGCTTCCAAAATGGAACCTATGCTCAAGGCTGAAAATTAGTCTCCTTGTGTCAGTTTCTGCTGGCTGATCCTAAGGAAGACTTCCCTAGTGTTTAGAAAAATATTACTTTCACTGATGTGACCATAATGAATTGAGCTTCCATATGTTTCATCCTTTGAAAGAGGTCACGTCCAAAAAGCAAAGGTAAGAGCCAAAATTTAGTTGAAAGCCTTGAATTTCACATTAAGCTTGAATTTCTTGGCAACAGTGAAGATCATCAAACTCCTGGGTCCATGTGAGCATTTATTAAATCCTGTTTCCTCTGTCCACTTTCCAACATTGATAGACTAAGCCCTCATTTCTCCCAAGACCCTCTAAAAATGCCTTGAATCTTGGCTGTTCCTGATGGTGCTGTCTGTTTTACTGGTATTGTGTATAATTCCTCTTGGGAACCCAGTGGTTCTTAGACATTATCCTGCATCAGAGTCACCTGAGGGGCTGTGAAAACAGAGATTGTGGGACCCACCCCCAGAATTTCTGATTCAGCAGGTCTGAGGTAGGGCTGGACCATTTGCATTTGTAAAAGGTTCTCAGCTGTGGCTGTTCTGCTGGTCCTGAGACAGCACTTTGAGATCCACTGTTCTACAGGTTCTAAGTGAGGACACTGGAAGGGCAACATAGTCCCTATTTGTGAACCATGGGCCTGGGCAATGATTACCTTCCCAGGAGGCAGAGAACAAGCATAGACATTCACAACAGGAGCTTTAATTTCCTTTTCCTCTCAGGCCAGTGTCTTAGAACAGAAAGCAAAACGTTCCAAGAGGAAATCAGCCTGCAGATGTCCATTCAGTCTCAATCAGCGTAAGTATTAGACTGTCTCTGAAACAACTAGTATCAAGTTCAGTGGGATATGACAGCAAAAACTCCAATAAACAGTGGCTTAAAGCAGACAGAAGTTTACTTCTCTCATATGAAGTCCAGAGGTAGACAGTCCAGAACAGGTGTTGTGGCTTTGTGGTCTCTCTGAGGACTCAAGCTTCTATCTTTTTGCTCCTCTATCTTTAACAGGTGAGTTCTAGTCTCGAGGGCACCCTAAGCTCCAGGGCCCCTGGAGCTCTGGATGTCACTGGACTTAGAAGCAAATGGGAGAAGGCAAAAGAACTCTTCCCCTTCTTCAGTCATCTTCTTTTAAGAGGCCTATGTCTGCTTACATCTCATTATCCTGTGTGTAGTCACATGGCCACACCTCACTGCAAGGCAGGCAATGCAGTGCAACCTTAATAACATTGGAAGGGAAGAAGGGATATTGACTGGCAAAAAGTAGTTTGTGTCATAAAAATCTTTGGGCAGTCCTTAGTGGTGAGTTGGGTTCATTCAACACCTGTGGAAAACCAGAGTCATATGGCTCTATGTCCTATTTTACTATATTGGGAACAAACTCAGGAATACAGTCTCCAGCCTGGACCATAAAGCCCCCTGATCAGAAGTGGGGAGCTGTGTCTTCCCACACATTGAAACTAGTCTAGTTTCAAGGGGTGAGAGCATGTCTGCACCATTTCTGGTAGGCTCTCCCTCATGGATGCAGTTCCTGAGTGGATTCTGTGCCCTGGTGCTTTCTACATTAAGTAGTCTCTTTTTAATTTGGGGGATCCTCAGAGTAGTGATGGGGGTGTTGGGAGGGATGAAGGTCTTGTAATTTCTGACTGTCAGTTGCCCTAAAATGAACTAATGTAGATGCTCTGAGCCTCCCAATGTTGTTATACTGTGCCCTTGTGGGTAGCCTGTTGCAGTAGTTATTCTGGTGTGAACCTGGAAATTCCCTCTGCCACTGTCCTGGATGCAAAGTTGTAAATTCTGTGGGTGAAACCCAGTCATGAGGAGCTCTTCCATATGCTCTTTCTAGGCCAGAGAGGCAGTCTTTAGCAGATGGCAGACCTTTACAAAGACATCATATGTATCCATTCCAATTCATACAGGCTTTCAGCTGAATGGGGACTTTGCAGTGATATCTCAGCTTCAGTCAGCAAATCTTCCACCAACGCAGTGGGCAGGGCCTTTGTTCTGACCCTCAGGGCCCTCTCAGGACCACCCCTCTCAGTCACCCTCTTCTCCCTTCCCCTTTCAGAAGGCCCCCACCTGCAGTGTATTGTATTCTAGGTTCCTCTCCCTCACCCCAGGTCCCTCCTCCCCTCTGCCCCTGATGTAAACTCAGACATGGCTTGGGGTGAGTTCTCCTTGAGCTGATACTCTTGATGCCCTTATCTTTTGGGTGTCCCCAATACTTGAGAATCATCTGTAGTGTTCTCCTTAACCCTATTGAGACACTTTTTCCATGGACAAAAGCATCCATTCCTATGACATTAAGCCTCACTTCCATTAATAAACCCAACTATTCACCACCAGGAGCAGCTTTGGCTTGGGCAGTAAGTACCATGGAGAGAGCCAAGTGAACCTTGGGTCCAGCACCACAGACAGTTCCAAGACTGTACCTACTTGGCAGTCTGTGTGGCCTATTTTTATCTGATATGAACAAAGACAGATTTAGGTTTTATGAAGTTGGAAACTCATATAATTTGGGGAGTCCTCTTTAATACAAACTGAAAAATTTTTAATTAAAATTAGGTATAAAAATAAGGGTTTTTTTGAATGAGAAAAGTTGACAACTATGATAAACATTATGAAATCCAGAAAAACAACATCATCTTTGTATTAATTACTCTCTGATGCTTTTTGCCTACTTGTTTTGGTTGCTTACTCTTTGATAATCTCTTTATTAGCTGATAACATTTATATCATTTTCTGTTCATAAAATTTGAATATAATTTAGTCACATAGTTAATCAAAATGTGTGTTTTATTATTGAACATTTGGACTCAGCACCAATGAAAACAGAATCCTCCAATTACAGTGTTACACATATGATGATTGGCAGATTTTTTTCACAGACTGGCACCTGGCTCCATACACATCCAACTTTGTTTCTGCAGCACTGTGCACACTGCCAGGCACTGTATGACATTTTAATATGATGATATGATATGATCTCTGGCCCTCTCTCTGCCTTTGTACATAATGCTGAGTGAACAACAAGAGTATTCCTGGAAGGACAGTATAATATCACTGTATAATGAAGCAATGACACACACTCATGTGAAACCCACTGAACCAAACTGAGTGTCTCTCTAACTTAACCTCCCCTTCGTTGGATCCCCAAAGTGTTCCTGGCAGTTGAGTGCTACCCAACATGTAAGAAGGTGTGGTAGAGGAGATGTTAGGGTGGAGAGATGCTGTAGGCTTATCCAATTTGGGGCAAATAATTTACTTTTCCAAATTTTCCAAAAACATAAGATCTTGTGAACACACTTCTGAGATCCAAGTGAGAGAGAGGGGCTTGGAAAGTGCTGTATATGACCCACATTTATCTGTCATCACAGGAAGATATTTTTCAGTTTTACAAGACTGAAGCCCGTAATGCAGAGAACCAGAGATTTCTGAGGTCCCTGCTTTCAAATGATATCATGTGCTCTCTGGAGCATTCAGGTCACTCTTTAGATGGATGGCTGTTACCCCTCCATTCAAGAATCTCTTACTGGAAACTAACTATGTGGTAGAGGCATGGAGGGCACAGTTTGGCATCAAGAATGAACCAGAAACATTTTGTCTTCATAGTCAGGTGGTGAAGACTAGAATAAATAAACCAGGCATGGTGTGTGATAAGGTATAATTAAGGTATTAAGGGATCTGTGGGTTAATAAATATTTGTAATTGCTGCTTCAGCCTCCGTTGCCCTCGGCTCCCTCCAATAATTCCCTGATTTTGTTTTATGGAAACTGCCCACCTCATGATCAAACACAAGGTTTGGGTGCCTACACTCCTAGCCTCTGGGGTGGGTCCAGATAAACAAGCCAGGCCACATGGCCCTTATCACTCATTCCTCTGGCTGTAGTGACTGGCCCAGGGACAGACACACAGGCCATGTGAGGAGTCTATTTCTAGGGTTTCTGGGAAAGAGGGATTCCTCTTTTTTGTGAGGAAGCTTATTGGAGAGACACCCGCTTGTCCCCTGGAAAGCATGACACGAGAATGTGAGGCTTGCAGGTGCCACAGTCATTTGCAATTATGAGGGAAACAACTGGAGCTGTTCAGAGAACGTGGTAGGGATCCTCAAGATGAATCAGACAACAAGGGAGGCAGAGGGGAATAACAAAAGGAAATGGAGTCCTTGGCATTATCATCAGAACCACTTGATCAGGCCTCACCTGACTGATCTACTTATGGACTTTCCTAGGGACTGATGGGTAGGAGGGTTATTTGAATGGGCAAGATATAGAAAAGGCATCCTTTTATCATGAATTTTTAAAATAAATGCACTAAAGTACAGAGACCAATACAACAAATTCTGTGTCCACCCCAGAGCTAACAATATGCTATTATGCTTGATTCAGATATTTTAATTTTTTTAATGAAGGAACACATGACAGATGGAATTTGGTCTGCATTGTGGTATTTCTCAGTTTGATTTCCCTCCCTCTCCCCTTCCAGAGGCAGCCACTAACGAGAACTTAGTATGTATCCATACCATTTATGTTTTTGTACTTATAGTAAATATCCATCAACATTATTTAGCATGTGTGACTGTGTGCTTTTAAGTTCCATCAATGGCATCACACTAGATCTATCATTCTGCCTTTGTTTTCTAAGTAATTCTATGTGCTACTTATTTATTCATACTTGTACATTTAGATCTAGATGATTCCCTTTTAATTGTATAATATTACATCATAGAAACTTGCCAGGCATAGTCATTGTCCTCCCTGTGGAAACGTATGTACTTTACATTTTGAAGTTATTTCAAACAATGTCTTACGAAGATCTCATTATTTACATGTGCAGGAGTTTCTCTAGACTTAGAATTGAAAGAGCTGGATCCAAGGGTGTGAAATTTTCAACAATTCTCAGAGAAGAAGGAAGGAGAGGCAGATAGCATTTCATTTTTACTACTAAGGGATGCCTCACTGTGTTTCTATTAATGCTTATCTTTTTGCCTTAAATTCTATTTTGTTTGATAGTAATATAGTTGCAACAATTTTCTGGTTAATGTACACATGATGTTATCTGTTTCTACCCATTCACTTGCAATTTTTTCCCTCTTTATGTTTTTTAACTGTACAATGACATACAGAAGTTTATTCAGTTTATACAAGTAATTTCTCAGATTTATAAAGTAAAAAGCTAGACTGCCAGAGGAAAAATTCCTTACATTGATATCAAAATATCTTCTAGTCCCCATAAATCATCTGCAATCACTTGATAGAAAAAATATCCACAACCATATAGGTCATGCAGACTTTTAAAATGCTATTTGTATTCAGTTTGTTTCAAACTGAGCAAAACAGTGCAACTTTTACTTTTGTATACATTTCAAAATTATATTAATGTTCCTTCTCATTTCAACTCATCCCATTACCAATAAAACGGGAGTGAGATAAAAGGGGAGAAGATCCTTGACTGCTTCTCATTTTCCTTGAAATAAACTAATAATTCATTACAATTTTAATAAGTCATTATAAGGATAATAAAAGCCTCAAAGACTTTTTAAAATAAAATTATATAGTAAATAAGTAAATAAGCATTCAAATGTTAGTAACCCAACAGGCCCTAATACAGCTTTCAGATAGTTTCATATTAACAGGCAAATATTAGCACAGAAAAGAAGTTTCCCAAGAGGGACTCATTTTAAACATAAATCACAGCTTAAATTACTACTATACAGATTATACTGGGCAAAGACAGAAAGAATGAATGCTTTCCTCCGTTCATGAACTGTGTAAGGCTACGTTACAAAGTCAGATAATGGACTGTGAATCACCTACCATACCGATTAACCATGTTTATTTAAAGTTTTCTTAATATTAGACAATTTAATGGGGGTAGGAAAAAAGTAAACAACCATTTCGCTTCTTCTCTTCTTCTACTTTAGCCACATAAGCCAGTTGTAATGGATGATACAGGTTTCAGCTGCAATTTGTAAAATATTCCAAGAACTGCCATAGTCCCAAGAACTAGAGAAAACTGCCACCCACAAATAACCTACCAAAGTAAATATAAATACAGTATGATTCTAATTTTCTTTCATACAATCCCAGACAACCCCAAATAACTTTATAAAAAAGGAATTTACAAAGCTATCAAAACTATTTAAAATATTTAAAGGCAGAGTGGTCAAATTTCCTTCAATCAGACCAGAAATCATCACAAAAATTATGATCACAGTTACAAGCAGAATGAAAGGAATGTTTAAATTTAGGACAACCAACCCCATGTGACTTTTAAAAATGCAATAATTTACTCAAATATACTGTAACTAGAAATGGCAAGAATACAGGAAGCAAAAATAAGCTTGCGAGTGAAATTTCTAGAAGCTCATGGAAACCATCCCATCCCATATTGCAAATGCAAAAGGAAAAACAGTTCTCATAGAATTAAGAGTACTCTGGTCATTGTTGTTCATTTGGTCCTGCAAGGTGTTAACCACCTTCACTTCCCATGTCACAAAATTAGCCACAAGAGGAGCAGGTGGATCTTGTTCATTATGAGGACTGGTTGGCTTTTCAGGTACGTCGGATCCTCTTCAATCAGGAGGTCTCAGTAGGAACAAGACCACTGCAGTCACCAGCCAGGCCATCAAGATCATAGTAGCGCTGATGCCATTATCATCACAGGGTCCTGGTCATTCTTGCAAGCATCTGTCTCTGTGCAGCAGAGTTGGGGCTGCCACAACAGACTGGTCAGCCTTCTCATCGCATATTCATGAGAACATATTCATAGGGATCAAGCTCACTTTCTGCCATGATTATCCAGCTTGATTTTACTTGACTGTTTAAATACTTCTGGAGGCTGGGAAGTCCAGGATCAGGGAACTGGCAGATCTGGTGTCTGAAGAGGACTTGCTGTCTGGTTCATAGATGGTGCCTTCTCACCGTGTCCTCATAGAGTGGAAGGGGCTGTCTTTTTTATATTTTAGATATATCTTCTCTATGTAACATATTGATGAAAAATTTATTTTAATCCCAACTGATAGCCTGTGTTTAGATGGGCATAATTAGTCTATGGTTATTCACTGCGACTGAGGACATTTTGAGCTTATTTCATGACCTTACAGTCTATACGCCATGCCTTTGTTTCACCCCCTACCTGCTCATCTGCTCTCTCTTTTTTTTTTTTTTTGCCTTCCATTGCATTATCTTATTTCCCTTCCCTTTCTTTTACTGATATGGCAAATATACATTCTATTCTAATTGTGTTGTTTACATTTACAATTTTAACAAAATACCTAATTTTATGTTTTTCCATAAAACTTGAAAGTTGATCATCCTTCTTTCCTTCTCCAAAACAAGATACATACTTAAGCATGTGTAACTTTCTCCAAGATTTACATTTGCAGAATCTGTTATTGTTGTCTACTCTTTTAGACATACCTTATTTAAAATCCTAAATATAGTTCCTACAATTGTTTGTAGTTTGAGCTTATTGAGCTCTATCAATATACTTCTTTGCTTAAAATATTTGATTTCCAATCTTTCCTTCTTGTTGAAGTTAATCTTTTGAAGTAGTTCTGTGTAGGGGAGAGCACTCAGTCTTTATAAGATTGAGTTCAGAAAGTGGCTGTGTATTTTAGTTGGGCAGTTATTTTCTTTCAACACTTTTATACTGTGATTGCTACTGACATTTATTGTTTTTGAAGATAAAAATAGCCTGACACTTTTTTTCATTCTTTGGTTGCCTTTAAGCTTGGTCTTTATTATTGATGTACAGTTTCATTCTTACCCTGTTTGGCACATGTTATACTTTTGCCAGTCTGTTAATTCAAGTCTTTAGTTCTGGAAAATTCTTTACCAGAATATATTTGAACGATGCCAGTTGACAACAGAAATCCAGAGTGTGGATGTAGGAGGAAAGCCAGGGGAGTGTAGTGACAGGGAAGCCAAGAAAGGGTTTCTAGGAGAGGACAGTCATCTGGATCAAATGCTGCTAATGGTCTATGAAGAGTGGAATAGAAACCAGCAACTGGCTGAGAGGAAGGTGGCTGGGTCATCTCTTGCCCCAGGCTTGAGAGGGGAAGGCTTGAGGGCCTCCATCCTTGGCTTTGACTGGGCACCCCCAGGACTGTCTACAGCCCCATCCCTGTTTGGAACCTGACACTCAGCTTGGAGGAGAGGTCTGCATGCCCTGTAGCCTGTGTGAGACCCAGGCTGCACTGAGCCTCTTGGCAACACCAGGCCTGAGTTTGGGTCTGGCCCACAGGACAATGTTATAAAAAACAGAGTAGCTTTCCCCAGGAGGATCCGGGATTCATTCTGGCTCCCCAGGGCTTCTAGACCTAGAAGTCATCTGAAGTGGTGAGTCGGGGAGCTGGTTGGTCCTTTTGCAGTCCTCATTTATCTTTGCAGTTAGGGGCAGGCTTCACACCTTCAGGAACCAAGGGGCTACTCTCACCAAAGCCCAGACCTCATCCCAGCCTGCCCCATGGCTCCAGAGCTGGCTGAGAACCAGGCAGCGGAAATGACTGGGTGGGGAAGAGCTGGCAGCTGGCTCAGAGCTGGATAGCTTAGTTGGGAGTCTTCTGTTGCCCCTAGAATCCACTGGGACTGGCCCCAGGGTTGGTAGAAGCCATGGAGAGTTCTCCCATGAAAGCCCAATCCTCATCCTCATCCTCACTTCCTGGGAAAGGAGTAGGCAGGTTCCAGGCCTCACACTTAGGCCCTGGAAATGATGTAGTGGCAATGGAAAGGCCCCTCCCTGGGAAAGGGACCTGGCAGTTTGCAGTCCTTATTTGCTCCCAAGAAAGAATTTTGCTGGAAAGGAGTCCTCCCACCAGAGTGAAAGGGATACAGAGGAAAGGATTAGGTTGCGAAGGGCATGATTTATATCTTTGGGGGGAAATTTAAGGAAACACTGCTCTCTGTCGCCCACTCAAGCAATCAAAATATCAGACCCAGCCCTGGTCCTCAGAATGTCCCCATCTTCAGCTTTGACTGGCCCCCCAATGACTGGCTAGAGCCCCATCCCTGATTGGAACCACACACTCAGCTCTGAGGAGAGGTTTGCCTGCCCTGTGGCCTATGGGAGACCCAGGCTGCACTGAGCTTCTCAGCAACACCAGGCCTGAGATTGGGCCCAGCCCATGGGGCAGTGTGAAAGGAAAAGAAATCTCAGGATCAAATCAGTAGGCCAAAGAGAAAAGTGAAGTTGGGAACTGGGGGCAAACCTGTCTCTCATTTTATTGCTAAATGAGATAGCTACAAAGATTAAAAAAAAAAATCCTCCCTCCCTCCCTCGCTCACAATTTGCCCACTGGGAAATTCCTTCTGGGACCCAGTGTCTCAACCCTGAAACAGTTCTGTTGAATTTCACCCCGACAAAGTACACTGATAGCTTCTCTTCATAGGTACGGGACAAAGAACAGGACTCAAAGCCATCCCTCGGCTCCCCTGAGACAAATGCATATCTGATTGCTTCCTCTGCCCTATGTTTATTTTATCTTAGGTAAAAGTGCAGATCCACTGAGCTAGATGAATTCATAAGTGACTGTTCCTCTACCCCTTCTGGCATAGAGAAAAGCTGATCAAACTCAAAAGAATGCGACTGTTTGCCTCTTATGAACTCACACCTTTTAAAAATGTCTTCCTCTTCCCCCAGTAGCTACCCTTTCCCCTCTAAGTATTGAAGTCCTCAAAATCATCTTTGGAGAAAGGCACAGACCTGTCTCTCGGGCATGAATCCTTAACCTTGACAAAATAAACTTCTAAATTGAGACCTGTTGCAGGCACCTTTTGGTTTACAGTAGCAAACCTGGAAGCACAGAAAGGCAGATCCCAAGCAGAGGAACACTTACAGCGGGCCGTGACCCAACCACAGTCACTTAGCCTGAGTGGCGGGTGAGGCAGCAGACAACAGAATATGTCTGGAACTCAGAGCCACTCCTCCCCCAGCCAAGCTGCCCCTCAACAAGTTCCCCATCTTGGCTTCTTAGGGCAAAATTCAGCGTCTGGGTGTGCACTGCCCTCTTCTGGTCATTTGGTTGGTAACACGAGCAGCCAAGAGCTCCCCTTTGGAAATAGCAGGAGCTCTTTCCAGTTCCGATTTTTCTGCCAACCAGGCTTGTTTCCACACAATGACTCATAAGTGAGATAATGAAGGGCAAGAACAAGTTAAAATATTTACTATAATTTACATTTGGAGGAAAAACTTTAGTCTTACATTGCCTGTAGAAAGAATGTGTCCTACAGAGGATTTTGCAGTGGTTTAACCCTTTATATTTTTTTGATAAAGCACACATTTACTTTTTTTTTTCTGATCATACAGAAAACTTATTTATTGAGACCACATAAATATAAGAAGCATGGCTTTGGTGTCATTTAGAAAGTGAACATGTGTCTAAGAATTTTCACACTAGATTGTAAACACTAACATAACTGATCTATCCATCTTTGGATTTTCATTGAGATATTTACTAAGTCCATCATCCGATGCTTTTGAGGACATGAAAGTTAAAGAGATAAGAATCTTGATCTCAAGAAGCTTTATTATTTTTAAGAATGTTAATAAAGACTCTAAAAAGAAGGCAAACAGGGAAATGCATCCTCCCCAAAGCTGCTAGTGCCAGGACTAGGCGCCTTCCCCAGTCCAGCGGCTGCAGGTTGGGTTGCTAAGAGCTTACCCTGCCCTCTTCTGCAGACAATTGCTGGCAGATTTCTGAGGGGTAAGACTACCCCCTTCACCTTTCTCATCCAGGGTGGCCGGTAGCCAGTGACTGAGGGATGTAGGGGTAACCGCCCAGCCGCCTTGCCTCTGGTTGGGACCACCTCTGTGGTTGACATCAGTGGCTCCTGCTGGATCAGCATGAGGCTGATTCTGCTGAGGTCTGGCTCCTTCCTCCACCCATCCCCGCTTCCTCACTGCCCTTCAGTGTCTCCCCATGCACTCCTTCTGTAAGATCCCTGCTCAAGGATCTCTACTTCAGGCTCTACTGCTACAGAATCTAGACAAAAACATGTGCCATCAACAAGGCCCAGAAAAGATAAGGTCCAGTTTCAGGATTAGGGAAAACTTGCCTTGAAGGTCAGGTTAGATCTAGGCATGGAAGAACTGTTCATCTAGCCTACTGACACTTATTGACTGAGTGCCTTCAATGAGCTGGGCACTCTTCCAGGCCTTGGGGCATAGCAGCAGATATGACAATCTTGTTATCGCTGGCACAATAATTCTAGCAGAGAGGGAAAGAAACAGGAAACAAATAATGGAGAATAAGATGAATTCAGTTAAGTTCTTTTTTTTTTTTTTTGGAGACGGGGTCTTACTCTGTCTCCCAGGCTGAAGTGCAGGGACTGGACCACAGCTCACTGCAGCCTTGACCTCCTGGGCTCAATTGATCCTCCCACCACCTCCTGGGTAGCTGGGATACAGGTGTGCACCACACCACACCTGGCTAATTTTTTTGTTTTTTTTTTTTTTTTTTTTTTAGAAATGGGGTTTCTCCATATTGCCTAGCCTGGTCTTGAACTCCTGGGCTCAAGCGATCCACCCACCTCAGCCTACCAAAGTGCTGGGATCACAGATGTGGCCACCGTACCTAGACAACTTATGTTCAATAGTGAAAATAAAATATGGCAACCAGATACTGTCACCAGATCCATTTTCCTACAATTCTCCAAAAATTTACCCTTGAGAAATTAGGTGATTCATTTATCTAGTTATAACAATTGGAACCTTTCTCCTGTCATAATTCTTCATCTCTGATGGTACTGGCTCAGTCAACGTCAACTTCCATTGAGTTCCTGCTGAGGATACTCACTTTAAATCATGGCATTGACACCAAACTTATTCTATAGTCTGTATTTGGGGTCTGGCACAGTGGCTCACACCTGTAATCTCAGCACTTTGGGAGGCCCCAGCAGGAGGAGCCCTTGAGCTCAGGAGTTTGAGACCAACTTGGGCAACATAGTGAGACTTCGTCTTTACTAAAAATAAAAAAAAAAATTAGACAGGGGTGGTGGTGCATGCCTGTGGTCCCAGCTACTTGGGAGGCTGAGGTGGGAGGATCACTTGAACCTGGGAGACGGAGGCTGCAGTGAGCTGAGATCGCACCACTGCACTCCAGCCTAAGTGACAGAGTAAGAGTCTGTCTCAAAAACAAAACAAAATGAAACAAAGCAAAGCAAAATAAAACAAAAAACAAAACCCAAAATAAACCAAAGTCTGTAGTTGGGATCTTGAAACATTCTCTGGGCTTTCCATGTAACATTACAAGCACTGAAGCATGTTGTTTGGGTTCTGGACTCACCGCAGAGAGGCAGCCTTCTAAAGCAGCGGTTCCCAATCTTTTTGGCATCAGGGACTGGTTTCATGGAAGACAATTTTTCCAGGGACTGGGTGGCAGGAGGATGGTTTTGGGATGAAACTGTTCCACCTCAGATCATCAGGCATTAGATTCTTGTAAGGAGAATGCACCTAGATCCCTCCCTGTGCAGTTTACAATAGGCTTGAGCTCCTGTGAGAATCAAATGCAACTGCTGATCTGACAAGAAGCGGAGCTCAGGCGGTAATGCTTGCTCATCTGCCACTCCCTCCTGCTGCGCAGCCCAGGTCCTCTGGTCTAAAGGAAGGCAGCCAATACCTGTGACTACCCAAGAGATGCCCCTGGGACAAAGGAACTGTGCCTTTGAGAGAGCCCAGGGTTGACGCATCCTGCATAGCTGCTCTCTTGATTCCATTCTCCATGCCAATGTCCTGCAGCCACACTGTCCTTTGATCCCATAAGCCTTCCTAAGGCCTACAGCCTCAGGAGAGAAAATGTCCTTTTTTTTTTGACCTATAAGCCTGGTGGCAGGCATGTATTTTATTCATCTTCCTATGCCTCATGGGCACAGCAAAATCCCATTACACAGGAGTTAACCAGTGAAGTTGGTGGAAATAAGTGAACTTCAGGGTCCTCCATAATGCCCACTTGCCCTTTTCCTTCTTAGGATCCCAATAGCCAGGCCAGAATCCTGTCTCTATTAAACAAGCCTCTAGCTTTCCAGCCAGTGTGCCTTGGCTCAGCCTGTTCTCCCGCTCAGAGGCTGCCTGGTAGAACAGAAAGGAACCCCAAAGTGTGTAACTTAGGGCAAATGGCTTCTCCATAGAAATCTTGCATACAGTGTCCAGCTCCTGTCAGTATACAGTAGGTGTTCAAGATACTTCATTCTCTAGCTTTCCACATTACAACAGACCAAATGTTTGCGGCCCCCTCCCCACCCAAATTCGTATGTTGAAACTTAACCGCCGTTGGATGGTATTAGGAGGTGGGGCCTTTGGGAGGCAATTAGATCATGAGGGTGGAGACCTCATTAATAGAATCAGTGCCATTATAAGAGAGATCCGAAAGAGCTCCCTTCCTCCTTCTTGCCATGTGAGGACACAGAGAGAAGACGGCCATGGATGAGCCAGGAAGTGGGTCCCCACCAGACACCTTGATCTTGGACCTCTGCAGGCACCTTGATCTTGGGCTTCTCAGTTTCCAGAACTATAAGTGAAATTCTGTTGCTTATAAGCCACCTGTTCTCTGGTATTCTTTAAAGCACCCTGAATGATATCCATCTTCCACCCAGTAGACTTTTTTATTTTACTTTTAAGTTCTAGGATACATGTGCACAACCTGCAGGTTTGTTACATATGTATACATGTGCCGTGTTGGTGTGCTGCACCCATTAACTCGTCATTTATGTTAGGTATATCTCCTAATGCTATCCCTCCCCCACTCCCCCAACCCCACCACAGGCCCCGGTGTGTGATGTTCCCCACCCTGTGTCCAGGTGTTCTCATTGTTCAATTCCCCCCTATGAGTGAGAACATGCGGTGTTTGGTTTTCTGTCCTTGCGATAGTTTGCTCAGAATGATGGTTTCCAGCTTCATCCGTGTCCCTACAAAGGACATGAACTCATCCTTTTTTATAGCTGCATAGTATTCCATGGTGTATATGTGCCACATTTTCTTAATCCAGTCTGTCATTGATGGCCACCCAGTCCACTTTTGAAAAGTCTTCCTCTGTTCCCATAACCTAGCAGCCCACCTTGCAAATCTCACCTCCTCCAAAAAGGCTCCTATGATGACTCTGATGCAGACTCACCTTAGATTCGAAGTTATTTTTCTCTAATTTGTGTGGGATAGGATCTTCCTAATGTAAGACTTAACAACTCCACAAAATTGAACATTCCTTTTTTTAACACTTGGGTTGTCATTAGGGATTTTCCAAATATTCTGATCCTTTTCTTTCAGGGAACAGAGTTGGGTGACTTTGGCCCAAGGTCGCTGAAGTTGGGTGTGACCATGTGGCATACAGTGGTCAATGAACAGCAGGAAGCTGAGCCACTTTGTTGTTAAAACACTAAAAACCTGTATATTTGGCATGCTCTTGTTCCCTCTGCTGGAGCAAAGAACAATGTGCACATGTAATTTGAGCCAGAAATAACCCTTTTCAGCACAATGTAGCTCAATATGACTGTTGCACCCAGTTTACTCTCCTGAGATGAAATCTATAGTATCTATGTGTCTGTGTATGTGTCTGTATGAGTATGCATATATATTACTTATTTTTTTAAAGGGATTATAATGATCTGGCTGCAAACAAAGGAGAAAGAGGGGGCATTAAATTGTAATGCTTTATATCCAGTAAGTAAATGCTCTTATTGGACAACACTAGGAGACATAAGGAAGTAGATGCTTGTACCTACATATCTCATCACCTCAACGCAGCAGTTGCAAGTGCAGACTCTTGCCGATGTGCCAGTGACTCAAAGACCACTGTTGTCACTGACATGATTACCCAGAAATACCAACACATCTTAGGAAAGTTTTTGACAAGAGAGAGTTTAATCCTTCCTCGATTGGCAAAGCAGTTACATTCCTGGGAAAATGCAGTGGATTTGAAACTATGCCCCAAATACTTTGTGTTAGGGGACCCTAAGTAGTACAAACAGGAGTTGTATTCTCTTTTTTTTTTTTTTTTTTTTTTTTTTTTGCTGGAGTCTGGCTCTGTTGCCCAGGCTGGAGTGCAGTGGTGTAATCTCAGCTCACTGCAACCTCTGCCTCCCGGGTTCAAGCGATTCTCCTGCTTCAGCCTCCCGAGTAGCTGGGATTACAGGTGCCCGCCACCATGCCTGGCTAATTTTTGTATTTTTAGTAGAGACGGGGTTTCACCAGGCTGGTCTCAAACTCCTGATCTTAGGTGATCCACCTGCCTCGGCCTCCCGTAGTGCTGGGATTATAGGCTTGAACCACCGTGCTTGGCCCAGGAGTTGTATTCTTGATCTAGGTTTAAATGTAAACCTACACTTGGCCTAGGTTTTAAGTAAAACCCTACGTGTTTTTGCCTATGTAAAGGTCTGTTAGGACATTGGAAAGTTGTGCAGGATATGGGACAGTTCTTTCTAGTGTGACCTGCCCTGAATACTGCAGGACATCCACTATCCCTGACCCTGCCGGATAATGCAAGTAACACCCCAGCTCCAACTGTCATGATGATGAAAAATGCCCCCAGTATTGCCAAAGTGGCCCTTAGAAGCTGGTTTTTCCCTTCTTGAAGAGCACCGAAGCCTTTTTGAAGAAGGATGCCACCTATGTGTCATCTGGATGCCTAATAATAGCACCCGGCACTGAGTTGGGTTGGAGGTAGCTTCCTGACTCTGTTGAACCAAGTCTTTAAAGCCGATTCTGTTAAGCCAGGTTTGTCTCGCCAGCACATGATGAAGGGTTGTTGCTATGGACTGAGCCTCCAGGATTCTATCTGTGATGGTGTGACTGGGGCCCGTGACAGAGGACAGCACAGTGGCTACGCCAAGGGCTGGATAACACAGAGATGCCCTCTGGGCCAGCACCCCCAAGTGCCATGTATATTTCCAGAGCATCTCTAAGTTTCCCCCATTTGGCTGTGAGACCTCATCCACAAGGCCTTCTCCTACCTCCTGTGATGATCTCTGGGGTCGCCACCGCATCAGTGCCTTCACAGCATTCCTTGGATATGGCAGTGCATGGCTGGGCTGGCTCAGCTGAGAACAGCTGTCCACGCGGAACAGGAACCCATTGGAGGCAGCACGTATTCTCGGCTGCTCTGGTGAGAGTGGTGTTTCCAGATTCTGGTGGGCCTCCCTCTCCAACACAGCATACCTGGCTGACCTCCAGCTTGGCCCTGGAGGGGTTTCCCTCCTCCCTTTTTCTCCACAGCTTCATTTGAGAGTGGGATTCAGGAGGACTCTCCTCCACCAGCAGCTCACTTCCTGTTTGCATTGTTCGGAAAGCCAGGCAAGATCTGGGGATAAGTAACCCCTGTCCCCCACATTTACAGCTCTGAGGATTTTCTAAAAGGCTGATCAACAATCTGATTCCTGGGGACTCTGCTCTACTCTCTAATTTCAGAAAGCATGTTGCACTGTGGCCCTCAGCTGGGCATCCTGCCCTTAGAGTCCTGTCTCTTGGCATATCCTAGGTCTCAGCTAGGTGGCGGCTTTCCTCTGCTTCTGAAGGTAAACAATAGTAGCAGAGGGTAGAAGCCAGCTGTTCCTTGCCCCCAGGCCTCATTTCTAGGGTTGGCACTCCATGATGGCAAGAGACATTATCTCTGGCAGACAGCAGAGGGTGGCAGGGGACTGAAGATCTCATTTTGCCCATTTATGCGATTCCTCTCCGGCCCCAGTCTTATTTCCTGTCTTGTTCCCACCTTCTGCCTCTGTTCATGTATAGGCTTTAGCACACGGCAGACATTTAGCACACGGCAGACATTTGACATTCTGCAACTCTGCAAGATGTTCAGTTTCCTGATTATTGAATACCTAGACCTTCTTAATAAGCCTGAGCCTCATTTCCATTCTCATTTCCAGTAGGCCAGCTTGAACCAAACCATATTGCTATCATAAAGAAGCTTACTAGAAAAATAAAGAAATGGGAGAGGCTATAGTGTGTAGGGATTTATACTGCATAATAACACTTCAAAGAAATTAAGGAAGTGATTACTGTAAAAGTCAGAATCATTGTTAATTTGGGCGGCAGAGACTGGACTGTGGGTGGCCTGGAAAAGTTCTATTTCTTGATTTGCATGCTGGGCTCCAAGGGTATTTAGCTTATAATAATTCATCAAGCTATGCATTTTTGCATACTGTGTATATATGTATTTATTTTCCAGTAAAAAGTTAAACAATCCAATCAAAAGGCAGAGATTGTCAGGCTGGATTAAAAATCATGACCCAATTTTAGATTCTAAGAAACTAGTAGGTTGAATGTAAAATAATGGAAAAAAAGACGTAGCGGGTAAACAACAACCACAAGAAAGTAGAAGTGGCTATAGATATGCACCTAATACTGAAACGTCAAAACACACGAAGCAAAATGGACAGAAAGGCAAGAGAAAGATAATTCAACAATCGTTGGATACTTCAGTACCTCACTCTCAATAATAGATGGAACAACCGGACAGAAGATTGCTGAGGAAATAGAAGACTTTAATAATACTCTAAACCAACTAGACCTAGCAACATCTATAGAACATGTCACCTAACAACGGAATATATACTCCTCTCAAGTGCACATAAAACATTGTCCAGGAAAGATCATATGCTAGGGCATAAAATAAACATCAATACATTAAATAGGGTAGAATAATAAAAAGTGTGCTCTTCAGTCACAACGAATAAAATTAGAAATCAATAGCACAAAAAATCAGGAAACTCACAAATATGATATAATATTCCTAAATAATAAATGAGTCAAGGAGGAAATAAAAAAACTATTCAGAAAGTGGCTGGGCGCGGTGGCTCACACCTGTAATCCCTGCACTTTGGGACTCTGAGGCGGGTGGATCACCTGAGGTCAGAAGTTCGAGACCAGCCTGACCAATATGGTGAAACCCTGACTCTAGTAAAAATACAAAAATTAGCTGGGCATGGTGGCCTGTGCCTGTAGTCCCAGCTACTTTGGAGGCTGAGACAGTAGAATTGCTTGAACCCGGGAGGTGGAGGGTGCAGTGAGCCGAGATCACACCATTGTAATCCAGCCTGAGTGACAGGGCAAGATTCTGTCAAAAACAAAAACAAAAACAAAAACAAACAGAAAAAAGAATTCAGAAACTACTTTGTGGTAAATGAAAATAAAGATCAATATATCAAAAATTTATAGGATGCAGCTAAAGCAAAACTTATAGGAGAATTTATCATTGTAAATGTCTATATTCAGAAAGAAGAAAAATTAAAAAACTTGTATGTAAATGTTTCAAGCAGCATTCTTCATAATAGCCCAAAGTGGGAACAACCCAAATGCCATCAACTGACAGATGAACAAATGTGCTATATGGTACAATAGATTGTTAATTGGCCAGAAAAGGGAATGAAGTACTGATACCTTCAAAAGCATGGATGGATCTTGGAAATGCTATGCTAAGTGAAAGATGCCAGTCACAAAAGAATATACATTATATGATTCCATTCATGTGAAATTCCAGAACAGAGAAGTCTACAGAGACAGAAGGTGGAATAGTAATTACTTAGGGCTGAGGGAGGACGGGGAGGTGGATACAGGGATAATTGCTAAGGGTATGAGGTTGCATTTTGAGTTGATAAAATGCTCCTAAATTGACTGGGGTGATAAGTGCAAATATCTGTGAATATACTGAAACCATTGAAGTGTACACTTTAAGTGGGTGACTTGGTTGGTATCTGAATTACATATCAATAAAGTTGTTTTTTAAAAAGTTAAAAAGTGTTTAGAAACATTGCTGTAAGTACCTTTGAATACACATGAGTCAGACATATTTGGGAGGATCTGTAAATTCAGATTTAACCAATATAATAATATTAAACATTAAAAGTTTAGTTTTACTCATCTTTATCCAATGTAAACTGTATTTTATACTAATACTATAATAGAATAAGCTCCACTTTTTATATTTAACGTCTTCAGCATTTTCTAATATTTCAATTCAGTTTTTGTAATTAGCTATTTTAAAAGTCTGTCTACAATTTCAAGGAGTGAATTTGCTGAAGTTTATGTAGTAATTCTCCCTATCCCCTGTAAGAAATTGTCAAACCATTTTCCAAAGTGGTTGTACCATTTTGCATATCCACCTGAAATATAACAGAGTTCCAGCTGCTCTACATCCTCATCAGCGCTCTATGTTGTTAGCTTTTAAAAAGCTATTCTGGCCAGGCACGGTGGCTCATGCCTGTAATCCCAGCACTTTGGGAGGCCAAGGCAGGTTCGAGACCAGCCTAGCCAAACATGGTGAAACGCCGTCTCTACTAAAAATACAAAAAATTAGCTGGGTGTGGTGGCAGGCGCCTGTAATCCCAGCTACTCGTGAGGCTGAGGCAAAAGAATCCCTTGAACCACAGAGGCAGAGGTTACAGAGGCAAAAAAGTCACTTGAACCCCAGAGGCTGAGGTTGCAGTGAGCCAAAGTCACGCCATTGCACTCCAGTCTGGGCAACAAGAGTGAAACTCCGTCTCAAAAAAAAAAAAAAAAAAAAAAAGCTATTCAGCTATTCTAATAGGCGTGCAGCAAGATCTAATTATAGTTTTGATCTGCACTTCTCTAATTATGCTGATGAATATCTTTTTATGTGTTTATTTGCTACTCATATCTTTTTGGCTAAATATCTGTTCATGTCTTTTTCCAGTTTTTCTAAAAGTTGGCTAATTTGATTTCTTATTGAATTGTGAGAGTTTTTAAAATCCATATTATTTATACAAGACCTTCATCAGATATGTGATTTACAAATATCTTCCCCCAGTTTGTTGCTTGTCTTCATTGTCTTAACTGTATTTTTAGAAGAAAAGACTTTTAAAATTTTTGTCTAATTTATTAACTTTTAATTAATTAATTTTGCTAATTTTGTTTTCAGGGACTATTTTTGTGTGGCAGGAAATAGGGAGATATTGAAGAATTTTGAGCAGGGGATCAACATATTAAAAGAGACATTAGGATAAAAATTGGTTTGATTGTAGACAACAATTTAAATTGAAGTAGAAATAAATCTAGGGTAAGAGAAATTAGCTGTTACAATAAATTAGGCATGAAATAAATGAGGAATTTAGGTAAGTATGGTAACAACCAGAATTATACCTTATTAAAATTTCATCTATCTGCTTAACTAGAATCTGCTAATGATTGAATAGATTTTCTTATAGCCAGGGTTACTTCGGATGACTCCAAAGGGAAATCCAGAGACTTCCCTGATCAGCAACATGAGGAGGCCCCCAACCTCCTTAATCCTATTTGGCCAGTTCCTCCAATGCCCTTTTTAAGAAAATGTGTATCATGGTTTTCCATGCAGTCAGGAAACATAAACTTTCTAGGATGCAATTTAGTCATAATGCTTATATCTATTAGTTATTGCTATATCACAAACCACTTCAAAAGTTAGGGTCTTAAAACAACCATCAGCCGGGCGCCGTGGCTTGCTCCTGTAATCCTGGGCCGAGGCAAGCAGATCACTTGAGGTCAGGAGTTCGAGACCAGCTTGGCCAACGTGGTGAAACCACATCTCTACTAAAAGTATAAAAATTAGCCAGGCATGGTGGTGGGTGCCTGTAATGCCAGCTACTCGAGATGCTGAGGCAGGAGAATCACTGGAACCCAGGAGCGGAGGTTGCAGTGAGCTGAGATCGTGCCACAGCACTCCAGCCTCGGCGACAGAGCAAGGCTCTGTCTCAAAAAAAACAAAAACAACCAACCAACCAACCAACCAAACAAAAAACAAAACCGTTGTTTACTTAGCTCATGATTCTGAAGATTTGACCATTTGGGGTGGGAACAGCTGGGTTCTTCTGGTTCCTTCTGGGTCCTCTACTTGGCTACAGATGGCTTTGTTGATCTTGGCTGAGCTCTCTCAAATGTCCTGGTGCCTTGGCTAGCTTATTGAAGCCCAGGCTTAGCATTAACAAGTGCCTTCCATGGTATTTAATTGGACAAAGTAAGTCAAAGGCAGCCCAGATTCAAGGAGTGCATACAAGGAGGGGAATAATCGTAGGCATTTTTGCAAACAATCTGCTTCGGTGCTTATCTTCAGACCTGAGATATGGTCATGTTTGTGACATTCCTTGGAAAGAAAAGCATCCTAGAGACCTTTCTAGGAGTTACTGGTGAAGGAAGTATTTAGAAGATAAACTTTCATTAAATTCATTGTAGCAGGATCTGGGAATTAGGATCTCAAGGGGAAATCCCAACTCTTGTTGTTTGCTTCCCGTAAGAATAAGAAACAGCAGCATTATCAAGTGCTGTACTTTACTACAAATATTAACCGGCAACAATTGACCCTCTCTGGGACTTTCCATTTAGTTATTTACTGGAAGCTGTTCTGTAATTTTCAGCAGTGCTGTTATCTATGAGATTACTTTTCTTTTAGCTGTGCTGGGTTTTCAGACGCATTAATATAGCTTAATATCTCTTCCTGTTGCTTCTCTAATTAAAAGCTTGTTGGATTTCCAAATAAGAAATAACATACACAAGCACTGGTAATTCAGGCTGCTAATAATTGGGAGAAAAACTTCAGCAAGGAACAGCATCAACCAGGCATGAGGGATCTTATGATCCGGCAAAGAAAGAGGCCTAGGAGTCTGGGGAGGATTGCAGGGCAGTGATCTGGCTCTGAGCAGCTGGCCTCCCTGAGAGGGGCTGCTGCCGATGAAGGACCGCCAACAGACAGCCTGAGTATAGTGCATGTGCCCTGTCCCAAGATGGATGTTTGAATCCTGGATCCAAGAGAAGAGCTCATGTCTGTTTTTCCAATCACTGCTTGTATCCTTTCCTGCTTCCCCAAGTCCCTCATTCCTCTCCTCCCGGCGGCTTTTGCCCTCTTTGGTCCAGGCCGCAGGAAACCGTTCCTCTAGTTCTAACAATCGGCCACTAGATGGCACTAGATGTTCGGATTAAAGTGCCTTCCTGAGCTCCACGGGCCCAGGGCGAGGGCAGGCAGGGTCTGAAGACAGCTTCTCTCGGCCACCGTCATTCTCTCTCCCACTTCGCTCTTCACTTCTCATCCCTTCCTCATCCCATTTAAACATTAGATTCCTTCCAGCAGCGGTGTTTGCGTGATTTCAAAGGTAGGGAAACCGTGTGTTTCGTATGGTGGGGTGCCGGTGGAAGAAAGGGAGTTTGTGGGTTCCACAAGAACCTTAGGTGCCCGCTAAGGACACAGATCGAACTCCAGGCAAGAAAGGCACAGCGACTGCTTCCCTCTCTCGCGCCATGAGCACTGGCCTCTCTTAAGCAACCCCGCTGAGCTGTTGAATAGACCCCTCACACTGTTACTTCAAAAACTGAATTCTTGGTTGGGCGCGGTGGCTCATGCCACCCAGCACTTTGGGAGGCCGAAGCGGGTGGATCACTTGAGGTCAAGAGATCAAGATCAGCCTGGCCAACATGGCGAAACCCCGTCTCTACTAAAAATACAAAAGAAATTAGCTTGGCCTGGTAACAGGCACCTGTAATCCCAGCTACTCAGGAGGCTGAGGCAGGAGAATCGGTTGAATCTGGGAAGCAGAGGTTGCAGTGTGCCAAGATCGCGCTACTGCACTCCAGCCTGGGCGGCAGAGTGAGACTCCATTTCAAACATAAATAAAATAGGCCTGGCGCGGTGGATCACGCCTGTAATCACAGCACTTTGGGAGGCCGAGGCGGGCGGATCACGAGGTCAGGAGATCGAGAACATCCTGGCTAATACGGTGAAACCCCGTCTCTACTAAAAATACAAAAAATTACCTGGGCGTGGTGGCGGGCTCCTGTAGTCTCAGCTACTCGGGAGGGTGAGGCAGGAGAATGGTGTGAACCCGGGAGGCGGAGCTTGCAGTGAGCCGAGATGGCGCCACTGCACTCCAGCCTGGGCGACAGAGTGAGACTCCGTCTCAAATAAAATAAAAAATAAAAAAAAATAATAAAATCACATCAAATAAAACACAAAAATTGAACTCTTCCTTCTCTCCACCCTCTCTCATCCCAATCCATTCTTCTTTTTATAGTTCCATCCTCACTGATGTGAATTTTTTGTTTGTTTGTTTGTTTTCTGAGACAAAGTCTCTCTCCATCACCCAGGCTGGAGTGCAGTGGTGCGGTCTTGGCTCATTGCAAGCTTCGCCTCCCGTGTTCAAGCAATTCTCCTGCCTCAGCCTCCCGAGTAGCTGGGACAGGGCCCGCCACTACACCCAGCTAATTTTTGTGTTTTTAGTAGAGACGGGGTTTCATTATGTTGGCCAGGCTGGTCTCGAACTTCTGACCTCAGGCAATCCACCCACCTCGGCCTCCCAAATTGATGGGATTACAGGCGTGAGCCACCGGGCGGTCTCATGTCACCTTTTAACCTAATCATTTCTGGAAGCTAAAAGTCATCCTGTTTTCTTACATAAGTCTAGCGCCTTTTCCAATCTGCTACCATAATGCTCCCTAACTTCATGTCTGCCCCCACCCCTCCCTTTCCGTTTGTACTGAATAATGGCGCCGGTTTTGGGATCATCTATTTAATTACACAAGCCCTGGTATTCACACTGGGGATACAGCAGTGACTTCCAAGCTGAAACTTTAAGGATGAGTTGAAGTTAGCCAGGCAAATAGGGGTAACAGCATTCTTGATAGAGCAGATTTCAGCTGGGAGTGACTCTGCCTGGAAGGAGCCATTTGACAATATCCATAGACATTTTTGGTTGTTACGCTCTGGGGAAGGAGTGGGGTTTTCTCCTGACATCTAGTGGGGAAATCCAAGGATGCTCTAAACATCCGGCGATGCCCAGGACAGTCCCCCCACAACAAATATTAACTTCCAAATATTAGTAGTGCTAAGCTTGAGAAACCCTGTAATAGAGAAAGCTGCAGAGAGAACATGGCTTTTTTGAGAAACTGAAAGTTTTCTTAGAATGGGAATGAAGGTTGGGAGATGTGACTAGGGACCGTGGTGTGCAGAGCTGCACCTGGGAGTTTGTACTCTCTCCCCAGGCCAATGGAAGTAACTGGAGATATTGGAGCCACTGGAGACTCTATTCCAAGGGCCATTGAAAACCATTGATAGGAGGTATGGACCCTCACAAATATGTGAATGAATAGGCTCCATTTCTGTCATGGGTTTGAACCAGGCCTTCTTGTCCAGACCTCTGTAAATCAATATTGATATGCTATCAGCCTTCTGAAATAAACCATAAGTGTAATATTCACTTACTTCATAAACAAGCAAATACAGTAATTGAACTTGTGTGACAAAGCACTGTTCTATGCTTTTCAAAATGATTTTTACTTTTCATCATCCTGATGTGTCCAGAATCGGTTCCTTCCAGTGGGTTCTCGGTCTCGCTGACTTCAAGAATAACGTTGCGGACCCTCGCGCTGAGCATTACAGTTCTTAAAAATGGTGTGTCCAGACTTTGTTCCTTCAGATGTTTAGATGTGTCTGGAGTTTGTTTCTTCTGGCGGGTTCGTGGTCTCGCTGCCTTCAGGAGTAAAGCTGCAGACCTTCCCAGTGAGCCTTACAGCTCATAAAAGTGGCGCAGATCCAAAAAGCGAGCTGCAGCAACAATTATTGCAAGGAACAAAAAAACAAAGCTTCCACGCTGTGGAAGGGCATCCGAGCAGGTTGCAGCCGCTGGCTTGGGTGGCCTGCGTTTATTCCCTTACTTGGCCCCACCCACATCCTGCTGACTGGGCCATTTTACAGAGAGCTGATTGGTCCATTTTACAGGGAGCTGATTGGTCCGTTTTGACAGAGTGCTGATTGGTGCATTTACAATCCTTTAGCTAGACAGAAAAGTTCTCCAAGTCCCCACCCTACCCAAAAGCCCAGCCAGGTTCACCTCTTGCCACAGTCCTCTGTAATAAATATCTTTTTTGTTTTTTAAATCCTTATTTTTTCAGGTAAGGACACAGAAGCCCAGGGAATATAAGTAACCTCCCAAAAATCGCACAGCAGGTAAGTAATAAGGTCGAGAGTTTAATCCAGAGCTGCAAGATGGCAGAGTCCAAGTTCACAGCCATAAGCTATACTGTTATTATGCTGTTTTGCCATTATTTCCAAAGAGTAACAAAAGGAAATGATCACCCATCTTTTATATATTTCAAGGCTACTATTCATGTCTTTTATATATGTCGAGGCTACTATTTCAGTAGCCTTGAAAATAGAACATAGATTTAATGTACTTTCTTAGAAAACTTTGTTCTATGTGTATGCATTTTTTGAATAGTATAATCCAATAATAGTTGGAAAGAACTTGAAAAAAATACACTCCACATACTTATGGTCATAAAAAATAAGTATTGAATTAAAAAGTTAGGAGTAAAATAATCGAACCCAAGAAAAGCAGAAAAAATAAAAGCAGAAATGTATATGTTAGAAACTAGAAACATTTATAGAAACTAAATAAATGCATGAGTTTGTTTGAAAAATCAGAGAAATATATAAACTATTAGGTCATCTAATCGTTTTTTAAAAGGAATACCTAAAACCATGTATTAGAAATGACAATGTAGAACTAATTGCAAAACCAGAGGAAAGTAAATGAACCAGCATAACATGATTTTTGCTTAATATTTACAAATATACCTATATGAAATTGGTTGACATTATAGGAAAATATGAAGTAACAAAATGTATCTTTTTTTTTTGAAATGGAGTCTTGCTCTGTCTCTCAGGCTGGAGTGCAGTGGCGCCATCTCGGCTCACTGTAACGTCCGCCTCCCGGGTTCACGCCATTCTCCTACCTCAACCTGTATCTGGGACTACAGGCGCCCGCCACCACGCCCGGCTAATTTTTTGTATTTTTAGTAGAGACCTGGTTTCACCGTGTTAGCCAGGATGGTCTCGATCTCCTGACCTCGTGATCTGCCCGCCTCGGCCTCCCAAAGTGCTGAGATTACAGACGTGAGCACCGCGCTTGGCCTTTTTTTTTTTTTTTTTTTGAGACAGAGTCTTGATCTGTCGCCCAGGCTGGAGTGCAGTGGTGTGATCTCGGCTCACTGCAGGCTCCGCCTCCCGGGTTCAAGCAATTCTCCTGTCTCAGCCTCCCGAGTAGCTAGCACTAACAGGCACTGGCCACCACGCCCAGCTAATCTTTGTCTTTTTAGTAGAGACGGGTTTCGCCTTGTTGGTCAGGCTGGTCTCGAACTTCTGACCTCAGGTGATCCACCCGCCTCAGTCTCCGAAAATGCTGGGATTACAGGCGTGAGCCACCGCACCCGGCCCAAAATGTATCTTAAAAGAGTTAAAACATATATAGGCCAAAGACAGTAGAAGAAATAGAGAAATTTGCCAAAGAGTTACTGCTAGCCTCCACAAAATGCACCAGGCCCAGATGATTTCATGAAACTATATGACCATAACTTTGCTGAACATGGAACTTTAATGCACTTTAAATATCTGCAGAATAGAATGGAAAAAAAGAAAAATCCTTCACATTCATCTGATGATGTGAAAAACATGCTAATATCAAGCCTGTCAAAGAGGAAATAGAAAATGATAGATAAATCTTTATTTTGAATATTGATGTAAAAATTGTGAAAAGAATTCAGTAGCAGATCGATGCAAATAATATTCCATGAATTGTGTTTATTCTGATAATGTTAGAATTGTTCAGTATTAGGAAATGTGATGGTTAATTGTGTGTATCAACTTGGCTGGGCTCAGTTTCTAGATAGTTGGTTAAACATTATTCTGTGTATTTCTATGAGAATGTTTTTGGATGAGATTAACATTTATTTTATTTTATTTTTTTCTTTAAAAATTTTTTATTTTTAATTGTGAGTATGCAGTAGGAGTACATATTTCTGGGGTACATAAGATATTTTGATACAGGCATGCAATGTGTAATAATTACATTAGGGTAAATGGGGTATCTATCCCCTCATGCATTTATCCTTTGCAATACAAAAAGTCCAATTATACTCTTAGTTATCTTAAAATGTATCATTAAATTATTATTGACTATAGTCACTCTATTGTGCTATCAAATACTAGGTCTTATTCATTCTTTCTACTTTTTTGCACCCACTAACCATCCCCACATTCCCCTCCCCCTCCTGCCCACCCCTCAGTCCAATTAGCCTTCCCAGCCTCTGGTAACCTTCCTTCTACTCTCTAGCTCCATGAGTTTCATTGTTTTATTTTTTAGCTCTCACAAATAATTGAGAACATGTGAAATTTGTCTTTCTGTGCCTGGCTTATTTCACTTAACATAATGATCTCCATTTCCATCCATATTGTTGCAAATGACAGGCTCTTATTCTTTTTCTATGGCTGAATAGTCCACAATTGTGTATATGTACCACATTTTCTTTATCTGTTTGTGTGCTGGTGGAACTTGGGTTGCTTCCAAATCTTGGCTATTGTGAATAGTGCTGCTGTAAACATAAGAGTGCAGATATCTCTTTGATATACTGATTTCCTTTTTTGGGGGTATATACCAAGTAGTGGATCATATGGTAGCTCTAGTTTTAGTTTTTTGAGGAATCTCCAAACTGCTCTCCATAGTGGTGGTCTTAATTTACATTCCCACCAACAGCGTACGAGGTTTTCTCCACATCCTCGCCAGCATTTGTATTGCCTGTCTTTGGATAAAAGCCATTTTAACTGAAGTGAGATGATACGTCATTGTAGTTTTCATTTGCATTTCTCTGATGATCAGTGATGTTGAACACGTTTTTATATGCCTGTTGCCCATTTGTATGTCTTCTCTGAGAAATGTCTACTCAAATATTTTGCCCATCTTTTAATTGGCTTATTAGATTTTTTTCCTATAGAGTTGTCTGAGCTCCTTTTATATTTTGGTTATTAATCTCTTGTCAGATGGGTAGTTTGCAAATATTTTAGCCCATTCTGTGTGTTGTCTATTCTCTTTATTGATTGTTTTCTTTGCTGTGCAGAGGGATTTTTTTTTTAACTTGATGAGTTCCCATTTGTCCATTTTTTTCTTTGGTAGCCTATGCTTGTCTGGTATTACTCAAGAAATCTTTGTCTACTCCAATGTCCTGGAAAGTTTCCCTCATGTTTTGTTGTAGTAGTTTCATAGTTTCAGGTTTTAGATTTAAGTCTTTAATCAACTTTGATTTGATTTTTGTATGTGGTGAGAGTTAGGGGTCTAGTCTGATTCTTCTGCATATGGATAGCCAGTTTTCCTAGCACCATTTATTGAAGAGACTGTCTTTACCCCAGTGTATGTTCTTTTTAAAAATGAGTTTGCCGTAGGTGTGTGGATTTGTTTCTGGGTTCTTTATTCTGTTCCATTGGTCTATGTGTCTGTTTTTATGCCAGTACCATGCTGTTTTGGTTACTAAAGCTCTGTAGTATAACTTGAAGTCAGGTACTGTGATTCCTTCAGTTTTGTTCTTTTTTCTCCAGACAGCTTTGGCTATTCTGGGTCTTTTGCAGTTCTATATAAAATTTTTAAGATTTTTTTTCTATTTCTGTGAAGAATATCATTGGTATTTTGATAGGGATTGCACTAAATTTGTAAATTGCTTTGGGTAGTATGGACATTATAACAATATTCATTCTTCCAATCCATGAACATAGAATATATTTCCATTATTTTCGTGTCCTCTTCAATTTCTTTCATCAGGATTTTATAGTTTTCATTACAGAGATCTTTCACTTCTTTGGTTAAGTTAATTTTTAGGTATTTAACTTTATTTGTAGCTTTTGTTAATGAGATTACTTTCCTCATCTCTTTTTCAGATTGTTTGCTGTTGGCATATAGAAATGCTACTGATTTTTGTATGTTGATATTGTATCCTGCAAGTTTGCTGAGCTTGTCTATCAGTTCTAATAGTTTCTTTGTGGAGTCTTTAGGTTTTTCCAAATGTAAGATTATATCATCCTCAAACAGGGATAATTTGATTACTTTCTTTTCAGTTTGGATTTCCTTTATTTCTTTCTCTTCTGTGATTGCTCTAGCTAGGACTTTCAGTACTGTGTTAAGTGACAGTGGTGAAAGTGGGCATCTTTGTCATGTTCTACACCTTAGAGGAAAGGCTTTCAGTTTTTCCCCATTCAGTATTATACTAGGTGTGGGTCTGTTGTGTATGGCTTGTATTATGGTGAAGTATGTTCTCTCTATACCCAGTTTTTTGAGAGTTTTTATTATGAAGGGATGTTGAATTTTATCAAATGCTTTTTCAGCTTCAATGGGGATAATCACATAGATTTTTTTCTCCATTTTGTTGACACGATATATCACATTGATTGATTTGTGTATGTGGAATTATCCTTGCATCCCTGGGATAAATCCCACTTGGTCATGATGAACGATTTTTTTAGTATTTTGTTGAATTTTGTTTGCAAGTATTTTGTTGAGGTTTTTTGCATCAATATTCATCAGGGATATTGGCCTGTAGTTTTGTGGATTTTTTTAAAAATGTGTATTTGTCTGATTTTGGTATCAGGGTAATACTGACTTTGTAGAATGAGTTTGGAAGTATTCACTCTATCTTTTGAAGTAGTTTGAATAGGATTGGTATCAGTTTTTCTTTAAATGTTTGGTAGAATTAAATAGTGAAGTTGTCAGGTCCCAGGCATTTATTTGCTGGGACACTTTTTATTATGGCTTCAGTCTCATTACTTTTTATTGGGCTGTTCAGGTTTTGGATTTCTTCATGGCTTAATTTTGGTAGGTTGTGTGTGTCTAAGAATTTCATCCACTTCTTCTAGATTTTCCAATCTATTGGCATATAGTTGCTCCTAGTAGCCACTAAAGATCCTTTGAGTTTCTGCAGTATTGATTGTAATGTCTCCTTTCATCTCTGATTTTATTTATTTGGATCTTTTTACTTTCTTTCTTAGTCTGCCTGAAGGTTTGTCAATTTTGTTTATCTTTTCAAAAAACCAACTTTTTGTTTCATTGATGTTTTGTAATTCAATTTCATTTACTTCTGCTCCGATCTTGAATATCTCTTCTAGTAATTTTGGGTTTGGTTTGGTCTTGCTTTTCTAGTTCTTTAAGATGAATCATTAAGTTATTTATTTGAAGTTTTTCTTCCTTTTTGATGTAGGCACTCATAGCTATAAACTTCCCTCTTAGTACTGCTTTCATTTTATCCCATAGGTTTTCTTATGTTGTGTTTCCATTATCATTTGTTTCAAGACATTTTTCAGTCTCCTTAATTTCTTCATTGACCCACTGATCATTCAGGAGCATATTGCTTAATTTCCATGTGTTTGTATAGTTTCCAAAATTTCTCTAGTTATTGATTCTAGTTTTATTCTATTGTGGTCAGAGAAGATGCTAGATATTATTTCAGTTATTTTGAATGTTTTAAGACTTGTTTTATGACCTAACGTGGTCTATCCTTAAGAATGATCCATGTGCTGTGGAGAAGAATGTGTATTCTGCAGCCATTGGATGAAATGTTCTGTAAATATCTATTAAGTCCATTTGGTCTATAGTGCAGATTAAGTCTGATGTCTCTTTATTGACTTTCTGTCTGGGAGATCCATCCAATGAGGAAAGTGGGTGTTTAAGTCTCCAGCTATTATTGTATTGGGGTCTATCTCTGTCTTTAGCTCTAATAGTAGTTGCTCTATATATCTGGGTGCCCCAGTATTGGGTGCACATATTTTTACAGTTATTGTATCCTTTTGCTGAGTTGACTTCTTTATCATTATACAATGACCTTCTTTGTCTCTTCGTACAGTTTTTACTTGAAATCTATTTTGTCTGATGTAAGTATAGCTACTCCTACTCTTTTTTGGTTTCCATTGGCATGGAATATCTATTTCCATATCTTTATTTTCAGTCTATGTTTGTTTATAGGTGAAGGGTATTTCTCATAGGCAGCAGGCAATTGGGTCTTATTTTTTTTATTTTTTAATTTTCACTCAGCCACTCTGTGTCTTTTGATAGGAGAGTTTAGTCTATTTACATTCGGTGTTATTATTGATAAGTGAAGACTTACTGCTGCCATTTTGTTATTTGTTTTCTGGTTGTCGTGTGGTCTTCTCTTCCTTCTTTTCTTCCGTCCCATCTTACTTTTAGTGAAGGTGATTATTTCTGGTGGTATGATTTAATTTTTACTTTTTATTTTTTGTGTATCTGCTGTATGCTTTTTGATTTGAGATTATGATGAGGCTTGCAAATACTATATTATAATCCATTAATTTAAAGTGATGACAACTTAACACTGATTGCAGAAACAAATGAACAAAAAGGAGACATACTCTACAAAACTCCCCCACTTTTAATCTTTTTATTGCTTCTATTTATATCTTATTGTACTGTCTATATCTTTAAAGGTTGTTGTAGTTATTATTTTTGATTGGTTCATCTTTTAGTCTTTCTAACAGTAGTTTACACAGATTAATTACAGTGTTATAATATTCAGTGTTTTAGTGTTTTTCTGTGTCTTTGCTGTTACCAGGGAGTTTTGTACCTTCAGATGATTTCTTATTGCTCATTAATGCCCCTACCTTCCTTCCTTCCTTCCTTCCTTCCTTCTTTCCTTCCTTTTCTTTCTTTCTTTTCTTTTCTTCTCTTTTCTCTTTCTTTCTCTTTCTTTCTTTCTTTCTTTCTCTCTCTCTCCCTTTCTTCCTTCCTTTCTTTCTTTCTTTCTTTCTTTCTTTCTTTCTTTCTTTCGTTCTTTCGTTCTTTCGTTCTTTTGTTCTTTCGTTCTTTCTTTCTTTCTCTTTCTTTCTTTCCCTTCCTTCCTTCCTTCCTCCCTCCCTACCTCCCTCCCTCCCTTTCTTTCTTTCCCTCCCTCCCTCCCTTCCTTCTTTTGGCTTTCTTTCTCCCTTTAGCATTTCTTTTAGGACACGTCTGGTGTTGATAAAATCCTTCAGCTTTTTTTTGTCTAAGAAAGTCTTTATTTCTCCTTCATGTTTGAAGGATATTTTCACTGGATATAGTATTCCAGAATAAAAGTTTTTTCTTTCAGCACTTTAAATATGGCATGCCACACTCTCCTGGCCTGTAAGATTACACTGAAAAGTCTGCTGCCAGATGCATTAGAGCTCCATTGTATGGTATTTATTTCTTTTCTCTTGATGCTTTTAGGATACTTTCTTTATCCTTGATCTTTGGGAGTTAGATTATTAAATGCCTTGAGGTAGTTTTCTTTGGGTTAAATCTGCTTGGTGTTCTATAACCTTTTTGTACTTGAACACTGATCTTTTCCTAGGTTGAGAAGTTTTCTGTTACTATCCCTTTGAATAAACTTTCCATCCCTGTCTCTTTCTCAACCTCTTCTTTAAGGCCAATAACTCTTGGATTTGCCCTTTTGAGGCTATTTTCTAGATCTTGTGGGCATGCCTCATTCTTTTTTATTTTTTCTTTAGTCTCCTCTGACCGTGTATTTTCAAATGGCCTGTCTTCAAGATCACAGATTGTTTCTTCTCAATCAATTCTGCAATTAAGAGACTCTGATGCATTCTTCAGTATGTCAGTTGCATTTTTCAACTCCCGAATTTCTGTTCAATTCTAATTATTTTAATCTATTTGTTAAATTTATTGATAGAATTATGAGTTCCCTTTCTGTGCTATCTTGAATTTTATTTAGTTTCTTCAAAACAACTATTTTGAATTCTCTGTCTGAAAGGTTACATATGTCTGTTTCTCCAGGACTGGTCCTTGGTCCCCTATTTAATTCATTTGGTGAAGTCATGGTCTTGATGCTTGTGGATGTTTGTTGCTGTCTTGGCATTGAAGAGTTAGGTATTTATTATAGTCTTCACAGTCTGTGCTTGTTTGTACCCATCCTTCTTGGGAAGGTTTTCCATGTATCTGAAGGGACTTGGGAGTTGTAGCTAAGTTGTATGTGCATTAGGGGGCACTCCAAACCCAGTAATGCTGTGGTTCTTGCAGACTCATAGAGGTACTCATAGCAGCCTTGGTGGTCTTGGATACAACCTGGAAGAATTATCTGGATTACCAGGCAGAGATTCTTGTTCTCTTCCCTTACTTTCTCCCAAACAAACAGAATATCTCTTTCTGAGAGAGCTGAGCTAGGAGTGGGGTGACACAAGCACTCCTTTGGACACAAGTTCCAGGCACCACCACTGGGACTGCACTAGGTCAGACCTGAGGCCAGCACAGTGCTGCATCTCACCCAAGGCCCACTGTAACCACTAATTGGCTAACATCTATGCTCACTCAAGGTCCTAGGGCTGTACATTCAGCAGGTGGCAAAGCCAGCCAGGCTTGTGTCTTTCCCTTCAGGGTGGTAAGTTCCTTCAGTTTCTGGGCAGGTCCAGAGATGCCATTTGGGAGCCAAGGCCTGGAATCAGGGACCACAAGAGCCTGCTTGGTGTTCTACCCCACTGTGGCCAAGCTGGTACCTAAGGTACAAGACTAAGTCATTTTTTACTTTTCCCTCTGTTTTATTCAAGCAGAAGGAGTCTCTCACCATAGCCACCACAGCTGGGAATGTGCTGGGTCTCACTTGAAGCCAGCATATCTCAGAACTTCACATAAGGCCCTTGACATAGTACCTGGATATTGCTGCTGGTTCTTCAATGCCCAAGGGCTCTTTAGTCAGCAGATGATGAATCATCCAGGACTGAGCCCTTCCCTTCAAGGCAACGGATTCCCTTCTGGCCTTGGGTGTATCTAGAAATGTTGTCTGGGTGCTAGGGCCTGGAATGGGGGCCTCATGATTTCCTAGTGCCCTATGCTACTGTGGCTGAGCTGGTATCCAAGATGCAAGATGAAGTTCCCTTCACTCTTCCATCTCCTCTCCTCAAGCAGAAGGAAGGAGTCACTTTTGTTACTGTGAGCTGTGCTGCCTGGGGTTGGGGGAGGGGTGGTGTAAGCACTCCCTTAGCCACCCTAGCTGGTGTCTCAGTAGGTCATGTGCCCCCCATATTCACTAGCTCTGGGCTCAGCACAGCACTAGGATTTGCCTAGGAATTGCAGTCCTTATGGCCTAAATTGCCTTTCAAGTTTATTTGACACCCCAGAGCACTTTAGTTCACAGTGGAGAGGCTTGCGAAAACTCAGGTTCTGACCACTAGGAGTGGTGATTCCCCTCTGGGAAAGGCTGGTCTACATGCTTCCTCCATGGGCGGGCATCAGCTGAGTTTAGCCCAGTTTTGCTTTCTGCCGTGGCAGGGCAGCACTGAGTTCAATGCAGGCTCCCACAATCACTGTGCTCTCCCTTCCCCTACTGCACAGATTATCCGCACCACACAGCCACTGATGGGGGATGTGGGGAGGGTGGCACTGGGGAGTCAAGACTGTCTTTCCTACCCTCCATAGTGCCTCTTTCAGTGATATGAAGTTAAAACCAGGTGATGTGATTGCTCACCTGATTTTTGGATCTAATGAAGGGGCTTTTTTGTATAGATCGTTGTTAAATTGGTGTTCATGTGGGGTGGCGGGGAGAATGGTGGAGGCTTCTATTCAGCCATCTCGCTCTACCCTCTCTCTGAGATTAATGTTTAAATTGGTGGACTTTGAGGAAAGCAGATTACTTTTTACAATGTGGGTGAGTCTCATCCAATCAGATGAAGGTCTGAATAGAACACAAAGACCAACCCTTGCCCACGTAAGACAAAGAGGAGCTGGTACCATTCCTCCTGAAACTATTCCAAACAATTGAAAAAGAGGGACTCCTCCCTAACTCGTTTTATGAGGCCAGCATCATCCTGATACCAAAACCTGGCAGAGACATACAAAAAAAGAGCACTTCAGGCCAATATCCCTGATGAACATTTATGCAAAAATCCTCAGTAAAATACTGGCAAACTGAATCCAGCAGTACATCAAAAAGCTTATGAACCATGATCAAGTCAGCTTCATCCCTGGGATGCAAGGCTGGTTCAACATACACAAATCAATAAACATAATCCATCACATAAACAGAACCAATGACAAAAAACACATGATTATCTCAATAGATGCAGAAAAGGCCTTTGATAAAATTCAATATCCCTCCGTATTAAAAACTCTGAATAAACTAGGTATTGATGGAACATACCTCAAAATAACAAGAGCTGTTTGTGACAAACCCACAGCCAATATCATACTGAATGGGCAAAAGCTGGAAGCATTCCCTTTGAAAACTGGCACAAGACAAGGATGCCCTCTCTCACCATATTCCCTTTGAAGCATTCCCTTTGAAAACTGGCACAAGACAAGGATGCCCTCTCTCATCCTATTCAACATAGTATTGGAAGTTCTGGCCAGGGCAATCAGACAAAAGAAAGAAATAAATGGTATTCAAATAGGAAGAAAGGAAGTCAAATTCTCCCTGTTTGCAGACGACATGATTGTATATTTAGAAAACCCCATCGTCTCAGCCCAAAATCTCCTTAAGCTGATAAGCAACTTCAGGGAAGTCTCAGGATACAAAATCAATGTGCAAAAATCACAAGCATTCCTATATACCAATAATAGACAAGCGGAGAGCCAAATCATGAATGAACTCACATTCACAATGCCTACAAAGAGAATAAAATACCCAGGAACACAGCTAACAAGGGATGTAAATGACCTCTTCAAGGAGAACTATAAAATAATATAAATAAGAGAGAATACAAACAAATGGAAAAACATTCCATGCTTATGGATAGGAAAAATCAATATCGTGAAAATGACCATACTGCCCAAAGTAATTTATAGATTCAATGGTATTCCCATCAAGCTACCATTGACATTCTTCACAGAATTAGGAAAAACTACTTTAAAAGTCATATGGAACCAAAAAAGAGCCCGTATAGCCAAGTCAATCTTAAGCCAAAAGAACAAAGCTGGAGGCATCATGCTACCTGACTTCAAACTATACTACAAGGCTACAGTAACCAAAACAGCATGATACTGGTACCAAAACAGATATATAGACCAATGGAACAGAATAGAGACCTCAAAAATAAGACCACATGTCTACAATTATCTGATCTTGGACAAATCTGACCAAAACAAGCAATGGGAAAAGGATTCCTTATTTAATAAATGGTGTTGGAAAACTGGCTAACCATATGCAGAAAACTGAAACTGGACCCCTTCCTTACACCTTATACAAAAATTAACTCAAAATGGATTAAAGACTTAAAGGTAAAACCCCAAACCACAAAAACCCTAGAAGAAAATCTAGGCAATACCATTCAGGACATAGGCATAGGCAAAGATTTTATTACGAAATCACCAAAAACAATTGCAACAAAAGCTAAAATTCACAAATGGGATATAATTAAACTAAAGAGATTCTGCATAGAAAAATAAACTATCATCAGAGTTAACAGGCAGCCTACAAAATGGGAGAAAATTTTTGCAATTTACCCAACAAACAAAGTTCTAATATGCAGAATTTACAAGGAACTTAAACAAATTTACAAGAAAAAAACAACCCCAACAAAAAGTGAGCGTAGGACATAAACAGACATTTCTCAAAAGAAGACATTTTTGCAGCCAACAAACATATGCAAAAAAGCTCAACATTACTGATCATTAGAGAAATGCAAATCAAAAACACAATGAGATACCATCTCACACCAGTCAGAATGGCTATTATTAAAAAGTCAAGAAACAACAGATGCTGGCAAGGCTTTGGAGAAATAGGTGGGAGTGTAAATTAGTTCAACCATTGTGGAAGACAGTGTGGTGATTCCTCAAAAATCTAGAACCAGAAATACCATTTGACTCAGCAATCCCATTACTGGATATATACCCAAAGGAATATAAATCACTCTATTATAAAGATACATGTACACGTATGTTTATTGCAGCACTATTCACAATAGCAAAGATATGGAACCAACCCAAACGCCCATCAATGATAGACTGGATAAAGAAAATGTGGTACATATATGCCATGGAATACTATGCAGCCATAAAAAGGAATGAGATCATGTCCTTTGCAGGGAAATGGATGAAGCTGGAAGCCATCATCCTCAGCAAACTAACACAGGAACAGAAAACCAAACACCACATGTTCTCACTCATAAGTGGAAGCTGAACAATGAGAATGCATGGCCACAGGGAGGGGAACAACACACACTGAAGCCTGTTGGTGGGGAGCAAGGGGAGGGAGAGCATGAGGACAAATAGCCAATGCATGAGGGGCTTAATGTCTAGGTGATAGGTTGATAGGTGCAGCAAACTACCATGCACATAGTATCCTGGAACTTAAAGTGAAATTAAAAAAAATTATTTGCCATATGAAATCACTGCCAAGCTCACCTCTTTATAAATTATTTTTCTCAAGGATCTTGGTTTAAGTTCTCACTACCTTTTTAGCTCTCGAGTATTTTTAAATACCTATTTTAAAAATGGATTCTAAACATTTCTAGTTGTCTTTAGTAGGGAGAGTTAGTCTGAAACCAGCTATTCTGTCATTACCAGAAGCATAAATCTCTGATTACTAATCTTTGAAGTATATACAAATTTCTGACACCAATTGCTTATAAGAGGCTTGTGTAGAACAATCAGGGCTCTCTATCAAACTAGGTAAAATTTTCTGACCCAGGGTTTGGTGTATAAGTTCATCTAACTTAATTTATTTTCTATAAACTGGATAAACATTTGTGGAATTTTCCTTTTTACCCACTGCTACAAAGAAAGTGCTTATGATTCCTGTGTCTATTTTTCTAATTGTTTTTTTTTTAACCTTACAAAGACTTCCAGGAAGATGAATGGAGAAATTCTAACTTTATAATGCTATATTTAAATCAGAAGTCTGACCTCATTTATATTTTAAATGGATCTCTCTGGCTACTGTGTGATATATTAATTCAAATAGCAAATGACTGGAATGAACCTAAGTGTACATGAATACAAGATGGTTAAATAAATTATGATAAATTCATTTAATAAAACATAGCAATTAAAAATAATTAGGTAGCTTTCTATGTAATGACATGGAACTATTCCAAATATTACTGAGTGAAAAAAGCAAAGTGTAGAACAATGTGTGTGGTATTACTGCTACCATTTGTGTGAAAAAAGATTTTGTATACATATTTTTATAAGTGGATAGACTGTCTCTGGAATAAAATGCAAAGCTAGTAAAAGCTGCCAGTTTTTAGAAAAGCTGTTTCTAGGGAATGAAACAAGGTTATTGGGGACAGGTCCAAGATGAATATTAACTTTTTAATGCATATTCTTTTGTATTTTTTGGATGTTGTATTGTGGGCATGTTTTACCTATTCAAAATGTAAATAAAATTTTTACTTAAATAAAATGTATATTTTACTGCCCTCCAGTGATACAGTTTTCATTTGGGGATAGGTCTAGCCCATCTATTTTTTCATTTCTTTATTAAAATACATATTTGATATAATTAGAGAATTTTATGTCTTTTTTGATATAACATATTTCATTTTGTTTTATTACTTTCAAAATTATAATTTAAAAGTTTTGCATGATGTTTAGTTCAGGTATAACAACTTACTTACCTTTCCCCAATATTGGTCATTTACATATTTACATATTTCCTTATATATAATATGGTAATGAGCATCTTTGTTAAAATGTATGCATTTGGTTCCTATGAATTACTCTAATGCTTAATGGTTATTTGATAAGATTTGATGTAAATAAAGCAAGCACTATGAGGAGTTGATAAAAGGTCAGAAATGATTATAGATGATCCCTTGAGATACTCATAATAAGCATGGCAATTTTCATTCATTCTAACATTTGTCAATATGGGTAAACCAAACAGAGTTGTTGCTCTTTAAATGTAGGTACAGTAAAAATTGAACTCACAGGAAATAGTACACTTAAAGAATCATTAATTATTACCTAATTGCTTGCACCACTGTGGCAGGGACAGAAAAGTACTCTGCGATGATGAAGTTGTCAATTACAGTTGATAATTAAGGGGCCAGGTGCATATTTAACTTAACAAGATAAATATCTGCCCAGATGTTGTTTGTCTGCTGCTTCATTACCAGGTAGGTTAGAAGACTTTCATAAACTAGAAAGACTATTAAATACACAACCTTGCTACATCAAGAAACCTTTAGTAAATCTGTTACTATAGCCAATATTCATTTAAGAAGGCTTTTATCAGACTTCCTAGAGAGTTGAAGTAAGCATATCTATATAATACCATCTTTGCAGATTCTCAGTGAAATGGATTTTTCAAATATAAAACAGATAGAACATACAATAGTATTGGGAACTAGAGAGGTTGCCTCCTCATGTTAGGAACATAAAGGAATTTTATGCAAGATTTAAAATGCCAGATTAAATGAAGACAACAAAGAATCAATCTGTGTCTGGACCATTCCAAGGAACCCAAGATCCTTGGATGTAAGAGGTTAATATTCTGGCAAAGTTATAGTAAGGTATCCTAAACTGAAGGGCAGAGACTAGGAGAAAAGAACTGGCTGCATCAAAAAAGCAGCCAGATCATGTCATTGCTTGTATTCGTTTGCTAGGGCTGCCATAACAAAATGTCACAGACTAGGCGGCTTAAAAACAATGGACATTTATTTTCACACCATTCTGGAGGCTGTAAGCCCAAGATCAAGGTGCCAGCAGGGTTGGTTTCTCCTGTGGACTCTCTTTGGTTTGCATGTGATTGAGTCTCCCAACAACCATGTGTGGCCTTTTTTCTGTGTGTGCAAATCTCATGTGTGTCTTCCTCTTCTTGTAAGGACACTAGTCATATTGGATTAGAGTCCCACCCTTATGACCTCACTTACCCTTTACTAAGTTCCTATCTCCAAACGCAGTCGTATTTAGTTCTTAACATATGAATTCGGTGGGGAGAGGACACAATTCAGTCCGTAACACTCCTCTCCTTAAAACTCTCCAAAGTCTTTAAAATGGCCCGTAATCTTCAGTGCATTCAATGCTGCCTCTCTAACATTTTCTCCAGAACATTTCACCTTTGTATGCTTCACTCTATTCACATTGGCTTTCTTCCTGTGTTTCTGACAGAGAGGTTGACATAGGGAGAGTCAACCATTTGAAAACCAAAGAGAGATGCCACAGGAGAAATCGACCCTGCTGGCACCTTGATCTTGGGCTTCCAGCCTCCAGAATTGTGAAAAAAATAAATGTCCGTGGTTTAAACCACTCAGTCTGTGATAGTTCGTTATGGTAGCCCTAGCAAACTGATATAAGAAGTGACATTCCCCCCACATCAGGGCCTTTGCAATGGCTATTCTCTGTCCTTGGGACATTTTGCCTTTAGATAGCCACAGAGCTGGCTCCCCTCACTGCCCTAAGGTCCCTGTGCAACGAGATCTTTGCCAGTGAAATTTTTTTCTGATCATCGCATACAAAAGAGAATTCGCTGTCGCTTTCTTTGCCTTCTCATGCAGCTTTATTATCTTTTTTCAGAGCACTTAATTATTGATATAAATATAAATATATACAGCTCCCTCTCCCTCTCCCTCTCCCTCTCGGTCTTGCTCTCCGTCTCCCTCTTTCTACTGTCTCCCTCTCTTGCGGAGCCTGGACTGTACTGCCATGATCTCGGCTCGCTGCAACCTCCCTCCCTCGGGCTCTGGTGATTCTCCTGCCTCGGCCTGCCAAGTGCCTGGGATTCCAGGCACGCGCTGCCTCTCCTGACTGGTTTTTGTATTTTTGGTGGAGATGGGGTTTTGCCGTGTTGACCGGGCTGGTCTCCAGCTCCTGGCCTCGGGTGATCTGCCTGCCTCGGCCTCCCGAGGTGCTGGGATTGCAGACGGAGTCTCGCTCACTCAATGCTCAATGTTGCCCATTGAGTGCAGTGGTGTGATCTCGGCTTGCTACAACCTCCGCCTCCCAGCCGCCTGCCTTGTCCTCCCAAAGTGCTAAGATTACGGCCTCTGCCCGCCCACCACCCCGTCTAGGAAGTGAGCAGCGTCTCTGCCTAGCCGCCCATTGTCTGGGATGTGAGGAGCCCCTCTGCCCGGCCGCCCCGACTGGGAAGTGAGGAGCACCTCTGCCTGGCTGCCCCCGTCTGGGAAGTGAGGAGTGCCTCTGCCCAGCCACCCCCTCTGGGAAGTGAGGAGCGCCTCTGCCCGGCCGCCCCATCTGGGAAGTGAGGAGCGCCTCTGCCAGGCCACCCCGTCTGGGAAGTGTACCCAACAGCTCCGAAGAGACAGCGACCATCGAGAACGGGCCATTGATGATGATGGTGGTTTTGTCAAAAAGAAAAGGGGGAAATGTCAGGAAAAGAAAGAGAGATCAGATTGTTCCTGTGTCTGTGTAGAAAGAAGTAGACATAGGAGACTCCATTTTGTTCTGTACTAAGAAAAATTCTTCTGCCTTGGGGTGCTGTTAATCTATAACCTTACCCCCAACCCCCTGCTCTCTGAAACATGTGCTGTGTCAACTCAGGGTTAAATGGATTAAGGGCGGTGCACGATGTGCTTTGTTAAACAGATGCTTGAAGACAGCATGCTCCTTAAGAGTCATCACCACTCCCTAATCTCAAGTACCTGGGGACACAAACAGGGCGGAAGGCCGCAGGGACCTCTGCCTAGGAAAACTGGAGACCTTTGTTCTCGTGTTTATCTGCTGACCTTCTCTCCACTATTATCCTATGACCCTGCCACATCCCCCTCTCTGAGAAACACCCCAGAATGATCAATAAATACTAAAAAATAAATAAATAAATATAAATATATATATGGCATATATATATGTATGTATGCTGGCTGCTTTCATGGGCTTGCGTTGAGTGTCTGCAGCTTTTCCAGGTTCACGGTGCAAGCTGTCAGTGGATCTACCATTCTGGGGTCTGGAGGATGGTGGCCCTCTTCATATATATATGTATATATATGTGTGTGTGTGTGTGTATACATGCATATATATGTATGTGTGTGTATATATATACATGCATATATATGTGTATGTGTATATATATATATACACACATATATATACACACACATATATGTATATATATACACACACACATACATATGTTTGCTTATCATCTATGTGTTCCTAGTAGATTTAGACAGTACCTGGTATGAAGTTAGAGGCTTGGGCTTTGTCTGTTTCTGTTACTGTTACAGCAGCTGGAAATAGAACACATGTCTTACAAAAGAAGGACAATTTGATTGACAGCAGATGTTAGCAGCAACAACAGAGGACAGTAGACAATGGAATAGTTCCAATTTGTTGATAGAAAATAATTGCCAACCTAGAAAATCATGTTGCAGGACATTTTCAGGTATACCAAAATAGAAGTCATTTGCCTTCAAGAAATATTCACTAAAGAAATTTTGATTCAGGCAGAAGGAAAATGATCTGAATTGTCTTTGGTCTAAGATGTAAGAAGAAAGATTAAGAAAATTAATAAAAATAAGTGTATAAATCTAAACATATATTATTTAAACAATGTCTAATTTATGGAGTTAAAAAAGACAGAATCAAAATATATATAAGGGTATAAAATTCTAAGCCAGTGGAATAGCAAAAATGGATTAAGAAAATGATGAATAAAGGCTTACCAACTATAAAAAGAAAAAGAAGAGAGAGAAAACAAGCATTAAAAAGAGATAGAAATATAGATTTGATAATTAAGATTGTTAAAACCAGACAAAGTATACCAGAAGTCATAATAAAAGTAGACTCAATCCACCAGTTATAAGATGAACTTTGTCAGGTTGGGTAAAAATTTTTAAAAATCTGTTTATTTTATTCATAAGTAAAAGAAGAAGAACATTGAAAAGGTGATGGTGAAAGAATAGAAAAATATATACCCTGCAACACTAACCAAAAGAAAACTACGGTAGCACTATTACGTTTAGACAAATACAAAATATAATTTAAGTGAAATAAAATAATTCAGGACAAGGCGGGTGTATTAGTCCGTTTTCTTGCTGCTGTTAAAGACATACCCGAGACTGGGAAGAAAAAGAGGTTTAACTGGACTTACAGTTCCACATGGCTCAGGAAACCTCAGAATCATGGCAGGAGGTGAAAGGCACTTCTTACATGGTGGTGGCAAGAGAAAATGAGAAAGAAGTAAAAGCAGAACCCCCTGATAAGCCCATCAGATCTTGTGAGACTTACTATCACAATAATGGCACAGGAAAGACTGGCTGCCATGATTCAATTACCTCCTCCTGGGTCCCTCACACTACCTGTGGGAATTCTGGGAGATACAATTCAAGTTGAATTTTGAGTGGGGACACAGCCAAACCATATCAGAGGGTCACTACATAATATAAAAATTTTAATTCACCAGGAAGACATAATCATTATAAACTCTATATGCCTATAAAATAATGTAGAGAAATAAAAATATATAAATGTCAATACATATGCCAGATTGATAAGATTGTAAGGATAAATTGACAGTCATCATCATAATGGGAGATTTCAACATAGCACATTCAATTACAAATAAGCCAACAAAAATTATTAAAGCTGGAGAATATTTGAACAATATAGTCTAACAACTTCGAACTAGTGAAGCTTATAAAAATTCTGCACTGACAAGTAGAATATACTTTCTTCTCAAAGAATAAAACTTGTATACAAATCTATAATAATTTCAACAACATTTTGTTCTCTGACCTCAGATGGACTAGAAATAAAAAATTAAATCCCACACATTTGAAATTAAAAAGCACACTTTAAAAAATTAATATATCAAAGAAGAAAACTTAATAGAAATAAAGAATACTTAGAACTATGTACAATGAAAATATACATTAAAATTTGTATAATACATTAAACTTTGTGGGATGTAGCACATGGTACTTAAAAAGAGATTTATTTATTTATGTTTTTTCCAACTTTTAAGTTCTGGGGTACATGTGCAGGATGTACAGGTTTGTTACATAGATAAGCATGTGTCATGGTGGTTTGCTGCACAGATCATCCCATTACATAGGTGTTAAGCTCAGCATCCATTAACTATTCTTCCTGATGCTCTCCCTCCTCCTGCACCCACCCTCTGACAGCCTCCAGTGTGTGTTGTTCCCCCCATGTGTCCATGTGTTCTCATCATTTATCTCCTACTTATATGTGAGAACATGCAGTATTTGGTTTTCTGTTCTGCATTAGTTTGCTGAGTATAATGGCTTTCCAGCTCCATTCATGTTCCTGCAAAGGACATGATCTCATTCCTTTTTATGGCTGCATAGTATTCCAGGGTGTATATGTACCACATTTTCTTTATCTAGTCTATCATTAATGGGCATGTAGGTTGATTCCATGTCTTTGCTCTTGTGAATGGTACTGCAGTGAACATATGTGTGCATGTATCTTTATAATAGAATGATTTATATTCCTTTGGGTATATACCCAGTAGTGGGATTGCTGGATCAAATGGTATTTCTGCCTCTTAAGTCTTTGAGGAATCACCACACTGTCTTCCACAATGGTTGAACTAATTTGTACCCCCACCAACAGTGTAAAAGTGTTCCTTTTTCTCCACAACCTCACCAGCATCTGTTGTTTTTTGACTTTTCAATAATTGCCATTCTGACTGGTGTGAGATGGTATCTCATTGTGGTTTTGATTTGCATTTCTCTAATGATCAGTGATGTTGAATATTTTTTCACGTTTGTTGGCCACATGTATGTCTTCTTTTGAGAAGTATCAATTCATGTCCATTGCCCACTTTTTAGTGGGTTTTTTTTTTTTTATTGTAAATGTAAGTTCCTTGTAGATGCCGGATGTTACATCTTTGTCAAATGGATAGACGGCAAAAATTTTCTCCCATTCTGTAGGTTGCCTATTCATTCTGATGATAGTTTCTCTTGCTGCGCAGAATCTCTTTAGTTTAATTAGATCCCATGTCTCAAGTTTTGCTTTTGTTGCAATTGCTTTTGGTGTCTTTGTCATGAAATCTTTGCATGTGCCTATGTCCTGAATGGTATTGCCTAGATTTTCTTCTAGGGTTTTTATAGATTTGGGTTTTACATTTAAGTCTTTAATCCATCTCAAGTTGATTTTTGTATATGGTGCAAGGAAGGGGTCCAGGTTCAATTTTCTGCATATGGCTAATGAGTTCTCCCATCACCATTTATTAAATAGGGAATCCTTTTCCCATTGCTTGTTTTTGTCAGGTTTGTCAAAGATCAGATAGTTGTAAGTGTGCAGTCTTATTTCTGAGTTCTGTATTCTGTTCCATTGGTCTATGTGTGTGTTCTTGTACCAGTACCATGCTGGTTTGATTACTGTAGCATTTTAGTACAGTTTGAAGTCAGGTAGCATGATGCCTCCAGCTTTGTTCTTTCTGCTTAGGCTCATCTTGGATATTCAAGCTCTTTTTTTGTTTCATTTGAATTTTAAAATAGTTTTTGCTATTTCTCTGAAGAATGTCAATAGTAATTTAATGGGAATATCACTGAAATCTATAAATTGCTTTTGGTAGTATGGCCATTTTCATGATATTGATTCTTCCTATCCATGAGCATGGAATGTCTTTTCATTTGTTTTTATCATCTCTGATTTCTTTGAGCAGTGGTTTTCAGTTCTCCTTAAATAGCTCTTCACTTCCTTTGTTATCTGTACTCCTAGGTATTTTATCCTTTTTGTGGCAATTGCAAATGGGAGTTCATTCATGATTTGGCTCTCTGCTTGCCTGTTGTTGGTGTATAGGAATGCTAGCAATTTCTGCACATTGATTTTGTATTCTGACACTTTGCTGAAGTTGCTTATCAGCTTAAGAAGTTTTTGGGCCAGGCACGGTGGCTCATGCCTGTAATCCCAGCACTTTGGGAGGCTGAGGCGGGCAGATCATCTGAAGTTGGGAGTTCGAGATCAGCCTGACCAACATGGAGAAACCCCATCTCTACTTAAAATACAAAATTAGCCAGGCATGGTGGCGCATGCCTGTAATCCCAGCTACTCAGGAGGCTGAGGCAGGAGAATCGCTTGAACCCGGGAGGTGGAGGTTGTAGTGAGCTGAGATCACGCCACTGCACTCCAGCCTGGGCAACAAGAGCAAAACCCCGTCTCAAAAAAAAAAAAATGCTTTTGGGCTGAGACAATGGGTTTTCTAGATAAAGGATCATGTCATCTGCAAAGATAGTTTGACTTCCTCTCTTCCTATTTGAATACCCTTTAATTTTTAAAGAGATATGTATAACCTTCAGTGCTTAATATTTAAAAAGCTTTAAAAAGTTAGTAGCATAAAAGATCAAAATCAAAGGAAACAACACAGAAATAAAAGAAAATTTCAAAACAGAATACTCAGTCGAATAACTAGAATATTAACTATTAACATAAACAAGTTAATCTCTTAACAATTACTTTCAGATTGGCTTTTAAAAAATGAGCAAGAAACCCACTTATATGCTATATACAAAGGAAACATTTAAACCCACGTAAACTTAAAGAAATGCATCAAAATACATCGGGCGACCCCAATCCAAAATAAAAACCATACACTGTTAAAGAACCCAATCACAATTAAAGTATATAATCATGATCATAAATATTTGTGTAGAGAATAACATAGTATCATATATAATAAATATAATGTTAAAATATGAAGACAAATTGGCAGACACACAATTGTCTCTGGACAGTTTAACAAGCCTTTTTTTTTTTTGATTAGGAGTCTTGCTCTGTTGCCCAGGCTGGAGTGCAGTGGTGTGATCTTGGCTCACTGCAACCTCTGCCTCCCAGATTCAAGCGATTCTCCTGCCTCAGCCTCCTGAGTAGCTGGGATTACAGTGCCCTCCACTGCACCCAGTTAATTTTTCTATTTTAGTGGAGATGGGGTTTCACCATGTTGCCCAGGCTGGTCTCAAACTCCTGACCTCAGGTGATCCACCCACCTCGGCCTCCCAAAGTGCTGGAATTTGCAGGCGTAAGCTACTGTTCCTGGCCTTAACAAGCCCCTTTAAGCCTCTGATAGATTCATAAGCCCAGAATAAGAATATAGGATATCTATTCATTCAAGATTAATGTTTTATTCTTATCTATTCAAGATAATTTTTATGTACTTAATATCTATTCAATATAATTTTTATGTACTTAATAGGTACATAAAAATTTTCATACACAACCAGAAACTCACTTTCTACCAAAATCTTAATTGGCATGTAAAAAAGGGGATTCAAAAATTTCTTGACTAAATTAGATTTTTTTATGTACAAAGACAAAAGAATGACTGTCAATGAATTAAGTGTTTTATTAGTACTAGGAAAAGACCTATAACAATCTCGACCACTTTATTCAGGATTCTTTGGTTGCAAAAGACAGAAATGCAGCACAAATTAGCTCAAGTCAAGAAGAAGGATTTATGGACACTTTCCCAGATTGTGGAAAGATGAGGTGGAGCTGGCTGTAGGGATAAGAGGGCTCTTACCTAAACCTATATCTAAAGCCATAAGACTTCCCCTCATTATTTTTCATTTCCACTCTCCTATCATTCCTTCCACATAGAGTTTCTCTATGGTGGGGGACTTGGCTGTCTTGGGAGCTCCTAGCTAAATTGAGATTTCAGTACCAAGTAGCTAGCAAACTTGCTCTCACAGGAAGTGAAAGGGAGCTGGACATGGGTGTTTAGAGTGTGCCTTTCCCAGGATACTTCTTTTACCTGGTGCACGGCCTTATGCCTCTGCCTGTGAGCAGAGGGTCCCTCACATGGGAAACTTGTTTATACTGGCAGATGCCCTTGTGGTTCTTGTCTGACCCTTGCCCAGTGTGTGCTTGCCTGAACATTGCTGTAGGCTAGGAACCTGCCCTTGTGTCCCATTCCCCACCTCCCACCCCTCCCACATCCCAGAAAATCCAGACCTGGGGCAGCCCCTGGTTCTTCAGATAGAAGGCAATCAATTCAATACACCATCATAATAGGAAACAAGTTCAACGATTTCTACTTACAGATCCTGGGCAGAGAGGCTGCAATGAATTGGGAGGGCAGCCCACCATCCTTGGGTCATGGAAAGCAGGAATAAACAGTCAGGTGGAGAGGGAGAGAGAGAGCGAGTGAGAGACAGAGAGAGATTGAGAGGGCATGCGCATGCACTTGGCAACTTGCGGGATATATAAGGGGATAGAGTGTGGCATACTTTAAGTTCATGAGCAGATGCCTGAATGGTCAGTTCAAAAGAAGCAGTGGGAAAAATGGAATGCCCAGTCTGCTGGACAGGAGAGGTGCCTCTAAGTTCTTATCTCTGGTCACTAGCTTGAAGCTTTTGGGTGTGGTATAGAACTCAAAAACTGTGTCATGTGTGACTGAGCCCTGCTACTGGTATGAGAAACTTAAATCTGTATTCCAAATGGATGCTGAGGTAACACAAAATTATAAGGATTCACTAGAGTGGCCTGTGACCCGTCCAGATGCATGCACTATCTATGATTGTAGTGGAGACAGTCACTATGGGTTCATTACCCTGCAGCTGCTTTCTGACACAAGGAATATGGCGTTTTCCAGCCTCTTTTGCAGTTAGTTTGGAGTCCTGTTGTCAGTGAGCTCCGTGGATGAGAAACGAGTCACTTCTGGTTGGAGGGACTTCAGAGCAGGCATGAGTTGTCATGCTCTCTCCTCCCTTACATGGTGACCCTGCAAGTCCTGTGTCGAGAAGCAAAGCTACAGGGATGCTTGAGTCATGACTTGTGAAGGGGTTGGTCTGGAATGCTGATGGACTTGCTGAGGACTTCATGTAGTGAGGAATGAATTTGGGACATTGTTTAGCATAACCGATGCTTGTCTAAATAAACTGATACTACAGTGACAAGGATATGTTCCCCAACAGCTTGAGAAAATCCTGAAGATGGATTCTGTTGGAACCATGTTGGCTTATCTGTCATCTCTGGACTAATCAATGGGGACAGCAGGATAAGGTAGTATGACTGGCTCAATCTGGATTATGTGTGCACTCCTATGGCTAGAGGATAGGTCTGTTATGGGAAGAGAGGATGGGATTGCACAGACGAGGCTACTGCTGGGAGTCGTGAAGTTGTCCCAATTTGTGGCTACTTTATTAAACCAAACAAGACAATGCTAGTAATCATAAAAACAGAAGTTATTGAAAATAAATAAAACCAATAAATAAGCTCAAAAATTCTTTTGTTGAAAGAGAAAATAAAATAGATAAGCCTCCAGCTTTGTCAAGAAAAGACAAACACAAACACAGATTTAGAAATGAGAAATCAGGAAAAGGATATTGGCCATATCAAATTTGAGCGGCAGCTTTATGCTAATTGTATTGAAAAACTTTGTAAAATATATGGGCCTTTTTCAGAATGTGGCGACATAATTTTGAAAGTCATTTATAATAATAAATGGAAGAAAATTACTAAGAATATTTTGAAAAAGAGATGGGGGATGACTTTCTTTACTCATTAAAACATAAAATCATAAGTAAATTATACTCACATAGGAATTACTAGGTTTTTCCTTACTGTAGAATATGTCAAATCTAATATATGATTTTTTTTACAATATATATCTTCTCTTTTAAGCACATCATTTGAATTTGGATTCTATTTTCCACCATACATATAATTTATAATTCACTAAACATATTTTTATTTTTAACTGATTTCAGGACTCACTGCTAATCTATTTTTCGATGTTTATAATCATTTTTAAAAGTTATTTTTTGATTTAATCTCAGTTTTCCACAACAGTTATCACCATTTGATATATTATGTGTATTTATTTGGTTTTTTGTTTAATGCTTTGTTTTCAAGATTCATCTACATTGTTGTGCAGAGTAATAGTTTATTCATTTTCATTAAATGTATACTATTCCATTAAGTAAAGATATTACAATTTATCCATTCTACATAAATGGATGTTTGGGTTATTTCCACTTTTTTGGTGGTTATTACAAATAATGCTTCTATGAACATCACTCTATATGTATATGGGCACACATAAGTATGCATTTCTGTAAGATATACACCTAGAAGTAGAATTGGCAGGTAATAGTTTACAGGTATGTTGAACTGTACTGAAGAATTCAGCTTGGCTTCCTGTGTGGTTGTATTTCATTTTAAAGCAAGCTAGCAGGTGTGTAGTGATATCTCCTTGTGGTTTTAATTTGCCCTGCTCTGATTCCTAATGAGGTTGAGCTCCTTTTCATTTGTTTATTGGCCATTCGAATTTCCTCCTTTGTGAAGTGCCTATTCAGATGTTTAGTCTTGGTCATCTGACTTTCTTACTGACTTAGGAGTCCTTTGCTTATTCTGGATATAATGTATAATACAAAAAAAGCTACTCTGGATATAATGTGTAATGCAAAAATCTACTACTCTGTAGCTCAATGATCTCTTTTGATGAATGTGTTTTTTTTTTCTTATTTTAATGATAAGTGCTTAAATCTTTTCTTTAAGGGTTAGTGATATTTATGTCTCTTTAAGAAGTCTTTTATCTAGGACCCCGAGCCAATCAGAAGGTGCTCCAAATATCCAAAACTAAAACAACTTGAGCAACAAAATAAATAATGATAGTATTGGTAGAACAATATATATATATGAACCAATACAAATAAATAATTGAATAAATAAAAGGGAGGAAAGGACAGTTCTTCCTTATAGAAGAATATTAATTTTAAAATGAAGAAGATATTAGAAAATAAAAAATCACTGTTAGGCAAACACTGCAATAATATTTGTTGTAAGCAGGGTCCCCTAGTGGATGCTAAAATCAGTAGAGGAAAAACAGGATATTTCCTTTGTCGAAGTATTTTCCCCAAATATTTATTAATTGCGAAGGGAAAAATAGTTAACTTTATAGTGGAGGAAGCTGGTAGACACCATCTTAGCCAGATGACCAGAGTTAAGATCACAGGTTGTAAGACATACCATTCACCTCCTGGTACAATGAACTGAAAACAGACTGACATCACTTCTATGTATCTTGTCCAAAATGCATTACCTTAATATAATCATGAGAAATCAATCAGGCAAACCTAAATTGAAAGACTGTGTATGAAACAACTGACTAGTATCTCCAAAAATGCCAAAGTCATGAAAGACAAGGAAAGATTGAGAAATTCTCATAAGTTGGATGACACTAAGGGGACTTAACTAAATGCCATGTCGGACCCTAGACTGGATCTCAGAATAGAGAAAAGACATTTGTGGAAAAACTGGTGAAATTTGAATAAGGTCTATAGTGTGGTTCATGGTATTGTACCAATATTAATTTCCATTTTGATAATTGCACTGCGGCTGTGGATAATGTGAAGATGAAGGAGGCCTGGGGAATGGGTTTAAGAAACTCTCTGCATTATTTTTCTTTCAGCTCTTCTGTAACTGTAAAACTGTTTAAAAATAAAACATTAAAATTTCTGTGTTCTTTATTTCTGAGGTCAGTTTGGTTGGATGAAAAAACTTTGGCTTTTATTTATTTTCTTAAGTATCATAAATTGTTACTCTGTTGTCTTCTATTATATCACATTACTGTCAAAAATAAAATGACAATATGATTTTCTTTCTCCTGTCAGTGACTTGGTCTTTTTGTCTGGATATGCAAAATATGCTTTAAAAAAATTGTTCAAAGTTTGATACAATTACTAGACTACGTCTTGATATTGGCCATTCTAGATAAATTTTCCCAACACTTTTAAACACGGAATTTTAAATTTTCCCAACTCCTTTAAACATGGAATTTCAAATTTTGAAATTTACTTTTTCAGTGAAGTTTTCTCCAACCTTGTATTAAAAAAATCCTAGCATTCAGAAAAATTGAAAGAATGTTAAAGTGGACATCTATATATGCTTCACCTATATTTGCTAATTGCTAACATTATACTACATTTGTTCTATATCTCTGTCTATACGTGTATGTATATTGTTTACTTGTTTATATTTGGCAAGAATTTTGAGTTTCTGATGTGAGGATACCTCATCCTTAAATATTTCACCATAGGTCTTCTAAAATGAGAACATTCACCTATTATTAGCACAACATAATTATTACACTAACATTGATAAAGTACTGTTATTTAAGTTATATTTACATTTTCTGAATTCTTTCAACAATGTTCTTAATAGCTTTTTCTTCAATCTAGGTTCCAATAAAAGATCACACATTGCATTTTGTTTTCACATTTCTTACCTCTTATTTTTATTTTATTTAAAAAATTTATATAGCTTTAGGGGCCCAGGGGATTTTTGGGTATGTGGATAAATTGTATAGTGCTGAAGTCTGGGCTTTTAGTGTACCCATCATCTAACTTGTGTACATTGTACTCAATTTTAAGTCTTTGATTTAGAGCAGTTCCTACAGCAATTATACAAGGTTGAACCATCGAAGGGACTCACAAGACCTCATAGGGCATACTCTTATAGAGCTTTAGGAAAGTAGAGGATACAGTACAGCAGGAGAAAGAAGGCACAAACATCAAAGAGGTCCAAGCTTCCAGGCACAACTCACAGGGTTCTTGGTCACATTGTGTGTGCTTCTTCAGGTCATAAATTACCAAGACCCACACAAGGAACCTGGTCTCATATGCCACAGTTTATCCCATGGGAGTCTTTTATAACCCTGAGATCATACAGCCAAAACCAGCCTACAGGAGTCTCAGGAGTCATCCGATGTCAGTTTGCCATTATTACAAATATTTGTTGTGATCACTCATCTGCCATATTTCCTCATTGTAAAGTACTTTTTCCCTATTTGTAATAAATTACAACTGAGCAATGATACCTAGAGTCTATGTGAATATCTTGTTTCCCAACACATTTTCACCCAAGAGATTTCACATTCATTGATGGTCCTCATGTGAATCAGTTATTATAAGGTGGATGCAAAATGGTGTTTTTAGAGTTCTGTTATTCTTTCTACATTTAATAGTTTGAATTATTTTGTAAAGAAGAGCCTTTTATTTTCCTTCTTTCTCCCCACTTCCCCCACCTTTTGAGGGTCCTATGGATTTATTGGAGTTATTAGTATTTTTAAAATTAAATAAAGTTAAACATATTATAAGTTATTAGTATTACCCTTTATGATGTTCAAATTCTCCCAATTTCTACCTATGGAAGCCCCTTTAAGCTAACTCCTGAGTCCTGCCAACATATCCGCATTCATTTTTTTTGTGTTTTTCTTACTTTATAGTACAACAAGCCATTCTGTTCTCCTTGCACCAGGCCTGAAAGGTTGTTTCTTCAAGGATCCCTGAGATTAGAATCCAAGATCTGGGTAAATAGGTGTGCTCATTGCCCCTGGGGTGTCATTACTTCTAGACCCGTTCAGTGGACAAATCTAGGAAATGTATCTTTTAAAATTAAGTACTGTAGTGAATGCTGTGGTGCTCCATCAAGATACTTTCTTCATGCCTCCTTTTTAAGTTATTAACTGTGAACCTGTATGTCTCTACCACTAAATTATAATAAGGTGCACAAAAGCATGAGTTACATCTTGTTTATGCTTATAATTGTTAATATCCTGGATAATTGCTGGGCACATAGAAGGATATCTGTTAAGTTGAAAAGACTCTTTTCTCCTGTTCAGTCTTCATCAGTGGGAGTTAGCTAATGTCTATATGGTGACCTTTGTTGCAAAGTGAATTTGCTGATGATGTGAAATGGAAGCAATTAGGGCACTTTAATTTTCTTATTTTTGCTAAAGTGGTCCACGTACAAAAAATATTTGAGGGCTATCGCTGATTTAATCATTTGCATTTGTGAAAAAAGAAATATGAATAAGGTCCATATAAAGAGGTTTAAATGAGTAAGACTAACAGTTCTTAATAGTCAGTGGTTATTATTCTGGGGCCATAAAATACATCCAATATTTTGTTTATACCAATATCCTCTATCTCAATTGGCACAATCAAATTTAAGTAAAGATTGAGCAAATTTTCAGTATATTTGATTCCTTAAGTAATCATAGTCTAGAAAGCCAGATATTAATAGCCACCATTTATAAGCATTTACCAATTAATTAATGCAATTGAGTTAGCAGATTTCACAGACTGATAGATAGATCATTTATTCATCCCAAGACATTTGCAAGGCAAATAGTAGTATCCCTGCTTTTACAGTGCAGCATGTATAAGCAAGATAGTTAAGTAAAATGCAGATGACCCCATAAGTTGTAGAAAGAGGATTTAAAGTCAGGTCTGTCTGAACCTAAGCCCTACTCTTTTCACTATGGAACATGGTGTATTTGAGAAACTCAGGTGTACAGAATATATAAAATGTCTGAAGGTCTCAATGACTCACAGGGACCAGTCTGTACTGGATGAGTTAAAGAGCTGTTTCCTGAAGCTGCATCCCTCTGTACGTGGCACAGCATCCCCCTATCACCCGGTGCTGTGAGTTTTAGGAAAGAGGACATTCCCTACTCAAGGTCTCCCTGCAGCTTGACCTTCCAGAAGCCCCATGCTTTGCCCCTTCTGCGGAAGGCCTGATATTTCCCTTCTCACTTTCTGACACTGGCAGGTTCTTTTTGTGGAAGGCACCTATGCTGGGGTGGAGCACACATGGGGCTCCACCTCAAGTAATGGTACTGATTGGGTGAGTGCTTGGGTCCTGACTGTTTCCGTAACATGAGCTCTGGGAGAAGGAAGTTGGGTTTGGATAATCCTGTCCTAGTTTTTGAGATCAGCATTTCACCTCAATATAGTAGTTCCCCTTATCTGTGGGGGGTAAATTCCAAGGCTCCCAGTGGATTCCTGAATCTGCGGATTGTACTGAACCCTATATATACTATGTTTCTTTCCTTGCACACATATCTATGATAACATTTAATTTATAAATTAAGCAAAGTAAGAGATTAACAAAATAATAAAATAGAACAATTTTAGCAATATACTGTAATAAAAGTTATGTGACTGTGGTCTCTCTTTCAAAATATCTTACTGTACTGTACTGTACCATAGGAAACTGAAATAGAGGAAAGCCAAACTGTGGATAAGGGGGGACTACTGTACTTCCATGTATTTAAAAAAGAAATCAACTTTATTGAAGATTAATTTACATACTTCCTTATATTTTGGCAGGTTTCCTTTCCCTCCTTTTTTCCTGATTATCATTATACTATATATTTATTGTAAAAATGCAAATAATTCAGAAATATAAGACAGAAAGTATAAAGTTTTAAAATTCTTTAAAAATCACTATTTGTTAGGTACTTACTATGTCCCATGTACTTGACATGTATATCCTCATTGATTTCTTGCAACAACTCTGTGAATGGAAATTATCATTCCTATTTTGTAGGATTTTTTAGGATTCTTCTAATCATTGCATTGGGTTGCACTGAACACTTGCTTAGCTGACCTGCGAGCTTTCTCACTTTGACTCTGTCCATTGGGGTCTTTTCTCCACATGATCTTTATTAGAACCTTTTTCCCCTCTTTGACTTCAGTTGTATCTCTTTTTTAAAGACATGTATGGTGAGGTACTCACTAGCTAATAAGCTTTATAAGAGCAAGAAGTAATATTGAGGCTGGGTGCAGTGGCTCATGCCTGTAATCCCAGCACTTTGGGAGACTGAGGTAGGCAGATCACTTGAGGTCAGGAGTTTGAGACCAGCCTGGCCAACATGGTGAAACCCCGTCTCTACTAAAAATACAAAAATTAGCAGGACGCGGTGGTGGGTGCCTGTAATCCCACCTACTCGGGAGGCTGAGGCAGGAGAATCACTTGAACCCGGGAGGTGAAGGTTGCAGTGAGCTGAGAGTTGAGATCACACCACTGTACTCCAGCCTGGACGACAGAGTGAGACTCTGTCTAAAAAAAAATAAAAAAAGTAATATTTACTTACATAGCTGCTGTGCCTACATAAGATTTTAATGAGCACAAAATGTGACATGGAGTTGTTAAGTGGTAAATCTTTATTGAATGAATGAATTAATGATTTTAGCTGGCAGCCTCTCTTTATGCATTCTCATTTGGTCTTATTAAAAAATATATAATTCGTTTGAAATGGACAATGTACACTGTTCCCCTGCTGAATTCAAGTCATGAGTTTCATACTAGTGATTGTTTACATAATAATTTACTAAAAATAGTAAGAGTTTAGGATTTTTTTATGTGCTCTTTGAAGAAGCCAAGTGTGTTTTTTTTTATGTATTAATGTTGATTTGTCCATCCTACTCTGTTTTTACCATTTCATGCGGGCACTTTCTCTCTTGCACAGTTTAAAGCTTTCTTGCTCTCTTCAGGAGTATATTGCCAAAAATTCCTTATCAGTTCTCGTTAGACACCCTCTGCCTTATGCTGGTAGTCATCATGTTGGCATTGTAAAATGTAGCTTAAAAGTCCAATCCAGTTGTTCACTTATTCCAACCTCTTCTTTCTTCCACAGTCAGAACCTTCATGGGGGAAAAAGAGTTGAAAACACCCCCTGAATCTCATTTGCTTTCCTCTTCAGGTCCCCTGGGGCTGTACTCCAGGTTTCCCTGGCTTTGCATTTGTTCTCTATGAAATTATGTAAGCAGGAACAGCCCCAGGTGCTTGGAATGCTTGGTGGCTTCCTTCATGTGTGGGTTTACACATGGTGACAGAAGAGGGCAGCTGCTGGGGCAGCAATTTTTGTCTCTCCAGGGTCTCCACATGGACACCTTGTTTCTCCTTTGGATCTTCATTGGCCCTGCAATGAGTCAAACTTGCTAAACCCTGTGCTTCCCTCTGCCCCAGCCACAATCTCAGATGGAGCCTGACTTCAAATCTCTCACTGGTTGGTGGTTTGACCTTGAAGTTGGTAGACCTTGTCTGATCACCTGGGAAATGTAAGTTACTTCAGAGAGAGAATCAGTGAATTGTGAGTTGTGGGATCACAAGTCTAAAAAAAAAAAGCAGCTACAGGAGTTAATTATGCTAGTGTTTCTCCACCCATTTTGTTGATGAAAGAGCTTCCACATCATTGCCTGTCAGTCTAAGCATTGAGGTAAAAGACTCTCCCTTTGAAAATAGTCATTATATGAAAGTCTGGGAACCAGTATCAATATTTATTAGGGGGCACACACCCATCCTGTCCTGTTGTATCACAGATTTATAGCACAACCGTTTATCCTGGACTCCCTAAGCTCTTTCAAGGATTGTGTTAAAATTAAACCTGTCAGCTGTTCCTTGGGAGGATAACAAACTTTTAGGCATTCCTGTAGCTGACTTGCCTGCAAATGTATGGAAGTAGTTTCTTTAAAAAAATCTCTACTTAGCAAAACATTTCTTCTTTCATTTCTTTTATTTCCTCTTCCCCTGTGGTTCCTGGTGATTGATATTTGAATGTAGAGTTCCTCTGGGAAAGCCTGACTTATTCTTCTGCAACTACATAGGTTGAAAGAGGAGGAGATGTATGTTGCCCATTGTGTGAAGGGAAAAACAGAAAGATTAGCAATCTCTAGAAGCTGTACCAGGAGGCATAATAAATGTACAACTGTGAAAGAAAGAAAAAATAAGCTTTCTTTTAAAAATATTAATTTTGGAGAAAGATTACGTCAATCAGGAACATTAACAGAAGCTCAACATCCAATGCGAGGAACAAAAACTGATTTGATGATCCATGTGAACTGAAATTAGTGTCAGGGTGGATTTAGAAAGAACTAGCACGAGCCGGGCATGGTGGCTCATGCCTGTAATCCCAGCACTTTGGGAAGCCGAGACAGGCAGATCACCTGAGGTCAGGAGTTTGAGACCAGCCTGGCCAACATGGTGAAACCCTGTCTCTACTAAAAATGCAAAAATTAGCCAGGTGTGTCAGGCACCTGTAATCCCAGCTACACAGGAGGCTGAGGCAGGAGAATTGCTTGAACCCGGGAGGTAGAGGTTGCAGTGAGCCGAGATCGTGCCACTGCACTTCAGCCTGGGCAACAGAGTGAGACTTTGTCTCAAAAAGAAAGAAAGAAAGAAAGAAAGAACTATTATCGTGACTTCTTCCTGAAGGGAAATGCAAGCATTAGTCAACAGCCAAGTGTGTTGAGCTGTATACAAGTCATAATTCTCACTTTGGAATCTCCTAGAATTTTCTGGGAATAAGCATATAAGGTGTTCTTTGTTGAATGAGCTATTGAGTGAGTGAATGAATGGAGTGAACAGAAGAAGGTTGATGATACATCTCTAACCTGTCAGACTGCCCCTGGAATATTGTGCTCAACCAAAGGACCACTTAGATGGTGAACAGTCTGGGCACTATGTTCTGTGGGAATTTTGAAGAAATAGGAGAACATTGGTTTTGAGAAGGGACATTTAAGGCTATGGAGGTACCTCATGGCTACATTCAGATATTTAAAGCCTTAATAGATTAAACAAAAACTGAGCGTAAACTCAGGGTTGGGCACCATGCATGATGCTGGGGCCACGTAGAGAAGAATATGAATATGTCTCTGCCTTCTGGACACTTTTCATGCTGATTCTACTCACTTCTAAGCAGCAAATTAGGAATAATGGTGGCAGGTATAAGAGAGAAAGATTTCAGTTTAATGAAAGAGGACCTGTCCTAAATTGGAAGGGGCTGCTTAGGAGTCTTTAGCGTAGGAGAACCATGAGACTTTAGCTGCTCATGAAAGTTATCACGATAAGGGAACTTAGAGGTCACATTGCAAGTATTCAGGAAAGACTGGATGATCCCTTGTTTGGGCTGTGCTTGGACGGAATTCTCAGTTCCCTTTCTCTTCTCACGAATATGTGTTTCTGAATCATAAGGTTTGAGAAAATAAAAGAGCACAGAATAGCCAAGTAATAAAGGATTCATAGTTTGAGTCAATTAAAGCATAAATAATAATTGTTAATTTTTCGAGAGCTTACCAAGTGCTTGAGATGTTGGGCAGTATCTATCCTATGCAGTGCTACTATTTTATCTCCTTTTCACACCTGAGAAAACTGAGCTAAAGTAACTCGCCCAAAGTGACACAGCAGATACACTGCCATGTGACCGGAGGCTCATGCTCTACCCTCCAAGCTGTGCTGCCTTGCTCACCCACACTTTGCTTCATTTCTTAACTGAAACCTGCACTTGAGTGCCTTTCAGGAATGACACCTGCAAGGATTCTTGGGACTGTATTTAATTTGCTTCAACGTGCATAAGCTCATGTGAATGCATACCAAATGCGATCAAACTGTGGGAATGTGAGTCACTGTGGAAAATTGTTTAGAGCAAGAATTTTTAACGAGAGGTCTATGTCTGCATTTATGTGTATGTGCATGCATGTGCATGGATGTGGGGACTTGCACACGTGACAGTCTACGAAGAGATTCTGTATCTTTAATTAGGTTCTCAAAGGAATGACTGATAGCCTCACAACAGTGTAAGAATACTGACTTACGGTCTTCTCTAGCTTTGTGCAGCAAAGAGGGTCTGCCCATATATAAACTTTCATTCAGAATGGGAATCAGCTAGTTTAAAATGAAACGAAACAAACCAGCAGTTGAGGTTATTAAACCGATTCATTCTGATTGTAAAAGAGACATCTAGATGTAACCTTTTGGGACTCACATTACTAGGTGTTTCAGATCCTGTGTGAGGAGGCATTTAATGGATGCTTCTTTTCCCTAAAGGAAGTTTGGAAATGCAGGAAGAGCACCGGCACTCACTTGGATGGGAGAAATGAGGATTACTCACTGGCTTTCCTTAAGCACCCCTCCCCTAGGCTTTTGCAATATTCAACATAGGAGTCTCTGAGTGATCATTTTCTTCCCACATCACTGCATTTTTCCTGCCTTCAGTCTTTGCCTAACATCATCAAGTATTGCATGCCAGCAGAAACAGGCAACAAAATAGAAACCGTGTAGATCAAAAGCAGTCAGATCTCCAAGTAGAAAAATTCATCTCCGTTTCTGAGCATCCAAAGATGCTTTCACCATTCTTGCTGAATGCTTTGATGCCAGATAACTGCAGGAGCATGAAACTCTCCTTGCATAATATCCACATACTCATTTGAGCTGTTGAGATGGTTCTTTGGCAGAAAAAACTTTTGCAGAGGCTACTGGGAGAAGAGAGCACTTAATTTTATTAACTAGTATTATATTATGCATTTAATGATTACATTTCCATATTTCTATTAACACTACATAAAATACCAACACCATTTTGCCTTTTTATTAACAGTCCATTCTCTTGCAAGAAACCAACCAGAAAAAAGAAATAAAATCAGGTTCTTTCAACCAATGAAAAAGATTACTTCCATTTGGAATCAGCCTTCTTTTTCCATGCTTAATTCTCACATCCACTCTGGAAGGATGTTCTCTTGCCTAAGTACTCATCACCACACTACATTAACTTACTGAAATCTCACTTATGTAACCTGCTTGGGATTCCCAGTATAGCTTTTGCAAATCGAGGTTTCTTAGTTGTTATCAGCAATAGTTCTTGATTTGTTAGCCATGAGGCTGTTGGTCAGTACAGACTAGTTTTGTTATTTATCTCAGGGTAGAATAATATAGCTGATATATGTACAGTTTATCACAGTTTATAAACTGTCTTCATATTTGGATCTCTTCTGATCTTATTAAACATATTTGCTCAGAAAATAGTAAAACATTGCATTAGGTGATAGTCTTGCAAAAATATGCAGAAAGTGACCAGATGAATCTATCCTCACCGGCGCAAGGTAGTTAAACAGCATATGTTTCTGAGTCCCTCCCTTAATTCATGCCTGGACACACCTTGTGAAAGACAGAGAGGCTGATGGAGTTCATTTCCATCATCAGCTCTTAAACACCATGAGAAACCCTTGTAGGGAGAGGTGAAGGAGTTTAGGCCCTGGTGAGAGGGGATGGACAGTTGCAATGGCTGCGGGGATGGGAGAGGCCAGGACCCACAGAGGGCAGGGCCTTTGGGGAGATTCTGTCCTGACGGTTGCCCTGCATAGACCTTTGTTTGCCCTTCCTCTACTGTAATCTGATGGGATTTTTCTTAACAATGGCATCTTCTGATTGCGTAGGCTTTATTCCAGAAATGCAAAGTGACAGAGGAAATAGCAAGTGCAGAAACCTTGTGATGGAATGGTGTTGACATGCTGGAGAATTTGCCAGGGGTCAGGGTGGCTTGGAAGAGAGTGAATGGGAAGGATGGTAGGAAAGGGAGGAAATGAGGGCATAGCAGTGATCAAGGGGGCAGATTTTGTAGAGGATCACTCATTCTTGGTGTGGCTCGGAAAACACTGGTGAGTTTCAAGCAGAAGAGTCACATGTATCGGACATATATTCTAGCAGAAACATTCTGGCTTCTGTGTGGAAAACGGACTGAAACAGAACAGGGGGAAGCAAAGCAATGTTAGAGACTACTGCTGTAGCTCTGGAATGTGAGAAAGGTGACTCACCATGGTGGTCCATGAGGTGGTGTAGTGTGGTTGGCCCAGGACATGCTTTCAGAGTGGAGCTGACAGGGTTTGCTAATAGATTGGGTAAAGAGTGTGAGGACAGGAGAGGAATCAAAGATGCTCAAAGATTTTTGTCAAGGACAACTGGAAACGTGGAGGTGCCATTGACTGAATTGAGGAGCAAAGGGAATGAGCAGCTTGTGGAGGAAAATTAAGAACTTGATTGTGGGCATAGTCAGTGTGAGATGCCAGATGTTCCGATGGGACATTGAGTTAGCAGTTGGCTGTAAGCGTCTGGAGTTTGGGGGAGAGGTCAGGGCAGTACACATATATTTGAGGGTGTTAACATGGATATGGTATTAAAAGCCAGGGGAGGCCGGTCACAGTGGCTCACGCCTGTAATCCCAGCACTTTGGGAGGCTGAGGCGGGTGGATCATGAGGTAAAGAGATTGAGACCATGCTGGCCAACATAGTGAAACCCCATCTCTACTAAAAATACAAAAATTAGCTGGGTGTGGTGGCAGGCGCCTGTAGTGTCAGCTACTCAGGAGGCTGAGGCAGAATCGCTTGAACCCAGGAGGCAGAGGTTGTAGTGAGGCAAGGTCATGCCATTGCACTCCAGCCTGGTGACAAAGCCAGATTCCATCTCAAAAAACAAAAACAAAAACAAAAGTCCCAGGGAGTGTACAAAAGCACCTACGCTCCTGTGTATTAATGGTGAAGAGTAGGGCTCCACTCCTATGGGAGATCTCTGGTGTTTCCCCCATTTAGGGTCAGAAAAAGGAGGAGGAACTATCAAAGGAGACTGAGAAGAAGTGGCTACTGATAAAAGAAATAACATGTAGTTCTATGGAAACAAAACAAGAAAGTATTTGTTTTCAACAACAAAGAAATGGAGGCAACAATAACTTTGACAAATGCCATTGAGAGGTTACTTAGGATGAGTGCAGAGGATAGACATTTGGATTCAAGAACATGATCATTGGCAACCTGATGAGGGCAATTTGGTAGAACTTAATAAAATTAGGTATGCCTATGCGGTGTGGCCAAGCAATTCTACCTCTGTGTATATAACCCAGAGAAACTCTTGCAGAGTCACATGAAGATATTTATTAGGATTTTTACCGTAACAAAGCTTATGGGAACAAGGACTTGGAAGAGGTCTAGCAACAGGAAATTGGGTGAAGTATGCTTTATGCATAGGGTAGAATAATATGCAGCAGTCAGAAATAATGGACTCAATTATAGACAACACTTTGGATAGATTTTTAAAATAATATTGAGTGAAAATAATGAAAAAGTTTTAAAAAGTAAGAAACATTTATAGCATGTTACTACTATTGTACACATTTTTAAATGATAAAGTCAAAAACACTAATATTCTGTAGAATGTGAGGAAGGTGAGTTGGAAGGATGGGGCTTGAATAGACCAGAGTGGGTGCATGTGGGGTAAGGATCATGGGGCTGGAGGGACTGAAGGAAATGTGGAAAACATCAAACCAAACCCGACAAAAGAGGTGCCTCTCCTGGACCAATGGTTCATTGCCATGAGTTTAAGGAGTATGTGAACTCAATTCTATCCACCTGAGGCTTTAACTCCCATCCTCACAAGAAAAAACAAGCTAGGCAGCCAAGGGGCAGAGTGAGAGGCGGGCAGTCTGTCCCAGACTCACTCCCTCCCCAGGCCTCCCCATCTCCATCACCTGCTTCCCAACCTCCTTCTCTTCAGGACCAACTTGATCTTTCCAAAAGCCCTTCTAAGGGATACAAAAGGCACTTAGATAGAAGGAGAAGTCCCAGCCTACGATCGTACAGTAGATAGTTGAAAATTTATTATCTATTTCAGAATAGCTAGAAGAGAAGAATTTGAATGTTTTCAACACACAGAAAAGATAAATGTGTGAGGTGATGGATATCCCAATTGCCCTGATTTGATCATTACACATTGTATACAGATATCAAAGTATCACATATACCCCCCCAGATATGTACAGCTATTCCACAATTAAATAAATAAATAAATAAAAAGTACTTCTGGTCAACCACCCCTGCAGGATGTGTCTCTTCACCTTTGACAATGTAGGGTTTCCTTAAATGACCTCCAGAGGGAGTTTCTCTCTCTAGGCCCCAGAACACACTCCGGATACTGTATTTGTACTGTCAGTCTTTGTCACAGTGTATGTGATTAATTTTTTTACACTTCGCCGCACTGTATGTGTTTACATGTCTATTGGCCTGTTTTAAGGCAGCCCCAGAGGTTTCAGATCCCATTTAGGAATTTTCTCAGGGATTCTTCTAACATTTCTCCACGAATTGGGAACTGCATATATCGTTTATCCTTCAGCCTTTTTATACAAGGCTCGGCTCATTTGTAGGCATAATTGAATTTCAGATTTATGGAGTGACTAATTCAAAATATATTCCTCAGATGGACAGATTAGTAACATTGTAGATAAGTGACATTATATCTTTCTTTTAAAAACCTTTATACTATTGTGTTATCTTTTGAGAAGTTATTTCTGAGGGGGAAGAGACAAATTTCCCATACAATGGAAGTCAAAGATAATTTACATAGAGACTCTGCCCTCAAGAAATAGAACCTAACTACCCACTGTTTAGCTGTGGGCTGTACAGAGTGGGTTGCGGAAAAGGATTTCTCTGTGATGGAGAGAGTTGATAAACACTACCCTATCCAGGTTGTCAAGGTTAATATCAGCAGTCACAAATTATGTTGATAGTATATCAATATAATGTGATGAAAATGATACTTTATCGCTATGATCTTCCTCCCCCAAACCCATAACCACGAGGAAAATATCAGACAAATTCTGATAGTGGAGCATCCTACAAAATACTTGACGACTACTTCTCAAAGCTGTCAAAGTCATCAAAAACAAGGAAAGCCTGAGAAATTGTTAAAACAAAGAGGGACCATAATAACTGAATGTAATGTCGTGTCCTGGAGGGGATCCTGGAACTGAAAAAGGATATGAAGTAAAAACTAGGGAAATATAAATAAACCATGCAATTGAGTTAATAATAGTTTATCAGTATCAGTTTATTAATTATAACAAATGTACCAATGGGGAAAATTGGGTGTGGGCTGTATGGGAACCCTGTACTATACTGTAAATTGTTCCATATATCTAAAACTGTTCTAAAAATAAAGTCTATTTAAAATGAAATGCAGATTTCCTTCTTAATGTGATTGCTGATATTCTAAGAGTGATGGCTTATGTGCTTTCTATTATTGTCAACATTGTTGGCCCAGGGAGCAAGCCACAGGCCACCTGCACCACCCCTATGTCAAAGTAGTAAGTTCACGTGTGATGACTATGATCACTCATCTATAACACTCACACAGCCTAAAAGAGAGTTAAGCAGTCAGTGCTTAGGAGAAAGGTCAAGAAGTTGACTAATAGTTTTTTTTGACAATCCTTTACAGTGGCTAAGAGTAAGAAAAGAGAGAGAAGTGAGCTTTAAGACTCTTGAAGTAATGGCCATTCATTATGTGGTGAAACTTTAGTATCTCCATTGCATTCAAATATATTTTATACATGTATCATATATACATATATAATTTGTATACATATGTTTATAATTAAATGTCCTGGGTCATGAGAAATAAAAGCACCTAATTTTAGTTAAAACAAAAACAAAGTATACATGGTAACATTCGGTCCTTGGAGGTTCCAGAGTTAGAACTGTTCGATAAGAAGAGCAAATGTGACTGTGGAGGGCAATGGTAGTAATTAATCAAAGGACTGTACCTGGAGCAGTAGCTGGGCCAAATCTCCAGCTTCACTCCTGCAAGCCCTGTGTTTACAGAGAGCTTGGCTGCAGTGGTTTTGGCCCCAGGCAAAAACTAAAAACCTGGTGGAAGAGCGTGGATGATGAGAAATTGGTTAATGCCCCTTAACCAACTGGGTAATGTTAATACTCATTAACATTAACAATGTACATTATTCAGGTGATGGATACCCTAAAAGTCCTGACTTGACCACTATGCATGTAACAAAATTGCACATGTACCCCATAAATTTGCACAAATAATAATAAAAAAACTAAAAACCTGCTCTCAACTGAAATAAAATTATTTGTGTAGGGAGGACATTGACTTCTACTGTGGGAATTGGACTTCTGTTTTGTCACGAGCAGAGAGAAGGTAGAGGCAGGGATGGCCTGGTCTAACCTACCCAACCCACTTAACAACCTTACATGGAGAAGAGTTGGCCACTGGATATAGGCTGTCCATGTGCACAGAGGTCCCATGCAGAGGACACGTCTGTTAGGAAAATATATCTTCCTGAGACCCAAAGTAATCCATCTCAGTCACCAATCCAGTCCTTTATTTATGAATGTGAAAAAACAAGCATCGTCAAGTTTTGTTGAGAAAAACTTGTAACATAAAAAAGAAGGACCAAGAGAAACAAATAGAACAAACTATAAGAGAAAGCATGCATGTAATTTAGGAAGCTTTAAAGAAAAAACTTTAAAAATTATGATTATAGTTCTTAAAGAGGATTATAATAAAAACCTAAGCAAAAACCAAACAATAAACAAACAGTAACAACAAATAACCAAAAATAAGCTGCTATGAGGAAGAATCAGGATACGAAAGAACTATTGAAAACTAGAGGCATGACTTGTTAAGTAAAACACTTCATAGATAGGTTTGAAAATAGAACTGAAACAATCTCTCAGAACATAGAACAATGGCATAAGATGAAAAACATGAGATAAAAGGAGACAGTGAATCAATCCATGAGATTCAACATTCATTTAATATCAGGTACAGAGACAAGAGAAAAAGTGGAATGCTAAGATTTTTCAGAGGAATAACAAGAAAATATTTCTCAAAATTCAGAAAGACATGAGCCTTCATGGTTCCCTTAGAACACAATCAGATGTGAGAAAATAAGATAGTGAAAGTTTAGAACACCAGAGATAAAATGCGATACAGACCCTAAAAGTTTCAAAGGAGAAAAAACAAAACAGTTCTTCAAAGGAACGAGAATCAAACTGGCACCAAATATCTCATTAGTAGTACTGATGCTCCAAGAAAATGGGAACTTTATTCAAAATACTGAGAGAAAATGACTTTAATCTTAGAATTTCATACCCAATCAAACTACCAATCAAAAATGAAAGCTGAAGTAAGGCATTCCTAGATAGATAAGGATTAGGAATAATTGCTTCTCATAGGCCTTTCATATAAATTTGCCTGAAGTAAAAATAAAGGAGCAAACAGACAAAAATAGAGAAAGGGACATACCTAGTGAAAGAAATCCAAGCAGGGGGGGAGTTGTGCAGAAGGCAGAGGGTCCAGGAAGGAGATCTCTTGGTAAATGATGCAAAAGACAGCATAAATGAGAGAAGAGAGAAACCCAAGAAAAAGGCTCATTATACACGAATAAAGAGAATGGCCATGAGAAACTCTAAGATGAATTAAAAGTTGCTGCAAATGTATAATCCAAACATTAAGCAAACAAAAATTGGCAGGATTATAAGCAAGCAATGGAGAGAAGAATAAAAGAAAGAAGGAAGGAAGGCAAAAAAAAAAAAAAAAAAAAAAAAAGGAAAAAAAGCAGAAAGGCAGAAACAAGGCAGAGACAAAGAAAGAATCCATTTAATCTTGCTCCACAAGTATTCTCTATTGAATGTCCAGAAGTTAGGACATTGAGTCTACAGAAAATGTGATGCAACTCTATGTTGGACAGCTATAAATAATATTTAAATTTAAATGCAACTTAAAAATTATCAACTTTTAGAGTCCACTTATGAACAAAGAATAGATGATTTGTTTGCAGATGCAGAAATCAATGTAAATGGTAATGAAATTAACAATGGTCAAGTACAAGTTACATACAGGGTAGAAGGTGAAAGGAGAGGGTGTTAGAAAGAATGAGAAGTGTACTAATATCTTCTTTGCATTTAGAAGGAAGTTAAGATACTGACTTAGGTTGATAGAACAAAAATAGTCATGATGTTGGATGGAGGCCAAGTTATTATCCCTTTTTCTTTCTTGAAGCCTCAGTGAAATGGTCATGTAGGAATAATCCCATAATAGCAAAGAGAAAAAAGGGCGATTAATAGCAAATAGTGCTTTCAGTGAATTTGTGTGTAATGAAAAAGTGGAAGCCCAATGATAGTTAAAATAGAGCAGGAAATCTGTAGCCTGGACTATCCAGAGGTGCCCATACCACCAGAGAGCATCACTCTGCTCTCTGGACCGAAACCCAGAGGGCCTTCAGGATTAGGAGCTGATGTTGGTGTGAGTGAGAAGGAAAGCTGGAAATGCTGGTGGGGAGAGGGATGCAGTTAGTTGAAAGCCTGTCTAGCAGTTTCTCAGTGGAGAAACTATTGGCATTTTATACTGTACCAGTTTTCATTAAATGGAACAGTCCTGTGTGTTACAATTTGAGATCCCTGGACCCTCCCATTAAATACTAGCACCAATGATTTTCTAGTTGACTAAAATGTGCCCCTTTTTCCAAATGAAAATTATTACTACCTCCATTTAAGAAGCACTGGATAGAATTTGTGTACTGCTCCTGCCCCCTCCACCTTACCTTTTCCTTTCCGCACAGAGGGCAAGCAGCCTTGGTTTTTACCCCCAAGCCTATTCTGGGCAGTGCATCAATTTCACCTAAAGAAATTGGATAAGGTTTCTGGAGAGAATTAGGGCTACGGGGTAGATGACAGTGACAGCCCCACCCATATGTACAAAACTAGTCAGCTTTTCTTTTTTTTTTTTAACTTTTATTTTAGGTTCAGGGGTATGTGTGCAGGTTTGTTATACAGGTAAATTATGTGTCTTGGAGGTTTGGTGTACAGATTATTTTCTTGCCTGGGTAATAAGCATAGTACTGAATAGACAGTTTTTCAATCCTCACCCTCCTCTTATCCTCCACCCTCAAGTAGGCCACAGTATCTGTTGTATTCTTGTTTGTGTCCATATGTGCTCAACGTTAGCTCCCACTTATAAGTGACAACATGCAGTATTTGGTTTTTTGTTCATATGTTAGTTTACTTAGGATACTGGCCTCTAGCTTCCTCCATGTTGCTGCAAAGGACACGGTTTTGTTATTTTTTATGACTGTAGTATTCCCTGGTGTATATGTACCATATTTTCTTTATCTAGTCTATCACTGATGAGCATTTAGGTTGATTCCATGTCTTTGCTGTTGTGAATAGTGCTGCAGTGAACACACATATATGGAATATAAATATGAATTATTTATATTCCATATATATATATACACACCACACACATATATAAATATATATATACACACACCCAATATTGGGATTGCTAGGTCAAATGGTACTTCCAAGTTCTTTGAGAAATCACTAGCTGTTTTACACAATGACTGAACTAATTTACACTTCCACCAGCAGTGTATAAGCATTCCATTTCTCCTCAACCTTCCCAAAATCTGTTATTTTTTGACCTTTTGGTAATAGCCATTTGACTTTTTAGTAATACCCATTGGTGTAAATGGTATCTCATTGTGGTTTAGATTTGCATTTCTCTACTGATTAGTGGTGTCAAGCATTTTTTTCATATGCTTGTTGGCCATGTGTATTTCTTATTTTGAAAAATATCTGCTCATGCCCTTTGCCTACTTTTTAATGGGGTTGTTTATTTTTTGCTTGTTAGTTTGTTTAAGTTCCTTATAAATTCTGGAAATTAGACCTTTTTCAGATGCATAGTTTGCAAATGTTTTCTTCCATTCCATAAGTTGTCTGTTTACTCTGTTGATAGTTTCTTTTGCTGTGCAGAAGCTTTTTCATTTAATTAGATCCCATTTGTCAATTTTGGGTTTTGTTCAATTGCTTTTGGCATCTTTGTCATGAAATGTTTGTCTGGCCCTATGTCCAGAATGGGTATTTCCTATGTTATCTTCAAGGGTTTTTTATAATTTTAGGTTTTACACTTAGTCTTTTATCCATCTTGAATTGATTTTTGTATATGGTATAATGAAGAGGCCCAGTTTCAATCTTCTGCCTATGGCTAGCCAGTTATCCCAGCACCATTTATTGAATAGGGAATTCTTTCCCCATTGCTTGTTTTTGTTGACTTCATCAAAGATCAGATAGTTGTAGGTGTGTGGTTTTATTTCTGGGCTCTCTATTCTTTTCCATTGGTCTGTGTGTCTGTTTTTGTACCAATACCAGGCTGTTTTGGTTACTGTAGCCTTGTAGTATAGTTTGAATTTGGGTAATGTGATGCCTCCAGCTTTGTTCTTTTTGCTTAGGATTGCCTTGGCTATTCAGGCTCTTTTTGGGTTCTATATGAATTTTAAAAGTTTTTTCCCTAATTCTGTGAAGAATGTCATTGGGAGTTTGATAAAAATAACACTGAATCTGTAAATTATTGTGGGCAGTATGGCCATTTAAACAATATTGATTCTTCCTATCCATGAACATGGAATGTTTTTCCACTTGTTTGCGTCATCTCTGATTTCTTTCAGCAGTGTTTCGTAATCCTTGTTGTAGAGATCTTTCACCTCTCTGGTTAGCTGTAACCCTAGGTATGTTATTCTTTTTGTGGCTATTGTGAATGAAATTGCAGTCTTAATTTGGCTCTCAGCCTGAAGTCTGAACATTGTTGAAATGCTACTGATTTTTGTACATTGATTTTGTATCCTGAAACTTTGCTAAAGTTGTTCTTCAGATCTAGGAGCTTTTGGGCTGAGACTGTGGGGTTTTCTAGGCATAGAATCATATTGTCTGCAAACAGAGAGTTTGACTTCCTCTCTTGCTATTTGAATGTCGGGGTGTCTTTTATTTCTTTCTCTTGCATGATTACTCTGGCGAGGACTTCCAGTACTATGTTGAATAGGAGTGGTGAAAGTGGGCATCCTTGTCTTGTTCTGGTTCTCAAGGGGAATGCTGCCAGCTTTTGCCCATTCAGTGTATGATGTTGGCTGTGTGTTTGTCAGAGGTGGCTCTGATTGTTTTGAGGTGTATTTCTTCAGTGCCTAGTTTGTTGAAGGTTTTTAACATGAAGGGACGTTGAATTTTATTGAAAACCTGTTCTGCATCTATTGAGATGATCACATGGTTTTTATTTTTAGTTCTGTTTATGTGCTGAATCACATTTAATGATTTGCATATGTTGAACCCACCTTGCATCTCAGGGATAAAGCCTACTTGATCATAGTGGATTTGCTTTTTGATGTGCTGCTGGATTTGATTTGCTAGTATTTTGTTGGAGATTTTTGCATCTATGTTCATCAAGGGTATTGTCCTGAAATTTTCTTTTTTTATTGTTGTTGTGTTGCTGCCAGGTTTTAGTATCAGTATGATGCTGGCCTTATAGGATGAGTTAGGAAGAAGCCCCTCCTCCTCAATTTTTTGAAGTAGTTTCAGTAGGAATGGTACCAGCATTTCTGTACCTCTGCTAGAACTTGGCTGTGAATCTGTTTTGGTTCTGGGTTTTTTCTGGTTGGAAGGGTTTTTATTACTAATTCAATTTCAGAACTCACTATTGATTGGTTCAGGGATTCAATTTCTTCCTGGTTCAATCTTGCAAGGTTGTATGTTTTCAGGAATTTATCCATTTCTTCTGGGCTTTCTTTTTTCCTTTTTTCTTTTTTTGAGATAGGGCCTCACTCTGTGGCCCAGGCTGGAGTGTAGTGGCATGATCATGGCTCACTGAAGCCTTGACCTCCTGGGCACAAGTGATTCTCCCACCTCAGCCTCAAGTAGGTGAGACTACAGGCATGCACTGCCATGCTTGGCTTTTTGTTGTTGTTGTTGTTGTTGAGATGGGGTTTCACCATGTTGTCCAAACTGGTCTCAAACTCCTCGGCTCAACTAATCCTCCCACTTTGGCCTCCCAAAGTGCTGGGTTTACAGCCATGAGTCACTGTGCCCTGCTTATTTCTTCTAAGTTTTCCAATTTGTGTGCATAGAGGTGTTTGTAATAGTCTCTTATTTTGTATTTCTGTGGGGTTAGTGGTAATGTCTCCTTTGTCATTTCTAATTGTGATTATTTGGATCTTCTCTCTTTTTTTCTTTATTAGTCTAGCTAGTAATCTATCAATCTTATTTATTCTTTCAAATAGTCAACTCCTGGAATCGTTGATCTTTTGCATGTTTTTCTGTGTCTCAATTTTATTTAGTTAAGCTCTGATATTGGTTATTTCTTGTCTTCTGCTAGCTTTGGAGTTGGTTTGCTCTTGTTTTATTAGTTTCTCCAGGTGTAATGTTAGGTTGTTAATTTGAGATCTTTCTAACTTTTTGATGTGGGTGTTTAGTGCTATAAACTTTCTTCTTAACACTGCTTTAGCTGTGTCCTAGAGATTCTGGTATGTTGTATCTTTGTTCTGGTTAGTTTCAAAGAATTTCTTGATTTCTACCTTAATTTCATTGTTGCCCAAAAGTTATTCAGGAGAAGGTTGTTTAATTTCCATGTAATTGTATTGTTTTGGGTGATCTTCTTAGTATTGATTTCTATTTTTATTGTGCTGTGGTTCAAGAGTGTAGTTGGTAAGATTTTGGCTTTTTGGAATTTGTGGGGAATTGTTTTATGGCTGATCGTGTGGGTCGATTTTAGAGTATGTGCCATGTGTAGATGAGAAGTATGTATATTCTGTTGTTTTTAGGTGGAGAGTTCTGTAGATGGCTGTTAGGTCCCTTTGGTCAAGTGTTTAGTTCAAGTGCTGAATATCCTTGTTATTTTTCTGCCTTGATGACCTATCTATAATGTCAGTCAGGTGTTGAAGTCTCCCACTGATAGTGTGTGGTTATCTAAGTGTCTTTATAGGTCTCCAAGAACTTGTTTTATAAATCCACATGCCCCTGTATTTGGCACATCTCTCTCTATATATATTAATATTTAGAATATTTAATTCTTCTTATAGAAGAGAACACTTTACCATCATGTAATACCCTTCTTTATCTTTTTTGCTAGTTGTTGGTTTAAATTCTGTTTTGTCTGAAATTAGAAATAGCAAGCCCTGATTTTTTTCTGTTTTCTGTTTGCTTTGTAGATTTTATTCTCTATCCCTTTACTTTGGGCCTATGGATGTCATTGCATGTGAGATGGGTCTCTTGAAGACAGCATACTGTTGAGTCTTGCTTTTTTATCCAACTTGCCACTTTGTGCCTTTTAATTGAGGGCATTTAGCCCATTTACATTCAAGATTAATAATGATATGTATGGATTTTTTTTTCTATTATTGGAAAAGACCTAGGCATAAGGTGATGGAAAGGGAGATGTCCATTTACAACAACAAAGAGTATACCACCAGTGACATTGAAAAATAAATCCAGTTTTACATCAGTTATCACTGGATACAAAGAAAACAGCAACATAAAAATGAAATCCATGATAGACCAAATAGAACAGTAATCCTAGAAGAAAACTGCTAAATAAGAGAATAGAAGAAGTTTTTTTTTTTAAATCCTCTACTTAATATGCTTTGAGAGGTTCAAGAAGGTTTTGTATCTATAAAATAAGAACATTGTGATATGAAAAAGGAACAATCATAGAATATAAAAGAGCTCTTGGAAATTAAGCATCTTTTCCTAAAATTAAAAATTTTAAATAATTGAAAGATAAACTTAAATATATATCCTATAACATGAAAATAAAGAATAAAGAGACAGAAAAGTTAAGCAGGGAGAATCATCCAAGGAAGTACAATATATTACTACTTTCATAACAAGCTTCAGAAATCGACGTTATCATGCATGTATCTTATTGATAGAAATAAATGAATGCAGATCCATGTCAAAAGAAGTTCTTCATGTACTTGTTTTAAATTTGAATGGGCTCTTCTCTGCTCTATGTAGAATATGGTCTTAGGATCACAGATTCATTCCTTTGATAATTTCAGAGCTTATGAAACATGTTAACCTTATTAAAATCATGTTAATCTTAACCATTATCAAGGCCAAAACAGAGTTGGGGTGCAGACCAGGAGATCTCATAGGAAGGATATCACAAGGAGTGATCATATCTGATTTTGATGCTGGGAAACTTGTGCCTGCCTCCACTATCCTACTCTGGGCATAGGCACTTAAACAGTTCTCTCCCCAAAAATAATCCAGTAATTTCCATCAAGTATTTGCCTGGATTGTTCCTCACTTCAGTCAAATTTCTGTTCAAATATTATCTCCAAAAGAGGCTTGCCCTGATCCTCTGAACAAAAAAGACCTCTCCTACACTATAACTCTCTATCTGTTTAGCCAGCTTGACATTTTGACATTTCTTCTTATAAATGCCTGGCAGTACGGTATGTATTTTCTATCTTCCCCACAGGAATGTATGCTTCATGAGGCTCAGGAGCTTTTTTGTTTGCCTTAGTATTCCCAGTGCTTGGCACATGGTAAATGGTCAATAAATGCTATTATTTGGTGGACTCTATGCAGGGATACCATAAGGGAAATTCTGTAGTGTTTTTATATTTTAGGGGGCTTCTCTTTCCATTTTCCACTCCTGTCCTTAGCTCCTTTCCTGCTGGGGTTGCTGTGAGAACCAAAATGGCTGACAAGGATAGCAAAAATGCAGACAGAAGGGCTGGGGTCAGAGGGGAGTGTTCCAATTGTGATGGTGGAACTGTGTTAGCCCTGAATGCTATTCTTATGGAAATTTTTACCCTTATCCCTGCAACACGTTCTAACCACATGACTGTCTCAATTGCCAGAGTTCAAGCTCTTGGGAGTGGAAGTCTTTGAAGCTAGGAGAAAAATTTATAGAATTTGGATCATATGTTATTTGTTCAGCTTCAGTTACAAATGACTTAGCAAAACAAAGTTTAAAGTTCCCAACTGAGCATTTAAAATAAAAATAGAATTTTGCAGAGAGCATAACACCTTTCATTGCAAGAAGGAATAAGCAAGCAGTGAGCCTTTTCTGGAAAATGGCATGACGGAACAATCCAAGGTGACTGGAAATTTTTGTGGGAAACTACAAAATTCTAGCTACTGATGACCTCCTTGCTTTTGCAATGCTGAGAGATGGTCATCAAAGTATATGCTTAGCTACAAATAATTCTTAAGTTCTGATATGTCTAAGGAGCTGAGTGGGAGGGAGTTGCTTCATAGTGGCTATTTTAACTCCATACATTGAAAGTTTATTTCCTTGTACTTTTGTAAGTTAAAGGAAAGCCTCATTTTTCCACCACCTTGCTCACTTTATAATTGTCCACAAATGAGCAATTGTAGGAGTCAGCACTAATGAAAATGATAAGAGTGAACTAAATTATATATTTGGGAGAGACCACAATTAGACCTATTAGCCATCTGATATGGAAGGTTATAAAGCCATAACAAGAGGTCTAAGATTCTATTCCTTCCATTTTCAACCCTGCTGCACCATTGCACATGCCATTCCTACTCCTGGGAATGCTATTTCTCCCAATCTGGTGAATTAATCTCATGTGATGTCTACTCAGTTGTCGTTCCCATCGTGCAGCCTTCCTTGACCATTTTTTCCCCCAAGTAGTGTTAGTTACTTTCCCCTCTAAGTTCCCACAGCACTTCTTTTTCATGCCTCTATTATAGACCCAATCACACACTATAAATAAGAGTTTGTTTGTACCCTTCACTCAATTATTAAGTCGTCCAGGGTAGGGACCAACACCCTTTTTATTCTTGTGGTATCTAGTGTTTAGCACAGTAGCTGGCCCAGAAAGTGAATAGATGAGTGATGTCAGTCATCCATAATATACATTGATCAACTATCACTCCAATTTTATATCCAAATTCTCACATGGCAGACTGTCAGTCTCAGCCTGAAGCTGCCCCTTTGCCCATGGATGAAGTCCTTGCAGGAGAGGTGTTCCTCTGCACGTCTCTGGAATGAAATTGCATGGGGCATCCCAGGTGGCAGAGGTTACCCTGATTCCTATTGGCATGATGGATCATTGCTGTTAGGTACATTGCTGTGTGCTTCCTTCCCATTTCGGTGAGTTCTTAGCAGACCCGAAGGGCTTACTATTCAACCTGCTCCAGATGCAAAGCTGTGGTTGACAGGAAGCTTGGGTCTACTTCTTGGTGTTCTCTGCCTATCTTTGATGACACACATATTCTGCTGAGATCAACCAACAGCAGCATGGAGCAGCTCGTCCTGCTCCTTTAAATAAATTTCCCTGTTGTTTTGAGTCTCTGCCTTTTCAAAAGAGTGACCAGATGTCTTTGAGTGCCTCAGGCAGGCTTGGCACCAGAAGACTCTGCCATTGATCCCAGTGTAACTCCATCAGGATGCTGGGCCAAGATGCTGGATCAGGCTCTCCTACCTGCCCTGAGTTTGGGGACTTTCCCAACACAGGCTGAGTTTTTGGACATTTGTATAGGGCTTAGTAAATCTGCACTTGCTAACTTATCAACAGGCCCTTAAATAAACAAACAAAACCTCTCTAAGATCATCTTTTCATGCAGTGGAGATAGAATTAGGTCAAGTTCATTATTTCAGAACCTGGCATCATGCTTTCCCCAAGTAGGTGGAGAACATATTCATGCTGAGCTGTTGAGCCTGGGAGCAAGGGGCTAAGGCACCCCTCCCCAGAGTGACAACAATTAATCATGTTCATTCTTGTTAAAATTAATGGATGTATCCTTGGAAGGCCCAACTGTCAACCAGCCAAGTCAGCATACTGGTACCTCAATTGCAAATGTGGCTTTCGATTCTTGGTTTCTTAATCTGAAAAATGTGAGAAATTAGTAGTTCACTGGAGGTATTCTTAAGAACACTGTTATTGCTCCTGGGTGCTGTGTTTTAGGATACTCAAGCCCCATGGATAGATGGTGGAGTTCAAATAGCACAACACAGAGCAACAGGAGCCCTGACTTCCAGGCTGCTGCTGCCAACATCTAGCAGTGTGGCTTTGTGACAGCTGCTTACTTTTCTGGACCTCACACTCATCTTGTAGAAGATGAAAGTTCTTTCCACCTCTAGTAACTCAAGCACAGAGAGATCACCAGAAGCCCCAGGGATTCTGATTTTCTGCCTGCACATGTAGGCTCTACCTCAACAAACAAGCTCCAGGTGGTCTGGCTCTGTTTTGTCCAGATCTGTCCACAAGGCCCCATGCTCCTGGGAGTACCATTTTCACAGACTAGAATCCAATGGTGTCCCTGAAATTTTGAGACAAAAACATATATCAAAGCCTGATTATTTCTCCCTTGAAAAGAGATGTCTATTTTAAACTTCATAGCTAAAATTAAATAGATAATGATGTATAAATCAAGAAGCAAAGGATCATTTTGTAAAAAGAAATCTGAATACTGCATACCCTATAGCAAATAATTTTCAGGGAAGCATAGCTACCTCAAATATAATAGCATATATATGTGCTTCTCCCCATAGTACCAGCAGTTTTCTTCTTTCTCAAGATCCTCCAGTGTTCAGAGCTATCTTTGCTTCCTTTCCCTCATCTTTTCTATCCAATCTGCTGTTGATCCTTATGTGTTGTTACTGTCTTCATTTCTGATATCAGCCTTTCTCTTTTCTTTCTTATTCTTTCTTCAAGCTTTCACTATTGTCATATGGAACAACTACAATATCTTTTGTTTTTTCTACTTTTAGTATCTTTCCTTTCCGAGCCATATCACATGCCACTGCCAGATAAATCTTCACGAAGCACAGCTCTGACTAAGCCCAAGCCCAGATCTTACATTGGCCCTCACTGCCTACCAGCAGTGGTTAATACTGTGGGCTGTTTAGACAGACTCTTTGGGGTTGGATCTTGGCTCTGCAGCTTGCTAACTGTGCTCTTGCATAAGTTGCACCACTTCTGCAAGCCTCTCTTTCTTCTTCTGTAAAGTATAATAATTATTATTTTTTTTTGAGACGGAGTCTCACTGTATTGCCTAGGCTAGAGTGCAGTGGTGCGATATCAGCTCACTGCAACATCTGCCTCCCGAGTTCAAGCAATTCTTCTGCCTCAGCCTCCCAGAGTAGCTGGGATTACAGGTGTCCATCACCATGCCCGGCTAATTTTTGTATTTTTAGTTCAGACAGGGTTTCACCATGTTGGCCAGGCTGGAATCAAACTCCTGACCTCAGGAGATCCACCCGCCTTGACCTCTCAAAGTGCTGGGATTACAGGCATGAGCCGTGGTGGGGAGCCTGGAATTAATTATTGATCCAACATTAGAGAGTGGTTATAGAGTTTAAATGAGGAAATATATGCTTTACATATAGTAATTGTCACAGGCTGCCAGCTGCTCTTTTTACCATTGGTACATGGTTCTTCAGAATCAGGCCTTAATATTTCTACCCAAACATGTGTGTCACTAACTCCCTTTATGTCACCTGTGGGGGTCTGGATTGTTCCCTTTTCCTTACAGTATACTCAGGTATTCCTACATCTGTACTTGAAGACATGTAGGACTTTACACCTGATTCCTTACTTACCCATGGTTAGATCAGTCTTTCAAAAAAATACATGGAAAATTTCATATATATGCCAAAAATACAGAGAAGAGTGAAATGAACGTTCATGTACCCATCACCCAGCTACTGCAATGAACCAGTACGTAGCCAATCTTGTTTTAACCTCACCCCTAAATGGATTATTTTGAACCAGATCCCAGATATTATGCCATTTCATCTACAAATACTTCAGTAAGTAATTCCAAAAGATAAGGACTCATTTAAAAAACAATCACAATACTATTACCACTTCTAAAAAGTAAAGTCATTTTTGAATATCAAGGATCTAGTCAATGTTTAAGTTTCCCCAATTGTCTCATAAATGTCTGTTAAATATTTTTTGTAGTTGGTGTATTCAAATCAGGATTCAAAGTCCGCATATTTTATTTGGTTGCTATGTCTCTTCAGTCTATTTTAATAAATACATTCCCGCTCCCTCTTTTCTTCCTTGTAATTTATTTCTTAAAGAAACTGGATCCTTTGTCCTGTAGATTTCCCCCACAGTCTGCTTTTTGCTGATTGCATACCATGGCATGGTTTAGTTTGTTCTTCTGTTTTTTGTGTTACTCAGAAATTGGTAGTTAGGTCTACAGGCTTGATCAGGCTCAGGCTTAAAATTTTTGAAGAGAATCATTCATAGGCAATGTCAAGAAATATTTTTTAATCATTGAGTCCTGGGCATGGTTCTCAGTGTACGGGGGGCATGAGTCACCTCGCCCACCACAGGTTGCATACTCCTCCTCAGGGTCTACTGCAGTGATATTTTCTTGAGAATAAGTTTTTGCCTGGCATCAGCGCTTTGTAGGTATGAGTCTTCCTTTCCTCTTAGTGATGGTTAAATTTAGGTGTCTACTTGACTGGATTAAGGGATACTCAGATAGCTGGTAAAACGTTATTTCTGGGTGTGCCTGTGTGGGTGTCTCCGGAAGAGATAAAGTTGGTGGACTAAGTAAGGAAGAACCACCCTTGGCCAATGTGGGTGGGCCCCATCCAGTTGGCTGGGGGCCTAGCTAGAACAAAAATGCAGAGGAAAGGTGAATTCTTTCTCTCTTTTTCTGGAGCTGGAATATCATTCTTTACCTGCCCTTGGACATCAGAACTCCAGGTTCTCCAGCTTCTGGATTCTGGGACTGGTTGTCCCCCAGGTTCTCAGGCCTTTAGCCTTGGCCTGAGAGTTACACCACCTACTTCCCTGAGTCTGAGGCCTTTGGACTTGCACTGAGGATGCTACCAGCTTCCCTGGTTCTCAAGCTTGCAGTCAGCCTACTGTGGGACTTCTCAGCGCACTTCCCCAACCCAGCATGAGCTAATCCCCCTAAGAAATACACTCTCATCTCCCTCTCTTTCACATATATATATATATATATATATATATATATATATATATATATATCTCCTCTTGCTTCTTCTCTTTGGAGATCAACTTTATAAACATCTTTTTCTCCATCACCCTGAACCTGCCTAGGGAGGTTTTAATAACAAACAACAGTAAGAACCACGCTAAATAACTAGGTACCTTTTTGATTGCTTAGCCTGTGCCAGGCACTGTACTAAGACTTTAGCGTGCATTATCTCGTATCATTTCACAAGAACTTTATGACAAAGGTATTTTACTATTCTCCTTCCAGAGATGAGAACACTGAAGCCAATAATTTAAGAACTTCACTCAAAGAACTTGTAAGTGATGCCCCGAATCACTGGGATTGATCTTTAGAGTTGGGTCCTTACCTATCACAGTGATCCAGCCCTATGGAAAACACCACTCCCTTTCCTCCATGAGAAACCTTGACTTTTCCTTGTGAACTGGGGTGCTGAGTTACTAGGTGTTAGCAGAGCTTTTCCATTAATGGGTGAAGGTGTTGAGAGTGTAAATTCAGTTTTGAAAAATGCCTTGAGAGCTGCAGCTTAAAAGAGATTGCAGTATAGTAGTCAAGAGAGGAGGCGGCTGGGCGCGGTGGCTCACTCCTGTAATCCCAGCGCTTTGGGAGGCCGAGGCGGGCAGATCACGAGGTCAGGAGATTGAGACCATCCTGGCTAACATGGTGAAACCCCGTCTCTACTAAAAATGCACAAAAAATTAGCCGGGCTTGGTGGCGGGCACCTGTAATCCCAGCTACTCGGGAGGCTGAGGGAGGAGAATGGCGTGAACCCAGGAGGCGGAGCTTGCAGTGAGCCGAGATCGCGCCACTGCACTCCAGCCTGGGCGACAGAGCGAGACTCCATCTCAAAAAAAAAAAAAAAAAAAAAAAAAAAAAAAAAAAAAAGAAAAAAGAGGAGGCTATGAGTGTGACCGTTTGGAGTAGAATCCTCACTGCAGCCTGCCAACTGTGTGACCTTGGACAAGTCACTTTGCCTCTCTGTGCCTTAGTTGCCTCATAATAAAATATGCATAATAAATGAAAGCGCTTAGAACTAATGCCTAGCACATACTAATCACTCAGTAAATGTTACCTGCTACTGCTGCTATATTCTTGCCATCACCATTCAAAGTATTTAAACAATTACGAGAAAGAAATAGCTTTAAAATAACATTTTCTATCTCATGCTGCAAAAGGCGCCCCCCCCAACTTCCTTTAACCATTTACTTCATTTCATTTCTTTTCCTCATAAGAAAAATGAAAAGTACAGAGGTTTCTCCCCACCTCCTCCCCCACCACACACATTTTAATTAAGGTGTCTTTTGAGAAAGAATACTTTAATCCAAAGTGATCACTTTGATACTCGAAGAGACACATTTGGAGGCTACTTGGCGAGGGGGAATTAAAGACAGAGAAGCTGAATAAATAGCAAGCAAAATGTTAATGTTTTGGCTTTGTGGTGTCTGCATCTGAGAGCACTCCACGCAGATTTTCTTGGCCGGCTCCAGCTGGAAGCCTTCGGTGTCTCCTTTTGTGTGCGCGGGAGCCTGGCTGCGGATTGCCGCGCTGCCCCTAGAGGTCAGTCTGATCCAGGGATTGTCTCGAATCCGCGCAGCTCTGGACCCGAAAGGAGAGGCTCAGGGAGAGGATAATGCGGTTGCCAAGTGCCAGGCTTGGCCTGGGTGAGAACCCGGGGCTGCGCGAGCACGGTGGCCTCGGTGCGTCCCCCGGCTGTCCCCGCCGCGCTGGGCGGCCCTGCCGCAAGTTCTCTCTACTTTCTCAACACGGGTTTGCCAAAGTCAGAAAAGGTTGGGATTTTTCTTCAACGTGATATGACTGGGGTTAGCTTGACTTTGTAATGGTAAAAAGAAAAGATGAATGTAAATGGCTTAGTGATATTTTCTATTAAACTATGATTTTTGCTTGTGCTGCATTCAACTGACTGCAACCAGGAGCCAGACGGCCTGAGACCTGTGAGGCCCTTTCCATCAAGAAACCAGATTTCATTTCACAAGAAACTGAGGCCCAGGGAAGAAAAACAACCAAAACACTGTTGAAGTCACTTGAAAACAAGTCTCAACTCAGGGTTATTTCCACTATACATAATCTCATTATTTAAAATATGATGAAGGATTATTGGTTTTAAAGGCCTTGAATTGACATAAGAAACAGTTAGGTATTTAGTTGGCAAACTGGCATAGCTGGTTGAATTCAGAGGCAGGTTGTGTTCAGATGGGGGAGGAGGGAAACCAAGAGTTACCCCTATTTGTGAGGTCCTAGGCAGATTACTTTACCTCTCTGTGCCTCAGTTTACTCATCTGTAAGATGGGATAAATCGCAAGGCTTTATTTCAGGAAAAAAAGCTAGAGAATAATTCAGTGAGCACTCTGTGAATGTTGGTGGCCGTTGTTTATTATTATGAGTAGAAACATTGCAAGGGAAGTCTTGAACACAGAGGGAGGGGTGGGAATGCACTTTCTCATCTTGAGGGGCTCAACATTACTCCTTCAGTTTTTTCCCTGCATGACTTTCAAAGTCATCTTCTTTAAATATCTTTCATGACCAACCCCCTCCATCCCCTCACCCCCCATACAAAAATTCAATGTCCTATTAAAGCAGAAGGAATGTCACTTGGGAACTAGGTAGTGGAATTGGGATTGAGGTGATAAGGACTAGCATGGCAAGTGTTGGAGGGGAAAAGTCTGCCCCAAGAGACATTTCCAGGGAAGAATTCTCAGGGTTTAGCAACGTCCTCAAGTTTAAATTCTAAAGGAACAGGACCTTCCCTGGGACTTTGGCTATGTTCTTTCTTGCCCTGTGGTCAGTTAGGTGTGTATTGTTCATACTCAGATTGTCCAATCTCAGCTTCCTAGAGAACAGAGATTCCATCCTACAGCTGGCTTCTTGTGCAGGGGTGCTTATGAAATGCTTCCCTTTGGTGCAGATTGCTGGACAAGGTGCTCACTGCAGTCTCCTCCTTACAAACCATCTTAGGTACCATTATTTTTGTCCAGACACCCTGTATAAGATAAACAGGGAGAAAGCTGATTCAATTGCTGACCACTGTCTTTGGGCTTTTCTGTCTTCTCTCCATTGATTTTGCTGTGTTTGTAGTATTTGAAGATCTTGCTACACATTTTCGTCTCATTGATATGTATTTTACCCTTTGGAGAGGGGCTGATGTCCAATCTTCCTTTAACCTGGCAGGTCTTGAGATATTTGAAGACAGCTACCAAGACTCCTCTAATTCTTCCTTTTTTTTGGTTGTCTTTAACCATTCCTCATGGGGCATGATTTTTAGAGTCATCATTATCTTGGTTACCACTGGTTTCTAGATCTTCTCCCCTTTGTAGATATCTCTCGTCACCTCCTAGATATTGTTACTCAGAAGTAAATCCAATGCTGTGGCTAGGATCAAATTTTCTCACAGCTCTAGTTTATCTTCTGCTTTCTTTGGAAGACTACACTGTCATTAATACCTTCCAGTACTATATTAGTGCCTCTGATGGCAGTATTTTGCTCTTGAATCATGGAGCTTATAGCCAAACAATCTCCAAAGTCTTTCTTACATCAGTGGCCACTGGGTCATATTACTCCCCATCTTGTCCTTGATTAGCTGGTTGTCTGAATCCAAAACCTGGGTCTTATACTTAATTCAACAATAGCAACTTGTACATTTTGTAGACTATTAGTCTTTTTGGCCAGACTATGAATTCCTTGAGTCCAGACATTCTGCCTCTCAACTCTCTATTTCTAGTGCCTACCACAGTGCCTGGCATTTTATAGGTGGTTTACAAACATGGAATAAAAGCATGGCCTATTGAAAGTCTCTGAATCCTAATTTTCTTATTCATAAATACTCACAATATTATCCATAATATATAAATGTTACATGTAAGTGTGTTAAAGTGTTCTTCTCTCCTCATCCCAAATTAGTAATGTTTTGATTAAGACAGAGCCATATAGGACCTAACTAGACACCACCATTCATAAAATCCAAGGAAAATAATGGCAGTAATCAACATTGACCTGACCGTCGTTCATCAATATATCACACATTTACTTTCTTTTCCTTATATCTAGATTAAATTTTGGGATCTTGACCATAAAGATTTCAGGAAATTTTGTTGAATGCTGTGTTAAAATCAAGAGGCATGATAGCCGTGGCATTCCTGAGATTCAAGTGTAATAGCCAAGCATAGGAAATGAGGTCAGTGCATCACAACTTGAGTTTTAGTGATTTTCTGCTTCTGCAGGCAAATTGCTTAATGTTTCAGTGTTACTACTGCCTAGTGGAGAAATGTGGATAAAAGTGTACCATATTATTGGGTTGTTATGTCAGTAGCACAAGATAATCCAGACGAAGCATACAGTATAATGCCTGATACATGGTATATGCTTAAAAACATGAACTACTCTTATTATTACTTTTATTTGGCCACCTATGGAACCACTCAGTTGGATTCATATCCAAGAAATTGTGCATTCATCCCCTCAAGCCTGTTTTGATGTTTTAAATTAGTTTAGCCAGTTTAGTGTCCTTTAGCCAACAACTGTGGTTGGCTCAATGTTTATCATATCAACCTTTTCTGTTTACTTGTTTGTTTTGTTTCTTTGCCTGGAAGAGACAAAGACCTGAGTGTGTTTCTTGTGAGCAGATGCATGTGTTTGTTTAAGCCAGTGGCACAGGGCTGGGAAGAGAATGAGGTGGAGTGGCCAACAGAGAACCTTGTAAATACAGGTCAGGCCAATGCAAAGAAAGTTTGTTGGCTAAATCATCTGTGTATCAGTGATTTGTGAAAACTGAATGCAGGGAGTTTTCTTCAGCTATCAACAAGGTAGTTTAAGCATCAGGCAAAATGTCCAGCATTTTGAATGCAGTTGTTTAAATTAATAAACTCTGAAATTCAATATCAACTGAGGTAGTGGTCACTTGCCTCTGCGTGGTTTGACCTTTAGAGTTTTATCATGCGGATGTTATGCTGCTTCAGTTGAGTGCGTGTATTGATATCCTCATCTGTCACAGGGGATAGTTCTAGGTAATTGTTATCATGCACTGGTCTATTCCATTCCATTACCAGATTTTTCTAAATTGGTTTCATGGTTTGGATATTCTTGTGAATTAGATATTATTATCCTGACTTTCCACAGAGATTGAGGACTTTGTCCGGGGTCACACAGCTGGTAAGTGACAAAGCACGCTCTCTTTGACTCCAACATTCTTGGTTTTAACCACTATATTATGTTAGCTTCTTTGTGACATGCTTTTGTCTTTTAGGCAATCTCAGTTGCTTTTTCAACTCATATCAGTGAGCTTTGGGAATTCTTTATGGAAGTAGAAGTAGCTTATATTTATTATTAAAAAGAACTAAAGGGTCATATAACATTTTGTTTTAATCTCTGGAGGAAGTAGATTTGTAAACAGCCATTAACTACTTTCTTTGAGTTTTGAAGTTGAACCCTCAGTTATTCAATTCATAATTGACTCATTAATAATTTAGTTAATTCAACAAATATTAATGAAGCACTTACTACGTGCCTGCCACTGTTTGAAGTACTCAGAAACTATGCCAGACTCAAAGCCTTTCTATAGAATTTGGATATTATTCTAATCTGAGTGCTCACTTTTCAGAAAAGCTTCAGTTCCAACTATCATTGTGATTTAAGTTCTCACTAGATTGGAATATTCTTTATTCCTTTAATACAGTTTATAGATATGTACACTTAGTCCTGAATCCTGGCCTCTCCTCACCTTTTATGACCACTTAGCCAAAGCCTATGTACTCATCCTTCAAGGGCCCGGGGCCTACCTTCTGCTTGAAGCCTTCCCAGACCACAGGGCACATATTCTTTCTCCTCTAACTCCAGCTTATGTTTACTGTCTGTAATATTCTTTTGTCCCATAAGAGCACGACTGTTGGATTCTAATATTTCAAGGGTTCTTAACCTGGGATGGGCCCCGAATCACCTATGGAGTTTTTTTTTGAAATTTATGTGCTTGATCTTCATCTTACCACATATTTTCAGATTTGATATCTCTAGGGCTAGAGCTCAAGTGTACATTATTTAAAACAACTCCCCAAGTGATTCTGAAGTTTACAAGCAGGTTCAGAAAACATAGCTTACATCATTGTAATGTATGGCCACTGCCCCTTTACATGGTCTACATCAGGGACCCCCAACCTTTTTGGCACCAATAATTAGTTTTGTGAAAGACAAAACTTTTCCACACACTGGAGCGGGGTTGGGGGGGATGGTTTTGGGATGATTCAAGCACATTACATTTACTGTGCACTTTACTTCTATTATTATTACATTGTAATATATAATGAAATAATTATACTACTCACCATAATGTAGAATCAGTGGGATGTTGAGCTTGTTTTCCTGCAACTAGAGGGTCCCATCTAGGGTTCGTGGGAAACAATGACAGATCATCAGGCATTAGATTTTCATAAGGAGCATGCAACCTAGATCCCTCCCATGTGCAGTCTGCAATAGGGTTCATGCTCCTATGAGAATCTAATGCTGTCACTGATCTGACAGGAGGCCGAGCTCAGGTGGTAATGTGAGTGATGGGTAGTGGCTGTAAATACAGATGAAACTTTCCTTGCTCGCCCGCCACTCACTTCCTGCTGTGCGGCCTGGTTCCTAACAGGCTACGGACTGGTACCGGGGTTGGAGACCCCTGGTCTATACCATTCTGTAAAGCAGGTTCTATCCCTTCAACTAGGCTTCAGCACCTAAAAACACTGGGATTAAAATTCTTTGAATTTTCCTAATTGCCTAGCACAATCCTGAGCACAAATACTCCAGAGTTAGTCACTGAAAGAATTAGTTAAAGGGATTGATCCTTTTTACTCTTTCCTCACAATGCACTCAGAAAATTTCAGGAATGAATTATGCCATCCAATACCTAAGTCTGGTACCCTGGAGGCAAACTCTGTGGCCTTCTCTGTGTGGTAGAGATAAAAGTGGTTCACTTAAGTTCTGGCTTTCTTTCTTCTAGAAGGATAGATTTGAAGTTGTTTTTGTGGCCACGTGACTTGCTTTGGTTAGAGCTGTGAGTAGTTGACATGATGAGGGTGTCTCCAGGCTGGAGAATGTAATTGCTGGTGCAATACCTCCCAGGCTCCCTTCTGCTGCCTTGACAATGAGCAAGGCCACTGATACGGAGGCTCCAGCACACTGGGTCCTTGAGTGAGGACACAGGAAGCAGATGCTCCCACTGACCTGTCTGGGACATATAGCCTGAGTAAGAAATAATGTTTGTGGTTACAGGCCCCAGAAATTTGGGGAATATTTGTTACCACATCTGAATCTGTTCTGACTGACACAGCATGGATTAAGTCCGTATTAAATTATTTGTCATATGCATTATGTAGGTTTTGCAACTTTAAAAAAGTTGAGCATGAAGAGTTGAACTATTTTTGAAAAGGAAGAGTGGAAACAAAATTCAAAACTGAGGCCTAGAGTAGAAAGTTAATAAATTTGAGACTTGTGTTTATATGGCCACTAAGGTGATGTTTTCGTCATATATGTACTGTTTTCTTATTAAATTCACCAGCCGGGTGTGGTGGCTCACATCCATAATCTCAGGACTTTGGGAGGCTGAGGCAGGAGGATCACTTGAGCCCAGGCATTCGAGTCCAACCTGGCTAACATGGTGAAACTCTGTCTCTACCAAAAATACAAAAAATTAGCCGGGCAAGGTGGTGCACACCTGTGGTACCAGCTATTCGGGAGGCTGAGGTGGGAGGATCACTTGAAGCCAGCAAGTTGAGGCTGTGGTGAGTCACGTTCATACCACTGTACTCCAGCGTGGGTGACAGAGCAAGACTCTGTCTCAAGAAAAATAAATTTGTTCAAAGGAATAACTATCATCTTCAGTTCTCTACTATGGAGAATTGAAGATTGAACAAAAGGTAGTCATCCAAGGAGATTTAGTATGTTGGCCACACCCTGAATTTGTCATTTGGGATAAATTCCATTGAGATGGTGGCTGGCAGGGGCACCTCCTCTCCAGGGTTTCAATGCTTGCAGTTGAACTGCTCTGCTGCACATGGCCACCCACAATTTATAACTGCTTGTGTGGCTTTAGCCTTCTCCAACAAGGAGTATCTTTCTCTAGGGCTTTGAGAGTTTGGTATGTGAAAAACTGTATCCTGTCTTAATTTGCATTTCTTTGGTGGTTGGTGAAGTTGATCACTATTACATGTACTTTTTGACTCATTTCTTCTTTTGTGAATTACTCTTCAGGTCTTTAACCAGGGAGATCTTTAAGAGGTGGATGCCTCCCTGAAGTCAGGACACAAGGACCCTTAGCCTCTCTGCTCACCTGGGGGCTTCCTGACCATCCTCAGCTGCTCCAGCCAGTGTCTTGGCACAAAGGTTGGCAGGAGGTCCCCCAGCGCAGTCACCACCCTGACCCCTGCCTCCCAGCCTGGACTCCTGATGCCTCCTTTTACTCCCTAAGTGCCAGGGTCTGATCCTGGTTCTTGAATGCCAAGGAAGGGCAGAGAGGGTGTGAGAATAGAGGACATTGTCAGAACCCAGAGAATTTCACTTTTAAGACTGTACCTCTCTTTTCCCTTCCTTCTTCTAGCCTCTCCCACCTCCCTTTCCTAGCTTCCCTGGTGTGGAGGGTTGGAGGATTGGGTGGGCTCCAGCAGGTGCCACAGCAGCAGTTGATACTCCAACTCCTTGCTTCCCCTGGGAGCTGCCAGCAGCTTGTTCTATGTCACATGCCACTCCTCAGGGGGCTCAGGCTCACTCACAACCCCTCCAACCTCACCAAAGGTCACATCCAAGGAAGCTGTGGTTCCCCCTCTTCCCCATCCCCACCTTGGCTACTCTCACCTTTTCTAAATTCCTTTCTGTTCTTTCACTACACTGATGTCTGCGTGATCTTTTATTCTCATCATCTTACCTGTCGCACCACCCAGGGCCTTATCACCTATGAGGCAGACTGAGACCCTTGACTCAGCCTATAAGCTCCTTGATCATCTGACTGATTTGTTGATCAGGAGTACCTGCTATACATGGAAGGATAGATTGAGGTCAGATTCTGAGGGGCCTTGAATGGCGGGCCAAGGAGTTTAGATGGAACTGCGTGGCCCGTAAGAAAATAGTGCAAGCGAGTGGGTTACGAGCAGAGTTGTACCATATTTTTTGGGAAGGGTAGGGAGAGACCCTAATAGAAGTGTCCAGTTAGGTGAGGACTTTGCTTCCTGTGGGAAGACAATGAAGATGGGGCTTTATCTTGGGGCCCACCAAGATGATGTCACTATGGGAGGCCCTTTTGAATACATAGTGAGTGCCATTGCTCATCAGCCCTCTTACCTTGGGGAGACTTAATAAACTTTCTTGTGGAAGAGGGACATAAGACGATGAGGTTGTTTTTTCCTTATGGGTGCTGGAATGTGGGGTGTGTTTTATCCTGTTACGACCCTCATTTTGGTAATCAGCACAAGGTCTGGGCCTCTGTGGCAAGAGCAGTGACAATGTTTTCACACCCCAAGGGGCACACAAAAGTCAGCCAACTCCCTGCTGCCGGGTCAGGAGTGAGGGTCAGAGCAGTGGAAGTCCAGGGACTCCCCAGAAATGGGGCTTAGGCACAAAGATCATTTAGACCACCCCCAGGTCCCTGGTCACCTTCTGCTTTCCCCACACATCAGGGGAGGTTCTGGCAAGAAGTAGCACATCCACACTGGGAAATTTGAAGAGGTTTTGTATAGGACCATTTACAAAGGTAGAGCAGGGATAGGAAAACTTCAAGGGGTGCTGTAGTTCCCAGGAGAAATTCTATCACTGTATCTGTTTTGCTTTTTCTCCCATCTGGAAAATGCACACACACACCTGAGTAACTCACTTTCTTCTTGAATTCCAAAAAACTTTTGTGATTGTATATACAATCTTCTCCTAGAGTGCTCAGAAGGGCTCTGTGTGGAGTTGTGTGGAGAGGGTCCCCTTACAGGAGCCAGGACTTTCAAGAGCCACATGCCACAGTGACCCCACAGCACTGGTGGGGAGCTAGGGGCATAAACACCACGACTTCATTCTTCTGTGCTCTGAGCTGTTGCTGATGCTCCCTATTGGCCAAACCAAATTGGCAACCAGAGGATAAGGGAGCCCGCTGAGGGAGTCCATCTTGTGACCTCCTAGGCCAGGGCAGAGGGCAGAGGGTAGAGTGTGGGTTGGAGGGAAAGTGGAAGATACACTCCTGTCCCCACTGTAGGGGAAGAAAAACTCTTCCTCTCCTGTCTTAGATGTAGTGATTGGGGACCTGTGAATTAAACTGACAAAAGACAGATTAGAAAGAGAGAAGAACAGATTTAATCATGTAAGTGTGGAGTTCACAAAAAATGCTACTCAAGGAGATGGTTAGAATTTGGGGCTTATGTAGCATCTGAAAGGAAAGGGAGGGGGAGAAAGGATTTTTATGGGAGGAAAAATGACTTTTGGAAAGATAAATGGGTACTTAAGAGGGTAGATGGGAGATGTAGTTTTGTGATAGTGGCTCATGTCTGATGAGGAGAGTCAATCTTCCCTGCTTGCAAGAAACTCCTGGGAGGGGGTTTATGCCAACTGAGTTCTTTTGGGAGGCTCCGCTTTTAGGCAGATTTCAGAAACTCAAATCCCTTCTGCTTAAAATCATTTTTATGCCCCAGTGATATATTCCGGACCACTTCACCACCAAAGGTAGCGTGACCTGTGGGGGGCTGTAGGGAGACCAAAGGTTCCCAATTTTAGAGCCACCAAGTTTGAGGGACCAGAGAATCAAGGCTACTGTGGGGCTGCACAGGCTTCTGGGAAGAGAGCTGGAGTGATGGGGCCTCATCCTCTCACAGAGAGCAACCAGCGTCACCAGGTAGCCCTGCTTCTGGGATATCCCGTCCTGATCAATCTTAGGCTGCTCTACGGCATGGCTATGGGGCATTGCACCATGTTATCCCTTAGTCTAGGGAATCTGACACTTGGCCTCTCACACGCTGGGAAGCCAGCATCCTATTTATCTCACAACTTCAGGAAATTATACTGCTTCTAGGTCAGGTTCTGGCTGGAGTAAAGAATGCCAGGCTACAGGGTCAAGAATGCTAGGCTACGGGGTCAAGTGACATCATTTTCCTCAGTGTTTAAGGAACACGCAGAGCCCTTCTGAGCACTCGTGGAGAAGATTCTATGTACAATCATGAAAGTTTTTTGGAATTCAAGAAGAAAGTGATTTATTCAGGTGTGTGCATGCGTTTTCCAGATGGGAGAAAGAGCAAAACAGATAAGGTGATAGAATTTCCATTGTTAGATTCTTCTTGTTTGTCTGTGAACTATGCATGAAGGAGCTATCCTGAGCCATGAATACTGAAAACACTTGAGTGCTTTTCCATGTGTGAAAACCTTACCCTTTGAAAAATCCAAGGCCCACCCTGGGCCACACATGTCGAATCTGAGCTCAGCTGTTAGGCAGCTCCTCACCTGCGCCAACAGCGAAAGCAAAAGTGGTTCGGCACAGACATTGTTTAAAATGGCTGCGTTAAAAATACCATCTCGGCTTCACAGATTTCTGGAGCTGTGAGGAGCATCCTCATTTATGTGCTCTGATGAAGGTGAGTCTGAGAGGAATGCACAAGCCAGTTAAAAGTGGTTCTCTAATTGGATTATGCAACAGCTTTTGAATCTCGATGCTTTAAATTTTTAAAGAGCCAGCAACCTCTCTCAGCCCAAAGTCCCTGTGGCTCTGAGCAAGGCTGCAGGGCATTGAAGGGGGGACAGGCTGATAGCTCAGTCAGGTGTAGCTTCAGGACTGTTATGGAAAGGGAAGATCTGTGTATGGGGAGGACTTTCCTAAGGGGTGAGGAGGAAAGAAACTGCTGCCATGTGGAAGGGAGGCATGGAGGGACTCCAGAAGACCTGATTTTGGGGTCCCTGTCCAGTTAAGGAAGTTGAACATAATTTTGGTTTAGGTTTGCTTCAGAAGTCATATAATCTTTGCCACTCACTGATGCTGACTGTGACCCTTGCATAGCCAACTCCCAGAGAACCTAAGTCAAAATCAAATACTTGGCCTTTCTTTTCAGAATGCTTCCGTTTGGTGGCTCCAGGCAAACATTTTGCAAAGAATCCTCTTACCTCCTGTTAACTGCAACCTTTGCTGCCTGCCAGCCTACCAGGCGGTTCCCTCAATTTGTTCAACACAAGGTCTGGTTGGCCAGGTCAGGTTCCATTCCAGTGGCCCCAGGACTGGAACTTGTCCAGGACTCACAGACCTTCCAATGAGAGGGATCAGAGCTGTTGACCCAGTGGCATTATTCTCCAGCTGGGCTTTGAGATAGAGTCAGAACTGTCAGTGTTTCTGCAGTGCCTCCATCCAGAGGTGGCAGGGCTTGGGGCTGAGGTATAGGAAAGAAGACAGGGTTAAGAAAAATGACCAATGTGGTGGTCCTATGCAAAGATAACCTCTACTATTTGCTTCTGAGGAGTGGAACAGTTGGCAAATCACCTAGAAGTTAGTGGAAAGGATTGTGAAGACAGGAGAAAGGAAAAATACTCAACATGTGTTGATTATGAATTTTAATTACTGAGTTATCTGTTCAGTCAACAGGCTGGGAAAGAAATGTGGGCAGGAAGAGCTCTGTGAATGTTACAGATGATACAATTCTGCTTTTAGGAAATGCACAATTAAACTGTGTCTACACAACCCAAAGTAAAAGCAGATGTATCCGTCACCAGACTATTTTGATTAATGGGGAAATTTGGAGCTTAAATTATCTGGTTCTGCCAGCTATGTTGATCAAATGAACTGGATCGTTGCCAGATCTCTATTTCTCTCAGTGGGGTATAGACACAACTTTGGGTGAGGCAGTTTCAGGGACAGGATTCATCATATGAGGCAGCAGAATCTAAGTGGGAGGGAAAGGCACTTCAAAGCAAGTGATAACAAAATCCTTACATTTGGATAACCCGTATCGAGAGGCCATGGACTTAGGTTTACCTCCAAATCAGATAATCGACTCAGCAGGCTACATGACCTCTGGTGTGGAACCACACTCTTCCTGCTCTTTCTGGGAGTTGGTTATCCAATTAAAGAAGCAGTCCTCATGCTGCTGGTTTGCATTGAGGGGACTGAGTGACTGGGAAGAAGTAGAAGAGTTGATAGAAGGGTATTTTTTGGTATCTACCCTCTGATACTCAGGGAGGAACTCTTTCTGATCACCCATTCAGAGAGGAGACCAGCGCCGTGAAGACAAGCCACCTCTGCCATCTTACTGACTTGTCCAAAATTATCTCTTGATACGACAGAATGTACCACCTGCCCTCCAAAGTTTTCACTGAGCCACTCTGTTTTTCTTTGCTTGTCTAAAACATGTTTGCTGTTTGTTTGTTTATAGATACAGTCATTTGCAAATTATGGAGTCAGTGTAGCTCTTGCATTCAGGGCTTTTTCTAGAGTACACATTTTAAATATCGCCACTCTCTGAGACGAGAAAATGATTTGGGTCATGGAGGATGCTGTTTCACCAAAAAATGTCTTTTGAAATAAGGCCCTGCTGGAATATGGATCCTTTACTGTTAACTGATGTGTTGAATGGTTTTGGATGTCTTTTATTGAAAAATAAGGGAGGCAAATTAAAAAAATAGGAATAATGACACTGGGAATCATTAAATGAAATGAGTGATTAAGAAGTGGCTACAACTCAAATGTCCCTCAATGGATGAATGGATTAATAAATTGTGGTATACACATAAAATGGAATATTATGGAGCTATAAAAAGGAATGAAGTACTGAAACAAGCTACAACATAGATGAACCTTGAAGACATGCTAAGTGAAAGAAGCCAGACACAAAAAGTTACATATTGTATAATTCCACTTACACAAAATATCCAGAATAGGTACATTCGTAAAGGCAGAAAGCAGATTGGTGGTTAAGTGCTGGAGAGAGGAGAAGAAATGGGAAGTGACTGCTTAATAGGTAATTGGGTTTTCTTTTGGGATGATGAAAATGTTTTGGAACTAGGTAGACGTGGTGGTTGCACAACTTTAAATGTGCTAAATGCCGCTGAATTGCACACTTTAAAGTGGGTTAATTTTATGTTTTGTAAATTTTGCCTAAAAAAAAGGGGTCAAGAAAGCAAACTTGTTTGAGTCGCGGTACTCCCATACTCATTCTCTTTTCCTTTTTATTTCTTCTTTTTTTTTTTTTGAGACAGAGTCTTGCTCTGTCACCCAGGCTGGAGTGCAGTGGCGCGATCTTGGCTCACTGCAACCTCCGCCTTCTGGTTTCAAGCGATTCTCCTGCCTCAGCCTCCGGAGTAGCTGGGATTACAGGCTCCCGCCACCACGCCTGGATAATTTTTGTATTTTTAGTAGAGACAGGGTTTCACCATGTTGGCCAGGCTTGTCTCAAACTCCTGACCTCGTGATCCGCCTGCCTCAGCCTCCCAATCATTTTCTTTTCCTAATGAAGAGGCACTGAGTTTACGACCATTTTGAAGAGGTTCCCTATAGCCAAACAATGTCAATGCCTTAAAGGACCTTGGAGACCATTTCCTCTCATCTTCTCATGTTGCAGATGAGACGTGATTAGGCAGAGGTCCCTTGATTCCAAAATCGGTGCTTAATCCAGGAAATTGCATTGTGTCCTGAGAGTAGGAGATGTAGCATTCTGAGACACCTATTCAAAGTGAGCAGAACATTTCCAATAACTTCTTTTTTGCTATGTTTTGGACCAATTGCTAACGATTGTAATAGCAGTAATAATAATAGCAAAAATAATAAAAAATAACACAAGTAGATGAGATGCGTCCTCTCACCTACTGCCATTCCTCAATGTGTAGATATTGTAAAACATCATAGATTTATATAATTTTGTCAATAAAAAATTGTAAAAATATAATACACTGATAATAATATCAGTTTATTGTGCTCTTATTAAGTACCAGATACTGAGTGAAAGAAGCACATTTTATGCAATACCTCATTTAATTTCCCCCCAACCTCATGAGGTCAATGAGAAAACTGATGTCCAAAAAGGTGAAATAAATTCCCTCCAGAGCTTAGAAGAGTTGGGGCTGGAACTGACCATTGGGAGGGGCTACAGTACTCTTAATTAAAGCATCCAATACATGGTTTCCAGATCTTTGGATTTCACAAACTAGCAAAATTTCCAGAAACCAATGTAAGGTGGCCACATTTTATTTTGCCAAGTATAAATACTGAGTAACAAGCAAATAATAAAAACGACAAACCTACTATTTCCTGTTATTGTTATGTTATCAAATAAAACATATTTTCACACCAAAAAGTAGAAGGACCTATTCTCAGAACAGAGAAGAGTCTTGTAAAGTAGATCTGTTTTATTTTATGAAAAATTCTTTAGTCATTTTGCTGCCCAGAAAGATGTCATAGTGGATGCTCAGGGTTGGTCTTTGCTGATGGCTGTCTGGGGACTCAGCACTGCAGGTCACCAAATCAGTGTTGGTGTGGGAAAGTTCATCTTATGCTCACTTGTGGGCTCCATTTCCACCACCATGACCACTTTGTACATGGAACCATTGAACAAGCATTGTGGTGGCTGGAGAAAGAAGCTGAGTGACATCCACCAGACAGGTCACCTTGTCCACCAGATTACTGAGATTCTCTTCCTCAGTTACTGAGATTCTCTTCCTCAGTGGATGTCCTATGGTAGAAATCAATGTGAGTCTCAAGTATCTTCATACATTGTGCCCATTCCTAGAAGTTACCTGCCTACCTTTCCTTCAGACCTCCTTGTCACCTTTTTTCTGATCTTGTTCTTTCCAAACACTTGACCTTCTAACCAACACTTTGGGCATTAATTGTGAATCAGTATAGATTTATACATGAGGTCATCTTTTCTTGCTCATAAAGTGGACAGCTAGATGTATTTCCCCCAATATGAATCACTGGGAGGATTTTTCTTCCCCACTGTCTTTCAGGGGTACACCTAAATAGGCTGTAATATAATCAGCTTTGACTTCTGTCTGGTGCCAGTAGACTGGAAAACTCACAAGTAGCCCAGCCCATGCTTTCTCTTCCCCCACTAACTAGTAATAGAGAGCTCTCCAACATGCCATGGTTGGGACTGGGAAAGAGGGAATGCAGCAGGAGGAGCAGGTGCTATGGGAGGCTGAGCCACCTGTCTATGCTGTTCACTTGTCCCTTCTAGGCTTGCTCAGGTCAAGTCTTATGCATACCAGTTCCATTTGACAATGAGATGCTGCTGTGCACATCCAATTTTATAATTTGGTCAATCAAACTACATCTAGTTCATGATAGGCAGCACTTGGTGTTCAATGGTCAGGTTTTTAGTCCTTACTAGGCTTAGTAGCAAATCAAATCTGGATCAGCCTTTTTAATGGACAATTTTAGTTGGCAGAAATTGGCACAGCCATACAGTGAATCCCAAGGGAAGCGTTCTGTGCTTCTCCTACTGTGGCTAGCCAGAGCCTCCATTCAGCATCTCTGCAACAAACGCTTCCAGTTCAGTTGGATATGACTGGTGGCTAGGCAGTTTGAATGGTGGTCTATCTCTGCTGCAGAGCCTTTTTAGATCAAAACTGGCAGCCTCACAGTTGACCCAGAACTTGGGTCAGAGCAGCACACTTATGTTCCTAGAATCCAAAGAGGGCCCCCAAACCTTACTCCTCTTTGTGGAAAGTGAGTCAAGGTAAAATATTTGTCTCATACTTTTGAAGCGATGACACGCTGCCATTCTCCCAGACCACTGACATCTGGAACTCTCACTACTATCTGTCTTCCAGATCCAACTAGCACAATGTCAATGATGAAATGGACCAGTGTCATATTCTGCGGGATATCAAGGCAATCAAGATCATCTTGGACTGTATTGTGACAGAGGGCCAGGGAGTGAACAGAGCCCTTATAATGTAGGTAGTTTTCCCTTGCACGTGAAGGCAACCTGTCTCTACTTATCTTTTCTGATCCCTTTCCTGGCTTCTAGGGTAATTCCATGTGATGATTAAGCACTACCATCTGCTTTCTACCACCCTGAGATCCCATTATTTCCATCAAAATCCAGAAACTCAATGCCAACTTCCACCACCGCCTCCTGCATAACATCACTGCCTCAGGGGCTTTCAAGGGTGCTGGTGCTCCCCTTACCAATACATTTCTAAGTTCCTTGGTAAAGCATCATCCAAGTCTTCTTAGGGGAATAGTTAGGGGATAATGATAATTTGAGTCTTCATGATGATAGCATGTCATAAATTACCACTGTGTGTTTTTCTCTGGCAAGGAGTTTGCTTGTGCTTTCATGAGATATGTGGGCAACTCAATCCCCAAATCCGTTTTTGAGAGTCTGTTTTCTAGAACTACTCTATATTAGTCAAGGTCTTGGCAAGAAGTAGACGGCACACTTTAAAAACGGGATAAAATTGAAGAGTTTAATGAGGGAAGCTACTGTCACCTTTAGTCCTGAATGGGCAAGAGGATCATGTTACCAGAACCTGGAAAGAGCTGTGCTGTGGGAGAAGGATGCCTGGCAGGAATGTGGCCTTATGTAGAGAAATACAGCTGCTTCTAAAACCATGTTCTGGCAGAAGAGAATAAGGTGGCTTTCTCTTTTCCCACACTTCACTCAAGGTGCTGATATATCCCTTTGGTTAAACCCAACTGAAAGTCAGAAAGCAAGAGCTCCTAGTGTTCATCCTGAGAAGTGAGGCTTCTGGGACATACACAGAAGAGTGGAGAAGAGTGGAGAGGGGACTTGGAGAAGACTCAGTACTTGGGCTAAGGATTTTTTTCTGCATCTGGAGTCACTGGGAAATCGTGGCAACTTTTTTTTTAGTAGAGATATATTTTTGGGCTATGTTTTAGGATAACAGTGGTATGTGAATTGAAATTTGGGTAATTTAGAGAAGGGTGATCTGCCATGAGACCAGTGGGAATGGAGAGGCTGCGGAAGATGCTGGAAGGAAAGTATTCAATGGATACATGCATGCAGTAGCCCCCCTTTATCCTTGCAAGATATGTCCTAAGACCCCCAGTGGATGCCTGAAACCGTGCATAGTACCAAACCCTATATATACCATGTTTCTTTCCTATATATGTTGTGTTAGTTTGTTCTTGCATTGCTATAAAGGAATATCTATGACTGGGCAGTTTATAAAGAAAAGAGGTTTATTTGGCTCATGGTTCTGCAGGCCATACAGGAAGCATAGCTCCGACATCTGCTTCTGGGAAGGCCTCAGGAAGCTTACACTCTTGGAAGGTGAAGAGAGAGCAGGCAAGTCACATGCAGAAGCAAGAGAGGGGGAGGTGCTTTAAACACTTTAAACAGCCAGATCGCAGGAGAACAAAGTCACTATTGTGAGGACAGCACCAAGCCATGAGGGATCTGCCCCCAGGATTGAGACACCTCCCACTAGGCCCTCCCTCCAGCACTGAGGATTACATTTCAACAGATTTAGGGAGACAAATATCCAAAGTATATCATATACACACCTATGATAAAGTTTAATTTATACATTAGGCACAGTAAGAGATTAACAACAATAACAATTATTATTGGTAAAGTATTATTAAGTAAAATAAGGGTTACTTGAATACAAGCACTGCAATACTGCCATAGTTTATCTGGTCACTGAAAGGGCTACTAGGGACTCACGGGCGGGTAATGTCTACAGTGTGGATATGCTGGACAAAGGGAAGATTCATGTCCTAGAGGGGACAAAGTGAGGTGGCATGAGATTTCCTTACACTGCTTAGAATGGCAGACAACTTCAAACTTGAGAATTATTTATTTCTGGAATTTTCTGTTTGATATTCTCAGACTACAGGTAACTAAAACAGTGGAAGGTAAAACTGCAGATAAGGGGGAATTATCTTACGTGCCTTTTATGTCAGTGAGGTGGTAGAGAGTCGCTGTTTGAAGACCAGAGCTTCTGTCTGAGGCTGTGTTAGTGAGCCCGACCAGGAGGCTGTGGGGACGGCACGCTATAGCAGATTGCCTCGGAGTTGTGCTTTTGAAGTTAGAAAGCCAAATCAATGTGAAGAGCATTTGGTCGTCCTCATTTCTATGCACACGTAGATTGCATATTAATATCAAAGGAAGTCAGTTGTGTATGTAAAGGAGAAAGAATTTTCTTTGGAGTCTTTAATTGTCAAGCGCCATTAAGATTTTCTTCTTCTTGCCCACCAAAATGACAGAATCCACTTTAAAATCTTTGAAAGCAAATGATGAAATTTGATGCCAGGGTGGTAGCAACAACAGAAATAGCTAATATTTATTGAGTACTTTCCAGGCAGTGTGCTTTGCATTACTGCCTTATTCATCGCTACTACCAACCTTATGCAATGGTATTCTTTATGTTACAGATGAGGAAACAGAAGCTTAGGCAAGTTAAACCCAGTCTTATACAGAAGAAAAGACAAGTTGGTTTTCTAAGACAGTACTGGCCAGCTCTTATAAAGCCCATACTCCTAACCTTCATTTTCTATTGTATCTCAATGGTAAATGATCTCTGTATAAAATTTACCTGATGATTGCCTATTGTCTTTCAGTTACACACACGCGCGCGTGTGTGTGTGTGATTGTTTTCAATGAATTTTGAAACTGCCTGTATCCAATGCAGCCATTAAATTTAGGAAATTCAGGTTTTTAAGCACATTTATAATTAATCATTGAATAAGAAATTGATCAGGCTCTGGCTCAGTGCAGTGGCTCACACCTGTAATCCCAGCACTTTAGGAGGCCAAGGCGAGGGGATTGCTTGAGCTCAGGAGTTCAAGGCCAGCCTGGGCAAAATACAAAAATTGGTGGTGCATGCCTGTAGTTCCAGCTACTTGGGAGGCTGAGGTGGGAGGATGGCTTAAGTCTGTGAGGTTGAGGCTGCAGTGAGCGAAGATCATACCACTGCCCTCCAGCCTGGACAACAAAGTGAAACCCTGTCTCAAATAAATAAATAAATAAATAAATAAATAAATAAATAAATAAAAGAAACCACCAAAAATACAGAAATTGACCAGGCTTTGGGTCAGTTATTTGGGTCATAGATAAAAGTGTACAAAATAACCATGGCTTATATTAAGGGTGAGAATAACTGGCTTAGAATATTGCCAGACATATAGTAAATGTTCTATTAAGGTTACCTATTATTAGTAATACTCACTCCCCATACTAAAAGTGTAAACTTCAGTAATATTTCCTTCAGAATCCACATTTCATAGAGATTTTAAATTTTATCTGAACAATTACATTTTCTCTCTGACCATTTGTGCCCAAAAGGTGATCACTGTCATGAATTTGGTGGGCATATGTATCTGATGATGTTTCCATAACATTAGTATTAATTTGTGTATACATACACAGTTTTATTGAAAACTTACCTAATCCTATCACATTACACATATTTGCCTCAAAGCACTGTCATTTTCCACAACATCGTGGAAAGTCTGTCTGTGAAGCACATATAACTAGTTAGAATCTAGTTTACCCGATGCATGCTGCTATCTGGGGATGAACTTAATTCTGTCAATGTCTTATTATAACCTTCCTGTGAAAATTCTAGTGCCTCTTTCTATTCACACAGAAGAAAGTTTCCATATGATAGATGCATAAAAGATAGTTGTTCGTTTGTAAAATTCATGAATGTCCAATATTACTGTTAGTTGTCTGCATTTGTTTTCCCAATTTTTGAAAAAAAATCAGATACAGTAAACTACCTGAAACTGCTAGAATCAGGAATATCCCTGAAGTCTGTCTAGTAATAGTAGTAGTCATTCCATCATAGCTCCCATGAAATTCTCATCTTTTATAGGTAATAATATATTCATATCTCAGATTTCTGAAGTACTGTAAAATTAATTACTGCTTATGTAAAACCCTACAAACCGCAATATTCATGCCTAAAGACCCCTATAAGCCACTAGTTCCTTCAGCTAATCTACAGATGAGTTCACTGAGTCTGAAGAGGAGGATCAATAACCTGCCTCTTTTGGTTCATCTGGTACCAAAGCAGATGTGAAAAGAAAAACGTTCAGTGGGTTCTGGTGGACAGGAGAGATCCGTAGCACAGGAGTCAGGAGTCCAAGATCTGAGTCCCAATTCTTTTATTCCCTGCATCCTTAGCACTTAATAGATATTCCATCATGGTGAAAATCAAAAACATATAGTTAAGATTTCCCAAGCACAGTAAGTGAAATGTTTGCCTATTGCCTCTCAATTACACACACACACATGCATGTGTGTGTGTGTGTGTGTGTGTGTGTGTGTATGTGGGGGTGTATTTGTGTGTGTTCAGTGAATTTTGAAACAATGGGCCAGGAACTGTTTTAAGTGCTTTACTTGTATTATCTCATCGTATCCTCCCAACAATTTTAGGAGGGAGATACTAAAAGATTTTGTGGGAGATACAGCACAATAAACTAAGGGGGAAAATTACTCTCATATTGAAAACTATATTAACACTTGCTTTAGTATTTTGACATAAAGTGGCTCTTTGGAAGCAGAATTTTGTCAGGACCAGTCAATTACCTGCTTATACTTTCAGATTCATTTATTCATTCAAAAACACTTCCTGACTGGCTAATATTTGTCAAGTTCTGTTCTCAGTCATGGGGTACACCCATGGATAAGGATGGCCTCCTCTTTTGAGATGCTTTTCAGTAGAGAGAGAACTGAATTCAACCACGTCCCATCACACTCCCAGTCTTGGTACAAAGCAGGCAAAGGAACCTGGATGAATTCAACCTGGATTCAGGAAAAGATAGAATAACTTAACATTTTTCTAGCCTGAAGGTTGAATTGTTAGTTTGATTGTCGTTGATGTCATGGCACTTGGATTGTGCTGCTTTGTCCTCATTTATTTAACCATGGAATTTTGCTTCCCTGATCTCTAACTCTAATCAAATTCTTGCCTTCCTGACCCACTCAGAGGTCCAGAAAAATATCTCCATCATTTAAAACTTTTCTTTAAATGAGATTATTTTTAATAGGAGCAAATTATCTCTGAGAAAGAAATAATATCATCATTTACCAATGTCTATTATACCACTTCCCTATTCTCTGAAAAGTGCACACAATTTTTTAAACAGTCACTTGGTAGCAGTAAATGCTATTTAGTCAGCCTTGTAGACCAAGGACGATTGGGGCTAGCACTATGGAAATATTTCTCATGTTTTCCCCTTTTATGAAGAGAGAGAAAGAAATTATTTCTTATGTATCAGTGAGAGTCTCTCCTGTACTCTAGATTAATATGTTTTAGTACTCAGCCAGCATCAAAGTGCTGTGATGCATCATATTGATCATCAAATATCAGTCCCCAGGAAGAGTTTCACTAGAAACACTTGTTAGGTGTGTTGTGTGCATTATATAACATTTATGCAAACCACAGCTTCCATACAGTACCAAACTTATCCAGGGAGAAGAAATCACATTTCAGCAGAGAACAGGTTTTCCATCTGATTTGTGCCCAGAACATGTAAAAAACATAGCAGGTTGCATGCTGCATTGACTAAGGAACATACATATGCATTTAAATCACTTGTGTTTTACTTTTTTATAATGCATTGGTGAATTGTATTCCTTTTGCATTTGTAATTAGAAGGCGGAACAGATGTGACGGTTTCGTTTAAAGTGATATGTCCATTAAAATAACCTATACTACAAGTAATTGTTTTCTTTAACAAGGGAGTCTGTCGGTTGTCATGCTGTTTTTGAGCCGTTTAAATAGACTGTGAAGAAAAACATGTTTGTCTTCAGGAAATGTTGATTGATTACGGAAGAAAGAAATTTTTGTGATAGGAATGTTTGCATATTTGTTGTTTTTGTTGTTCTTGCTCTTTTTGTTTTGGAGGTGGAACATCATCAGAGAAGCACTCCTACATTCATTCTTCCAGCCTCACTTTTTCTTCTCAAATTGAGACTAATAATTCAAACCTATCTGTATTTCAAAGAAGGCCAAGATTTCCCTTTTTCATTTTAATGAGCTATACTACAGTTAAGCTGAATATTAAATTATTACCCACTTGGTGATCAAATATACTGTCAATGTTACCACTGGCTCTTTGTTTGAACCCAAATGAAGTGTGGATTTTTATTTTGATCAATGACAGCTTTCTGAGATCTGCAGTTATGCTTGATTGGGACAGGCTGTGACAGCCAATGCAGTAGCCGGCAGACAATTCTTTAATATATGAATCTGACTGACCCAATTATCCATCCCCCACCCCCAAAGCAAAAAGCATCTCCAGAAACCTTTTACCATTTTCTTCTTGCAATGTCAATGCACTCAACATAGACAAAATTTAACTAAAATTATCCTTTGTAGAACAGATGCATACTAATCCCTTCACTGCTATAATTAAACACCTCTGTCTCTGAGTCACCAATGCTTGTAGACACATCAAAGTTGCCATTTTTTAAAGGAAAATTTAACACCATGGTCTGTACATACACAGTTGGAAAGATAGCATGGTTTCATACAAATTCTGTTTAATTGTGCCAAAATGTGCCAAAATGACATTTCTTGTTGATATAAAAATATTCCGAAAGGCTTTATGTGGGGAGAAATGTTGGGATGAGGTATGTTATTGTGGTTATGATGTTGAATTCAATAAAGTATTGAATTCAGTATTTTTTTACTGAAAAAGGTTGCAGTAAGCACCCAAGGTACCAGTGTTATGCACTACAAGGCAGGTGCAGGGAAAATCCTTTCAATGTCCTTTAACTGAATCCCTGTGATAGTCATGACGTATGGTTCTATAATTGGGCACTAGCAAATGTATTTTGGGGTTTGCTTCTTTATATGAAGCTTGATCCTTTGAATTTACTGAAATATAGAATGCCTAGCTTTCTGTTTTTTCTCTACAGATTTATCTTCATTTATGTTTTTCTTATTTTACTAGTCATGGCTCTGACTTTCTATTTCTATAATAAAATTGTTGAATATACACTATCTGTTGAGAGTAGTTCTTCAAATCTTATTTAGAAGGAGATATACAGACACACTCAGGTCAATGACTATGAATTGATTTGGTCAAACAAATGAAACTTTTAATTTTTCCTGGCTATTGATTTTCCATTTGCAAAAGAGAAAAAATGAATTATCTTTAACTGCATTATAAGGTCTGTGTTTCCTATAAATCTATATTTTATACATGCTTTAAAGTTTTATTTAAAATGTCAAATAATTATTGTCAAATGATTGATAGATATTGATATTAAAGGTATTCCAATAAGAATAATAAATTGTACTCATTAAATTGATATTCTATTAGTTAACTATTTCTGGGTATCATATAAGCAGACACACAGGAAGTACAGACATATCTCAGAGACATTGTAGGTTCAGTTTCAGGAAATGTCACAATAAAGTGAATCACACACATTTTTTGGTTTCCCAATTCATATAAAAGTTCTGTTTAAACCATAGTCTATTGAATGTGCAATAGTATATTCCCCCCAAAAAAACAATGCACATACCTCAATTTAAAATACTTTATTGCTAAACAATGCTAATGATTATCTGAATGTTTAGCGAGATGTAATATTTTTGCTGGTGGAGGGTCTTGCCTCAATGTTGATGGCTGCTCTAATTGGGTAGTAGTTGCTATAAGCTGGGGTGTCTGTGGCAATTTTTAAATATAAGATAACAATGAAGTTTGCTGCATCCATTGGCTCTTCTTTTCACTACAGTTTTCTCTGTAGCATGTGATGCTGTTTGATAGCATTTTACCTGCAGTAGATCTTCTTTCAAAATTGGTGTCAATCCTCTGAAACCCTGCTGCTGCTTTATCAACTCAGTTTATGGAATATTTTAAATCCTTTGTTGTCATTTCAACATCTTTGATGTTGTTTTACCATGAAATTGCAGCAATTCAGTCACATCTTCAGGCTTTACTTCCTCTAGCTCTCTTGTTATTTCCACCACATCTGCAGTTACTTTCTCCACTGAAGTCTTGAACCCCTCAAAGTCATCCATGAGGTTTGCAAGCAACTTCTTCAGTACTCCTGTTAATGTAGATATTACGACCTCCTCCCTTGAATCATAAATGTTATTAATGGCATCTAGAACTGTGAACCCTTTCCAGAAGGCTTTCGATTTACTTTGTCCAGATCCATCAGAGGAATTTCTATCTGTGGTAGTTATGGTCTTACAAAACGTATTTCCTAATAAGACTTCAAAATTGAAATGACTTCTTGAGCCATGAGCTGAAGAATGGATGTTGTGTTAGCAGGCATGAAAACGACATCAATATCCTTGTACATCTCCATGAGAGCTCTTGGATGACTAGGTGCACTGTCAATGAGCAGTAATATTTTGAAAGGAATCTCTTTTCTGAGCTTAAAATATTCAGTAAACCATGCTGCAAACAGATGAGCTATCATTCGGGCTTTGTTGTTCCATTTATAGAGCACAGGCAGAGTAGATTTAGAAATGGCCTTAGGATTTTTAGAATCATAATTCAGCAGTGGTTCAACATAATCACAATTCCTGAAGCCAGACATTGGCTTGTCCTCTCTAGCTATGAAAGTCCTAGATGGCATTTTCTTCTAGTAGAAGGCTGTTTCATCTACAGACAAAATCTGTGGTTTAGTGTAGCCACCCTCAACAATGACCTTAGCTGGATCTTCTGGATAACTTGCTACAGTTTCTATATCAGCACTTGCTACTTCACCTTGCACTTTTATGTTGTAGAGAGAGCTTCTTTTCTTAAACTCATAAACCAACCTCTGCTAGGTTCAAACTTTTCTTCAGCAGCTTCCTTACCTCTCTCAGTCTTCATGGAATTGAAGAGAGTTAGGGCCTTTCTCTGGATTAGTCTTTGGTTTAGAGAATAATTGTGGCTAGTATGGTCTTCTATCTAGACCACTAAAACTTTTCTCATATTACCAATAAGGCTGTTTTGCTTTCTTATCATTTGTGTTTTCACTGAAGTAGCAATTTTAATTCCCTTCAAGAATTCTTCCTTGGTTTGGCCTATCTTGACTTTGACATGCCTTTCTCACTAAGCTTAATCATTTCTAGCTTTTGATTTAAAGTGAGAGATGGGCAACTCTTCCTTTCACTTGAACACTTAGAGGCCTTTGTAGAGCTATTAACTGACTCAATTTTAATAGTGTTTTGTCTCACAGAATAGGGAGGCCTGAGGAGAGGGAGAGATGAGGGAATGATTGGTCAGTGGAGCAATCAAAACACACAACATTTATTGATTCAGTTTGCAGTTTTATATGGGTGTGGTTCATGGCACCCCAAAACAATTAAATAGCAACATCAAACATCACTGATCACAGGTCACAATAACAGATATAATAATAATAAAATTTTAAATAGTGCAAGAATTACCAAAATGTGACTTAGAGACACAAAGTGAGCACATGCTGTTGGAAAAATGGCACCGATAGTCTTGCTTCACAGAGGGTTGCCAGAAATCTTTAATCTGTTTTTTAAAAAACCCAATATCTGCAAAACACAATAAAACAAGCTATGCCTATATGTTAGGGGGCCTCTTTGTGGAATGACTTTCAGTATGATAGAAATTTGTCTATTTTAGATTTAATTCTATCTGAAACTTTGACTATTAAGGATTGCAGGGTTTTGATTTAATTGTTTATTTAGACCACTTTCACGTTAAAGTTTAACATTCATTAGAAAGTAAAATAGATGTTATCACTATGATTTTCAATATAAAAAGTTCAACTCTCTTGGATTTGTAAGTTAATTTTAAATTAATTGATATTTAGTGTAAATCTTTCTATAATAACCAAGTATGCACAGAAAGCTCACTACCCTATAAAGCTTACAACTGTTCATAAATCCACTTATATAAGAGATAATCATTATCTCTTCTAAGCTTAAGGGTTTCAGCAATCTAAAGTATTTAAAGGCAAGTCCCCTCATCAATGAGGAAACTATCTTTTGGGGACCTTCTCAGTCTATCTTTTCTATGAACATTGCCTTCTCTGCAGTTACAACTCTGAGCTCCTGGCAATCAGGTTTGTAGCTTGGGACAGATTCTGCCCCTCTGCCCACAGCAGGTCAGATGGGCACTGGGCAGTTAATACATATGGTTATAACTGAGGGTAGCTAAGCACACAAGCCATAGGGCAGCCTTGTGCAGAGAGAAGCAGAGAGGAGACTGTGTAATGCACCAGAAAGAGTAGTTTTATAAGCATTGATAGGATAAAAATATAAAAAGCCAATGTTTAATAATGCAACTTACACTTAATTTTTTGATTTAAATTCTGCCTCTTGGGAGAAAGAGGTGAGATCGGCTCAACTTCTAGCACCAACACTCTCTGAAACTTTTTTTGAATATTTTTTTCTTTAAATTTTGTAAAAACGTATTTCCTACCCCTAAAGGAAATTTTGAGGTGAGCAATAGCTAGTAAACACTAAGTTCTTTGATTTTTGATACTTTTATTTGTATTTACTGTAACTAAGAAGAAATTGAGATTCCTGTTTTCCCTTCTGGTAATGCAAGTGTAAAGGGATCTAATTTACTACATAAACAGGGGATATCCTTTTATCTGTTCTATTCAAAATTTTAATCATTTTAATGGGTACACTTGGAGGGGATCTTCTTCAAGGTTCTGGAACTACTACAGTGGCCAAGTAGATATTTTCTGACAAGTAAAATTACCTTTCAAAGAGTGCACTACTTTTCTTTTGACTCTTGTCACTAAATACTCCCCAAGTTCTTTGTACAAATTAATTTTTCTGTTTTTCTTTTATTTCTCTTGGCAATTTAACTCCCTCTCACGGCTCCAATGATGATCTAAAATCCATACCTCCACCCTTAATTCTAAGCCTGGGGATGCCCCAAGCAAATATAAGTATACTTTAACAAAAGCTGATGCCAGCATATTATATATTTCTAAACAAAGATTGTAATTATATTAATCTGTTCTCACACTGCTGTAAAGAGCTGCCTAAGACTGGGGAATCAATAAACAAAAGAGGTTTAATTGACTTACAGTTCCTCATGGTTTCGGAGGCCTCAGGAAACTTACGATCATGGTGGAAGGCAAAGGGGAAGCAAGGCACATCTTTCATGGTGGCAAGAGAGAGAACACAGAGAAAACTGTCACTTTTAAACCATCAGATCTCGTGAGAACTCCCTCAGTATCACCAGAACAGCATGGGGTAAAACCACCCCCATGATCCAATCACCTCCCACCAGGTCCCTCCCTTGACACGTCGGGATTACAATTCAAGATGAGATTTGGACACAGGGCCAAACCATCTCATACACACACACACACACACACACACACACACACACATATATACACACATATATATACATATATATTCTTTAATTCTGATCTACATATCTACTGTTGTGTATCTCCAATCACATTTAAAATGGTTAGTCCTCAGTATCTCTAAAACTATATTGATCATTTTCCTTCCTACACCTGGTTTTCTCTTCTCTTCCTGTTTCTAGAATTAATTCCATCGTCCCATCCTCCCAGACAACAAAATCGGAACCTCCCAGTTGTCTCTCAGTTCTTCTTCTTTTCCCTGCCTCCCATAGCAAAGTCATCTGTCAGGTCCCAGTGATTTCACCTCTTCTCTCTCTGTCTTTTCTGAATCTTTGTCTTTATCCCCTACTCTGTTGTACTGGGTTATGAGGCATCTTTTTTCAACTCAAATTGCTTCCTTCTTCCAACTGGTCACCCTGTGACTTTCAGATTAATCTTTTTCCAGCACAGTTCAGATTTTGTTATACTGTCACCAAAATATTTCAATGGCTTTCCATTGCATTCAGCATCAAATCCAAACTTGTTGTCTTGGCCTTAAGCTGTACTTTTGGCCTTTTCTCCCACTCAGCCTAGTTAAAGCATTAACTCTGGTGGTTTTTTGCAGCCCTGTACTTGACATACTCTTCTCACTGTGAAAAGCACCCAACTTCCCAGCTTTATGTGGCCATCTTCTATTCCAAAGGCCATTACAGAAGGCACTTTCTAGATGAAGCTTTCCCTGTCCTTCCAGCTGGAATGATGTTTCCAGTTCTCCAACTCAAGGTGGAACTCTTTTTTCTTTTATCTTTATATTAGTTTGCTAGGGCTTCTGCGACAAAGTAGCAAAGACTTGGTGGATTAAGAGCAGATATTTATTTTCTCACAATTCCAGAGGCTTAGGAGTCTAAGATCAAGGTGTTGTCAGCATCAGTTTCTTCTGAGGCTCCTCTACTTGGCTTGTAGATGGCCACCTTCTCCCTGTGTCTTCCCAAGGGTTTCCCTCTGTGTATGTCTATGGCCACATTTTCTCTTCTTATAAAGATACCTGCTTATGGGGCCCACATTAATGACTTCACATTAACCCAGTGAATTCTTTAAAGACAGTATATCACATTCTGAGGTACTGGCGTAAGGACTTTAACATGTGATCTTGGGGGTGGGGCACAATTCATCCCATAACACCTATCTCTGCAGCATGTCTCACTTTAGACATTGTGCTCTGGTTTTTCATGTACATAATATAAGTTTCCCACCTTTTTCTCAGTATGAGAGGGAAGGATCTATATTTTCTCCATGACATCTGTCTGTATAAACCCCATAAATACTCAATACTGTGTCTTGCATATGGGAAATACTCAATGAATGTTTTCTTTTATTTACACATAAACTTTTTACATATTTCAGAGGAATATATGAGCATTTTTTACATGCATAGAATATGTCATGCTCAAGTCAGGGTATGTGGGGTATCCATCACCTTGAGTATTTATCATTTCTAAGTGTTGGTAACATTTCAGGTTCTCTCTTCCAGCTATTTTGAAATATACAATATATTGTTGCTAATTGTAGTTACTCTAGTGTACAATGGAACATTAGAACTTACTTCTATCTAACTTTAAGTTTGTACCCATTAAACAACTTCTATTTCCCACCCCCACTTTCACACCCTTTCCTGCTCTTGGTGTTTATTATTTTATTCTCTATCTTCCAATCATCAAGTTTTTTTTAATACCTACATATGAGTGAGAACATGCAGTGTTTGTCTTTCTGTGCCTGGATTATTTCACTTAACATAATGAACTTTGGTTCCATCCATTTGTCTGGAAATGACATGATTTCATTCTTTTATGGCCAAATAGTATTCCATTGTGTATATATATATCACACTTTCTTTATTCATTCATCCATTGACAGACATAGCTTGCTTCCATATCTTTGTTATTATGAATAGTGCTGCAGTAAACTTGAGTGTGTAGGTATCCCTTTGATATGCTTTCTTTTCTTTTGAATAGATACCCAGTAGTGCAACTAATGGATTGTATGGTAGATCGATTTTTAGTTTTTTGAGAAATCTCCATACTGTTTTTCATAGTGGTTATACTAATTTACATTCCCACCAACAGTGTATACGTGTTCTCTTTTCTCTGCATCCTTGTCAGTCTGTTACTTTTTTGTCTTTTTAATAATAGCCAATATAACTGGGATAAGATTATAATTCATTGTGTCTTTGGTTTGCACTTTGTAGATGATTAACGATGAGCAGCTTTTCATATACCTGTTGGCCATTTGTATGTCTTGTTTTCAGAATAGTCTATTCATGTCCTTGTAATCCCTTTTAAATGCCATCACTTGTTTTTGTTTTGTTGAGTTCCCCATATATTCTGGATATTAGTTCCTTGTCGTGTGACTGTTTTGCAAACCTTCTCTCCCATTCAATAGTTTGTCTCCTCACTCTGCTGATTGTTCCCTTTGCTGTACAGAAGCTTTTCAGTTTAATATAGTACAATTTGTCTATATTTGTTTTCGTTGCCTATACTTTTGAGGTTTTTGAGGTCTTAGCCATAAAATCTTCACTTAGATCAATGTCCTGGTGTTTTTTCTGTTTTTTTTTTTTTCTAGTAGCTTTATAGTTTTGAATCTTACCTTTGGGTCTTTAATTCATCTTGGTTGATTTTTGTATATGATGAGAGATAGGGGTCTGGTTTTATTCTTCTGCATATGGATATTCAATTTTGCCAGCACCATTTATTGAAGAAGGTATCCTTTCCTTACTATATGTTCTTGACATCTTTGTCAAAAATCAGTTGGCTTTAAATATGTGGATTTATTTCTGTGTTCTCTATTTTGTTCCATTGGTCTATGTGCTTATTTTTATACTAATACCATGATGTTTTGGTTATGATAGCCTTGTAATATAATTTGAAGTCAGGTAGTGTGATGGCTCCAGCTTTGTTCTTTTTGCTCAGCATTGCTGTGGCTACCCTGGTTCTTCTATTTACATATGAATTTTAGGATGTTTTTCCTATTTCTGTAAAAAGTTGCGTTGGTGTTTTGATAGGGATTGCATTGAATCTGTATATTGCTGTGGGCAGTGGGGTCCTTTTCATGATATTAATTCTTCCATTCCATGATCATGGAATGTCTTTCCATTTGTTTGTGTCCTCTTAAATTTCTTTCATCAGTGTTTTGTAGTTTTCTTTGTAGAGCTCTTTCCCCTCCTTGATTAAACTTATTACTATGTATTTTTTCTAACTATTGTAAATGGGATTGCTTTTTACATTTCTTTTTTGGCTATTTCATTATTGGTGTATAGAAATGCTACTAATTTTTTATGTTAATTTTATATCCTATAACTTTACCAAATGTGCCTATCAACTCTAAGAGTTTTTTTGAGGAAGTCTTTTGGCTTTTTAAGTTATAAGATCATGTCATCTGCAAAAAGAGATGATTTGATTTATTTTTTTCCAATTTGGGTGAATTTTATTTCTTTCTCTTGCCTGATTGCTCTGTCTAGGACCAATGCTATGTTGAATTGGAGTGGTAAAAGTGGACATCTTTGTCTTGTTCTAGTTCTTGGAGAAAAGGCTTTCAATTTCTCTCATTGAGTATGATGTTAGCTGTGGGTTTGTCATATATTCTCTTCATTGTTTTGAGGTTTGTTCCTTCTATGCCTAGTTGGTTGAGAGTTTTTATTATGAAGGGATGTTGCGTGTTATCACAAGCTTTTTCTGCATCTATTGAGCTGATTATATAGCTTTTGTTCTTCATTCTGTTGACACGATGTACCATGTTTATCGATTTGTGTATGTGAAACCATAATTGTATCCCTGGTATAAATCTCAGTTGACTATGGTATGTGATCTTTTTGCAGTGCTGTTGAATTCAGTTTGCTAGTATTTTGTTGAGATTTTGGTGTTTATGTTCATCAGGGATATTGATCCGTGTTTTCTTTTTTTGTCATGTCCTTGTCTGATTTTGGTCTCAGGGTGATGCTGACCTCATAGAATGAGTTTGGGAGAATTCCTTCCTTTCAATTTTTTTTTTTGAATAGTTTCAGGAGGATTGGTATTAGCTTTTCAAACATTTGGTTGAATTCAACTATGAATCCATCAAGTCTTGGGCTTTTCTTTGTTGGGAGACTTTTTATTACTGATTGAGTCTTGCTCATTATTGGTCTGTTCTGGTTTTCTATTTTTTCCTGACTCCGTCATAGTAGGTTGTGTATTTCCTGGGGTTTATATATTTCCTCTAGGTTTTCCAGTTTGTCAGCCTATATTTGTTTATAATAGTCTTTAATGATCTTTTATATTTCTGTGGTATCAGTTGTAATGTCTCCTTTTGTATGTTTATTTGGGTCTTTTCTGGATTAGTCTAACTAGCAGTTTATCAATTTTGTTTAACTCTTCCAATAACCAAAATTTTTGTTTCATTGATCATCTGCTCTGATCTTTATTATTATTTTTTTCTTCTGCTAATTTTGGTTTTGGTTTGTTCTTGCTTTTCTATTTCCTTGAGGTGCATTGTTGAATTGTTACTTTGTAATCCTTTTACTTTTTAGATGTAGGCATTTATTGCTATAAACTTCCCTCTTAGCATGGCATTTTCTGTATCCCACAGGTTTTGGTTTGTTGTGTTTCCATTTTTATTTGTTTCAATAAACTTTAAAATTTCCATCTTAATGTCTTCATTTACTCAATTGCTGTTCAGTAGCTTATTATTTAATTTCCATGTATGTGTATATTTTTGTCTTTACAGGCAAAGTGCATTTCTTGTAGGCAACATATAATTAAATTATGTTTTTCTTTTACCCATTCAGCCAGTCTAAGTGGATAATTTAATCTATTTACATTCAAAGTGATTATTGATATGTAAGGTTTTGTTCTTCTCATATTTTTAATTGTTTACTGGTTGTTTTGTATATTCTTTGTTTCTTTCTTTTACTTTTATTGTTATTGTGGTTTGGTGGTTTGTATACCATATGAGTTCTTTCTTTTCCTCATTTGTGTCAACATTTGGCTTACCAGTGAGTTTTATATTTTTGTGTATTTTTTTTTTTTTTTTTTGAGACGAAGTCTCGCTCTGTTGCCCAGACTGGAGTACAGTGGCACGATACTGGCTCACTGCAACCTCCGCCTCCAGGGTTTCAGCGATTCTCCCTCCTCAGGCTCCTGAGTAGCTGGGATTACAGGTGTGCATCACCACACCCAGCTAATTTTTTGTATTTTTAGTAGAGATGGGGTTTCACCATGTTGGCCAGGCTGGTCTCATACTCCTGATCTCAAGTGATCTGCCCACCTTGGCCTCCCAAAGTGCTGGAACTACAGGCATGAGTCACATGACTGGCCTGTGTATTTTCATGATATGATAAGTGTCAACTGTTTGCATCCAGATATGGGACTTCCTTGAACTTTTCTTGTGGGGCTGGTCTAGTGATGATGCATTCTCTTAGCTTCTGCTTCTCTGCAAAGAAATTTATTTCTTCTCCATTTATGAAGGATAATTTTGCTAGATGTGGTATCCTTGGCTGGTAGTTATTTTTTTCCTTTCAGCACTTTGAGTATATCATCTCATTCTCTCCTGACCTGTAAGGTTTCTGCTGAGAAATGCACTGTTAGTTTGATGGGGGTTCCTCTATAGGTGACTTAATGCTTATCTTTTGCTATATTTAGAATTCTGTTTTTGTGTTTGACTTCAGACAGTTTGACTAAAATGTGCCATGGAGAAGATCTTTTTGCATTGTATCCATTTGGGAATCTCAGCGCCTCCTGTATCTGGAAGTCTAAATCTCTTCTGGATTTGGAATGCTTTCATCTATCATTTCATTAAATAGATTTTCTAATCCTTTCATTCTCTCTTTACCTTCCAGGACCTGAGTGATTAAAAAATTTGGTCACTTTGTGGTGTCTCATATGTCATGGAGGCATTGCTTATTCTTTTTTATTCATTTTCTTTATTTTTTCAAAATATCTGTCTTGAAGTTCTGAGATTCTTTCTTCTTGATCTAGTCAATTGTTGAAGATCTCAAATGTGTTTTGTATTTCATTCAATAAATTCTTCAGTTCTAGAATTTCTGTTTGGTTGTTTTTTATGGCATCTGTCTCTTTGGTAGATTTTTCATTCATAATTTGAACAGTTATTTCTGATTTCTTTGCATTGTTTTTCAGAATTTTTATTTATCTCACTGAGCTTCTTAAGAATCAATAATTTGAATTCATTTTCCAGGACTTTGTGAATTGGCTGTTGCTGGAGAATTATTTTTTTCCTTTGGAGGTGTCATATTTCCTTGCTTTTTCATGTTTCCTGTGTCCTTACATTGATATCTGTACATCTGGTATGATAGTCACTTCTTCCAATTTTTGGAATTTTCTTACATAAGGGAGAACTACTTCCTGAAGATGTATCTATGGTGTTGGTTGGTGATATGGTTTGGCTGTATCCCCACCCAAATCTCAACTTGAATTATATCTCCCAGAATTCCCATGTGTTGTGGGAAGGACCCAGGAGGAGGTAAATGAATCCTGGGGGCTGGTCTTTCCCATGCTATTCTTGTGATTGTGAATAAGTCTCATGAGATTTGATGGGTTTATCAGGGGTTTCTGCTGTTGCTTCTTCCTTATTTTTCTCTTGCCACCGCCATGTAAGAAGTGCCTTTCACCTCCTGACATGATTCTGCATCCTCCCCAGCCATGTGGAACTGTAAGTCCAATCCAACCTCTTTTTGTTCCCAGTTTCAGGATGTCTTTATCAGCAGCATGGAAATGAACTAAAACAGTAAATTGGTACCAGTAGATTGGGACATTGCTGAAAGATATCCAAAAATGTGGAAGCAACTTTGGAACGGGGTAACAGGCAGAGGTTGGAACAGTTAGGAGGGCTCAGAAGAAGACAAGAAAATGTGGGAAAGTTTGGAACTTACTAGAGACTTGTTGAATGGCTTTGCCCATAATGCTGATAGTGACATGGACATTAAGGTTCGGGCTGAGGTGGTCTCAGATGGAGATGAGAAACTTGTTGGAAATTGGAGTAAAGGTGACTCTTGTTACGCTTTAGCAAAGAGACTGGCGACATTTTGCCCAGCCCTAGAGATTTATGGAACTTTGAACATGAGAGAGATGATTTAGGGTATCTGGCAGCTGGCAGAAGAAACTTCTAAGCAGCAAAGCATTCAAGAGGTGACTTGGGTACTGTTAAAGGCATTTAGTTTTATAAGAGAAGCAGAGCATAAAAGTTCAGAAACTTTGCAGCCTGACATGTGGTAGAAAAGAAAAATCCATTTTCTGGGGAGAAATCAAGGCAGCTGCAGAAATTTGTATAAATAGAAAGGAATCTAATGTTAATCCCCAAGACCACGGGGGATATGTCTGCAGGCCATGTCAGAGACCATGACAGCCCCTCCCATCAGAGGCCCAGAGGCCCAGTAGGAAAAAGTGGTTTTTGTGGGCCAGGCCCAGGATCCCTGTGCTGTGTGCAGCCTAGAGACTTGGTGCCCTGTGTCCCAGTTGCTCCAGCCATGGCTGAAAGGGGCCAATGTACAGCTTGGGATGTGGCTTCAGAGGGTGGAAGCCCCAGCCCTTGGCAGCTTCCACATAGTATTGAGCCTGCCGGTGCACAGAAGTCAAGAATTGAGGTTTGGGAACCTCTGCCTAGATTTCAGAAGATGTATGGAAACACCTGGATGTCCAGGCAAAAGTTTGCTGCAGGGGCGGGGCCCTCATGGAGAACCTCTGCTAAAGCAGTGCGGAAGGGTAATGTGGGGTCAGAGCCCCCACACAGAGTCCCTACTGGGGCACTGCCTAGTGGAGCTATGAGAAGAGGGCCCCCATCTTCCAGACCCCAGAATGGTAGATCCACTGACAGCTTGCACTGTGATCCTGGAAAAGCTGCAGACACTCAATGCCAGTCCATGAAAGCAGCCAGAAAGAAGGCTGTACCCTGCAAAGCCACAGGGGCAGAGCTGCCCAACACCATGGGAACCCACCTCTTGCATCAGCGTGATGTGGATTTGAGACCTGGAGTCAAAGGAGAACATTTTGGAGCTTTAAAGTTTGACTACCCCGCTGGGTTTTGGACTTGCATGGGCCCTGTAACCCCTTTGTTTTAGCCAGTTTCTCCCATTTGGAATGGCTGTATTTACCCAATACCTGTACCCCCATTGTATCTAGGAAGTATCTAGTTTGCTTTTGATTTTACAGGCTCATAGGCAGAAGGGTCTTGCTGTGTCTCAGATGAGACTATAGACTGTGGACTTTTGAATTAATGCTGAAATTAGTTAAGACTTTGGGGGACTGTTGGGAAGGCATTATTAGTTTTGAAATGTGAGGACATGAGATTTGGAGGGACCGGGGGAGGAATTATATGGTTTGGCCACGTCCCCACCCAAGTCTCAACTTGAATTGTATCCCCCAGAATTCCCACTTGTTGTGGGAAGGACCCAGGAGGAGGTAATTGAATCATGGGGGCTGGTTTTTTCTGTGCTATTCTCATGATAGTGAATAAGTCTCATGAGATCTGATGGGTTTTTCAGGGGTTTCTGCTTTTGCTTCCTCATTTTTCTCTTATCGCCACCATGTAAGAAGTGCCTTTTGCCTCCTGCCATGATTCTGCAGCCTCCTCAGCCATGTGGAACTGTAAGCCCAATTAAACCTCTTTTTGTTCCCAGTTTCAGGTATGGCTTTATCAGCAGCATGAAAACAAACTAATACAGTTGGGTAGGACACTTTTGCTCTTATTCTGGTTTTGTGCAGCAGTGTAGTCTCTGTATGATTTCTTCAGCTATGAACAGCACTGGTGGTGTCTGTGATTTCTTTGATGGCTTAAAATGCTGTTATTAGTGAAAGCTGTGGTGAAGTTTTTCTGGGGACTGAGATGCCAGGTAGGTCAGTCTTCTGGCCCCATTGGTGGCAGCAGTGGGCTGAGCATGTCTGTCCTTGGGACCCAGGAAAGCATATGCCCATATGTTACTGGATCTAGGAAGATTACTTCTTTGACCTACAGGTGGCTTACTCAGATGCCGATAGTTCCAGCAGTGGGTCTATTCTTGGGCCCCTGGACAGCAGGTGTGGCATGGGTGATGTCAGTGGTAGTGGTGGGGCAGCCCTCTGAGTCCTGAGTAATGCATGCTGCTGTTGGCCATGGCTGTAATGGGCTGGGTACATAAGTCACCAGGCCCACAGATGGCAAGTACAGGTAGGTGCCAGCTATGGTGATAGCACCCGGGTGCTAGGCCCAATCTCAGGAATCTTCAGGTACCAACAGAGGTAGACTGGGCGGGGCAGAGTGTGCTAGCCTGATTGTGCTACGCCCAACACTCAGGAGTGTTGAGTTACCAACAGAGGTAGACTCCGTGGCCAGACTCTGTGCTTTGGCATGGAGTGAGGGCAAAGCCTGGCTGGGTGCGTTTATCCTCAGGCCTCCTGATGGAGAGTGCAGGTGCCAGCCTTGGGTGGCAGGGACAGGGCCATGGCTGGCATCTGCGCTCACAGTCAGGCAGAATGCTTGGGTTGTGGGGCAACAGCAGCTGTGCCACTGCCCCTGCCACTGGGAAGGGTGGTACTGCCTTCAGTGGCCAGCAGCCTAGGCTGGTGGGTTGGGAACCTCCCAGCTCCTCTCTGTGTTATTAGCTTCAGGCCCCGTGAGTGTTGAGAGGATCTCCCATGGCTAGAACTGCAGGCTAGAACTGTTGGGGATGTGAACTGCTGAGGGTCTCTCACTTTTCCCTTTCCCAGACTGGGGAGTCTTTCTCAGCTCCCAGCTTACCCCATCTGAGCAGGCTGCCTGGTTCCTTCTCCTTCCTTGCTTTAGGTATTTCCTGTCACTTTTCTGTGGAATTCCAGTGTTCTTTCTTGCATGATCTATTTGAAAGGTGATTACTCACTATTTCAGTTCTTCTTCATTGAGGAGGTGAGTATGAAATGCCTCTAGTCAGCCATCTTCCACAATACATTTTTAAGATGATAAGAAAATAGATTAGAACTTTTTAAAAAGTAGACCTGGTATGTGAAAAATACTACATTCAAACAGATTTAGATTGGAGCCAGCTATTTGGATAATTCTTGCAAATACATACCTACTGAGAAATAGGAATGTTAGCCAGGATTTTATATACTGTTAGCATTGATTGCACTAGCTAGCTAACTGCTGAATATTCTTTTTTTTATTTTTCCATAGGTTATTGGAGTACAGGTGGTATTTGGTTACGTGAGTAAGTTATTTAGTGGTGATTTGTGAAATTTTGGTGCACCCATTACCCAAGCAGTATACCCTGCACCCTATTTGTAGTCTTTTATTATCCCTCATCCCCGCACTCTTCCCGCCAAGTCCCAAAGTCCATTGTATCATTCTTATGACTTTGCGTTCTCATAGCTTAGCTCCCACATGTCAGTAAGAACATACAATGCTTGGTTTTCCATTCCTGAGTTACTTCACTTAGAATGATAGTCTCCAATCTCATCCAGCTTTTGGGTTCTTGATCATGAAATCCTTACCTAAGCGAATGTCTAGAAGAGTTTTTCCGATGTTATCTTCTAGAATTTTTATTCAAGCCTTAGATTTAAGTCCTTACCTAAGCCAATGTCTAGAAGAGTTTTTCCGATGTTATCTTGTAGAATTTTTCTTCAAGCCTTAGACTTAAGTCCTTACTCCATCTTGAGTTGATTTTTGTGTAACGTGAGAGATAAGGATCCAGTTTCATTCTCCTACATGTGGTTAGCCAATTATCCCAGCACCATTTGTTGAAAGGGTGTCCTTTCCCCACTTTTTATAGCAGTACTATGCTGTTTTGGTGACTATGGCCTTATAGTATAGTTTGAAATCAGGTAGTGTGATGCCTTCAGATTTGTTCTTTTTGCTTAGTCTTGCTATAAGGTAGAAGGAGTACCATAAAGTAGTCTATTCCATTAGTATGCCTATTCCACTGCTTATGTGCCAGGCACTGTTTCAAACACTTTACAATTATTAACTCATTTTGTAATCACAACAACTTTATGAGGTGGAAACTATTATTATCCCAAGTTGGGACATGAAAAAACTGAGGTAGAGACAGCTGAAGTAAAGTCACACCAAATGCTAGTAAGTGATAGAGCATAGGTTCAGAATTTGAACCTGTATAATCCGTAATCTGACTTCAGTCTCTAAGACCCTATACTGTTTCTACTGCTTGCTAATCCAGTCCTCTGATGATATATTGTTAGATTCTTTAAGTATTATAAAATATGGTTCAAATATTTCTGACAAAATAGAGGAACATTAACTCCTTAGGGTGTAATAAAGTTTTAGATCCTGTTTAGAACTTTAGAAAGATGAGCGTAACATCAATTTTTGTTAAATTCATTGGCAAATTCTGCCTAGGCAAATTAAGAAGTTCAAGGTGCAGAGTGGATTGTTCGGTCAGAAGTATTTAGCTCGTAGTTCACAAAGATTATTTCCAAATGACATACTCAAAATGTTACATGTTCAGGTATGGACTATAAAAGACTCAGTATTGTCTCATGGCCAATCTGTTTTGTATAAGAACTTGACTCTGGCATGTAATTACAAATTGATACATTTTCATAGTGGATGGGTGATTCATTATGATTATTGAAATGTTTGGAAAATAGAGATAAATGATTACAAATGACATAGATAATTAAAGATGGGTTAGTGGAGTAACCTTTTAAAAATCAATGCATATGGATCTTTTGATATATTGATCCACTTTTGCCTCTAGGAAATTTGAATAAAAAATACTGTAGAATTAAGAAATATAAATTAGTGTGTATATTTCTTCTGATTTTTGCATGATGCCTATATTAGTTAGCATAATTAGCCAACTGTAAGTACCTTAAGTGGGGAGGGGGTTTGGGGGTGGAGGGGGAGACTTTTAGGCTCCTGTCACTAAGAAGTTTCAGACCACTTGTGCTGACATCAAGTTTCTGACCCTGTATCTCTCTTTGTCTGTCTTTCTCCCTACGTTACAAAACGTGTTCCTGTCGTGTTGGTTTTATCAGGACAGATCTCATATATCGCAGCAACAAAGATGGCCCCCAGGAGTTCCATGGACCCTTATTTCTCATCATTTAGAAGGAGAAAGCACCTCTTTCCTCAGTTCCTCTCTTCAGGACTCCCAGTACCCCTGCTTCTGGTGACAGCCCATGGCAGGTGGGGAGGACGTGCAGATGGAAAGAATGAGAAGGGCAGGTGAGGCAAACGAGCAGATGCCCCCTGCAACTGCTGAACGATTTGCAAACAAAATCTATTTAAACTTCTTCTTGGGATAATTCACTATCTTTTTTTTTTTAATTCAAATTGCTCCAAAGTAGAAAGGATAGTCCTTTTCAAAGATAGGAACTCCATAAGAGAGTAAAAGTTAATACAATATAATAAAATGAAATAAAAGATGGGAAATCCAGGAAGTGTTTTGTAAGTAACGTAGATGCTGATATATACTAAAAATATTAAGTGTTGGCTATATCATGGCCTTCCAAGGTGAGTTTTTAAAAAGTGGTAGTAGTAGCCAGGTACATTAAAATACTTAAAAGCTTTGGAGTAAAATAAATAATCTAGATGTGTTTTCTGGCTCTCAAACTTGCTCCTGCTACTTGCTTATTGGAATTTTTTTGATTTCTTTCTTGTCATTACTTAAGCAAGGGTCTTCATCTTTCTGAGTTTTGCTTTCTTCACTTGTCAAATGGGGATAATTAGACCTTTCTTGGATGGTTGATGCAAGGGTTAAAAGAGGTGACGCACATAAAACACGTGCCAGTATAGTAGATCCGTCAGTTTTCTAGAGTGATATATATGCTGAACATAGGTTCGATTCCCCTTTTCCTTTATTAGCCATTTTTTTTTATCACTTGACAGTATTTAATGCAAATGGAAACAAAAGTAGTTTATCCAAGTAGTACAGAATATGAATAGAATTAATGATAAATTATGCTCACTGTGTTTCTGGTAATGAAAAAGACAAGCATATAAAAAAATTAATTACACCTTGTTATATGTCAGAAATCCAGTAGGAAGGAAAGACAGGACTGGACACCCACTGCGTCACAATCGCGGTGCGGCAGGCATTTTGAGAAGAGAGAATATTGGGCGTCACATTATCACTATCGTACTGTCAGTCATTGGTGACTGGGCCATATGAGGCCCTGGATAGTGCACAGCTGCTCAGCACAGCACCAAACCAAAGGACATGGCAGGATCTCATGTTTGGCCTAATTTTAAAAATTCAAAATAATATTTTCCTTCAATAGTGAAGAAAGGGGCTAAATTATCAAATTTGTACCTTTAGATTTTGTGTTTACATTTTAAAGATAACACACTTCCATGTACTCTTATTTCTCAAAAATAGGTTACTGGTAGACTGAAAATATTTTGGATACATCTGAAAAATATTTCCTTTTCCTTGCAAAATGGCAAACCTCTCTTTTAAGCCTATGGAAAGGACATTTAAATGAAAGAATTCAATAAGTGTTTAGTTTTATGGAGCTCTTACTACTTTGGGCCCACAATTAAATCACAGGTAAGGGGTTTTCATCAGAAGAAATCTCTAAGTATGATGAAAAACAACAACAAAACTGAATTAATTTACACAGCCTAACAACATATGATCATAATTTCCCTCGGATGCGGTTTATTGTTGGTAAAATTTAGAAAAACCCACATGTATCATTTTAAAGTACATCTGAAGTATATTTTCATGAAATGTACATGGTTGTGTAGTTAAATGTTTATGGGAACTTTTCATTTTTTTGCCATTCGGCCTGCTTTCAAAATATTCAAATATATTTGGCTTTTGTAACTTTGCTAATTAAACCTTCTAAAACAGATGGAATTATAGAAATTACAGGGTTTAAAATATCATCTTAATTGGTTTACGATCTATGTGACACGTAGTGCCATTCATACTGTATAAAATAGATACGAATGGCTCAAAAGAGATGGCATACCAATTAATTTCTTTTTAACTCTTTCAATTAAGTTTAGTTTTCTTCATTATTTTCTTCCTTTTTCATTAGCCTGGCTCGCAGGGAGTCTGATCAACCCTGACTGTGAAGATACAGGTTGTAAGCTGAGATCATATTGGAGAGTTTCTTTTGTGACTAAGGGATAGAGAATCTGAATTTACCTTCATTCCAAAGAAAATAAATAATCTTAAAACAAGCTTTAAGCATGCATATGGCTGTCCCCTCAAGTGATGTGTAGATTAATCTTTCTCCTTCTAATGATGATTGCCTTATGTGTGCAGGCAGCCATATTTCTCTGATTTCCTGGAATAGTCTTGATTTAAATGTCTACCTTACTGTCCCACTAAGAACACCTAGATTTGTCAGACCGCACGTTCTGATTTCTGAGTTGGGATGGGACGCTATAATCTCTCTACGTAGAATGTTGGGAGGTTGAAATAGGCTGCTTCATGTGTGTCTATGTGCCTTAAGATCAAGAATCTGGTTGAATACAACTCACCCAGACCTCTAAAGATTCCAATTTCGAGGCCACGATGAAGGCCTGTTATATAATAAACCTGCTTTACCCAGCAAAATAACATGCAGTTTTAAAAAATACCATCATACTATTTGTTGGCTACTCTTGGCTATCAAAATTAAACTCGACTGTTTCTTTCAAATATCTCAATTTGTCATTTGGATGTGATTTTAAACATACTATTCCCCTCTGTTGCCATTGTAACAGGTTTGGGCCCTCATGGGTGACAGAAAAGTACCAGAGTTCTGGTTCCTCTTTGAACACACATGTTCTCTGGGTTTCGCCTTGCAGCCCAAGAAGAGAGGAGGCTTGGAATCACCACACTTCCCACAGCAAGGTAAATCCGTGCATCAGATAACACTCAGAGCTTGGGAAATCGCCCACAGCAGGGACAGATTACCTCTTACAGTCACTATGGAGAACAATTCAAATCCTAGCTTTAATGATCCCAGATAGAGCTCTTCTCCTCCCCACCAATGTGACATTTTGCAAACATTTTATATATCAAGGAAATATTTCATTGAAACGCGCTTCTGAGAATGCCTACCAAGCCGGCTCTAGGCATCTTCCAACATTGCAGGGGTCAATTAAAAGAACCAATCAACTGTTTTTTAAAACTTTAAAATATTTTTTAAAATAGGGTTGGGGGAAAGAAAGTGGACAAAAAGTAATGTTAAATAGCATGGAGCATGACTAATGGCGCTAGCATGTTAAAATCATTGGGAAAATGTCCTTGGAAGACAAATGAATTTTCAGCAGAATAATTAACTTAATTAACAAATTTGCATGCATATTCATCAGGCTATTGAAGTCTTTCCAGCCCAGCTTGATGAGCGCTGGTGTAATAATTGTCTCATTTACATTCTGCAATCTACTACAATTTAGGACATGCAAAAAAACCCGACCTCTTCCCTTTGACTTTCTTTAGGAGCCATATACTCCTAAAAACACGGCCTTCACCCTCTCTGTGGCCTTTGGTCCAGGCCTTTTGAGAGAACCCCCAGAGACAGTTGACTGTGGTTTCCCATCCCCCAGTCTTTCCCTTCTTTCTTCTTTTTATTTTTTTCCTTTTGGCCCAAGTTCTCTGTTTCTGCCTCTGCTTGCTCTCCTGGGTAAATCTTGGCACCAGTTCTGACTTCAAATCTCTTGGGTCGCCAGACTGCATCATGTAAAAATTGCCATTTCCCTCTATCTCTGCAGGGCAATCTTTAAAGGCAGTAAGGTGTGACGCTCCAGACTGGCAGCTTGGCAAGACAGAGCCCATGGATACCAGCACACGGGAATCTGGACGGCTCACTCTGACAGCAGTCAGCACTGGGAACAAAAGGAATGGAGGGAAAAAAGCGCAAATGTATTTTTACATATTGTAGGCATATGGCCACAAGACCAGCAGAAATATATTTAATTACCAATTGCACGCATTGAGGAGAAAAACACTGGAAATGGGGGAAAAACTGTATACACAGCAATATTATTCTAATTTAACTTTTCACCTCAGTTTTTTTTTTCTTTCTTTAATTGAAAATGGAAGGGAATGTGGGTTGGAATCGCAAAGGGTTATCTTCTGGAATTCTATCAAAGGTGATGTGGGATTTTGACATGCCTTCTTTAACAGCATAACATTATAGAAAGAAATAGGAAAGTTTTCTTTTAGTTATTTTAATTATGAAATAATTTGACCAAGGCGTTTTGGGGGAGTGGGGCAGACCGGATTTGAAATATAACAGTTAGACAATCTTACTGTCATGTTAAAACTGTACTTTTGATGTTACACATTAGGCCTCAACAATTAATAACCTAATCTTGAAAAATTATATTCTTGTTCTTTTCTATGAAAGCAGAATACTTCAACCCCATTTATTGTCAGGTATTGTCCTAGCCAGTGGAGGTACAGAGGTGAATCAGATGTCATCCCTGCACTGAAGAAGCATAGCCTAGGCTGGGAGACAAATACACATATATATAATTATAATGTTATACCATTAAATTATTAAATATGTGAAAATTATCATTAGCTAAAATCACAATTATAATACACATAATACCATCTATATAAGGCAATGATGTAGCTATATGAATCCAGGGGCCATAGAGGATTGACTCTTAGTTCAGTCTGGGTGTCAGTCACACTGGAGGACCAGGGAGGAGACCTCTTCCAGGAAAAGCTGATGAAAAGGATCAGTGAGAAAAAGCCCGGGAAGAAGGCAGTTGCATTTTGCAGAATGAAGGAGTTTGGGCCAGTGTGAGCCAGCTCCCTTCCTAGGGTGCCGGCTCAGGGAGTCAGGTAATGGGGCCAGGGAAACGTGTGCCCACTGACTTGGGAAAGAGAGAGGGGCCCATACCTCCTTCTTGGCAGGAAAGAAAATCACAGCCCCGAAAAAGTAACTTGCCAGGAGCCCCCTTCTTTGTAGCATTCCTATCACTGACTTCCTGTTAGCCTGGGTCTCCTGTTCTCACCCTGCTCTTTGAAATCCTTGGTGGCCAGTGCCGGCTATGTAGGTGACCTGTGCTCCCTGGTCCCATGGAGGTTCTGCCCAGCTGACCAGCCTTGCAGTCTGTTTCTGCAGCCCAGATAATGGTTCAGAGGCATGTTAATGTGTGCTTTGCTTTATGTAGCAAATATCATCTTGAAAAGTTTTTTTGTACATTTACTTTTTTTTTGTAAAGCGACCTACATAATAAAAGCACTAGGGGAGCTGGTTATTTAAAGGAACCCTGTAGTGAATCTTTTCATAATGTAGAAGCCATTCCTTAATTAATCTTTGTTTTTCATCAGACATACCTGTGCCTCTGTGGCTTTTCTTTTTTTTTTTTTCTAAGAGGAAGCGGCCTAGGCTATAGTGCCAAGTGCGTGAGACTGAGGGCCAGGGCTTCCAGAGCGCATGCTGAGCTGTTGCTGGCTGCCACTGGGTTGAGGATGTGAGCATAACCTTGGGGTCAGTTCTATCTTCTGACAAAGGCACAATCAAATGGGCTTAGGTTCAAATCCGGGTTTTACCATCCATCGACTTCATTTGGCAATTCACTTGTTTCCTTGAATGTTAGTTCTTTACCCATGTACTGGGTGGTTACATACGTCAAATCAAAAAGTTTCTCCGAGGGCCTGGCATCATAGCTATGACTAAGGGTTTGCTTGCCCCCACTCCAATTCTACTCTGCTCCACTCTGCAACAGCCCCTTGGAGCAAGAGCCACAGCTGGACTTGTTGGGAGGAAATACTTGTTAACTTGGGACCTCCCTGCAACTGTTTCCTCAGAGGAGAGGAAATGCCCACTCTACTCCCCAGGAGGAAGGTGGATAAAAGACAATATTTTAGACTATTCTTTACCCCTGGTTACCCATGGTAAAAAGTGATTGATCTTAATAGTAAAGTTTCAGATACAGCCATCTTGGGCAGGTCTGTACATTCAAGTATGGTAGTATGGGCTGCCCTCCCCCACCGCCACACCCTCAGACAGGCCCATATGTTTTAAATTGATCCAAATCTGCTCTTTTTTTCCATATCTGAGCCCACCCCTGTGGCTCTTCAGGAGCTTTTGGTCTGAGCAAGGGTCCCACAGCCTCCCCTGATCCTGTTTCATCAGTTATAAACCTGTTGGAACATTGTGTCTGCTCAGCTTGCTAGAACTTTTTACCTCCCTATCCTCTAGCTGCTGGGGAGGGCAGACACCTGCTTGGCACCACACATGCTTTCCGGTCATCTGGTCACCTGTGGGCCTGCAGCTAGGGTGGTGGTTGTGGCTGGAGCTTAGAGCCACATCCAGTGAGGGTCACAGAGCTCCTCAGAGAAGTGCTGGGAGTGAGACTCCAACCCGCCCCAGCACTGAGGTGGGGTTGAGGGATGTGGCTGAATGACCAAGGGGATGGCCATAGACTCTATCCAGGAAGAGAAATCCCAAGGGCAGGCAGGTTAACCTGTCCCCACAAACTCATGTCCAGGCCCTGGGGTTCCCAACCCTGACTGATGAGAACCGACAGCTATACCCTTTTGGTTGGCATTTCTGAGAATTGCGTGGACAATTCTCTTCTCTTTTCTTACTGAAGGAAGGACAGATATAGAGGTGGTTCTAACTCTGGTGCTGGTATATTTGTGACTATCACTGGGATCATATTACCAGAGTAAGTTTGACCAATTTGGAGAATTGGCCTTGGAGAGGTCAACACTTAAGAGAAAGGCCAAGGCCATGGCCTGGCTCAAATGGATCCCATTTCTTGCACATGAGTTACACTGACTCAGTTATTGGAGAGCCCTCTTGTGCTTGGGTAGGAATTTGAAATGTTGAAGTAGTCATGGGTTAGGGACCTGCTGCTAATGACCCTCCTGTAACCCAAACTTAAGATACTTCTGGAAAATAGACTACATCAGAAGACTTCTAAGGTCCCTCATTCACTCATTCATCTATTCTTTTATCTGGGATTTATCAGGGACCTACCATGTACCAGGTTCTATACCACCTGTTGGAGAAACAATGGTGAATGAGTCCCTGCACTTCCAAGGCTTGCAGTCCAGTAGTAGAGAGGCAAGTGAAGACAATTAACTCGGTATGAGAAGCACAAAAGATAGATAGGGGAGCACAGACCAGGGACAGCACACCCAGTTTAGAGGGACTGGGAAACATTTCTGGAGAAAATGATCAGTAATGTTAGGTGTTTTTGTCCAGGAAAGGCTGAGGGGGGTGACAACACCCTTCCAAGAAGGCTTGCACTGTGAACAACACTGAAGTGACTTGCCCAGGGGCACTCTATAAGTAGCAGAGCCTGGATTGTTCAAAAGTGAAACCCTACGTTCTTAGTCACGTTGCTCCACTGTCAATATTGAAATGATTATTCAAGAGGCCCAACTATTGATTATAAACAATAGTGCATTGCAGATCTGGCTGCTTTCTTGGCCATGTGGGGCTTTGAGCTCTAGCCCCTAAATCAGCAGAGAAAACACAATCCAGCCACAGATGGTGGCTCACACCTGTAATCCTAGCACTTTGGGAGGCTAAGGCGGGTGGATCACCTGAGGTCAGGAGTTCGACACCAGCCTGGCCAACATGGTGAAACCCGTCTCTACTAAAAATACAAAAAAATTAGCTGAGCGTTGTGGCAGGCACCTGTAAGTCTCAGCTACTTGGGAGGCTGAGGCAGGAGAATCGCTTGAACCCAAGAGACAGAAGTTGAAGTGAGCAGAGATTGCACCACTGCACTCTAGTCTGGGTGACAGAGTGAGACTCTGAAAAAAAAAAGAAGGAAGAAAGGAAGGAAGGGAGAAAGGAAAGAGAGAAAAGAAAGAAAGAAAAAGAAAGAGGGAAGAAAGAAAAAGAAAGGAAAGAAAAAGAAAGAAAAGAAAAAGAAAGAAAAAAGAAAGAAAAAGAAAGAAAGAAAAAGAAAGGAAGAAAGAAAGGAAGAAGAGAAGAAAGGAAGAAAGAAAGGAAAGAAAGAAAGAAAGAAAGAAAGAAAGAAAGAAAGAAAGAAAGAAAAAGAAAGAAAGAAAGAGAAAGAAAGAAAAAGAAAACACAATCCAAACTATTGAGTAGTCAGGGGAGTTAGGCAGGAACAATACCGATGTTGTCTGGACCCTGAATAACATATTCCAAACAACTTTCTCATTGCCTAAGTAAGTCGAAAGTACTGTTTTGCAATTTGGTTGCAGTGTGCAAGTTTGGTTGATTTCATGTGTCTTAAAGAATTATGCTCTGTAGACACCATGTGATTACTTTTTAAAGTGAAGTGAAGTAAGAGTGATACTTAATATCACAGTATTAGGGCAATGCCTTTATAAATTAGATGCCTACTTTAAAATTTATAAAATTGTGGCACCAAATATATGTACAGTCAACCTGCTGTATCTGGAGGTTCCACGTCTGTGGATTCAACTAATCATGGATTGAAAACATTTTTACAAGATGGCTGGTCATGTCTGTCCTGAACATGTATGAAATTTTTTATTGTTATTCCCTAAACAATATAGTATAGCAACTATTTACATAACATTTACACTGTATTAGGCATTACAAATAATTTAGAGATGATTTAAAGTATACAGGAGGTTGTGCATAGGTTGTATGCAAATACCATGCCATTATACATGAGAGACTTAAGCATCTGTGGAGTTTGATATTAGCAGTAGGTCCTGGAATCAATCCTCCAGTGATACTAAGGGATAACTGTATATTCATATTCTGTCTCCTGGAAAGATATAAAATGTCTCACAACAAAAGTAATTTTTTTTAAAAATTAAGATTCAAGGAAGTAACACTAGGAAGTTCAATTTGAATGGAATATACATAAAATTTATTTCTGGGTTCCCTGGGAGCCAAAGCAAAAAGGGAAACATGAAAAAAATGCATAATTTTTTTTTATCAAAAAGGAGAAAGCAGATTCACTCCCCCTGGAAAAAAAAGTGTTTGCAAAGACAAAAATTCTAAAAATAGTAATTTAACATAGACTTAACCTTTGGAAGAAAGAAGAAACAATTCAAGGTGTTTGTAATGTAATGGATTATCATATAATCAAGAACTATGATGAAATAGAGAACACTCTTTCCTTTAAACCTAGAACAGAGAAAGAATTCCTATCAGAGAACTATTAATGGAAAGTCAGAACCACTAGGCTCTGATGTGCAGATCTAGGTTCAAAATGCAGCGCTTATTTATCTATTTAGTTATGTGTTTATGAGGCAACTATTTGTTGATTACCTAGTCTGTGCCATTCATGTTTCTAGGGCTGTGATGGAGTGATGAAAAAGAAAAAGTCCCTGCTCATAATTCACATAATGACTCCAGCACATTAATATAAAATTTTACAGTTTTAATTGTCACATGATGTGTGATGGATGAATTATGAGTTAATCAACTTACATGATACTTTATGGTTTGCAAAATGTTTTCACACATCATTACAACCCAAATCTCCTTGCAGAAGCATGGGGACATTCTAGACATAGCTCAACATTCAAATTTGGACTAATGCTCCTGGTTAAGGAGTCTTGATATATCATGAAAGTATTGGTTGTGCTTATATTTTTCCATTAAAAAGGATATGCTTAAGAGCCCATTTCAGTAATTAGGAAGAAAGTTAGCTAGCAAATGCCACAAGAGACTTTAACATACCTTGATGTGCTTAAGAGTTGAACATTGCACTCAGTGACACTTAGTTTAATGAATATCACAATTTTCTTCACATCCCATGAAGCATTGCAGGACTTTTGGCAAAATGTGAGGTCCTTCTGCTAGGCACAGCTAGGAAATACTAATAACTGTTAAATGAGAACCTCTTGTTCCTATCTTAAGGCAATGACATCATTCATATGGTTCACTCAGCCTCTCAGGCCTTTTATTCTCCTCCTTCAGCATGCCTATTGCATACAATAGGTAAAGAATTCTCCTTCTTTTCCAGTTAATTAACCCACCTGCTAATAATACTCTTCTGTCCTTGATTGATTCAGAGCAACCTCCAGCTGTCAGCCTCCTATCTAGTCAGAAGCTTTTGATGATGAAAATGGAGTCCATAAGAAAGAAATGGGCTACAAATATTAAGTGCAGGCAGGCAAGGTGCAAGTAGGGTGATATCTTATCCCAGTTTGCCCAGAATTTTATGCTTTTAGTGCTGAAGATCCCAAGTCCTGGGAACCCACTAAATAGGACTAGGAATTGTTCCCCTAAGTGCAGGGAATCATCTCTATAGTCAAACAGCAACAAATGAGTAAACATGAGGGGGCAGGTAACAGCAGATGTTTTAGTTTGGATTCCTCCAATAGCAGGCTCTAAGTCTAGGATTCCATGCAAGTGGTTTACTGGGAGATGATCCTAGGAAACAGTGGTAGGGGAGAAGAGAAATGAGATAGGAAAGCAATTGCCACTGTGGGCATCTGGAACCTATTCCTACTGAGAAACACTGAGAGTAGTGCAATACATGTGCCTTTGAGCCATGCTGCCTGAGGGGAATTGGAGTTGGGGTAACTACCAGTTGTTAGTTGAAGTCTGTTCTTAGTGGTGGAGGCGGAGTTTGCTAATTGTGCCTGCTGAGCCTATGGGCAGAGTGGACCTCAATTTTCCGAGAAAGTTCTCCAACCAAAAGATGCAGATGCTGCAGGTAGAAGCTGTGCTATATTGCACACTGAAATGGTAAGGTAGGACAGTGATGATGCTGTTACAATGGGTCTACATTGTTTTCCAGGTCAACTCATTCTACAGCACTGACTGGCTAACTCTTCCCTGTGTGGACACAGCTTCTTTGGTAATATAAGAAAAAAACATGTGTGCTAGATATGGGGGAGAGTAAGGATTTGAGTGGATATTTGAAAGGCAGATGAGTTTGATGCCTTGGAATCATGCCTAATATATGTTCTTTTCATTCGTGATTATCATATAGCCAAACTATAGATATGTGGGATTAGTAGTCTCCAATAAGGCCACTTCCAAGTAGTCTTCCAAGTAGCCTTCAATCATACCACTTCAGGCATTAATTCTATTAGTCTGAATGATTTGGGCAGATGAGACTTTTGAACACCACTTGGTCTTACCATGGCTTATGAGGCCTCATTATCATAAAAAGTAGACTTGTTCTTTCACTTATATCTTTCTCTGAGCCATTATAAACCATTTTATTATTTCTGTCTTTGAGCTGAACAAAGTTGTCTCTCAGGTCTCCTATAGAAATATCTAGAACATGACCTCCTTCTGAAGTTTGTAATGTATTCAGAGTGGAATGCGATGGTAAGCTGTGCACCTGGGTATACAAGCAAGGTACTTGGAGTTGATGGGTGAGCTACATTCAGCCTCATTCAGCCCTGAAGACCAAGATTGTTCATCTTCCAGCTGACCTGACAAGCACCTCTGCCAAATAGAGATTATTGAATCTGGATAGACGCTGAAGAGTCAATCAGATTGTTGTTCAAGGAGTTTAGCAAAGACAATTGGTGAACAGAAGCCATATGTAATTAAAAGCCTCACTGTAGGGAGAGACCAGTGTGAGAATTGCTTGGTTGTGGTGGAGAGATCTTAGGCACAAATGCAGAGCAGTTGTGTGGAGCTGTGGTCATGACAGACGGTCTTTGGAATGAGAAGCAATGTTTCCCTGCCATGGAGAGGAAAAGGAAACCAGGTGGCTCAACCTGGCTTGTGTCTTAAAAGTCAACCCAGCATCTATGAGTCTGCCTCTGAAGCTATTGGGACACTCTTCTGTATTCTTCAGTTCCCACGTGCAGCCTTATGAGAAATAGTTAATTGTCTCCACCAACCCGAAATAACCCAACTAACGTATCTTTTAAGTATTTGAAATCACCACTCACCTGTCTCTGACTTAGGCTAAACAATTTTAATTCCATTATTTTTTATTTTTACCATTTAAACATTAGTTTAATTTTAATTTTTTTTTTTCGGAGATGGGGTCTTACTCTGTCGCCCAGGGCTGGAGTGCAGTTGCACATGGCTCACTGCAGCCTCAACCTCCTGTGTTTAAGCGATCCTCCCTACCTCTAGCCTCCTGAGAAGCTGGGACCACAGGCATGTGCCAGCATGCCCTGCTAATTTTTACTTTTTTATTTTTGTAGAGATGCAGCCTCCTTATGTTGCCCAGGGCTGGTCTCAAACTCCTGGGCTCAAGTGATTCTCCTGCCTCGGCCTCCCAAAGTGCTGGGATTATAGGCATGAGCCACTGCACCTGGCCTTATTTTGAATTTGAAGACTTATACATTCAATTCAGCCTCTTCAAGTCCTCCTACCTAGGAGGCACTGGGGAGTAGACTAGCATGAGATATGAGACTTAGGGTCAGAAATACATAGATTCCAAGCTTGGCCCAGCAGTCCACTTTAAATGTGCATATGGGCAAGCTACTTAACTTCTCTGAAGCTTAAATGAGAATTATATTTATAATTAACAATATTATTATTACCCCCACAAAAAATAAGATACGTGAAAATCTTTTTCTCTACCCTTCCTTGCCCTCAGATATATTCTATGAAAGACTGAGATTTGTTATCTTATAAAATAGAATCTAATAAAGAAAATAAAAGAGTAGGAATTAAAAACATGATAAATGGAGAATAATAAGTGAAGAAAGCCAATATTATTTGAGCTACAAACTTAATAGTGAGCTTCTTGGAAATGAACAAAAGCAAAATGCAATAGTCACATCCTACTCTAATAAAATGAAATATAAAATTTTATAAAGTAAGAAATATGATTTTTAGTTTACCTGTAATGTGAATTGTTACATTGGTTCTGTTTTAAGAGACATTGAAACAGACAGCAGAAATTTTATAGTAGACAGAGAAAGGACCTCTGTATCCTATTTCTTTTATTAACTGCAAATTAAAAGCTATGCATGTAGAGTTGTGTTGGAGGTTTCTTGAAGGTATTTTCATAGACAGATGAGAGAAGATATAGCCAAGGTAGCCAAGACATGTTTTTTCTTTTCTTTTCTTTTCTTTTTTCTTTTTTCTTTTTGGGCGACAGGTTCTCACTCTGTTGCCCAGGCTGGAGTGCAGTGGCGCGATCATAGCTCACTGCAGCCTCAACATCCTGAGCTCAAGCCATCTTCCCATGCAAGCCCCCCAGTAGCTGGGACTACAGGCATGTGCCAGCACACCTGGCTAATTTTTTATTTTTAGTTTTTGTAGAGACGAGGTCTCACTACGTTGCCCAAGCTAGTCGTGAACTCCTGGACTCAAGGGATCCTCCCACCTCAGTCTCCCAAAGTGTTGGAATTACAGGCATGAGCCACTTCCTGGCCAAGGCATGTGTTTTCTAATAAAAGTGAATAAATGTAGCAACACAGCATGAAGGATCTAGAGTAATTGTTTATGTCCTTTCTCTGTTTTCAAATATGAATTGCCTTGGTTTATTTTCATATTGCACTAGCTTCCTAACTGGTCTCCTTGCTGCAATCTTGCATGCCGTGAGTCTTTTCTCTATGAGGCAGCCAGGACAATATTTCTATTTTGTTGTGTCACTTGCTGGTTTTAAGCTATTTCTACGGTCCACTCCTAAATTCTTGAAGTTTTTCAGATATGCCATGTAGTTCCCCCTTTGCACATTCTCCTTTTCCTGGAATACCATCGCTATTGTCAACTAGATTGCCAGGTTAATATAATCCTTTGGAAGTCAGATCAGACATCGCTACTTCTAGAAAAACTTAACCACCCCAACCTTGTCTGAATTTGTTTCCTCTCCTCTGTGTTCTTAAGCATTCTACTACACAGTATTGTTATTTTGTATTTACCTGTCTATAAGTCAGAGGCACCATTGTCAGATCTTCATCAAGCCTTCTGTGTTGGCAGAGTCCTGTTATATAGGAGGGGCTTAATACATATTTCTTAAGTGAGCGAATGACTTAGTAGGAGCTGGCTTTCAAACCAATAGTCAATGTCATGTTAATAACCAATGAACATTTTCCCAAAGTATGTTTCAGAAAACACTGCTTCTGAGAAATATTATAGGTGTCCTGGACAGAACACTTCCATAGTTAAGGAAGTAGAAAATGCTGCATGTTCTATCTCTCCAAAAAGTCGCTATTTTCATTAGAATATTAAAGGCTCTGGCATGTTTTTCAATTAATAAACTTATTTACTATATATTTTTCTTACTTTTGTGTGTGTGTGATTGTGTAGTACCTGTTGGAACTAATTACTTACGACAAAAACAGCTTGAAAAACCTTGCTCTGCAGGCTTTACTTAAAATTCGGAAATCAGATCAAGCACTGTAGCTCAAGTGCCTGTAATCCCAGCACTTTAGGGGGCCAAGGTGAGAGGATCACTTGAGGCCAGGAGCTTGAGACCAGCTTGGGCAACATAGCAAGGCTCCATCTCTACAAAACATAAATTAGCCAAGTGTGGTAGCACACACCTGTACTCCCAGCCACTCTGGAGGCTGAGGTGGGAGGATTTCCTGAGCTCAGGGGTTCGAGGCTGCAATGAACCATGACTGTACCACTGCACTCCAGTCTGGGTGACGGAGCCAGACCCTGCTTCTGAAAAACAAACGAACAAAAACATAAAAGATCTATAAGTTAGAGAGATTATATTTCTGAATGAGACTATTCAATACTGTAGTCGGCTATATGACGATATTGATTGAACACAATGATATTCAAAATCTCAGCTTGGAACTTAAGTATTTCTTAGGTTTGGTTGGAAGAAAAATGGATGAAAGCAACCAAGAAAAAGCAATAAAGAAGAGCAATTTGAGGAAACAGCAATGTCAATTATTTAAATATTAAAGCCAAAATTCTTGAAACTATACTATATATGCAAGAATAACTCAAGAGATATTAATGGCATTGTTATGCCTAAAGACATAAGGTAAAATAAAGGTAGAATCTCACATAAATGTAAGAATGGGGGCTGCTACTGCAGAAATTGGGTAATAATTTTTTAAAATTAAATTCTATGTCTCATTTCATGCTGTATACAATTTCCATGTAGATTAAAATTTTAAACGTTAAAGAAGCAAAACATAGGAGAATTAAGAGCAATGTAGATACTTCACTTTTACACTAATAGACTTTGTTTTTTAGAGCAATTTTAGGTTTACAAAAAAATTGCACAGAAAGTACAGATAATTCCCATATACCCTCTTTTCCTCCCACAGTTTTCTCTATTATTAACATCTTGCATTAGTATGATAAGTTTGTTATTGACGAACCAATCTTGATGCATTATTATTAACTAAAGTCTATAGTTCACGTTTTGTGTTCACTCTTTGGGGTATATGGTTACATGGGTTTTGACAAATGCGTAATGTAACTACCTTTACAGCATCCTACAGAGCAGTTTCAGTGCCCTAAAAATCCTTTGTGTTTCACCTATTCATCCCTCCATTCCACCCCTTCGAGCCTCTGGCAACCACTTACCTTTGAACTGCCCCTATAGTTTTGGCTTTCCTGGAATGCCATATAGTTGGAATTTTATAGTGTGTAGCTTTTTCAGATTGCCTTTCTTCACTTAGCAATACCTATTTAATATTCATCCATGTTTTCTCATGGCTCGATAGCTTATTTCTTTTGCTGGATAATCCATTGTATGGATGTGCCACAGTTTTTTTTTTAACCCATTTACCTAGTAAAGAACTAGATACTTAAGAAGTATGTAATATTCATTAAAGCAAAATAAAAGAAAAATATTTACTGAGAGTCTAACCATGGGCCAGACCCTCTTCTATAATAGAATCTTGAGATACGTCAATGAGCAAAACATATCAATCTTTGCTCTTGGGAAGATTACAAAATGGAAGGAAGAGGTGGACGCACAGAAAATACCAAAGAGAAACAACAAATACATAAATTAGGAAGCATATAAGAAGGTGGTGATTACTATGGCAAAGTAAAAAGCAGCCCCAGGCCAAGGGCATTGGGAGTGCTGGGGCAGGTGAGGTAAGGCTGCAGGTGGCGACTCTGAGTGGAATGGCCAGAGCCCCAGGAGAAGATGAAATCTTAAGCCCAGATTTGGTGGACTTTTCTAAGGTCAGAAGCAACATATGGCTTACAAATGTGAAATTTAGAAACTTATTACTAATAAATAAAGGCAAATTCACACAATGTTATGATATTTCACTTACTAAATTGGCATACACTTTAAAAAATAAGATTGGCAATGTTATATGGAGATTTCACACCGTAGGAGTAAGTATTAAACTTGTATAATTGTTCTTGAAGGCAATGGGATGATAGGCAATAAAGAATCTTAACAGTGTTTAAATACAGTCATTCCACATTTATGAATGCGTGGTAAAAAAGTAATCGGAAATGTTAACAAAATTTATGTAAGAATTATTTAGTAATTTTAAAATTTGGAAATAGAACACCTTTTCTATAATGGGGACAAATTAGAAATTATTATGGTATGTTCAATTAAGGTAATGCTGCCCAATCTTTAAAAATGATGAATTCAGCTGGGCGCAGTGGCTCACGCCTGTAATCCCAGCACTTTGGGAGGCTGAGGCGGGTGGATCATGAGGTCAGGAAATCGAGACCATCCTGGCTAACTCAGTGAAACCCCTTCTCTACTAAAAATACAAAAAATTAGCCGGGCAAGGTGGCAGGCGCCTGTAGTCCCAGCTACTTGGGAGGCTGAGGCAGGAGAATGGCCTGAACCCGGGAGGCGGAGCTTGCAGTGAGCCGAGATCTCACCACTGCACTCCAGCCGGGGTGACAGAGCCACACTCCATCTCAAAAAAAAAAAAAAAAAAAAAAAAGAAATCATTTTTTGAAGGCTATTAAATGATTTGAGAAAGTGCTTATGCATAGAAAATGTTCCAAAAGAAATACACCAAATGTTAATAGTAGTTGTAAACCTTGGGTGGTGGGATAATGGCTGCTTAAAAATAACTTCTTAAATGATATTTATGTATGATACATTACAAAATTCATGCATAATATATATTATAAAATAGATTATTTAAAATGGAAATTATAGAAAAGTAAGAAGGCAATAAAATTAGTTTTGGCTTATTTCTATTATTTCTGTTCATTATTTTACTTTCTTTTTCCAGATCAGCCATCATTTATCTTTCTCCCGATGCCTGCCTTTGTACCTTCCTGGGCCCTTCTCTCCCTGCTTCTTTCTCCTTCTTCACCTTCTATTCTGATTTGCATGAGGAAAGGGGGATCACACTTTTATTCACTGCCAGATTGTACTCCACAAAGACATCTATAATCCCACCCTTTGTATATACATAGTAATCTAACTTTTCTATTTTTACCATTTGGATGGGTGAAGAGGAATGTCTTGCTTTGAATTGAATTTCTGTGATTTCCAGTGGGATTGATAATCTTTTCATGTATTTATTAGACATTTGGGTTTCCCTTTTTGTGAATTCAGCCTGCAGAGCCTTTGCCTATTTTCTAGTTAGGTTATTTGTCTGTCTGTCTATCTATCTCTCTGTCTGTCTGTCTGTCTGTCTGTCTATCTATCTATCATCATCTATCTATCCATTTACCCTTGCTGGTTTGGAGGGATTCCTTGCTGTTCCAGGTGGTAATCTCTTGTAAGTTTCAGGCCTCTTACAAATATCTTCTTTCAATATATCCCCTTCCCATTTAAATTTGATCCATTAGTTTGACTAATTGGCCCACCAATATGTGCAGGCAGAACATCATTTAGATCTTTGATTAGATCTTTGTTTTGAATTTCTGTATCTGTCACTTTTTTCTCTCGCCATTTCCATCTTTGTCTTTTCCCTCTTTATTCTATAATGAATTCTCAAGTTTGTCCTCCACATTACTTACTCAGTCTGCCAGTGCCAATTCTGCTATTTCTGCCTTAAATGAGGGCTTAATTCTGCTTTTTTGAATTTTTTTTCCTTACAGCATTTCTTACTTCACAAAAACCCTACTTTCTTCTCATCTTATTCCTTTTAGATCTATTTTCTCACTGACATTTTTCTACTTCATCTCATCATCTATTGACATACAAGCAACTTACACTATTTTTTTCTTTGGTTTCTCTGAGTAAAAATTTCTAGAGGTATCTTCTTTTTTAAAAAAAAAAAAAATTTCCTGAGTCTTCCAGAAGGTGTTTCCTCTCCCTTAATCTTCCTGACTTTTGGGAAGCCCTATCCCCAGGTGGGATGCGGGTGGGAGGGGCCCCGCCCCTCTGCTCTGACCGCTTCTGTAGCGGCTGAATTTCTGCCGGAGTCGCAGATGGCGGGTAGGTTGGTGAGCCCAGCGCCTCACACATTTCCTGTCGACTTCTGCTCTCTCAGACAGAAATGGGATCCACTCCTACGTCCACTGCCGGCTCACTAGTACATGGAACAGATGGACTACATGGAAAACTCTAGCCCTGGTTTTTACTGCTTCTATTTCTATCTCCTCCCAGACCCATAGTGCTTTATTTATGGAGACTACTATGCTGGTAGCCCACAGCCTAAGTCTTGCTCAGGTGTTTTCTGAAGAGTTGCAGTCTCTGGATGTAGATAGGTTTGAGGTGGGGGTGAGTGAAATGAAAAATTACCATCTGGTTGTCCTAAAAAACATGGCTTAGTGAAGGACTAGCTGGCTAGTTTTCTGGTTGGTACAGTTCATGTGTTTTTCAGCTAAATATCACATATAGTGGAGGTGAAACAAAGAGTTCTTCTCTCTTCTTTCAGGTGTAATTTGTGTTTTGTTTTTTCCTTTAGAAACAAAGCACAATGGGTCCCTCATTGCAGCATGGCGCTTATGAGTCTGGTACTAGGGGCATTAAAGCCAGATTCTCCTAGATTTTGACAACAAGCTTGTTGTGCTAGTTTTCACAGGTGTTTTCATCTTTGTGTCTCTTCAGAGGTTTTCTAATGAGGCATTGAAGTGGCCAGCAATCACTTGAAGCTGACCCATTTATTTAACAAGCCACAGTTTCATTCCTTGCTGTGAAGTAGTGATCACTGCACAGAAAGTTCTTCAAGGAATACCTACAGACCAGGCCAGGGCACTTCACAAAGGAAAAAGGGCTTCAGTCTGCTCTGAATATCTGGGCAAGAAATTCTTCACGAAAAAAAATTGCCTGAGAGATTCCGAAGTCCAGCATTAGCAATGCCTGCCTTCATCATCTAAAAAGTTCCAATATGGCTTTTCCTAAAGGTTTGAACTTTGGACAAATTACACCTTGATGAATCTTTTCTACTAGATGAAAATACAAAAATGAAGAGAACAGTCTGGTTGTATGGATATACAGTGAGAGTAGGGAGCAAAGAATAATACAGATGAGATAAATAATATGGGTTAAGTGCTATCTGGTTTCGTATGTTGTCCTGTGATGGATTTATTTGGCGTCATTACAATATTTAAATGGGACTTTCTTCTGCCGAGGCCCACAAACCAAAGTAAAAAAACAATAGGGGGCAAGGAGACCTTATTTCAACATGAGGACTATGCCAGCTGTACGTAATGTTGCCAGAGAAAATAGAGCATGCCCAGTTAAATTTGAATTTCAGACAGACCATAAATAATTTTTTAGTATAAACGTGTTGCAAATGTATAAGATGTGCAAAAGGAGATGTCTGAAGATTTTTGGTGACACCTTGAAGATATAAAAGAGGGGAGGCTGAGGAGGCCAGGTGATATACTTTTGGAGATATTTGTTAGAGTTCGGTATCATTCCCACTGCCTCTTCCGTGGGAGAGAGGAGGATATGCTTCCTTCCACTAAGGCCTCCTGAGAAAGGCCCAAAGGGACTTGGCACTTGCAGCCTGGTGACAGAGGGAGCCGGTGTGTTACCTGCCCGGAAGAGTTAGGTCAAAAAACTGGCTAGAGCCACCTGCCCAGCAGCAGAGCCAGGAGAGGCTGCACGAAAGCACGCTGCACCTCCACCAAAGGCATTCAGGGGGGTATATTTCTCATGGATCAGACATAGCCCCACGGAAGGCAGGTGGCTTGCAAACAAACTCCGCTCGGGAGGACTTCCCTACAGCGAGGAATGGCTTTGGCAGAAAGAGACCCATCGGTTGCAGGAGCTGAGGCGATTGCTTAAACTGCCACCTGGAGGAGGATTGAGAGAGGTAGAGGCTGATGTTCCCAGAGAAGAACTTTCTGTGGATTTTGTCCAAGTGCCCCAGGGTAAGACCCATAGAAAGGCCAGGAAGCACCTGTGCAGATTGCTCACTTGCCCACTCATTCATATTCATTCATTCCTGTATGCTGGGTGCAAATATTTGTACCTAATGCTAGGCAGACACTGTTCCTGGTGTTTGGGATACACCAGAGAACCCAAAAGAAGCAGACAAATGCTTGCTTTTCAGAAGCAAAGGGCTGGCAGACTGAATTAAACTTGATAAATACATTCATTATAGTGTATGTTGGAAAGTAGCAATTGTTATGCTCTATTTTCAGAGGAGAGTCAGGAGGCCTGGCAGTGCCACAGGAGGCAAGGCGCAGATATTAGAGAGGTAAGTGTTGATTGGAGAGCTCTAGGCTTCTGGTGAAGAGGCTGCATTATCTTATGGGATATGTCAAGAGGGCATGCATCCAATTCACTTAAAATCACCAGGAATAAATTAATGCATATTACCAATGGTCATGTCATTCTTAAAACAACTTTTTCAAGATGTTTAAGAATGGCCAAAAGAGAGCACGGTAAAAGTAAATAGCAAAATTCCCTGGTCAGGAATGTCATTTATGACAGAGAAAGCTAACTGAGAATCTTGAGGTTGGAGGGGAAGCTGCTAGGGAGAAATGTCAGCCTATCCCTCTTCTGTTCCTCTATCTACCTGATTCTTGGTTATGATGGTGTTAGCACGGATATGAATGGAGACTTTTCTATTAGGAACAGAGAGGCAACAGAGGGAGTAGAGAATGACCCCACAAAGGGAGAGCACCCCAGTACAAAAGGCCATTTCTAAAGGCAGGATTTGAGTGAAGGTTTAGAGGAGAAATAAAGAAGGGAATATATTTAAAGCTATTTAAATAGTTTTTCAATTACTCCAGTGTGTCAAGATAATGCTCCTCTGAATATGATTCTATGCTAAGGCTGATTTCAAAGCTAGGCACCAAGCCAACATCATGAGTTCAGGTTGCCAAAGGTTATATTCATAGCAGGATGATTTGTGGAAAGTAAGAGTTGAAGATCATGAGGGGAATGTGTAAAAATGTGGTATATTCCATCGACAATAATGGAACAGGTTTACATAGGGAAACATGGATAGATTTCAAAATATGAGGTAGCATGAAAAATAGAAAAATGCTTAATGGCATAACACCATGAATACAATCTAAAAACACACACAAAACAACTCCCTGTTTTTCATGGCACATGACAACTAAATAGACACATTGAATGTAAATTCGGAGGCTAAATAATAAATCCACTAGAGTGATTGTCAAGGGTAGGACAGGAGTTAAGAGCGGGAATGGAGAAAGAAGAGCCACTGACATTGTCCTATTTCTGGGCATGTGGGAAGTGTCAGATCATCTCTGACAACACAGGGCCATTGACTGCTGCTCCAAGGCTCAAGTACTTTGTAAGATTTAGGCTGCCCTTTCTCTACATGAATGAATTTGGTGACTAGTGTGCCCTTATGTAATCCTGTGTGTCAGTGCAAGAACAGCGAGATCTCTGGGTTGCCAGTGAAAGCAGCACAGTGAGTCTAGAAATGTGGTGATAATAAGGAAAAAGGGGTGTGCGGAATTCTGATATTTAATTGTGGCTCTTTTACGGGCATCCTTTTTCCTGGTGATTGAGTAGAGGCTGCAGGGAGGATCAGATGGGCTCTGGGAGGCATTGTTAAAACTTAGAGGCCAGCAGCTGATGAAAGCTTCAGGTTTCTCCTGGTCTTCTTGCAAAGATAAGTTTGCAGCTTCCCAATAATGGGCCACAGCTGGGACCCTGTGCTAGTCTGCAGGCACCATGGCAAGCCCAGACTACCACTTGGTACAGGTCTGGAGAACAACTTTTTTTCTGAGGCAGACAGACCTCTCCTGCAGGTGAGCCTTGATTCTTGATCCCTGTCTTACCTCTTTGTCCTCTGTACCATTCACTAATGAGTGGTGAGGATGAGCCAAGGGAGAAAGCTTCTTCCTACCCTTTTAGACTCTAACTGGGAAGTGTTATGCTAATTTCGTAACGAGCCAGCATGCTTCCAGCTTTTTTGTCAGCTCAAACTTGAACTTAATCCTACCAGCTTCTAACACTGCATGTGAAATCTGGGTAATAGTGGAAACTGCTGCGCTACACTGGAAGATCGAACTGCTTGCATTCAAATACTGTGTGGCTTGTATAATAGAAATTATTATATCATAGATTATGTTTTAAATTGGTTTGAATTCTCAAACAGTAAGGAAATCACAGTTTGGTTATTAATGTAGGGAATTCATTCTGTTTTCCAAATGCAATGTATTTTCTTTGTTTTCTAGCTTCATTGAGGTATAAATGACAATTGTATATGTTTAAGGTGATGTTTTGACATACATATACAATGTGAATTGATGACCACAATCAAGCTAATTAACGTATTCATCACCTCATATAGTTACTCTGTGTGTGTTGAGAATAAGATCTACTCTCTTAGCAAATTTCAAATATGTGATATATTATTAACTATCATCCCTATGCTGTATATTAGGTCTCTAGAATTTATTCATCTTATAACTGAAAGTTTGTACCCTTTGGCCAACATCTCTCCATTTCCCCTACCCCTCAACTTCAGAAAGTCACCTTTTTTACTCAGTTTCTATGAGTTTGAGTTTTTTTAGATTCTACACATGTGTGAAATTAAATAATTCATACTTATAATAATTCAGATTTAAAGCTGTTGGAACTTGACATTATTTTGAGCCTCGAGAGTGAGACAGGAATAATACAGGATGGTTGCTGGAGAACAGAAAATTCCAGGCGGCAGTTTCACACGACTAGCAAAAGGAAACTGTTGAAATAGCTACAGAAACTAGGGGCTGATAAGACCCTGAAAACCAGGGTGTGGGCCGAGCTGGCTAAAACCGACTGGACCCGACACGGCACTGGATTTAGCCTGAGTTTCTCCTAGGATCTCATTATATGCTCATTAACATACTCAATCACACACCCACGAGCACCGTGACAGTTCTGGGAACTCTCGTATTTGTTATAAAAACGAGTGGCACCACAGTTTCCAGAAATCTCCATCTTTTTCTAGGAATCTTCATAAATATTCCGCTCCTTGATTAAAGAAACCCACAAAGGTGGAAACCCCAGACTCCATCACAAGACTCTTGAGTAAGTCTGCCTATGCGCCCCTTTCCTGAGTGTATACTTTTCCCTTTGCAATAACTCTTCGTACTATTTTCTGACTCATCCTTGAATGCTTTTTCTGGATGGTGTCAAGAGCTTGGACACCTGCTGAGTTGAGGTCCCATCAGCACTTGGGGACCTCCTCCAGCCCACCAGTATCAAGAGGAATGTGGATATGTGGCCTGAGTCACATGATAGGTTGCTGCAACTTCTGCTTCTCCATTTATAGATTAAATCTCTTCCTCATTCCTGTCCTATAAATGATTAGGAAAGGCCAAATGGCACCAGAGAGAAACCCCCTAGAGACCATTACTCCTCCTTATGGGAGTCTTATGGAATGCTAAAGCAATATTCTTTGGAATGTAGCAAGCTGTACAGATTATTGTAACATACATACTTATCGTGAATAGAAGATGTTGTCTGTTTAAGTGAAACCTTCACTTCCTCACTTAGGAATGCTGACCCATTCTTTGAAGTCTGTATTTTCTGCATGGTCATTCCCAAGCTTTGAAATGGAGTAAATGCTATACTCAACCATATTTTCTGAATCTCATTATTTAAGATTGACATTTGAGATCAGGTAGTATTTGTCTTTCTGTGCCTGGCTTAGCATAATATCCTCCAGGTTCATCCATGACCTTGCAAATGGCAGGATTTCCTTCTTTTTAAAGGCTGAATAATACCCTATTGTATATAAATATATTTTATGGCTGGGTGTGGTTGCTCACGCTTGTAATTCCAGAACTTTGGGAGCCCAAGGTGGGCAGATCACTTGAGCCCAGGAGTTCAAAATAAGCCCTGGAAACATTGTGAGATCCCGTTTCTACAAAAAAAAAAAAAAAAAAAAAAAAATTAGCTGGGCATGGTGGCACACACTTGTGGTCCCAGCATCTCAGGGGGCTGAGGCGGGAGGATCGCTTGAGCCTGGGAGGTTAAGGTTCCAGTGAACCATGGTTGTGCCACTGCACTCCAGCCTGGGAGACAGAGCAAGACCTTGTCTCAAAAATATATATATACACACACACATATATATACACACACATACACATACATATATATTATATGTATCCTAAGATATTATAATCTATATATGTTTAAAATATATATGAAGATATATTATTCCACTTACATAAACTTAAGATATATGAATATATCTTAATATGTATTAGAAATATATATATATATATATTTAAATTCATTTATTCATTGATGGACACTTAGATTGTTTTCCTATCTTTGCTATTGTGAATAATGCTGCTATGGACATGGGAGTGCAAGTATCTCTTTGAAGGAGTGATTTTTATTTCATTTGAATATATACCCAGAAGTGGGATTGCTGGATCATATGATAGTTCCATTTTTATTAGGTTGGTGCAAAAGTAATTGTGGTTTTTGACATTACTTTTAATGGTAATAATATTTTCAGGAACCTCTATATGGCTTTTCTTAATGGATGAACCATGTAGGAGTGAAGAGAGAAGGCTTCCCCCTTCACCCTCTGCAGGTTTGCTGAAAATGAACTGACAAAGCAGATCAACAGGAGGAAAAGGCACACAAATATATTTTAATGTGCATTGCCCAGGGGAATTGCAGGAGAATGATTACCCAATAACTCAATGGAGCACAGATGCTTATATACCCTTCTATATAGAGAAGCAGGGAGATAGAAATGCAGAAGTAAATGACACATTTCTTTGAAGTCTGGGGGAAGTGTTGGGAAGGTGAGGGACGTTACTTCATTGTGAGCAAAGGCTGTCTTATTATGCAGATAAGGCCTCCCAGGCAGTCTCTGGAGCTGCCCTCAGGAAAATAGATGAAAAGTCTGTTTGGGCGTGGTGACAACTTCCAGTCTCTCCTGTGGTTGATTTTTTTCTGGTTATTCGATGAGAATCCAAGGGAGGTGGTCTTAAGACAATTGCGTTTCTTTTGGAAAAAAGCTTTCTTAGATAAAGAAATTCCAGGGAGAGTCCTTCCTGGTGCTTTGAGAAAGAGGATCAGAGAGACTTTGGTTCTGAGGCTTATTTCTGAGGCTTTCAATTTTGAAAGCACTCAGCATGCCAGAGTGCCATGTTTTGGGGAATCGTTTTATGTGCTCCAAAAACCAATTTACATTTCCACCACCAATATAGGAGGTCTCTTTTCTCCACATCTAAATGTAATGTATTTTCTTATTTCCACCTAGAAATTGGATGTATTCATTTATTAAACCATATTTGCTAAGCACCTAAATGTGTCAGAACCAAATGTTTAAGAAGTCTTGGGCTTAAACAGATAAAGTCATGATTCCTGCTTCTGTGAACTTACCTACAGTCTACCAAAGAGACCACTGTGATACATTAAGAATATTGCTATAAGGGAGCATGTGCAAAATACTGTAGTGGTAGCCTAGAAAAAAAATGTTTCTTAGAGAATCAAGGATGGCTTTGCAGAGGAGAAATCTTTAGCTAAGTCTTGAGGGATGGTTGGACAAGATATAAGGGCAGGAAAGAAGAGCTATGAAGAGGGTTTATTACAGAAAGAATGCTATCTCTGTTTCTAGGACACTGAGCAAAACAGAAATGAGAATATACAGACAGTTCTTGTCCCTGATTCTCAGCACAGCCTTTGCAAATATGTTAGGCCCTTGAGGAACTTTGATTGAGGAATCCTTATAGATCGCTGACTCCAGCAGAGTCGACTTCTTTTTTCTGTATCTTTCAGAAAGAGGCACGAATTTCAGAACTAGTGTGCATTGCAAAAATTCCAACTAACATGTCACAATTATAGAAACACCTGTTCTAGACATAACAATATTTTTTGTTGTTAATTCATTAGGCTGGGTACACCAAAATTAATTTCATTTAAAATATAGTAATGAATAAGTAAATGATAGTCCTGTCTTTAATTTTTTTCCCCTGAAGCTTAAAAACCAGTTTAGGTGGAAAAACCACAAATTTTTACAGTTCCAGAGAATCTCACCGTGAGCACTGACTCACAAGGTATTTATTGTAGAAGTCCGTTTTCCTTTAATGTGTGTAGCTGATCATGCAAAATAAGTTTAGATTTGTTCTTATGGATCCCTGTGTTCTTGGATGGAACTAAAAGTTGAACCTCCCCCTCCCTCCCCCCTACTTTTTTTTTTTTTTTACTCTGAAAGCACTAGTCAACTTTATTTGGGGACCAAAAAAAAAAAAAAAAAGTATGCTCATCTGGCTTTGGACCTACAGAATGTAACCCCTGGAATGGAAGGTGGGGCCGCTTGCTCGCTTGCTATTCATTGATATTATCCCTTTGTGATTTTGATCAATTTTTCACAGACACCTAGACAAAAATAAATAATATTCAAAATTTTTAAAATGTGAATTTCTTTCCCTACTCATTAAGCCAGAGCAATTACCCTTTTAATTCAGTGCATTGCATATGTTCCATACAGCAGCAACCTGTATAAAGAGGATGAGGGTGAGAAAATGCACCATGGATTCCAACTTCAAAACTTTTCAGGGAACCTCAAGGCCAAGATTATATAGCTGAAGCAAAGAGCAAGGTTCAATTATTTGACTTTTTTCCTGCCAATTTAGCTAAATATTTCAAATAAAATATATGCACAGAAAATTTTCTATGATTGAAAGAATCCCATATTTACCAAGTTTTTAACTAACCCATTAAAGAAGGTGACTGGCCACTGTGCTGATAATTTTTTAGCCCTGTACTTTGCCTTCTATGTGGTAAGCAATAAAGCGTAGGAGTTAAATGTGCTGACTCTGAAGCCACGCTGGATTTGAATCCTAGCTCTTTCACTTAATGGCTGTGTGACTTAGAAAAACTTACTTAAAACTCAGTATGCCCCACTTCCCATATCAGCAAAATTGGAATATTAATAGTTCCTGCCTTGAGGGGTGACTGTGAGGATAAAATGAGTCAATGTATTCATGGCTTGCCTTCCCAAACCACCAGGCTAAAGCCATGTGGCAGAGATAGTCAGTTAGTGCTTCCTAAATATCCATGTTCCCACTATGGATCCCAACTTTCCTTGAAGTTAGATGTGGGGCTGTGTGACTATCCCTGGCCAATCAACTTCAAGCTGCAGTGAACTATGTCACTTCTAGGCCAAGGGAATGAAGGGCCAATATGCTTTCTCCATCCCTTTTCTCCTCATCCCTTTTTCCCCTCCCGTGGTGACTCTGGAGACCACATGTTTCTGGTGATGTAGCTTTGATATGGTAAGAGCTTGGGTCCCTAAGCCATAGTTTGAAAGACACAGGCCAGCTGCTGATCCATGGAGAACTTTATGTGAATGGAAAATAAATGGTTTATTGTGATATGTGATAAGTCAATGAAATTTTGGGGGCTTGCTTGTTGCCACAACATAGCCTAACATTACCCTGTCTAGTACAAGTCACAAACAGTTTAATTTACATTTAAATAACCCTGCTTCCTCCTTTTAAAACTTTATTTTAGATCTATTCTAATTTCTTATAATGATTAACTTAAAACATTAAGCCGTAAAACTCTTCAAGAAATAAGCACGTAGCCGGGCGTGGCGGCTCACGCCTGTAATCCCAGCACTTTGAGAGGCCTAGGCAGGCGGATCACCTGAGGTCAGGAGTTCAAGACAAGCCTGACCAACATGGAGAAACCCCGTCTCTACTAAAAATACAAAATTAGCCGGGCGTGGTGGCATGTGCCTGTAATCTCAGCTACTCGGGAGGCTGAGGCAGGAGAATCGCTTGAACCTGGGAGGCAGAGGTTGCGGTGAGCCCAGATCGTGCCATTGCACTCCAGCCTGGGCAACAAAAGCGAAACTCTGTCTCAAAAAAAAAAAAAAAAAAAAAAAAAAAAGAAAGAAAAAGAAAGAAGGATGTATATTTAATTTTTATTATATGAATTTTATTATATAATTTAATCATATAAATCATATAATTTTTATTATGATTTTGCATTGCACTTTGAGGTTATTCTGTTTGAATAACCACATTCAAATGAGGTTTGGTCACCCATTAGAGAATGGGTACCAGGCTAATCTGCAGAATTACAGCCAGAGACTCACCTGAAGTATTCCTAGTGTCAAATATCTAGGAAAGAGGCATGCTTCACTATCAGGAAACAGGAGCTCTAAGGTGTGAAATTAAAGGAGTCTTGTTCTTGACATTTCATTCTTTGTAAGGAAAGAATCAAGGATCCAAAAGGCAGAAAAAAGTTGGAGATTGTAGTATCAGAAGTCTCTGCCCTTGGAAACAGTTCAGGTATCAAGGAAGTAGAGGTCCTAACAAGGGCTGTAGCCCACTATTAATGAAGCAGCAGAAGTGATAGCTTATTTCTTTACTTTTTTTTAAGAAAAAATAATAAAAGGGAACGTGAGCTCAAGGCAACAAAAGAGGTATCTCTTGGTCTGTCAGCAAACAAAATTTTCCTTCCAGAATTACATGGAAGTAAATTTTTCCCTCCTTGGGAAAGACAGCATTTTCTTAATTATATTTAAAAAAATGGTAACTTTTCCACTAGTCTGTAAGGATTTCAATTATGCTATGATTTATGAATCACGATTCATAAGATTATGATCTTATGCATAAGTACCAATTAAAAGACCTTTCTGAATGTTCAGTACTCGACTTCTAATTTGGAGTCTCAAATTTGTCTCTTCTTTACTGTCTTTTCCAATACTCATCAATTCTCTGAACTCAAAACTTTTGCATTTTCATTCCACTGATTGATGGCAAGCCAATAGAATTCTTGTATAAAACAATTAAAATTCCATGAATGGCTTTTCTTGATTGCAGATTTGGGTGACAGGTTACAATTGTGGAAGTGATAGAATATTTTATTTCCCATCCCAAATCCTACCACTTGACCTCATGTAGTAAAATATTTCTCTAGCAATTCTCTTGATATTTGCTTTCTCCAAATTTTTATGTGATCTTTTACAACAGAGTACCTAAGAGAATCCTCTTTTAAAGTTATAATTTTATTATTAAAATTTAAAATATAGGTAATAAATTCATGTGGTTCAAACTTCAAAAAGCATAAAATGGTCAGCAGTGAAAATTGTCTTTCTATTACCATTCCATCCCCAGGTTACCCATTTCCCTCTTGGAGGCAGTATTGCTAGTTTCTTATACTGTATGTTTAAAGATATAGACAATGCATATACAAGTAAGTACAGAAATACATTAAACACACACACACACACACACACACACACACATAAACATATGGATGCACCCACACATTTCATCTTTTTTTTACACAAATGGTAGATACCATATGCCCCCTTTTGAGCTCTCATTTTTTCCCTTAAAAATATATCTATGAGATTATCTCATCTCAGTCATAAAGATTTTATTTTATTTTTACTTTTTGAATTGAAATAAATGTATATATAGGAAAAACATAAATATCATAATTATGCAGCTCAATGAATCTTAACAATGTGAATGCATATGTTTCATCAGCACTTGAATCAGGAAACAGATTTATTATAAATACCCTGAAAGCCCATGTTAACAGGTCTCGCAATCACTACTACTCCTTCCACCACCCTATCAGTTAGATTTGCTGCGTAACCAACCACTCCAAAACTCAGGGGCTTAAATCAACAGTCATTTACATTTTTGTGGGTTGGCAATTTGGGTTCAGTTCAGCGGGGCAGTTCTGTGGGGCTGGAGCAGACTCAGCTCATCTCAGCAGCGGCTCACTCATGCATCCGCAGGTGGCTGCTGGATGCTTGGGACTGGCTGACTTTTGGCTGGAGTGTAATCCCTCCAGCAAGTCCACCCAGGCTTGTTCACATAGTGGCAGGATTTCAACAACAGCAAGAGTAGAAGCTGCAAGGCTTCGTGAGGTCTCGACTCAGAACTGATAAGTTGCTCTGACACATTCTATTTGTCAAAGCAAGTCACAAGGCTAGTTTAGTTTCCAGGGGTGAGACTCTGCCTTTTAATGCAGGAGTTTTCAGAGGATTGCAGTCATTTTTGCAATCAACCACAATCACCATTTATTGGTTTTGCCTGTTTCTGAATTTTATATAAATCCAATTATACATTATGCCTACTCTTTTGGGTCTGATTTCTTCATTCAACATTGTCTATTGTTCTGTTAGCATTAATTTATTCTTTTAAAAAAATGTTTATCGAGGCCGGGCACAGTGGCTTGCGGCTGTAATCCCAGCACTTTGGGAGGCTGAGGCGGGTGGATCACGAGGTCAGGAGATCGAGACCATCCTGGCCAAAATGGTGAAATCCCGTGTCTACTAAAAATACAAAAATTAGCTGTTGTGGCACGCATCTGTAGTCCCTGCTACTTGGGAGGCTGAGGCAGAAGAATTGCTTGAACCTGGAAGGCAGAGCTTGCAGTGAGCCGAGATCCAGCCACTGTACTCCAGCCTGGTGACAGAGCGAGACTCCGTCTCAAAAAAAAAAAAAAAAAAAAAAAAAGTTTATTGAACACCTACTAAGTTTTGGAAATAAAGTCAAATGAGATATAGATCCAGTCCTCCAGAACAGGGGAGGTTGCTAAGTAAATATGATGTATATGTTATCATAAAAGTATGCAGAGGGAGTTAGGAGTAAGATTAAAGTCAGACCTCACTAGGAGAGGTAATGTTTACCTGTATCTTAAATTATACACAGGAATTAGTCATATGGAGAAAGATGTACGTGAAGGACAGTCCAATTGGAGATACAAGTGGTTGGGATATGGAGCTGTGAAACATCATAATGGCTCAAATACAAATAGTGTATTACAATTATTACAACTAGCACTTGCAGGTATGTTAGAAGAAGAGCTCAGATCAGTGATTTTCGAACACTAGTGTGCATCAGAATCACCTGAAGGACTTAAAAAATTTTTTTTATTTTATATTGTATATAATCGATGTACATATTATTGGGGCACATGTGATATTTAAGACATTTATATAATTTGTAATGATAAAATCCATGTAATTGGGATAGCCATCATCTTTTTTTTTTTTTTTTTTTTTTTGAAATGGAGTCTCTCTCTGTTGCCCAGACTGGAGTGCAGTGGCGTCATCTGGGCTCACTGCAAGCTCTGCCTCCCGGGTTCACGCCATTCTCCTGCCTCAGCCTCCCGAGTAGCTGGGACTACAGGTGCCCGCCACCAAGTTTGGCTAATTTTTTGTATTTTTTTAGTAGAGACGGGGTTTCACCATGTTAGCCAGGATGGTCTCGATCTCCTGACTTCGTGATCCGCCCACCTCGGCCTCCTAAAGTGCTGGGATTACAGGCGTGAGCCACCGCACCTGGCCGGGATAGCCATCATCTTAAATATTTGTCTTTATGCTAGAAACGTTCAAATTATTCTTTTCTAGATACTTTGAAATATGTAACAGATTATTGTAAACTATAGTCACCCTACTAATCTATCAAATGCTAGGTCTTATTTCTTCTATCAAACTGTATATTTGTACCCAATAATCAACTTCTTCATCCCCCATCCACCTTTCCCAGCCTCTGGTACAACTGCCAATCTACTCTCTAGCTTCAAAATATCTACCTTTTTAGCTCCCACGTGAGTGAGAGCCTGTGATATTTGTCTTTCTGTACTTGGCTGATTTCATTTAACATAATGACCACAAGTTCCATACATGTTGCTGTCATTTCATCTGTATACATTAAACTTTAGCAAATAGTGCCAAATAGTTTTCTAATGTAGTTGTAACAATTTCCTCTTTCTCTAGCAGTTTATGAGCATTCCATTTGTTATACATTCTTGCCTAAACTTGTTATCACTTACTATCAGTGTTTTTGAGTCATTCTAAACAGTGTGTACTTATATCTCATTGTTTAATTTGTATTTCCTTGACGAATAATAATATAGTTTCTTTTTACATGTTTATTGGCCATTTGGATATCCACTTTTGTACTGTTTATTAAAGACTTTTGTCTATTTTTCCGTTCAGTTATCTCTGTTTTTTAAAAATTTATTTGTAAAACTTATTTATAGATATTTGATATAAGTCCTTTGTCAGCTACATGTATTGCAAATGCCTTCTTGCAGTCTGCTTTTTCACTCTCTTAATGGTGCTTTTTAAATAACAGAAGTTGTAGTATTTTAACTAGTCCATTTTATCAACCTCCTTCATAATGGTTAATGTTTCTTGGATCCACTTAAGAAATCTTTGTCTACCCCAAAGTCATAAAGATATTTTCATATGTTATTTTCTAGCAGTTTTATTGTTTTACCTTTCACATTTATATCAACAATCCTCCTTGAATTAAGTTTTGTTTGTGGGGTGACATAGGAATATCATGTTTTTTCAATCTGTATGAATACCAAATTCACTCAGAGCCATTTATTGAAAAGACCATCCTTTCGATAGTGCATTGCTGTCTCGCCTTTGTCATAACGTGAATGTTTCTATCAGGTAGAGTATGTTCCTGGATTCTCTGTTCAGTTCCATTTATCTATCAATGCTTGCACCAAATATCATACTATTTGAATTACTGTGGCTTTATATATAGTAAGTTATGATATCCAGAAGTATAAGTACTCTAATTTCATTCTCATACTTAAAATTATCTTTGTTATTCTTGGCTGTTCCATTTCATATGAACTTACCCCACACAGGTGAAAGCCCTGCTGGGTTATTAGCTAGGATTGTATTTAATTTATTGACGATTTTGGGAAGAACTGTCCAGGTAACAAAATTGAATCTCTAGAATCATAAATATGTTTTATTCTTTCATTTATTAAGGTTTTAAAAAATATTTCTTAAGAAAGTTATGTAGTTTTCATTAGACTATATGTTATGTATATACGAATGATTGATTTTTGATGTGAATCTTGTAACCAGTGACCTAGCTGAGTTCACTCATTAGTTCTAATAATATGTCTCCATATTCTTATGGATTGCTTTCATTTACATGATTTACTACATATACACAATATGGTATCTGTGATAACATAATTTTTATTCTATCATTTTTCATTTCTCCTTTTCCAGTAGTTCTTTTTCTTGCTTCATTGTACTCGCTAAAACTCCCAGAACAATGCTGAAGAGAAATAAATGATGATGGCAGGCATCTTACCTTGTTTCTGATCTCCAGGGGAAAGCTTTTCCTGTTTCATTGTTGTGTATAATCTTAGCCATAGGTTTTCCGTAGTCTTCTTATAGCAATAGAGCTTTCTTCTATTTACAGATTTCTAAGATGTTTTAATTTATTGAGTTTAACTTATGATTTTCTATTTTATCCTATAAAAGTAAATTAATTACTTTTTGAATGTTAAACCAACTTTTCTGGAATAAAGTTCTCTTGGTTGCTGAATTCAATTGCTAATATTTTATTAGAATTACTAAATTTATATTTGTAAAGAATGTCAGATTTTTTTTTTCTTTCTAACAATATCTTACCAGGATTTGATATCAACATCATGCTTGTCTTATAAAATGGGTTATGAAGCACTTTTCTTTTTGCTGTTTTCTCGAATTGTTTTTAATATATTGGTGTTATTTCTTCCTTAAATATTTAGCAGAATTTACCAAAATGTCTTTCTTGATCTGAGATTTCATATCAGAATTATTTTTCATAGATTCAGTTTCTATAATCAATACAGATCTTTTCAGATTTTCTATTTCTTGTGTTAATTTTAGTAAATTTTGTTTTTCTAGCAGTTTGTCACTTCACTTAAATATTCAAATTTATTGACAGAAAGTTATTCATAATATCCTATTTATTTATTGAAGTCTGTTGAATCCGTAATGTGATTCCTTTTTATTTCTAGTATTGGTAATTTGTGCCTTTTCTCTCTCTTTTTAAAAAACTCAATGTTACTAGGGGCTTATAAATTTTATTAGATTTTTCAAAGAACCAACTTTTGACCTTGCTGATTAACTCTATTTTTTTATTTCATTAGTATCTGTTCTTATTTAACATGTTTCCTTTCTTCTTTTGGTTTAATTTGCTCTTATTCTATACTTTTTTGAGACTAATATTTCACTTACTTATTTTCAGTCTTTCTTATTTCTTAAAACATGCATTTAAGGCTATAGATTACTTTTGAATAGTGACTCTACATGTATCCCCCAAGATCTGACATGTTATATTTTTATTATTTCAGTCTAACATTTTTAAACATTTCCATTGAGATTCTTCCTTAATCCTGTGTTATGTCAAAGAGTACTTCTTAATTTCCATACATTTGGAGATTTTATGGGTTCTTTGTAACTAATTTCTGGCTTGATTCCACTGTGATCAGAGAACATATTCGGCTTGATTATAGTACAGCATATGGTCATTTTGGTAAGTGTTCCAAACACAAGTTGAGAATCATACATACTTTCTGCTTTTGTATATAGTTATTGGTTTCAAATTTTTATACCACTTTGTTCAAAATTTCTAATTTTTACTCAACTTTTGTCTGCTTCTCTATCAGTTACTGAGAGAGGTATGTTAAGGATCTCAATCTAAAATCTAATACTGTGGGTTTCTCTATCTTATTAGTTCTATTGATTTTTGCTTTACATATTTAAGCTTATCTTATTCTTTTTACATATTCTTGATGAAGTAACACTTTTATCATTATGAAATATTTCTTATCTTTGGTAATATGTTTTTGCATTACATTCTACTAATCTTATATGAATTTAGATATGCCAGCTTTAAAATATTTTATTATTTTGGTTAATATTTGTATGCCATCTTCTTCCATATTTTCAAACTTTCTATGCCTTTGTATTTGAAGTGTGTCTTCATTATGCAACATATAGTTGGGTTTCATCCTTATTTAGTCTTAAAATCTTTTTCTTTCAATTGGAATTTTTAGTTTATTTTTAATATATGTAATTACTGATTTTTTAACTTAAAGCTTTTATATTACTATTTTTCCATTTGTTTCATTTTTTCAATAGTCCTCTTTCTCTGTTTTTTCTATTTCTTGATTTCCTACAGGCTCCTGATAACAATAATTAGAAAAGCCAGATAAAATTCAAACAAACCGAAAGTATAGCCACTTGAATCATTAGCGAGTACCAAGGTATCCAAGTCATAAAGACCCAATATTCCAGAATAAAGAAAACTCACGTAGGTGTATATGATCTCTTCTGTAATTTTCCAAAAATTTCCCTTTAGTTCTTCAATGTAGATATTTTCTACTGACCCACCTTCCAAAACATGAATCTTCTGTACAGTTGTGTCAAATTTAATATTTAATCCACCTATTGAGTTCCTAGATTAAATGTTTATTTTTACATTCTAGATTTTCAACTTGATTGTTCTAATTGTTTAGCTTTATTTTACCATCATGTCTTCTATTTTATTAAACATGTTTTTAATAGTCATTTTAAAGCCCGTTTATGAAAACTCAGTTGTCTGGATCACTTTTAGATTTATTCCTATTGTTTATTTTCTGTTCTATTCTTTCTCTTTTGGAAGAAAAGAATAATTGTATGGCAGACATTGTGTATGAAATATTGACATCTTTCTCTATGAGTTTAGCTTGTGACAGTCAGAATAGGGAAAATTACCCTATTCCAATCAGGGATTAAACAGTTTTAAGGTTGTGTTTCAGACTTTGTAATGCTTGGTCTATTTGTGTTTTCTCTAATTCCTAGGTTGTGATTCTAAGGGATCCCAAATGAAAACTTGGGGTGTTTATCGCTGTCCGTCTTTCTTGAGAGGCCCTTAACTTCATTGAAAAATATCTTCCTAGCATTGTGAGACTGCCAAAAGCTTTGAACTTCTTGGCTCCCACTCTCTTCTAAGCTTCTCTTGTTCTAAGCTTCTCTTGAAGGACAAGCTTCTCTTGTTTCTTCTATGCTGTCGAAATCAGGAATCAGCAAATGCTTCAAGGGGAAAAGCTGCATATTTTCAGTCTCACATCTGCTTCCTTTCTCTTAGCTCCTCAACTCCTGGATATCTTAGTGGCCCTGAACTCCACCTTTTTTTCTCACTAGATCTTGAGATTGCTAAAAGCTGTCCTCTGTTTCTTAGCAGCCTGTTTTTCTCCTTTTCTCAGCTTCTTTGCCTGTACAATTTTGAGTCATCTCAGTTTCCTGTCTCCTAAGGATCTTGGCCCTTCAAGTTCTGGCTACCTTGGTAATCCTCTGTTGCCTTCAAATTTCTTTTTAATCTAATTATTCTAGTTGTTATTAGTGGGAGGTTTGGTCTGCTATAAATTAATCCCTGTCACAAATGGAATGCCTTTTTCCTTTTCTTTTTTTTTTCAGCTACATAGTATACCATTGTATAGCTATTCTAAAATTTCTTTATGCAGGACCTAGTTATGGATACTTAGGTTGTTTCCAATGTTTACTATTGCAAAGCATAAAGCAGTAACTTATATGTACATTATAAATTGTATAATTAATGGTAACTTCGTATGTACATAATTCTATGTGCATTATCTATACAGTTGCACACATATACAAATATATATAAAACAAAGTCTTAGAATAAAATTGCTTAATCAAAGGGAATGTTCATTTGTATTTTGATATACATTGCCTATTTTCCTTTGTAGAACTTATACCAATTTATATTCCAAAGATTATATGAACATGCCTATTTTCCCACAGCTTAACAACATACTGTGTTATTTTAATTTTGACATTTGTCAATGGTAGCTTAAGAAATGGTATCTCATTATAATTTTAATTTGCATTATTTCTATTGTGGGGGAGGTTGAACATTTTTCATGCAGTTAAAGCCTCAAGTTAACACACTGTTCTATAGATTTGTTGTAGATGACCAACATTTCACAGACTATATATCACGACATTCACATAAAATTTTCTGCAAAAATTATGTTGTATCATATATTTGCCCCTTTTGGCAATTCATAAAAAAGCCTCTGAGAAAAGAAATTCCTTGAAATGTTTTATTGTGGAAAAAATATATATATAACATAATTATCATCTTAACCAGTTGTAAGTATGTGATTTAGTAGCACTAAATACACTCACAACATTGTGTGGCTATCACCAGTATCCATACCCAAAATGTTTTCATCATCTGTAACGAAAACTCTATGTCCACTACTCCCTTTCCTTCCACCTCCCAGCCCCTGGTAACCTCTACTCTATTTCCTGTCTCTTTGAATTTGCCTGTTCTAGGTACATCATATAAGTATAATTTTACAATATTTATCCTGTGTCTGGCTTCTTGTACTATGCATGTTTTCAAGGACCATCCATGTTGTAGCATATATCAAAATTTCATTCATGTTTATGGCAGAATAATATACTATCATGCGCATATTCCCTTTATGTGTTGGTGGGCATTTGAATTGTTTCCACATTTTGCCCATTGTGAATAATGCTATGAACATCAGTGCACAAATGTGTTTGAGTCCCTGCTTTTAATTCTTTTGGATATACACCTAGGAGTGAAATTGGTGGGTCATATGGTAGTTCTATTTGAACTGTTTAAGAAATTGCCACATTGTTTTCTACATAAAATGTACCATTTTGGATTCTCCCCAGCACTTATGAGGCTTCCAATTTCTCCACGTCCTTGCCAACACCTGCCATTTTCCCTTTTTAAAAATTATAGCCATCCTAGTAGGTGTGATGTGCTATCCATGGTCATTTTGACTTGCATTTTTCTAATGATTAATAATGTTAAGCATCTTTTCATGGGTATATTGGACGTTTGTATATCATACTTGGTGAAATGTCTATTCATGTCCTTCATCTACTTTTTAATCTAGTTGTTTGACTTTTTGTTGTTGAGTTGTAGGAGTTTTTAAAATATAAATTTTGAGTATCCATCACTTATTAAGTATATAACTTATAAATATTTTCTCCCATTCAGTAGGCTGTCTTTTTACATTACTTTCAGCAATGTTGTAGTTTTAAGTATATGAGTCTTTTACTTCTTTCTTTAGATTTATCATAAGTATTTAATTTCTAATTAGTTAAGATTTATTCCTAAGTACTCCTAAGTATTTAATTACTAAATACTAAGTATTTAGTAATAAACATAAACCTTGTTTAGATTTGTTCTTAAGTATTTTAGTGACTATTATACACAGCTTTTCTTTTCTTTTCTTTTTTTTTTTCTTTTGAGATGGAGTCTCACTCTGTCACCCAGGCTGGAGTGCTGTGGCATGATCTCGGCTCACTGCAACCTCCGCCTCCAGAGTTCAAGTGATTCTCCTGCCTCAGCCTCCTGAATAACTGGGATTACAGGCACCCGCCACCTCGCCTGGCTAATTTATTTTTTATTTTTTTATTTTTTAGTAGAGATGGAGTTTCACCATGTTGGCCAGGCTAGTCTCGAACTCCTGACCTCAGGTGATCTGCCTATCTCGGCCTCCCAAAGTGCTGAGATTACAGAGGTGAGCCACCGCGCCTGGCTGCATTGCTTTTCTTTATTTCCTTTTTGGATTGCTTATTGCTGGTATATTGCAGCAAACTTAATATTTGTGTTGATCTTGTACCCTGAAACTTTGCTGAATTTGTTTACTAGCTCTAGTAGCTTCCTTACAAATTCTGTGGAATTCTCTTTTTAAAAATTTTTTTTTCCTCTAGTTCATTGGTTTTTCTTTCTTCTTCTTATTTTTTATTATACTTTAAGTTCTAGGATACATGTGTAGAATGTGCGGGTTTGTTACATAGCTATACACGTGCCATGGTGGTTTGCTGTACCCATCAACCCATCATCTACATTAGGTATTTCTCCTAATGTTATCCCTCCCCTAACCCCCAACGCCCCGGCAGGCCCTGGTATGTGATGTTTCCCTCCCTATGTCCATGTGTTCTCATTGTTCAACTCCCACTTATGAGTGAGAACATGCGTTGTTTGGTTTTCTGTTCCTGTGTTAGTTTACTGAGAATGATGGTTTTCCAGCTTCATCCATGCCCCTGTAAAGAACATGAACTCATCCTTTTTTGGAATTTTCTACATATAGAATCATATCACCTGTGAATAGAGATATCATTACCACTTCCTTTTTAATTTGAATGGCTTTTATTTCTTTTACCTTTCTAATAGCTCTGGTTGGAACTTCCAGTACAAGGTTGAATAGTAGTAGTGAAAGCGGGCATTCTTGTCTTGTTCCTGACCCTAGAGAGAGAGTTTTCAGTCTTTTAGCATTGAGTATGGTCCATTCAATTTTGTTTTAAGTCAGCATCTTCCCAACTTATTTGACTGAGGAACAAGCTATTCATATTGGGAAACACTTTTACTGATAAATTAAGACCTGAAATGAGTTTAAAATGTCTAACAGTTAGAATGAAAATTCAGGTGTTTAGAGTAACACAGGGCATTTAGATTTCAATCTTTGACTCTGACAGTTTGACTCTGCCATTTTTCAGAGAGCCATTGAATTTCAATCAATTCCTCTTTACACTTTAGTTCAGTTCACAAAACAAACACAAGAAATATAGCTTTCTCCATTATATAAGCAGGATGCGACTACCTATTAAAATGCTGAGAATGACTTGTAGGTGGTATTGTTAACAGAGGGAGGACCAGAGGGAAGACTGTCCTACGTGCAGCTTGGTGTTCTGCAGTGATTTGTGGTGGCTGCATTAAATCAAAATTTAATACTTTGCCTTTTAGGGAGAAAGGCGAGAAGATAATATGAAAACATTGGGTATGTTATCCTCTTGCCAAAGAATTATTGATTGTATCTTCTTCACTTCTCTCAGTACCCACTAATTTTTACCAAGCACCTCATCCCTACGTGCTGTTTTCTCTCACAAAATTCCAAGCAAGACTCTGAGTCTATTACCCTCTCTACACTTTATAGGTAACTGAGAAAGTCTAGAAAACAAAATGATGAATAAAACAATTGGCTGAAAACTCAGAGTTGTTATAAAATTGGCAGCGGTAAGATAAGCAAGGAGCGAAATCTTGCAGTGGTTAAATGCTCAACCAGGAGTGTCTGAGTGGCCTCATCAGACTCTCCAGCCTTGCGGGCAACCCCAGATGATGGGCACTTCTTGAAGATTTAGTCATAAGCCTAAGTCAAAGAAAGTTTTACAATCTGTTTATTTAATCGTGGCTCAGTGTTGTCATGTCTTTGCATATGTTCTAGCTACATTTGGTGAAGGTTAAACAAATGGTGGGTCAGAGGGTCACTGAAAGAATAATTGTCATTCCTTGTGGCAGCCATGCCACATTGGCTTCCTTGTGTCTCCCTCAAATATACAAAGCACATTGGATTCTTAATTTGAACTTTTTGTCCCTCTGCTTAAAATAACCTTCTATAAATACTTAGAGGGATTTTTTTTATCCCTCACTTATTTAGGTCTCTGCTCAAAGAGGCCTTCCCTAGCTCTTCTTTCTAAACTATTCCCCAATATTTGCTCTCCCATGACCCTGCCTTCTTTTTCTTTACAGGTCACAATTCTTGGCATGACATCAAATGTTCATTGATGTATTTATTTGTTATCTGTTCACCAATATAAGCTTTATGAGGGCGAGGCTTTGTTTTGTTCAGTGCTGTATTGCCAACATTTTAAACAGTGCTTTGAATATATGTTAGGTACTTAGAAAATATTTCCTGGATAAACAAACTCATAAATATGCTGATGGAAAAGTTATTTAACAATCAAAGGGAATTTATTGGCTCAATGAAATTAAAATTATCTCTTTTGAAGCACCCATATAATGTCACTGGGACTCTCTCCAGTCCCCAGCTCTGCCTCTTTCCTGTTGGCCTCACTTTCCAGCAGATCTTTCCCCCAGCTGGTCCCTGGCTACCCTAGGCTTACATCTTGCAAAGTTAAAACATCCAGAGAAGAGGACACACCTCTTTCCCAGCAGCACCAGCAGAATTTCAGGGCTCCAGTGGCTTCTACTGGGCAACACACCTGAACCAAATCCTCTGGCCAAGGAATTGAAATAGGCTTATTGACCAGGCCAGGTCACTTCTCCCCTCCTGATGCCCACTGCAGCCATGTGGACCAAGAATGAGGAAAGGCAATTCTTCAAAGAAAAATTAAAGTGTAGATATTGTAGACATGTAGATAGCATAGACATGGGAGAAAGGATGCCCCGAAGGCAAAAGAGACAGAATACACTTCATTCCTGATGATTTAAAAAAGAAAGAGAAAAACAAAAATAGACAAAAACAAACAAAACTTCTTTGCCACTCAGTAACAACTTGTTTAGGTCCTCATTTCCAAGAAGCTGATAGAAATACATCAAAACTTTGTTCCAAGTTAGAACTCTTGTCTTTTTAAAGCTTTGTTAGCACCCCTGAGGTGCTAATGGAAACCATCAACAGTAAGTCTGTAAAGTTTCCAATGTTAAACTCAGTCTTGAGACTAAGGCATTTAGCTATGAACTTCTGCCTTTTCAAACACGTGTGTATGAAACCTCTGTGCCAGGAACTGTTCCAAGTGTTGGGGACAAATTTCACCCCCACTCCTTATCCTTCTTGTCTGCTTTGCTTTCTTCCACTGATCTCTGTCTCTAATATATTTTATAATTTATTTATTTGTCTATTGTCTGTTTCCCTCCCCACCTTTCAGGATGTAAATTCCATGAGGGCAGGAATTCTTGTCTCTTTTGTCCACTGCTATATCCCCAGAGGCCACAACTGTGCCTAGCATATAGTAGCACTCAGTAAATATTTGTTGAATAGATAAATGTGATAAGTTGAACCTTGGTGGTTTGTATTTTTTTCTGTACTCTTTTTTCTGTGCTCTGTATTTTATTTTACTATTATTATTATTTTTTGGAGACGTAGTCTCGCTCTGTTGCCCAGGCTGGAGTGTGATGGCATGATCTTGGCTCATTACAAGCCCTGCCTCCTGGGTTCAAGCAATTCTCCTGCCTCAGCCTCTTGAGTAGCTGGGATTACAGGTGCCCACCACTGCGCCCGGCTAATTTTTGTATTTTTAGTAGAGACGGGATTTTGCCATGTTGGTCAGGCTGGTTTTGAACTCCCGACCTCAGGTGATCTGCTTGCCTCAGCCTCCCAAAGTGCGGGGATTACAGGCATGAGCCACCGCACCTGGCCTGTGCCTTGTATTTTAAAGTTTAGTATTTCAGTATTGAATATATTCTGCTCATTCTTTTTCTAGATTTTGATTTTTTTCTCTTTTATACTCATTTCTTACAGTGTTTTTAACTTCTATGCTTTTCAAAAGAATGTAGCTTTTACCTAAAAAGGTGTTCAAATAATCTTCTGATATTGTTTTTGCTGAACCAGATTGAAACATAGTCTATGTGAGTGCACACACACAGATGTACACACACAAATGTACATACACTAATGACAAGCTATGCAACGACCCAAATTCATTGAAACACAGCACATGTGAGTATACACATACATACACACACACACACACACACACAAATGACAAGCTAGCTATGCATTGTAGTTTTATAGCAATTCTCACTGTAGTTTGTGTGACTCTGTGATCAGAGCTTTTTTTTTTTTTTAATGCTTAGCTGTTATTCACATGAAGATTTTCTAACTTGCTTTGTCAGTTTTGTACTAGAAAACCCAAAGAAGAAATGGGAGCCAATTTTGACATATAAAAATCAAACACTTAAATCAAATTGAACATTTTAAAATAATGGTCGGAGGCTAGTTGTGGCTTTCTCAAAGGCTCCCAGTGTTTGAGTCTAGCAACTTAGTTGAAACTTAGTAGAATCTTCTGTGTGTCTCACTCAGCAGGGAAAAAAAAAGGGTTCTCTTTTACCTTCACCGTATTTCTGTTTTTAATTGATGAGATGTTTTTCCACTCTCCCACAATCTCTTGTTCCTCCTTGCAAAAGCCTTCACTGCTGCCTAATTTTCAATAGGAAAAGTTATTGTCCTGTTTCTCTTTTTGTCACAGCTGCCAAATTAGAATTACTCTGCTGCCTTTAGGGTTTGTGAACTTACATACATCAGTATATTTGCAGTCTTCTTTTCCCTCTATAATCCTAATTTCTAATTTTTGTTTTGTTTACTCTTTTGACAGTAATTTTAGTTATATTATATTTCAAAGCTTTTATGGACAGAAACAAGTTATAAATAAGCCAATTAAAATGTCTGGGTATGTTTATGTGCTGGTCCCTGAAATATCACTAGGGATGTTGTGGAGGACTCAGATGAAGGATCAGACCTTCCATGCTCCTGAAGAGTTGATAGTAATATTTGTTGAATGAAGCCAGTGTAGATCTAGGAGGCTGGATGTGCTCCAGATCATCCTGTCCTTTTCCAGGGATCGTGATGGCTGTCTGTTATTCAGAAAATAGCTCACAATCTTTTTTCAAATATGAGAAGCTCCTTTTTATGTCAAAAGATACTGTAGACCTTTTACCAGCCAGGATAGGGTAGGCTATGTGGCAATGACAAACAACTTCAAAATGCTAGTAACTTATAAAACCATCAGTTTTGTCTCTAGGTCACTCTACATATCTGTCCTGAATCAGTGAAGGCCACTGATCATTGTGGCCACTCTGGCAGCCACCATCATCTCTGATCGCTGAAGCAGAAGGAAGAGTGGAATGCTGGAGAATCTCTCACTGATAGTTCAACTCTGGCTCAGAAGTCCTCACTTCCACTCACAACTCATTCCCCAAAGCTGGTCACATGGCCCCACCCAGCTCCAAGGGGGCCTAGACGTGCAACCCTTGCACAGGCTCAGAAGGTGGGGAGAACTGGAAATATTGGCCACGCGGCACTAATGCGCATCATAGAGGTGCCTGCACGGTGGTGGTTGTCAACTTTTAACATTTTTGGCTTGAGAAAATACATAATGATAAAAAGTTACTATGAATTTGAGTAATACTTAAATTTAAAAAATTATATTGTATTAATCATATTAATAACTAAGTAAATAAGACAAACTTTTTATAAGAATTAGCACCAGGAAAAAAATAGTTAATACTAGAATTATTTTTAGTGAGCAAATTCGCTTTGAGAAAACAGCCTGATGATTCTTATAAAAAGACAAACTTTTTATAAGAATTAGCACCAGAAAAAAAAACAAACAGCTAATACTAGGATTATTTTTAGGGAGCAAATTTGCTTTGAGAAAACAGCCTGATGATTACGTGGAGGGGATGGCAGGAATGTGAGGCAGGCACTGCTCTCCATAACACAGAGGATAGGATTTGGAGGTTTAAGAGACACTGCAGCCCGGGTACGGTGGCTCACGCCTGCAATCCCAGCACTTTGGAGGCCGAGGTGGGAGGATCACCTGAGGTCAGAATTTCAAGACCAGCCTGGCCAACATAGTGAAACCCCGTCTCTACAAAAATAAAAAAATTAGCCAGGCATGATGGTGGGTGCCTATAATTCCAGCTACTTGGGAGGCTGAGGTGGGAGAATCACTTAAACCCAGGAGGCAGAGGCTGCAGTGAGCCAAGATGGCCCACTCCAGCCTGGGGGACAGAGCAAGACTCGGTCTCAAAAAAAAAAAAAAAAAAAAAAAGAGGCACTGCAAGAGGATGACAGGGAGGAAGAGTGGGAAAGGGGGAGAGAAGACAGGAAGAGTGGCTAGCAAAAGGGAAGGGGTATCAGTCCCTAAAATGACTCTCTTCCTTTGACCTTCCCACCCACCCGCAAATTTCAACGATGTTTTATAAACTCGCAAATGTAAGATGTAAATACATTTTGGTTGTGAAAACTAAAGGAGACAAGTTTCATGCTGGGTTGAAGTAGCAAATGTCTTAGACAGCCTGCAAGGATGCAGGGGGCTTCAAGTAGAAGAAGACTAGAGAATGCAAGCTGCTCAAAAATTTGCAGAAGTCTTAGAGAAGGCTTTAGGCAGCCAGGACATAAAGTGACAATTTTATGGAACCCTTGAAGGTTCCCAGCTGACGTTTTTGTTAATTAATACTATGTATTATCATTAATATTATTTTTAAATGCACTGAAATCAGTTTGTACATTGATTGATTTAATATTTATTGATTGCAAACAAGACAATGAACATGATAAACAAGATTCCTGCCACCTATAAATCTTATCACTCAAAAGAGGCAGAAGTCAAATATATATGGAAATAGACTTACATTATTTATTTATTCTACAACAATGCTCAATGGTTACAGATTTATAGACCCCCAACCCATAGGGTCTGTGGGTTGGGAAACATAGGACCAAGAATTTAGACGATTCCATAGCAAGACTGACATGGAAAGACCTAAGCATGCCTACACCAAATTCAATGCTTCTCTTTTCTGAGAGTGCTGAAAGGCTAGTTTTCTTAATTTCCAGTGCCCTAAGAGACCCTGCCAGATTGTTAGCCAGTACAATAAAGAATGGAAAATACATTTGAGGAACTAAAGATAATATGTCAAGTAAAAATATTTTAAAAGAAATATATATTTTTTTAAATTTAGGAATAATCAAATCCACAAGGCAAGATTGAGATTATATGAATAAAAGAATAGACAAGTTTGAGTAAGAATCAGATGGGTATTCTAGAGATAAAGAATATAGTCAAGGAAAAAAATAATTTTAAAATAATAGGGAAGTTCAAAAGGAGCTTAAATATAATTGAATGTGGAATTAGTCCATTAAAATGTGGATTATAGGAAATGAATCAGAACACAGCTCAGAAAGAAAACAAGAGATTTAAATATGAGAGAGAAGATAAGAGCCATGGAGAAGAGAAAGGGAGCAAGTTAGGTAACAGTAGTTCCACAGGCAAGACTCCAGAATAAGGTAAGGGCAAGGTTAAAAGAAATTATGGATGATAATTATTCGTAATTGAATAAACAAATGAGCTCTCAGAGTGAAGAAACATATAATCCTGCACAAGATAGATTTTTAAAAAATGATCTCTTATTCACATCACGGTAAAGTTACAGAATACCTATGAAAAAGAAAAAACTTGAAAAGCCACCAGAGAGAAAAGATAAGAGACCGTAAAGAAACGACCATCAGATTTATTGCAGACTTCTCACCAGCAACAATGTTACAGGACAATAAAAAAACATCTTCACAATGCAATGAGAAAACAATTGTCCACCTTGAATTCTCTACTCACTGTGGTCACACAAAGTGAGCATGATACAAGGGCATTTCAGATCCCCCATGAATGTGCCATTCACAGAAAACTCGTTGAAAGAACTACTAAGGATTTCACTCAGCAAGAAAGAAAATGAACCCAGAAGGAAGGTGTTGGGTTGCGATAAACAATGATGTAAAGGAAAGAAAAGGCTAAAAATAAATGAATCAAATAGAGAAGTTGACAGAAAAAAAGAAAGTTGGGAGAAAGGAATTGAAAAACATAAAAGGTGAGTATAATAAATAAAAAACAAGGGATAGTAATAAAATAAAAATTTGTAAAAATAAAAAATAAAATAAAATAATGACAGAATTTAAACCTGAAGAAAAGAGGACAAGGAGAAATAGCCTCTGGAGGAGATTTGAACAAATAATCAGCAAAACATTTGACAAGTTAATTAGATAAACTTTTTTTTTTTTTTTTTTTTTTTTTTTTTTTCCGAGACGGAGTCTCGCTCTGTCGCCCAGGCTGGAGTGCAGGGCGCGATCTCGGCTCACTGCAAGCTCCGCCTCCCGGGTTCACGCCATTCTCCTGCCTCAGCCTCCCGAGTAGCTGGGAGACTACAGGCGCCTGCCACCAAGTCCGGCTAATTTTTTGTATTTTTAGTAGAGACGGGGTTTCACCGTGTTAGCCAGGATGGTCTCAATCTCCTGACCTTGTGATCCGCCCGCCTCGGCCTTAGATAAACCTTTAAACTAATTTTTTAAATGAAAAAGTTACAACCCAGATAGTGTGTCTAGTTTTTGAAGAACATGTTATTCCTATATTCATCTTTTCCAGGACAAATGAAAGGATGAAAACATATCCTAAATCATTTTAAGAAACAGCATAATATTAGTACCAAAACCTGGTAAAGATGGTGTGAAAAGGAAAACTAGAGAATGACTATACTTAGGAAAATCAATGTCAGCAATTCTAAATGAAATATTTCCAAACTGAATAGAAAGAGTCTATCAAAAATAATAATACAGCATAGTTACATAGGTGTTATTCTAGAAGGGATGGCTTAGTGTTAGGATATCTATTAATTCATTAAATCAACAGATTAGCAGTTAAGAATACAAATTTCTCCCAATAGATGTTCTATGTAGCATTTGAAAATATTAAATATCTACCACTGATGAAAACAAAACTAGAAAACTAAAAATAATGGGAAACTACCTTTACACGATTAAAAAATGCATATTGAAAACCAATAGCTCAAAGTCCATGGAGACACTTCTATTAAAATCAAGAAGACAAAAATTCCTACTTTCCCTAGTATTACTGAGCATTTTTGTGAAGTCTAGTTAATGCAATAGATACGAAACAGGTATATGTAAAATTATCATAAGAAAGGATATAGAATAATCATTACTGACAGGTGATATGGACTTCTGCCAAGAGAATTAATGAGACTATCTTGAGCTAATATATTTAAATAAAGTAACAAGCTGAAAAATAAATGCAGTAACTTTTCCCTACAGAATCAATAATCAGTAGAAAATATATTAGAAAATGTTCACGTTTAAAATAGCGGAAATAACATTACCCAGGGAAAACACCAGCTGGGCATGGTGGCTCACGCCTGTAATCCCAGCACTTTGGGAGGCCAAGGCGGACGGATCACTTGAGGTCAGGGGTTCAAGACCAGCCTGGGCAACATGGCGAAACCCTGTCTCTACTAAACATACAAAAAATTAGCTGGGCATGGTGGTGCATGCAAGCGTGTGATCCCAGCTACTTGGGAGACTGAGGCACAAGAATTGCTTGAACCCGGGAGGCAGAGGTTGCAGTGAGCTGAGATCGTGCCACTGCACTCCAGCCTGAACCAGTACTTTATGTGAAGGGGAGAACACCCTGAATTGGGTCTGCTTCTCCAGGTATACAAAGGATTTCTTGAAGTAATACAAGATGATTGAATATTATACTGATGGACAATCTCAAAGTATAAATTTACCACCACTGCAAGTGAAAATCCCTATGAGATTTTTCGGGAGTGAAAGGTAGGTGAGATCAATAAAATTATTTTTTAAATAACACAGAGTAAGTGCTAGCTGCTCAATAGCATTTTGGGGTTAAGCACGTAACATGCATTATCTTATTTAATCCTTAAAAAATTTTAAGTTCAAATTTAGGCTTAGAAAGTTTAAATAATTTTTCAAGGGTCACATGGCTGTGAGGAATTGGAACTCCAACATAGATCTGAAGGCCTTGTTCCAAAACCTGAGATTTTTAAAAACCGTGCTGTATATTGCAAAAGCAACAGCTATTTTAATTTTTTGTATTAAGAATATCTAGAGCCGGCCAGGCAGGTGACTTACACCTGTAATCCCAGCACTTTGGGAGGCTGAGGCAGGTGGATCTCCTGAGGTCAGGAGTTCGAGACCAGCCTGGCCAACATGGTGAAACCCCACCTCTACTAAAAATACAAAAAATTAGCTGGGCGTGGTGGTGCCCACCTCAAATCCCAGCTACTCAGGAGGCTGAGGCAGGAGACTCGCTTGAATCTGAGTGAGAGATCATGGTGAAATGAGATTGCACCACTGCACTCCAGCCTGAGTAACAAGAGCGAAACTCCGTCTCAAAAAAAAAAAAAAAAAAAAAGAACCACAACCACAAAACAGAATTTTAGACCAATATCCTTGATGAACATTGATACAGAAATCCTCAATAAAATACTGGCAAACCGAATCCAGCAGCACATTAAAAAGCTTGATCCATCATGATCAAGTGGGCATCATCCCTGGGATGCAAGGCTGGTTCAATATATGCAAATCAATAAATGTAATCCAGCATATAAACAGAACCAAAGACAAAAACCACATGATTATCTCAATAGATGCAGAAAAGGTCTTTGACAAAATTCAACAACCCTTCATGCTAAAAACTCTCAATAAATTCAGTATTGATGGGACGTATCTCAAAATAATAAGAGCTATCTATGACAAACCCACAGCCAATATCATACTGAATGGGCAAAAACTGGAAGCATTCCCTTTGAAAACTGGCACAAGACAGGGATGCCCTCTCTCACCACTCCTATTCAACATAGTGTTGGAAGTTCTGGCCAGGGCAATCAGGCAGGAGAAGGAAATAAAGGGTATTCAATTAGGAAAAGAAGAAGTCAAATTGTCCCTGTTTGCAGACGACATGATTGTATATCTAGAAAACCCCATTGTCTCAGCCCAAAATCTCCTTAAGCTGATAAGCAACTTCAGCAAAGTCTCAGGATACAAAATCAATGTACAAAAATCACAAGCATTCTTATACACCAATAACAGACAAACAGAGAGCCAAATCATGAGTGAACTCCCATTCACAATTGCTTCAAAGAGAATAAAATACCTAGGAATCCACCTTACAAGGGACGTGAAGTACCTCCTCAAGGAGAACTACAAATCACCGCTCAATGAAATAAAAGAGGATACAAACAAATGGAAGAACATTCCATGCTCATGGGTAGGAAGAATCAATATCGTGAAAATGGCCATACTGCCCAAGGTAATTTATAGATTGAATGCCATCCCCATCAAGCTACCAATGACTTTCTTCACAGAATTGGAAAAAACTACTTTAAAGTTCATATGGAACCAAAAAAGAGCCCGCATCACCAAGTCAATCCTAAGCTAAAAGAACAGAGCAGCAGGCATCACACTACCTGACTTCAAACTATACTACAAGGCTACAGTAACCAAAACAGCATGGTACTGGTACCAAAACAGAGATATAGATCAATGGAACAGAACAGAGCCCTCAGAAATAACACCGTATATCTACAACTATGTGATCTTTGACAAACCTGAGAAAAACAAGCAATGGGGAAAGGATTCCCTATTTAATAAATGGAGCTGGGAAAACTGGCTAGCCATATGTAGAAAGCTGAAACTGAATCCCTTCCTTACACCTTATACAAAAATCAATTCAAGATGGATTAAAGACTTAAACGTTAGACCTAAAACCATAAAAACCCTAGAAGAAAACCTAGGCATTACCATTCAGGACATAGGCATGGGCAAGGACTTCATGTCTACAACACCAAAAGCAATGGCAACAAAAGACAAAATTGACAAATGGGATCTAATGAAACTGAAGAGCTTCTGCACAGCAAAAGAAACTACCATCAGAGTGAACAGGCAACCCACAAAATGGGAGAAAATTTTTGCAATCTACTCATCTGACAAAGGGCTAATATCCAGAATCTACAATGAACTCAAACAAATTCACAAGAAAAAAACAAACAACCCCATCAAAAAGTGGGCAAAGGACATGAATAGACACTTCTCAAAAGAAGACATTTATGCACCCAAAAAACACATGAAAAATGCTCACCATCACTGGCCATCAGAGAAATGCAAATCAAAACCACAATGAGATATCATCTCACACCAGTTAGAATGGCAATCATGAAAAAGTCAGGAAACAACAGGTGCTGGAGAGGATGTGGAGAAATAGGAACACTTTTACACTGTTGGTGGGACTGTAAACTAGTTCAACCATTGTGGAAGTCAGTGTGGCGATTCCTCAGGGATCTAGAACTAGAAATACCATTTGACCCAGCCATCCCATTACTGGGTATATACCCAAAGGACTATAAATCATGCTACTATAAAGACACATGCACACGTATGTTTATTGCGGCACTATTCACAATAGCAAAGACTTGGAACCAACCCAAATGTCCAACAGTGATAGACTGGATTAAGAAAATGTGGCACATATACACCATGGAATACTATGCAGCCATAAAAAATGATGAGTTCATGTCCTTTGTAGGGACATGGATGAAATTGGAAATCATCAATCTCAGTAAACTATCGCAAGAACAAAAAACCAAACACCGCATATTCTCACTCATAGGTGGGAATTGAACAATGAGAACACATGGACACAGGAAGGGGAACATCACACTCTGGGGACTGTTGTGGGGTGGGGGGAGGGGGGAGGGATAGCATCAGGAGATATACCTAATGCTAGATGACGAGTTAGTGGGTGCAGCGCACCAGCATGTCACATGTATACATATGTAACTAACCTGCACATTGTGCACATGTACCCTAAAACTTAAAGTATTAAAAAAAAAAGTTTAAAACAAAAACAAAAACAAAAACAAAAACAAAACAAAACAAAAGAACGTAAAGCCTAGAGGAAAAAACAGTTTTCACTGAATGGTGTTATTCACATTTCATTTAAAGCCTATTCCAAAAGGATACCAAAGTCTTTCTTTACCTACAGTTAACATAGCAGTCTTACAGAAAGCTGTTTAATATACATGGTTAAATGAAAATAAAGGATATTGCAAAGCAGAATGACCCAATCTTTTTTTTTTTTTTTTTTCCGAGACAGAGTCTCGCTCTGTCGCCCAGGCTGGAGTGCAGTGGCGCCATCTCGGCTCACTGCAAGCTCCGCCTCCCGGGTTCATGCCATTCTCCTGCCTCAGCCTCCCCAGTAGCTGGGACTACAGGCGCACGCCCCCACGCCCGGCTAATTTTTTTTATTTTTAGTAGAGACAGGGTTTCACCGTGTTAGCCAGGATGGTCTCAATCTCCTGACCTCGTGATGTGCCCGCCTAGGCCTCCTAAACTGCTGGGATTACAGGCGTGAGCCACCATGCCCGGCCGGAATGACCCACTCTTATGGATCATTCTGCTTTAAAATGTTTTTACGTATGATACATATAACATAAAAAATTTTTTAGCCTTTTAATTAATAGATATATATGTATATATTATATATAATACATATTGATGTACACTTTATTTTTATATACAAATTACATAATTATACATATTCCACTATGTATACATGGTTATTAATACTCTGAGTGTTAACAGTGGCTAAATCAGAATAATTTTTATTTTATTTCTTTTACAGTTACTTCTTTTAAAAGTTGTAACATTCCAAAAAGAACAGTTCTTTTTAAGCTGAAAGACACAGGAGGCTAAATTTGTTTCTCCAATGTAGGTTTATAATGAAAAAATTAAGTGAGATATTTTTATCTGCAACCTGAAAAACAGTAATAGTATTGATAAAGTTATTTGGAGGATTTTATTTGTGAAAACTGTCAAATCCAATTAGCTTGATCTTTAGCAGTTATCTAAGTGTAAGGTGAAAATAAACAACAATTTTAGTATGGTAATCAGGTGCAATTATACCATGCGTTTATTTTAGAAATGGGTGTCGTCAACTTCCAAGTCTATTTCAGCGAATCCTGGTTTGCGTGCTGAAGTCAAAATGTGGTGCTGTTTGGCCCAGAGTTTCCTAGCCCCTCCCATTTCTCCTTTCGCAATCCTGGCGGTCTGGTACCCCTGGAACCCTTCATTAATAAGCAGCATTCTTTCCATAGTAAGGTTCTGCTCCTTTGAAAATGCCCAACGGTTCTTGTTCTTACCATACAACTCTAACATGTTAACATGCATCTTAAGCAAGACCTTAAATACTGACTTCCACACAGCCACACTTCAGCTACATTCTCAGTATTTCCTTTTTATTTGTTAGCTGTAAAACTGAACAAATGGGACTGAGGGACTTTGGCATGGCTCCAAATCAGAGAGAAACGCATCCCGAATTGGCCCTTTGCCCAAAGGTATAATTTTCAGCTGTGAGTTGCCCTTAATTTTGAAAATCATCTTTGTAGCTTCAGATTTTCCAGAGCAGTAGAAGCATTGTGTTTGCTCTCCAGGCGACCAGCACTGAGAAACAAAAATAAAAACACAGTATCTTGCTTTTTTTTTGCATCAAATCAGATTTCTTTCGCTAAAGGATTCAACATATTAAGAAAATTCCAGTATAAACGATATAAATACCTTGTCCCTGCCGGCCATAAGTATCTCTACAGTATGCAGATTTCTCCAGGTCATTTGATTTTGGAACAGATCATCCTTTCAAGTTTGGTACTGATATATTTTAAAACTAGATTTCTCTGCATTTATGAATAGTAGAAGTACTTAGCATCAGTTTCAATTATGTTGTTGTAAATAAATTACTCTGTGATTAAGGATAACAATTGACAATACACTTATTTAGTAAACATGTATGCCTGTATGTATAAAACATCAACATATGCTAATGCACAGTATTTTATAAGACTGCTGAGCATAGGGACTTTCCAACCAGCATGCTGATATTTGTTTCTATGAATAAAGTCTTCTAATATGTCTTAAATTCCACTGGGCAAATGATAGTTTTAATCAATTAAGATCCATGCTTCTCTAAGAAGATAATGCCTGTAAGAATGTGAGTAATTTTTATAGTAGCCATTTTGTTTTTTGTATTTATTAGCTGTAAGATGTGATATTTTTTCTATTTTATCAAGTTCAGCTTATATCTGGCAATTCAATTGTTAAAAATCTGATGGAATTACATCAGCTAATCTTACATATTGTTTATCCCCCAAATTGCAAAACAACCATACAAAATAAAGAGAATTATATGCCTTTTTTTAAATTAGTTCTGCGACAAATACATATTGTGGTATTTGGAATCAGACATACCTGGTTTCTAACACCCAGATTAAGGAATTAAATCTATGCAGAAAACACCAGTAACTGCCAATATTCTGACACATTAGCTCTGTGTGCCTGGCATATACTCCCTGAGCCTCAATTTTCTTATTTGAAAACATTGAAAAATATTTATTTTTTGCAATATTGTTGTGGGGAGCCATGAGATAGTATGTGACTAGGTCTAGCACAGGACCTGACAATATTCAAAAATTTAGTTGCAGTTTTTCTCTTCAGATTATTTAAGGAATATAATCTTATTATAGAAAATTGAAAAAAAAGTAGACAAAAATTACTATTGTCATACCACACACTGTTTTTCTTTCCTATCATGGTTGTTTGTAGTTGAGGTATTGTTCAATATAAAATTTTACATTTTGCTTTATTTCAATTTACTTTATAGCACCAGTATTTTCTCATGTTATGACATGCTCTTCATAAACAACAGTTTTAGTGCCTTTGTACCATTTCCCTATTGTTGGATAGGCGATTTCCAATGTTTTGTATTGTAGACAGTGGCATGATAAATCCCTTTGTTTCTAACTTTTGTATTTCTGATTATTCTCTCAGAATAGATGATATTTGTCCCATCTGTTGTTTCATGTTTCTACCTTTTCTGCCTTTTTTGCATTAATGATTTTTTTTATGATTCCATTTTGTTTCCTTTACTGGCTCACTTGTTATAACCTGTTTTTTTTTAGTGAATGTTTTGGTGTCTGTGGTATACATCTCATACTTATCACAGTCTACCTTCGTTAAGTTTAGAACTGCATGTATAGTAGGACTTTAAAATAGTATTTTTCCCTCCCTCCATCCTGGCCTATGTGTTATTTTTGTCCTATACTTTTCCTCTATGTATGTTACAAACACCACAATACACATTTTAATTTTTGTTTTAAATAATCAGTTCTCTTTTAAAGGTATTTTAAAAGTAACAAAAACGTGTTTTCTATTTAATCACATATTTACTATTTCTGTTACTCTTCATTCCTTTGTGTAGCATCAGATATTTATCTGGTATCATTGCTCATTTTTCATCAGCCCAAAGGACTTCCTTTAACATTTTTTTGTGGTGCATATCTGCTGGCGATGCGTTCTTTCACCTTTTGTATGTCTGCAAAAGTATGTATTTAGCCTTCCCTTTTGAAAGTTTTTTTGCTGGGATAAGAATTCCAGGTTGATGGGTTTTTTCCCTTTTCTTTCAGTAGTTAAATATGTTGCTCCACTGACTTCTGGCTTGGATGGTTTCTGATAAGAAGTTCATTGTAATTCTTATCTTTATTCCTCTCCATGATGTGAATTTTTTCCTTGGGTTACTTTTTAGATTTCTCTTTATCACTGGTTTTAAGCAATTTTTATTTTTATTTTTATTTTTTGAGACAGGGTTTTGCTCTGTTGTCCAGGCTGAAGTGCAGTGGCATGATCTCGGCTCACTGCCACCTCTGTCTCCTGGGTTCAAGTGATTCTTCTGCCTCAGCCTCCCAAGTAGCTGGGACTACAGGCGTGTGCCACCACACCTGGTTAATTTTTGTATTTTTGGTAGAGATGGGGTTTTACCATGTTGGCCAGGCTAGTCTCGAACTCCTGACCTCAAGTGATCCATCCACCTCGGCCTCCCAAAGTGCTGGGATTACAGGCATGAGCCACCACGCCTGGCCAGTAATTTAAATATGTTACTTGATGTAGTTTTCTTCAGGTTGTGTCTGGAGTTTGATGAACATGAACCTGTGGGTTTGTAGTTTTCATCAAATTTAGAAAATTTTCAGCCAGCACTACTTCAAATATTTTTTTCAGATCCCTAGTCCTAACCTCTGGAGACATCAGTTACATGTACATTAGGCTATTTCAAGTTGTCTCACACACATTGATTCTGTTCATTTCTTTTAGTCTTTTTCATACTGTATTTCATTTTGGATAATTTCTATTGCTGTGTCTTCATATTCATGAATCTTTTATATTGTCTGAACTGCTATAATCTCATTCTATGTAATTTTCATCTTAGACATTGTAGTTTTCATCTCTAAAAGTTCTATTTGGGTCTTTATATCTTATATGTCTCTACTTAACATGCTCAATCTTTCCTTTCTGTATGGAATATAGTTATAATAATTATTTTAAAGTTATTATCTACTCTTATCATCTATGACATATTTAAGTCTCTGTTGATTAATTTTCTCCTCATTATGAGCCATATTTTTCTGCTTCTTTGCATGGCTAGTAATTGTTACTGGATGCCAGACATTGTGGCTTTTATCTTGGTGAGTGGTAGATGTTCTTGTGTTTTCATAAATATTCTTAAACTCTGTTCTGGGATGCAGTTAAGTTACTTGGAAACCATTTTATTCTTTAAAATCTTGATTTTAAGCTTTGTTAGGTGGGATCAGGGCAGTATTTAATCTAGGGCTATTTTTCTTCCCACTGCTAAGACGATAGCCTTCAGAGTACTCCATGCAATGCCCCATGAATGACATGACATGGTTTTTCATTTTGTTGTTGGGAACATGAATTATTCCAAGTCCTCCATTAGTTTTATTTTACTTTATTTTATTTGTGGGACACCTTTTTTTGGTTAATTGAGCAACTATTATGTGCCAGTTCCCCTGCTATGTAATGTTGATTCTTTCTGATTTGCACAAAAACTCTCTGATGTCAGTGGTATTATATATCCATTTTTCTGATGAAGAAACAGGTTCAGAGAGCATAAATGATTTGCCTAAGATCACACAGCTAGGAAATAGTGGTGCTGAGTTTCAAATCTGTTAGTTTTGAGAAGTGTTCACTCTAATCCTTTCAGATGGTTCTTTCCCCAACCTTGGGCAGTTTCTTCACATATGTGCTGATCGCCATGCAGCTGAAGACCAACCAAGGTTTCTTTGCAGTTCTTCATAGCTGTCTCTGTATGCAGCTTTCTTCTCTCCACTATTCTCCCCTAAGAACTGTAGCTACCTTGGCCTCCCCAGAATACCAGCAGTGGCTCCTCAACAAATCTAGGGTTTTGGCCTCTGCCTACTTTCCCCTCCCTTGCACCATGGCCTGTAATCTGTCTCTGGGAAGTTCGCTAATGTAATTGTATGACTTACCTCATTTGTCTTCCCTCTCTCAAGAACCACTGTCCTGTGCTGTCTGTTGTCCAATGTCTAGAATCATCGATTAGTATATCTTGACCAGGTATTTAGTTGCTTCGTGTGTGTGTGTGTCTGTGTGTGTGTGTAGGATTATATCTGGTTCCTTTCATTCCATCCTGGCTGGAAATGGAATTCCTCTCAGAATAGGTTTTTTAGGAATTATATGTAATCTTTAAAAACAAATATACTCATCAGGAATTCTAAGTATAATATCAATAACACATAAGATAAATAACAAAATTTATTTTTTTCCAGTTGAAATAGCTAAGAATTTAACTTTATCCAGGTTCTACTAATGACTATGATCAAGTTTGTTCTGAACATTGAAACTCACTTTGAAATGAAAGTCTGTTATATGCTATGGTATGTGTTACAGTTTATTCTGAGTTTGCCCTTTTAATTTTATGCTCTTACAAAACATCCCAAATCATCCATTTGGGAGAGAAGTGGATAAATTTCACCAACATTTTCCCTAGCACAATACCTGTCACCCAGAAGGCATGTGATAAGTAATAGTGAGAAGAATGAGTAAATAAGATTCTAAACATACGAAGAAACACTACTAATTTTAAGACGAAGGCAATACGGCTAAGTTTACACACATACACAGACAGAGAATTCAACTAAAGTCCAACATAAGAAAATCTAAATATTTTAATAAATATTATCGGGTAATTTGTTTCAATGAAACATTACCGGAAGAGGAGAACGTATAGGTTCAGTCGGCAGAAACAGAGTATGTTATTCACGAATTCAGTGAAGACCTTGGGAGGAATGGGTTAGCAAAGGAGACTACTTAGTGCGTACATCCTTCAAAGTAAGCTTCACGTGAGCCCAGAACACAACTGCAGTTCAGATAGTGGAGCAGATGCAACACACAACTGTGTAGGCACCACTTTCCACTGCCACAATTCTAGAACCCTGACTCATGATCATAATATTAAAATGGACAAATGCCATATGCAAACAAATTCAATTGTAATTGGTGATAGAGAAACATACAGTGTCACGTTCTCTACCTTGGGGAAAAGTCTGGGGAGTGGGTGGAGTGGACATGTGCAATGGCAAAAAGACAAGAGCATGAAGAGTGGTCTTGGATTGCAAGTAAAAGTGATTTCACAGGCAGCACGTAAACCCCTTGGTTCTGTAATGTTTTATTTCTCCCAGTGGTGGTGTTACAGTCAGTGTTTTCATGAACTCCTGTCACCTTCTCAGTTCTTGTGGTGGCTGTTACTGATTAAAAGAAGATACTAGGATTGGGAGATGATAGAACTCTTTCTCCTGGTGTGGTAGATTTTTAAGAACTAGATTGAGGGTCTAGAAATCGTAGCAACTTGCTGTCTTGTTGGTTGGTGCCACAAACAGAACCCATGTAAGCTTATAACTTCATGTAAAAGATGTTAATCCACTCTGAGTTGGCTTGCCGTAAAACTCTGCTAAGTATTGAATGGTATAAACCCAGACCGCCAGATCTTTTTAAAAGCATAAACACCCAGAGATTCAAAATAAATTAAGAGTAGCTTACACTCTGAGAAACTCAAAATACATTTCCAGATCCTTCTGATAGGTATTTTTCATCACAGCCTGGGATGCACAAGGGCATAATTGTGGAAGTCCACACTACTTCATGTTCTCAAATGTCTTCTCTGATATCTTCTGAAACCTTGAGAGTGTGGGAAACAAACCTAATTTAATCAATATACTAGTTCACCCCTTGGAATACCCTATTAGCAATCTTTCTAGGGTGTCTTAAATAAGATGTAGCCATTCATGATTTAAAATAAATATTGAATTTATATTTACTATAAGGCAAATAAGGAAACTTCTTGAACATCATAAAGATAATTTATCTGGAACCAAGAGCAAAAATTATAATAGGGGAAAAATGATTAAGGTATTCACCATTAGATTAATAACAATAAGATGCCTATTATCATCATTACGTTTTAAAACATTTTGAAGTTGCAAAGAAATGTCACAATACAAGAAAACAAAATGAGCAGTCTAAATATTAGAACAGAACTATTATTTACTGCTGATATGATTGTATAATTTTATACCTACAAAGTACAAGAGTATCTGTTTTAAAACTATTAATAAAGCTAACAGAAGTTATTACATTGTTGGAGTACAAAAAAAACACATGAGAATCAATAGCTTCCCATCTGCTAGATAGAACCAGGAAAAAATTGAAAGGAACAAAAATAAGAGCTCATTCATAATGGCTACAGAAACTATAAACTACTTTTGAATAAATTGGATTAAAAAACAAAATATACATAAAAAGAAATACAGTGGAGTCATATCATATGCCCATTTAGCATACACAAATTAAATTTCATTTACTCCATGCAGCACATGTTTCTGTTATTTTTTTTTAAGACATGTATATTTCATGCAATAGAGCTCCCCAATGCAAGCCAACTCCTTCACTGGGTATGCAACTTATGAAATGGTAATCTATTTCAGTACTGGAAGGAAAAGCGGTGTTGAATTTATTGCAAGATAATTACATCTGTATACTGTTCTTCAGGGGCAATTTGAAGAATTTTCAAGGATAATTTTGACTATAAGCAATTGTCCCCTCTAATGCCGGTTTTGGAAACCAGCTCCTGGCTGAGATGAGACTCCAGCGTGGACGCAATTTTTCTGAACGATATAAGATAGGACCAGGACAAATGGACTTAGGCGTTGTAAACATTTGGATTTCTAATATTAAAATAAAGTACACAGAAGCTTCAAAAGAAGCAGAAAACCGTCAAACTATGCTCCCTCCCGCTACTCATTACTGGAGGCATCCTAAGGCGGAATGCTTAGAACTGCCAGACATCTGCCTTTCCTTTATTGCTTTTTTTCCTGGCTAATTGAGTTAGAGAATCTCCACTATTAGGAAAACGTGCCTGACTCCAGACTTTAGAACTATTACAGCCCTCTGTAAATAAGACTTCAGGTGGAAAAGGTGGAGCATGCCGGTTTCCTCTAACTGGTATGTATGTTTAGAATATTAGAGGCTGGACCTGTATTCCAAGACGCCGGTGATGCTTGGATGCTTTAGTGTATGAGTGAAGGGAAAGATCACGTAAGGTGTAAGAGCTCACAGGGACTGGGCAAAATTAGAGAACTCCCAGGGCAAAGTGTGAAGAAGGTTAAAGCTCTCCTGAGAATGCTCTACCACTTCATCACTTTTGGAAGATATTTGTGTATTTGTACTGGAAGAGGAATGTTACGTGACTCCCTGTCTATCTTCTACCTCGGGGATAACAGAAGCCCCTAAAATTTGTCAGCCAACTGAATGTTGTGCATATACCCTGGGGGCTACCATTACAGGGGAAAATGCATCCTGGTTGGCTATGGCAGGAAACAATGTAATGCAAATGTTGCTCTTCCCCAGATGAATATAGACATATAATGCAATTACAATCCAAATCCCAACTGTCCTTTCTGTTCGCTTGTTTTTGGAACTGGACAAGTTAGTTCGAAATATATGACAGTTGTCAAGAGAACTTTGAAAAATAACTAGTAAGAGGTATTTACTCCATCTGCTATAAATAGATACTGAAAAGGCTGCAATAAAAATCCTATGGTACTGGAATAGAAATAGCAAATAAATCATGAGAATATATAGTAAACATCTCATTGAAATCATTCAACAATAAATGATTTATTGGGCACATACTGTGTGTCAGACACTATGCTAGTCACTGGTTAAAGAGCTGTGAACAATACACAGCCACTGCCTTCAGGCAGCTCAGTCTATAGAGGGTGAACTACAGATTGAATATTTACAAAGTATGAGACATGCCATAGAGGGAGAATAAAATATGCTATGAGATGCAGCATAGAGTGATCCATCCTAATGTGGACCCAAGAGAAGCCTCTCTGAGAGTGTGCCTGGAAGGATCACTCACTAGGGAGCCAGGTTAAGGAGGGAACTGGCAGGAGGACGTGATCCTGCTGGGAACCAGCCCCATTCGGGAGGTTTTGGCACATTTGAACATCGGGAAAGCCTGTGGTGGGCATGTAAGAGAAGCTCAAAAAGTGAATTTGTTTAGGGGCAGATTGTGCAGGGTCTAGAGAGACTGACAGGATTTCTAATTTTCTCTTAAGAGCAATGGAAAACCCTTGAAAGTTTTATCAAATGTCTTTGTCTTTCTAATATTGTTGATTTATAAATTTTAATGCAATGTCAATTGGTAAATGATATATCTCTGTATCTCTTTGATACAGAATAAAATTTTAGCAAATATAAATGGATATTTCTTATCAAGTACAAAAGTACTAATATCCGTATTATCAATGGAAAATATTTCTTTTATTTTGATTTTTTCTTTTTCTGAACTTACTAATTTCATTTGCATTGTTTTCATTAGCTTTTATATGGTATACTTTGCCTAACAATTCTCTCCCGATTTATATATTTACATGTGTATTGTTGTTACTTTCTTTTTTCTCTCTAGTTTTTATTTAAAGGATTGGAAAACCTTCTCTGTTTTGTTTATTTCTTCAAATAAGTTTTTTTTAACTTTTTAACATAGAGAATGTGAAACGTACACGAAATAGAATTATATAACAAACTCCCATGTGTGAAAATGGTATTATGGCTATGTTAAACAGAGAGGCCTTATCTTTAGTGATACATACTGAAATATTTATGGATGAAATGCTATGTTGTTTAGGATTTGCTTTAAAATAATATTTCTTCAAATAGTTTGATGCGGGGCTTACACAAGAGTGAGACACATGAGAAAACTTGAGGGCAAATTTACAAAGGAGACAACAACTCAGTAGTCAAGATAAATAATATTTTCATGCATTAAAATCATACCCCAAATAACAGAGTTTTTGTCAATGATAGGCCACATATACAACAGTGGTCCTATAAGATTATCATGGAGCATATGTAGAAAGCTGGTATATGGCATTTGGTATTGCCACTGCAGGTCAAGTAGGAAAAAGGATTGATATCCAGTAATGGTGCTGGGACATTGGTTTTCCATAGGAAAAATAAATAAATACAAATAGATATACCACCTAGATTTGGGTAAGTACACCCTATGTTTGCACAATTATGAAATCACCTAATGATGCATTTCTCAGGATGTATTGTTAAGTGGTGCATGACTGTATATAAAAAAACAAAATCAATGCAAAAAATCCATAATGAACAATATATGAAAAATAAGTAAAAATAAGTAAACACAGGATTCCTATCACAGGATGTTTCATACCCTGCCTCACTTGCGTCATCCTAGTCCTAGCCCTGGTTCCAATAAGACTTTATTTATAAAAACAGCCAGCTAGCCCTGAGGCTACAGTTTGCTAATTTGATTTTAGTTTTGCATTGAGCATATTAGAATTTAACTTTTTCTTTGAACAACCAGAATGTAATAATGTTTGCAACACTATCCCCAAAGAACATTAATATGCTTTACTTACCTTCTACCTGCCCTCTTGCCTATCATCTTCATAACTCAGAATTGAAGTTTCAGTATCCTTTACTTAACATCTTCTACTTCTAAGTAAGAAAGACTTCTTCTTATTGTTATTGTTAATTTGTTTTTTTTTTGAGATGGAGTTTCACTCTTGTCGCCCAGGCTGGAGTGCAATGGTGTGATCTTGGCTCACTGCAACCTCCGTCTCCTGGGTTCAAGTGATTCTCCTGCCTCAGCCTCTTGAGTAGCTGGGACTATAGGTGCCCGTCACCATGCCCATATAATTTTTGTATTTTTAGTAGAGACGGGGTTTCACCGTGTTGGTCAGACTGGTCTCAAACTCCTGACCTCAGGTGATCCACCCGCCTTAACTTCCCAAAGTGTTGGGATTACAGGCATGAGCCACCATGACTGGCCTTCTTAATTATTATTAATAGCATTAAACTTCACAACTCCACTAACAATTATTTAGACATAATTACAAGTTTTACTGGTTACATTGCTCATTATCGTATCTTTACTTTCCTTCTCATGAGCTCTACATTCAGTCTTTTCCCTACAGTCAATAATTTTCCCTAGTGCTTTTCTTTTTTTTAATCCACTGAAAATGGACATAGGTGGCATATTTTCAAAGTCTTTGAATGTCCAAAAATGTCATACTTTCTTTCTTATATGAACAACCATCTGAGTACAGAATTCTAAGATAAAATTCCTGTTTCCTTATAACTTATCCCAGTATTTAGTGCGGTGTTCTTCTAGTTTGCTTGTTAATTGTCCTTGGAATTTGGAAATGTCATTATGACATGGCTAAAGTGCCTTTTCAATATTCTTACCCAGGACCTTTTAGATCTGATGACTTAAGTTTTTCCTCATCTTTCCTATTATTTTTGGAAGTTGTTTCTGTCTGTCTAGTAAAATTCATCCTTCAGGAACTCCAGTTACATGGGGTGGTACAGGTCTCAGGGTGGGTTGCAGGCATTGGGGATGCCACCTGTGATATGGGTTTCCTGTGGTTGTGCTATGCTTTTAGGCCTTGATCCCTGCTGGCCATCCAGAGTTGATCACCTGAGCCAGGCTGAATTCATCAAAATTCTTCTTCGGGATTTTTTTTTTTTTAAACTGAACTAAAGGATGCAAATCAGTCCTCCTGAGTAGAGGAGGAAGAGAGAGGTAAAATTTTTAGCTTGCAATCGATGTTGCTTTCTGCCCTGTGGAGAATCCCCATCTACAGTAAGAAAGAATAACCGCATGAAGAAATAAAAAGAAGTGGTGGCATTTGAAAACCTGGTTCTTGATTTTTACTTTGAAGTAAAGGAGAGTGTCAAGTTTCCATTTTAAATGACCAAATTGGCACCAAAGTGGACAGACCAAGAGAAAGGAGGCAGGAAAACAGGTGGAGAGAATATCTTCATGGTTCCCATAAGAGGTGATAAGAATCCTTTTTGAGACTTTAATTATAGAGATGAGTTGAAAACATAACTATAAGTTAGAGTTGCTAGACCAGGTCATAGATTGGATGTGAAAGTGGGGAGACTAGAATGTGCCTAAGCTTTCTAGCTGTGTGACTGACAGACGCAAATGAGGATGAAATGGACATCACAGTGTAATAATAGGGAGAGTGAAGGAAGGCAGACACAAACAAGCACACAGTGTGCAATGCAGTTTCCATAAGCACAGCACTAGGCAAAACCAAGCTATGGAGTCTGAAATCAGTTTGGTAGACAGGGTTAGCAACGGTAATAGGTCATGAGGTGGCTGCTGAGGGCGTTGGCAATGTTCTGTTTCTTGATCTAGGTACTGCTTACCCATGAATATTCACTTTATGAAAAATACACTGAGCAGAATATGTATGATATGAACACTTTTCTATTTGAATTTCATGCTATAATAAAATGTTAAAAGTAAGGGTGAGAGGCTGTGGGGATAAAGAGGGTGATTACCACTTAGAGTACTCTATATTTGAGGTAGCTATAGGACAGTGGTTCTCAAAGTGTGGTCCTCTTGGCAATATTGGCATCACCTAGGAACCTGGTAGGAAAGCAAATCTTTGGGTTTCATTTTAGAGGCACTAAATCAAAAATTCTGGGGGCAGGGTCCAGCAATCTGTGTTTTAACAAGCTTCCAGGTGATTTTAATATGCATTACCATTTGAGAAAGAGTACTGTTGGATATCTAATGGATATATTAGGTATTTGGCTAAGTATGGGCCTGAAGTTAAGTAGAAAATTGTTTGGGCTAGAAGTGTAGTTTAGTGATTTGCATCATTTATTTGAAGTGATCCTTGAAGCCATGAGAATAGATAAACTCTCTCAAGGACATTACGTACCATAAAAAGAAGGAAGAGTCCCCAGAAGATCCCTGGGAAACAGCGACATTTCAGGGATAAGTAGGAAAAGAAGATATTGCTTGAAATGACAAGCATAGATACACAAACATTTTTCTGCTTTAAACTATGTTGGAGATGAATGTTCATATGGAAAGATTTTCATGATGTATTTTAAGTGAAAGAAGGCAGGCAATAAAAGGGGGCAAAACTTACAATCACATATGCACACACTAATGATCTGTGAAGTGTGCAATTAAAACAATATTTTTATTTTCTTCCTTTTGCTTATCTGCACTTCCTATTTTTTCCAAATGTGAACTTGCCTACATTTTGTAAATAAGGGGAAAAAAATAAAATTTTTAAAAAGATAAAAGATATCTTGCACCCATGGAACTAGATACAACAGACATGAAGAGAATGCAGTTTTGAAATTTGAAACTGCACAGAAAATGCAGTTTTGAGATTTGAAACTGTTAAGACAAAAAGCACAATTGAACGATTTTCAACTGTAATAGAGGCAGAAAATTGGGTACTTCAGAAAACTGAAGTGGCTCATCGGAAGATGAGTTCTGTACATTCTTTCAGAATGTGGAAGAAAAGAACAAGAACCAGAACATAATGGGTGCAAAGGTAAGATAAATGCAGGACAGACAAAAGGAACCATTGTTTATGAAATCCAGAGGTCAGTGCTGGCTTCCACTGCTGCTCTTCCAACTTTTTCCCACCCACAAAATAGCTAGAGTGATCTATTAACAGTGTAAATCAGACCAGGTCACTCCCTTAGTTACATTCCTTCAGAAGCTTCCTATTGCATTTCACGTAACATACAAAATTCTCAGCTGGCTACAGAGCTGTGTTCACTCTCCCCTCCAGCAGACTCCCAGCACTCCAGCCACACTGGTCTTTCTGTTCTTTGAAGGCCAAGTTCTTCATCTCCAGGCCTTTGGGAATGCTGCTTCGTCCACTAGAAATGTTCTCAATTCTCTTCTTCCTTCAGGTCACAGCTTACGTTAAACTTCTGCAGGGAAGCGATCCTCCCCATGCTATATTTTCCCTCATCGGATGTATCATCATATGTGTTTATAATTTACTTGTATATCTTTCACCACGGGATAAGCTGATTGGAGACAGGGACCATGTCTAATTCATTCTCTTGTGTTAGGCTGCGCATAACACAGTCCCTAGCACACAGTGGGTGCTCAAGAAGTCTTTGTTAATTAATGACTGTCTCAAATGTTCTTCTATTTGTGTATTTTCATGGTTATTTCTAAAATAAGCTGGAAAATTGATTCCCTTCCATCTATGCTTATGCTACCATCTTACAGTGATATTGCCAGATGCTGGTGTTTAATTGCTGCTCCTCCTATTACATAAACTAATTTCTAGAAGTAAGCTAACCAAATTTTAGGGCTGTGTTGTCCATTTGGAGCTTCTGAGTGAGGTATCCAGATGGTCTGGAAGAATGAAAATGACTTCGAAACCTGCCTTGCATAATCTCAGTGAGTAGTTTATGCATCGATAGACTCTAGTTCAATCAACGGCAGGGGCTATCTTTTAATTATGTTGTTTTCATTCTGTCATCTAAAACATTGCTGCACAAATTGTAGGTGTCTTATACATGCTTATTGATTTAATTAAAAGTTAATAGACGTGTTTTCTTGCAGAATGGTAATTCAGTGTTTTCTCATTTTTACTGATCATCTCTTATCACCAAATGGAGCTTTCCTACTATGCTGATTAACGCCTGAAATAGTAGGATTTAGCTCCTTATTGAAAACAATAATTGAAGTTGTGATCTTTCAAAATCTCTCTAGAAATGTTATGCTTTTAGTCTCTTTTTTATCCATTATATGTGTATTAGTTATCCATTGCTGCATAACATATTACCCCAAAATTTAGGATTTTAGAACAACATTTATTACATCACAGTTTCTATAGGTCAGGAATCCAGGAAAGCTTACCTGGGTCCTCTGGCTCAGGATCTCTCAAAAGTGTGTAGTCATCTGAAAACTCAACCCAGGTAGGATCCTCTTCCAAGCTAACTCATTGGCTCCGGGCAGGCCTTATTTTCTTCCTGGCTATTGGCTAGAGGCCTCAGTTCCTTGTCTTTTCACAGGGTAGCTCACAACATGGCAGCTTGCTTTTACTGGGGGAAAATTAAAAAATAATGAATTCTAACCACAGTTTAAAAATTCAATTAAAGAAAAAGAAAGGTTTGATGTACATTAACAACAACAGCAAACTATAAGTCAATAAACCTAACACAATGTATGCATGTCCTATATGAAGAAAATTGTAAAACTTTGGTAAGATGCACTGAATAAGGACAAGTAAATAGTGAGGTAGTCCATGTTCATAGATAGGATGACCCAATATAGTACACATGCTAATTATTTCCAAATAAATTAATTTCCAATCAAACTCTTAAGAGGATTTTTCATGAAATCTCAGAGGTTGATTCCAAAATTTATATGAATGACCATAGAGTCCAGAAGAATCAAAATATTATAGGAGATGAGAAGAAAATCATACTGTTCTTGATATCAAGATTTATTATAAAACCATGTAATTACAACATTATAGTATTGATACAGGAATAGACAAACTGAGTAATTGGACAGATGAGGGAGTGCAGAAATAGACCCACATACACGTCGAGCTTTGATATATGATGGGGGAGTGTTTTAGATTGTTGGGGAAAGGACAGAGCATTTCATTCAATAAATGGTAGCAGAATGTTTTTTGCAGAAAAATAGTGAAAATAAATCCTACTTCACACCACGTACAAAAACCAATTATTGAATTTATATATGTATGAAAAGCACAACAATAAAAAGTTTAGAAGAACATATCTAACATTATCTTTTTGACCTCAGTATAGAAAAGAATTTTTTAGATAAAGCACAAAAATAGTGTCTACATTAAAATTAAAAATTTATTCATAAACAATATAAAGTGGAAACACAAGTCGTATATCCAGAAATATGAAACACATTTAATTAACAAAGTAATATTATATGTGTATGTATGTATTTCTACAAACCATTGAGAAAAAAGTAAAAAACACACTAAAAATCATTTTACACAAAAGGAAAAATGGTGAATAGAGCTATGAGAGGATGCTTGGCCTCATTAGTAATTGGGGAGATGCAAATTAGTATCACAATGAGATATTGTTACCAACTTGTTTGCCAAAATTAGGATGCCTAACAGCTTGTTTATTTGTACTACCAATATAGAAAAGAGAATAGGATGTTACTTTTGTGATTGTATTATAAAGTCTCATGATCTTGTTAGCTGATTCTCTCTATTGCTTTCTTGGCTTGCATGCTTTGATGAAGCAAGCTGCCATGTTGAAGAGATCCACCTGGCAAGGAACAGAATATAGCCTTTGGCCAAGAGCCAGCAAGGAGCCGAGACCCTCAGTCCAACAGCCTATGAGGGAATGAATCCTACCAACAACCACAGAGGGTTAGAAGCAGATACTTCCCTAGCTGAGTCTTCAGATGAGGCCCTAGGCTTGACTGACACCTTAATTGCAGCCATAGCTGCACCCAGTCCACTGTACATAATGTGTTAAAATTAACTCCCTTTGTGGCAATTCTATTTCTAACATTTACAATGTAAAGTTTCCAGTGTACAGAAGTGTGACTAACATATGTCTTATGTATATTATACTATAGCAATCAAATATTTACTTTGAAATTCCATATAATAAATTTTTATATACTGTATGGCAACTTGGTGATTTTAATGTAGCCAAATGGAAATCTGGTCTTATGTTTGTTTACTTTTGACAAAGAAAGGTGATAAAACCTCTTGTAGATGAGCTGAAAGTTTCTTAGTTTAGCAGATGTTTTTTGTACAAGAATGCACTATTGTATTTACTTAACATCTGTAATGAGATTTTGTTTGCTTTATCAATTGCCTAACATATTTGTATCTCATTGTTCTTGTTAAAGAACTTACTGGATCCTCTCTCAACATTTTACTCTTCTACGGGCACTGGAATTCTTAATGGCTTGCCTCTGTTTTTATCTTACAACAATGATTGGAAATTTCATAACAATGAGAAATGATGTCTAATAATTTCGAGTGTCAGAGAGGATGTACAGCAGCATCACCACTTATATAATAGTAGCAAAGAATAAATTTGTGCAATCACTTTGGAAGTAAATTTGCCATTATCTTAAAAAGTTGTATTCCCTAGAGAAATCATCTATTGCACAAATGCAGCAAGAAATATGTGCCAGAAAAATTATTTATAGCAGAAATCTTCATATTCACACAAGTAAGGAAAAAATCCCAGATGTCTATTGATAGTTTGGATACATCAACTGTAGTGTATTAACCTAGTAGAATATTATATTGCAGGGAAAATAAGGTACATTTATTAAACAACATTGATAGAATTACAATATATAGTGAAAAAAAGCAAATTTCTCAGTGTTTTCAAATCCTTATAGTAAACTCTGGGATTCAGACATGAGAATTCAGAATTCCCAGGAATTCTCAGAAATTCCTGAAATCATAGTTATTCTAAAAATACTGCCAACTCTTCATTTGTTATTTCATACTTTATTTGTTATTATGGATATCTAAAATGTTTGTTTAGCAAATAAAATATACTGATTAGTAGTATTTACCAAGAAGTGTACCCTACAGCAAATATCCAAACAATGAAAAACACCAGCGGAAATTATGCATAGCATGGGAATAATTTAATATTCAGTCTCCCAGCAATGTAACAGCTCTTCATGGAATCACATGTTGAAACTGTCTATTTAAGAACTCATCTTTTATCTTATTTTATTTTAAGTTCTGGGGCACATATGCAGGATGTGCAGGTTTGTTACATAGGCAAATGTGTGCCCTGGTGACTTGGTGCACCTATCAACCCATCACCTAGCTATTAAGCCTAGCGTGCATTAGCTATTTCTCTTGATCCTCTCCCTCCCTACCCACAAACAGGCCCCAATGTGTGTTGTTTCCCTCCCTGTGTCCATGTGTTCACGTTGTTAAGAACTGATCTTGCATTCAGAACTTGTTATTCCTTGAAACACTACTCAAAGGATTTATACAAAGTACACCATGTCTATAAACTCATTAATATCTGTTTTATTTGTGAGAATGATTCACTGTTAGGAGCAGTCAGGACCAGGAACACATAGTTAGGATATGAGAACTGCTGGAAGCAAGACTGACTTATCAGATCACGATCCTTCTCTCTGTGATGCTACTGTCCTCTTTCCTAGAAAAGTCAACCTTAATATTTTATTCCATTTTCCAACTCTTCCTGCTCTTGCTTTCGACTTGACATCAGTTAGATTCCTTCAAAGCAGTATCAACTGCAGGTACTAATTCTAGTACTTTTCCTCATTTAAAGAAATTTTTTTCTGACTGACTCTTCTCAGAATTTGGGATTCAGAAAAATATGTAAATTTGCTGAGAAATGTCTAGAAGGAAATCCTGCCTGGAACAGTACTTGGAACTATATATAGTATAGTGGCATTTTTATAAATCTCAAAAATGTGCAAAAGGAAGTAAAAAAAATATAAAAATAGAATAGTGGTTACCTTTTAATGAGGGACCAGACTTGGAATGGGAGAGAAAAAAAGCACATAGGTGGTTGTAAGTTGTTGATTATGTTTTGATTCTTGGCTGGGAAGTGGTCACAGGTGTTTGTATAATTTTTCTATGTAATTTACATATAGGTTACAGATATTCTGGAAAATATATCAAATATTATATTAGAAAGATAGTTGAGGGGCCGGGCGTGGTAGCTTACTCCTGTAATCCCAGCACTATGGGAGGCTGAGGCAGGCGGATCACGTGAGGTCAGGAGTTCGACGCCGGCCTGGCCAACATGGTGAAACCCTGTCTCTATTAAAAATACAAAAATTAGCCAGGTGTGGTGGTGCGTGACTCTAATCCTAGCTACTCCAGAGGCTGAGGCAGGAGAATCGCTTGAACCCGGAAGGCAGAGGTTGCAGTGAGCCGAGGTCACGCCATTATACTTCAGCCTGCGTTGCCCAGAGACACTCCATCACACACACACACACACACACACACACACACACACACACACACACACACACACACACACACACAGGACCAGATCAGAATACCCTTCTTTTTATCCGTAAGTTTTAGTCCTAAAGTCTAAGGTAAATAGTTAATCCCCTACCCATGCTAAAATTTAAACTGTTCATTATTTCTATCATGCCCATGTATGTATTTAGTTAGAGAATCCATCCTGTCATTTGACTTCAGTCTGTCTTCTACATTCCCGCGTTACATTTCTAAAGCAGTGGTTCTCAACGTGCAGTCCCTGAGCCAACAGCATATGCTTCTGCCTGAACGCTGGTTAGAATGCTTATTCTCTAACCCCACGCTAGACCCACTTAATCAGAAACATCTGCAGGTGGGGCCCATTGGCTCTGCTTTTTAACAAGCGCTCTGGATGACTCGAATGCAGCTGAAGTCTGAGAACCACTGTTGTAAAGCTTCAAGTTAAAGAACTCAGGTAGGCCTGATTTAGTTACCTCTGTTAACAACTGTTACTTGTCAAAATACCTTAAAGTGGGCAGGACAGGTAAACAGGCTTCCTTATAGAATGGGCACAGTTTTTTTTGTTTTTGTTTTTTGTTTTTTTGAGACGGAGTCTCGCTCTGTCGCCCAGGCTGGAGTGCAGTGGCACGATCTCGGCTCACTGCAAGCTCCGCCTCCCAGGTTCACTCCATTCTCCTGCCTCAGCCTCCCGAGTAGCTGGGACTACAGGTGCCCGCCATCATGCACGGCTAATTTTTTGTATTTTTAGTAGAAACGGGGTTTCACGGTGTTAGCCAGGATGGTCTCTATCTCCTGACTTCGTGATCTGCCCGCCTCAGCCTCCCAAAGTGCTGGGATTACAGGCGTGAGGCACCGCGCCCGGCCATATTGGGCACAGTTTTTAAGGGGTGGGACTGTGTGCTTCGTATGGTAATTCTAAACTTCCTTAAGGTTTAGAATCCCTCTCCCAATGCCCAGGAATGAAGTACAATGGAAGTGAGAAGGAGGGGAACAAATTGTTTGCTGGACAAACTGTTTTCCACTTGGTTTTCCCCAAGGTGAGATGAGTCGAGCGCATCCATCATTGATAGGAGAAATCAAATGGATTTTTTCTTTTCCTTTTTATATAAGAGGTATAATTGTTTCTCATAGGCATCCCTCATATTGTTATAGAGTTGGGTGCTCTTTCTAGTTTTATCTTTGACAAAGACTTTAGAAATTTGTAGACAAAAATGCCTTGTTGCCTTGAACCTTATACTTTAGCCCTTTTTATTTCTCAGTTTGTTAGGATTCATATCAAAATGTATAATATAATTTTAAACTCTAGATGGTTGGGGGTAACTTTTTTATTGCGTTAACTTATACAAAACATAACATTTACCATTTTAACCATTTTTGAGTCTCCAATTCAGCACCATTGAGTACATTTGCAATGTTGCATACCTTTTGCCATTCTCTATTTCCAGAATTGTTTTTATCTTCTTAGAAACTCGGTACTCATAAACAATAACTCCCCATTATCCCATCCCTTTGGCCTCTAGTAACCTCCATTCTACTTCCTGTCTTTATGAATTTGCCCTTTCTAGATACTTCATATTAGGTGGAATCTTACAATTTTCTTTTGTGTTGGCTTACTTCACTTAGCCTAACATTTTCAAGGTTCATCCGTGCTGTAGTGTGACTCATAATTTCCTTCCTTTTTATGGTTAATATTCCAGTTTTATGGCACAGTGTATGTCTATACCACATTTTATTCATTTATCTGTCTATGAACACTTTTTGGCTACCCTGAATAATGCTGTTAATGAACATTGGTGTATGTGTTTAAATCCCTGTTTTTAATTCTTTTGGGCATACATACCAAGGAGTAGAATTGGTGGATTATATGATAATTCTATATTTAACTTTTTGAAGAATTTCCCAAGCTGTTTTCCACTGTAGCTGCACCATTTTGCATTCCCACCAGCTATGTGTGAAGATTCCAATTGGGAATATCTTTATGTGTCATGTCATGCGATTTTAGAAACAAAAGCAAAAGATGTAAAGATTAGTTTTCACCTACAGGTGAAAACCAATAGTTAAATTAAAAGCAAAGCTATGAGACATTAAAACCTAAGATTTATGGTTTTCCTCTTGTTTGGAGAACTTTTCCAGAATCCGCAAGTGTTGCTGGCACGAGCTTCATTGTCAGTAGGTAATGTGAAAATTGAATTTGTTGTTGGTGATAAAGTTCACGTGTGCTTTCTTTGGGGGGACATTGATTTGGGATTATAGTTTACTGTAACCTGGTAATTTCAGTAATGCAAATGCAACAAAACGTTACTTAAAAACAAAACATAAATTCAATCGGGGGTGGCAAGGCAATTAAGGGGAACTCTCTCCATTTGGCTGTCCTTCTGGGGTATTATGGCAGCTGCAGCCAATATTGAACAGGGAGCTGCAGCTGTTTACAGATGCATTAGGAAGGCGAGGCTCTGGAACTGAGTTGCACAATTTCTCCTGTGCAAAAGAAAAGCCAAAATTGTCAGAGAGGGAGGAAGTCTAGGGGATATAAGTAAATTTAATTTTCAGCGAGAGCTCAATGTGCTAATCCTGAGTATTACTGCTGCAATCAGTCAGAATCTAGGTTTCTACTGGTCACAGGAAAGGTGATTTATGTTCTGAATAGTCAAATCACTCCTTTATTTCCCAATATATATATCAGCTACTCTTATACATGTGTGCCAGTCTATCTTACATTTAGAATATTTATAAAGCTCATTCATGCTAAGGAATTTTTAGTGTTTGAATTGTCTGTGGGTTGCAAGGCTGCCAATTTTCAGAAGTTTGCACCATGATAAATTCAGAATTGTAGGTAGGGACTAAAACATCAAGTCTTCTGGAGCTTTGGTAATAAAAAGCTTTTCATTGAAAAGCATAGAGCTTCAAATGGGAATTATGAGAATTAAAGGGTCTGGGCAACATGGTAAAACCCAATCTCTACAAAAAATTCCAAAAAAATTAGCCAGGCCTGGTGGTGTACACCTGCAGTCCCAGCTACTTCAGGGACCTGAGGTGGGAGGATCACTTGAGCCAGGAGGTCAAGGCTGCAGTGAGCTGTCATTGCACCACTGCATTCCAGCCTGAGTGAGAAAGTGAGACCCTGTCTCAAAAAATAAAAAATAAAAAAAAAATAAAGAGGAATACAAACTCGGGGCTCCTGGATTTAACTTGTGACTAGACACTTAACAGGTGGTCTGCCACTTCCCTTATGACTCTGATGACATCATCTCTTTGCCAAGATGTTGAAGCTGAACACACATCCAGCAGAACAGGAGCTACCTCAGTAATTCAACAAATTATATTTATTGTCTCATCTGGCTATCCCCAGTTGCCCAGGAGTTTGACTTTTGGTCATTACTCTTTACCATATATGTGGTTGTCATGTAAAAAAGCCAAACAAAACAGTCACAAAATCAATTTGTTGCCAGGGAAGAAAGGGGGCTTCAGGGAAAGGAGGAAGACCCCAATCCCCTCGGGGAAAAAAACAGAAAGGTCAATTTAGTTTATTAAAGAGCTGATCCTTTTAGGTTCAGGATATAATACACTTCCTTTAATGCCATCTAATAGGAAATCAGAAACAGTCCAAAGGCACACTATTCCCTTAGGAAGAGTCAACACAAAATTAGCACCACCAGACCAAAGTCTAGTGCTTTGTGCTGCCTTAAGCACAGAATCCTGCAATGCAAATGCCATTTTAACTCCTTGGAATCAAATTCAGGGCCTGGTGTATGGAGGTGTTCTGGTAGGCATATGTATATATAAAGAAAGGGCAAATAAAGTATAGTTTAGAATGTTCTGGTAAATTTGTGCCATAGCTGAAAAAGTACAGAAAAAATGTATTTTCCCCTAAATAATCCATCATGAACATACATTAGTTAGGTTCTTACTATATTGCTCAGCATTATTAGAGTAGATCAATTGAGAACATTCCTCAAAGGAAAAAGAATGGTGGTTGCAAATTACGGGCCCCAGGACCAAGGGGAGAAAAGCGGTTGAAGTAAGGGAGGGCTCCCAGTCAGAAATCAAAGAGGGCAGGCAGTCAGAGAGGACCATGGTGAGAATCAAATTTCGAGGGCACGGGAAGAAGGGCAAGGGTCTGAGTCAAGGATGAAATGCTCCTGAAGAGTAAGAATGCTAGAGGCCTCTGTGCCTGGTACCTGCTGTGCAGTGAGAAAGCAGGCACAGTGGCTTAAAGGCACTAGGCAGTGTTTGCAGGTGGCAATAGACACAGATGCGTGTAACATGCAGCCCTCATCTCAGCGGACTCCTGGTGTATCTGGGCACACTCAGTGATCACATATGAAGCAACCAGAGAACAATTCAAAGTTGCAAATGATTGAGAAGGACTAAATAATAGGTCCCTGACTGTGAGGTTCTGAGGCAGTGGTTAGGGAAGTCTTCACAGAGGAGGGAGCTTGAGCAGGCCTCCGTAAGGTTAGGGAGCAGGAAAGGGATGTGGACATTTCAAGCAAACAGACAGCATGCCCGAAGGTCCTGAGGTTGAGGGAACATGACATAGTGGCTGCATGGAACATGGGTGATTAGCCCGGAACAAACATGGCACTGCACAGCCTGGGAGACTGACCCCCGTGGAGCAAATGGTATGCTTTGAGAACCTGTGGGAAGTGAATGTGGCTGGAGAAGTATGAGGGCCAGCGAAAGACTGAGTGATGTAGGAAAGACAGAAAGCCTTGAAAGCAGTGGGAAGGGATGATTTGTCTGAAGGGGAACAGGGAGCATTGGAGACGTCAGAGGCAGAGTGAGAAGAAACCACACAGGAGGTTGATGAAGTGGTCCAGCCATGGGACCAGAGAGGAAATCATCATTGTTATGCCAGTTTAGAAGAAAAGTCAAACAGCTTATGTGCTTTGACTGCCTATGAAGTATAAAGAAGAGAAGCATCCAGAATATCTCCAGAATTTCAAGTCCAAGGGAAAGGGAGGTCAGAGAAAGGAGACTTTCCGTGTGAACCTGGTATGGGCAAGAATGACATAAGTATTATATTGGACATACTGATACTAAAGTAATATCTAAACGTCTAAGCGGAAATGCCCAGTGAGCGGTTAGAAAGATGGAAATAAAGCTAAGATCACAATAAAGGACAGGAAATACAGATTTGAATATGTACAAGATAATTCTCAGAGAGTTGTATGTTCATATGTTATGACCCTGGGTGGAATTCTTTTCTGGATTCCACATGGGACATGAATTTGTGTCCTTGAATTGGTTGCATACACTTTTCCCTTTATCAGAGGCAGCAGTACAATAAAGCAACTTCTTTGATACCAGAATGGGGAGGAGAAAAGTGAATTTGCAAAGAATCTACTAATAGTTGACTTGGATGAGAATTTTCTCTGGGGTTTTGAGACTCCATAACCATGATTTGGGGGTGAAAAGGAGACCCATCAGAATGCTCATCACTTTTTAAAGATGCTAGTGGAAAACTCAGTGTCATAGACAAAGGTAATTCTTTTCCATTGAAGCCCAGCCTTTTGGTCTAAGTATCACTTCTCTTACTGAATGGAACATCTTTAATCTAAACAGGTTGCTTTGGCTTTGTTTCCTCAGTGAGGTGTTCTCATCAGAGAAATCTGTTGTTTAGTGTATACAGGTTGATTTGGTGAAATGATATTTGTGTGTGGTGTTATGTAAATAGAGGTATGGCCCATCTTTCTGATAGTAGCATAGTCTATAATTAGGATGGACGTGCATGTAAGCAGAGAGGTGTGTGCGTGCATGCACATGTGCATGCTGAGGGGCAGGGGGCGGAGAGGAGTGTACGCCAGCCTGTGTTAAAGTTCTTGATGTAAAGAAAGTCACCAATTCACAAAGGAATTTGATTACCTCTATCCATTATACACACACAGTGAGTGAGCGTGCTACTCACCATCTGTCATCTATTTCATTTGCATCACCAGCACCTGGCCTGTTTATCTGCTACATTCGTTTCTTCACCGAGTTCTTACACTGCTTTAATAAAATACAGAAATGTTATTGTTAAAAACCAATTAATTTACAATCCTCCACAGAGATAGTATTACTTATAATTCAATTTGGCTTCTAATGATCTGCTTTCTTACAAAATGACTTAATTCTTGTGTCAAAGATTAGTTATTAGATATTACCCCGCTGCACCAGCCATGTACTGCTGAGGTAGGCAAAGCAGCTTGGAATGTCCCTGGCCATTAATCAGAAGTCTGATATATTTTCTTGTTTAACTCCTTCAAGAACCTGGCCGCAGCCATAGTGCCCTTAACTGTTCCCCTGACTGAATGTTCTCTAACTTGATGACGCCTGGTACAAGGAGATTCGGAAGTTTCAGACAAAGCTTTTGTTTTTCATCTAAGAACTTGAATAAACCTATACAAGTTGGGATTTTTTTCTAGGTCCCTACACCCACATACATTTTCACTTGGCCATTTCCTACAGGATTGACTCTCCTAGCCAGCCATTTTGTGAACGAGGTGTAAAAAGGTTGCTCCCTCTTCCCTTAATCTGGCCTTTAGGAGTGAACCTGGTTGGATCCACACACAATGGTGGGGTGTGGGTGGCTTTCCATGCCATCATGGTATCATCCACACCCATCACACAGGCCAGCCTGCTCACACAGCGGCAGTCTGGCAGCCCTCAGCCACTTGTCCACACATTCACGAATGAAACCACTAAACATATGGCTGTAGCCAGTACATTCGAGAAACATCAGCTTGGGCTTACAGATTGAAAAGCCTTAAATACCTTAAAAAAATTTTTTTTATACTAAAATTGGTTTTAGTATAACATTCTTAAGCTGCACGTGTCTCTACTTTTTCAACCTTCTGATGTGATGCAGAATTTAGTGTGGAAGCTATTACATTCCTTCTCAATTTAATTTCCATTATACACATGGCAAACGTCACACAGCCTAACAGTGGGATGTATATATATATTTATGTATTTTTATTCCATATATAGGGAATTTAAAATATAAATATTTTATGCTTATATTTTAAATTGCGACGGTAAAGACTAAAATCTTTTCTGAGAAATGTATGAACAATATGAAGTCATGAAAATAATCATTGAAGATTAGTAATACCCAAATGAGGATACTTCTCAAACCTTGAAATGACTCAATTTGCTGAAACCGAAGGGGCCAGAGAATTTTAGAATACAGAGAGAAAGCATGTGAAAGGGGGAAAAATCTTCCTGTGGTACAATTAACTATAAAGCCAGCATCCTACATTTACAAAATAGATTTTTTAAATGATGCATCCATGTTGCTTATACTTTTTGGATTTATAAAAATGCAGTTGCTGCCAGCTCTGAAGCACGTGCTTCTGTTAAAACTACGGGGGGCTACAAAGGTAGCAGCAGTTCAGTTTGACTTCTTCTCTGGATTGTGCCACATTCAAAGCATGAGATACTCATTATCTTACAAAAGCAGAGAAACCAGCTCTGTGACTGGGGGAGGCGAAACTTGAGCAGCTGCCCTATTAGAAGCATTTTCTTTTTTGTACGTTATAATATCAAGAGAACTGTGCCTAGCACCATACACTCCATTTTACATAACAGGTTTCCTGCAAATGATCAAACTCATTGGTACACTCTAAAAGATAATTTTATCCCAGCCCCATGGTTCCTCCTGCAGGCTGCTCTCTGATTACCCAACAAATTATAGGTATTACTCTAAATATCGTGTTCTGTCTGTTCATGTACATTTTTACATTCTTCTGCTAGTAAAACTGAAGATCATATTTAATATGAGGCTGTCCCAGAATTTGAGATATTTAAAAATAAAGTCAGAGTGAGCCAAAGGAAGAAAACAATAGGGATAAAGAAGGACAAATGGTCCCCAAATCTGTTCACTGGTGACTATGGCTCAAATCAATATGATTTAAACTTCTTTTGGGATAATAAATAATTCACATTCCTGAATCACTTCTCTATATGCAAAGTAGAAATGGGAAGCAAATGCCAAAAATGTCCCCAAAAAGAATAATCTCCGAATAACCCTGTTTTCTGAACTTTATTCTTCAAATTCAGACAATGCATCATCAACCTCAGAAATAGGAGTCGAGCCAAACAAGCTGCAATCTAATATGGAAATGTGGTCCTGGCCCCGGTACTGTGTCATTCTTCTGAATGGGATCACCTGCACCCATCCCTCCTAGGAGAAAATTTCAAACAGAGTTAGCTCCTTAAACCTTCTAATTAAAATGAGAAATCCCCAGGCTTCCATGACTCAGCCTCAGAAAAAGATTATTAGGAATTTAATAGGGAAAATATAGCAGCTCAGACCATCTGTGACCCAGTGCTCTGTGAGAATTTAAAGAAAACTGGAGGGAGGCAGCCCACACTCCAATGCACGCTCGAGGAGTACTTTGTAGGAGCTGCAATAAATCAACATAGTTAGAGTACAGCCTTTTTCAGATTTAATTACTGTTACATAATTATTAGCAAAGCATTCTCCTCTGAAACTGTAAAACTCATTACATCAAAAATCCCCAAGCTCCTGATGGAATTTATGAACTAGTTACTTTCTTTCTAGCTCTGGGAAAATAGTGGAATAGAGTCCAGATTTGTCTCCAGCTTTTCAGAAGCAGAGAGGGATTTTTTTCCCTCCTGTTTTGTGTCATTTCAGTAGGTTTCTGAACTGAGTTTGCTATGGACCATTCTCTTAGACATTTATCCATATTCTCACCTAAATACTCGTTTAAATGATTATGTTTCCTTTCAGTGGGAATGGTATTAAGCAAGTAAGTTTCAAAGTGTGTCAGCAAGAAGCTGACTAATTTTCAACAGGGTGAAAGATCAATCCACTTGAGGTGTCTTTGAGTTTTTGCGGGTTCAACCAGGGTCAAAAAAGTCCCAGCGAGTAGTGGGGATTGTTTTGGAAGGACAGATGTTATCATGGGAGTGATACCACTACATACAGTGGGACATTGGATCTGACCTGTGCGTCTCTTCCCAATACCACATGTGGTGGCGTTACACTGGTAGCTTGAAATTGGCCATGGTGGGAGTATTTGTACCACAAAAATTGGCAAATGCTACAAATCCAGGCTTTTTCCCTGCACAGCCACATTTGCCAACACAGCGTTGTTACTGTGTTCACCAATGACACAAGTGTAAATGCCACCTCTATTGTCCACAGAACTCTAGCAGTTATCCTAAGATAAATCTCCCCCACTTATGCACTATGCCAATAGAACTTTAACAAAAACAGGTTTTAAAAAGTCTAAAAGTCTAGCTTGGGTAGGGTGTTTGTTTATGGAAGCAGGAGTACTGTGGAATGGGATTCGTTTGGAAGACAGGCGAGCACCCTTGCCTGTGCTAGTTAGCTCCTTACCATCAAGTGTTACTTAGCCAAGGATGGGAGTGGTCCTTCCAATGTGGGTCAGGCAGCTTCCTGGGATCCTTAGCTCCTTTCCTGCAGAGAACTGCAGCTGCTAGAAAACAGTTTGCTCTTGCTCCTACACTCGAATATCCAGCCAGATGTTTTCTGCTGTATTCGTGGGCTCTCCTGGGATTAGCTCTCATCAGAATGAGAGGAAGATAAAGGCAGCCAAGGCTTACAGGGTCAGCTGCCTTGTACCTGTTCTCTCTGTCGCTGCATTTCCCAGTCACTGACTCTTCGCCAGCCCTGGGACAACCTGTGTCTCCCTGGTGATCCCCTAATCCACATTCCGACACTATCTCCCACCACTCTCTGCTCGTGACCTCCAATGCAGTCAAACTAAATGGCTTCTTGTCCTGAATATGCCCCAGGCACTTCCATGCTATTTTTTTTTTTTCTCATAGAAGGCGACTAACAATGCTTAAGCACTGTTGCAGTTCTGTTTCAGTATAAAAATGCATTTTGCACTTCAGATTGTCTATTTTTTTTTAGTAATCTGTGTTAGTTGACAAGGGTTCTCACTGCTTTTTCTTTAATAGTAGCCTGCTCTTTTTAAATTTATGAATGTGATCATTTTACAGATCTCTTAGAGAATAATGCACTTAAAGTTTTGTTTTTGGTGCTAATTCTGTGTTCTCTGGGTATAGTTCTTCTGTTTGCTATTGTCTCATGCCAGAATTTTCCTCATGTTGGTGATTTTTTGTGTGTGTGTGTGTGGTCTGTTTGTAGTATAGATGATCTAATTTAAACAATATTGTTAGGAAGAGTTACTTCCTGTCTGGCTGTGGGTTTGTGTTCTGATTTAGGAAGCCCTGCTTTCTGATAGCTGGATGAAGGAAAAGGACATTAAGTAGAGTCAGAAAGGCTCTTCCTTCCTAGGAATACAGGTGATTTTTCTTCTGGGTATGGAGACAAATTTTTTAGTGACCATACATTTGTTACAATGCTGTTTGTTTCTACTGCCCCATACTAACTGTTGAATCTCTGAGGTCAGAATTCTAAAATCAGAAAGTTGTCCTCCATAATTTAATCCATAGCCAAACACGACATCCAAGAACACGAAGATTATTGAACTGCCTTAACTTTTTTTTTTTTTTTTTTGAGACCAAGTTTTGCTTTTGTTGCCTAGACTGGAGTGCAGTGGCGCGATCTCGGCTCACTGCAACCTCTGCCTCCCGGGTTCAAGTGATTCTCCTGCCTCAGCCTCCTGAGTAGTTGGGATTACAGGCATGCGCCACCATGTCCAGCTAATTTTTTGTATTTTTAGTGGAGTCGGGGTTTCATCATGTTGGCCAGTCTGGCCTCGGATTCCTGACCTCAGGTGATCCACCCGCCTCGGCCTCCAACAGTACAGGGATTACAGGCGTGAGCCACTGTGCCCAGCCTGCCCTAACTTTTTTTTTTAAATTGCCACTTAATTTGTTAACCAGCCAGCCTCTCTCATCTGACTCCTCCTAGACTCTTGGAGTTGCTATAATGAGTTTCTCCTGGGGAACGTCACTGGGTCAATAGAAGTTCTCTCCTTGAACTGAAGTGGCTGCAGTTTTCTTTCTTCCAGTTAAATATTTAAGAAATTGTTCTCTGTTCTGGTCTGCCGGTGCTAGAGTTTCCAGATTTCCAGTGCTGCTGTGTGCTGAAATTAATTTTTTAATGTCTTCCTGCATTTTAATAGAATTTTGGGAGAGAGTGATGGCAACACATGGTCACAGCCATCTTTAACCAGAAGTCTTCCTCTATTCTTTTTTACAGCATTTATTTCTGGGTTGGTTATTACTATTTATGCCTGTAACTGAAGAAAACAAAATTTAACTGTAGCATTGTGGACACTTTGTGCCCAGCAGCTTTAAAATACATGTTTGATGAAATAGTATTAATCACATAAAATACTAGGGATCTATACTTTAATTAGGAAGCATAATACTGGACCTGCCCATCTACTCCACATTTCCAGATTCAACATTGAAGAAAAGAATTCTTTTTATGTAAGCTTACTATGGAGGATGAGACACGTTAAAAAGAACTATCCAATTCTTGTCTATTCTTTATTTTTGAACATGTTTTAAATTACTTCTATTAATTTCTTTTGTTTTTTATGTTTTAAAATAAATTTTATTGTGTGTATTTAAGGCTACATCATGATGTTATAAGATACATATATAGTTAAATGGTGGCTATAGTGGAACATGTCAACACATTCATCATCTCACACAGTTACTCCTTCTTCCCACCACCTCTTCCCGTGGCAAGAGCAGCTATAATCTACTCATTAAGCAAAAATCTTGAATACAATACACTGTTATTAACTGTAGTCCTCCTGTTGTATATCAGATCTCTAGACTAGTTCATCCTATCTGTCTAATACTTATTTTGACCTAAATCTCCCTATTTCCTCCCCACCACCCTGACCCCAACCACAGTAACCACTGTGTTATTCTCTCTTTATATTTCATCCTTTTTTTAAGATTCCATATATAAGTGAGATTATGCAGTATTTTTCTTTCTGTGTCTGACACTACTTCAGTGTCCTTCAGGTGCATCCATATTGAATCTCCTCTTTGCTAAGGCTGAATAATATTCCAGAATGAGTGTGTGTGTGTGGGTGTGTGTGTATGTACCACAGTATCTTTATCCATTCATTCTTTTTTGTATTTTAATAGAAAATTGTTATTTTAAAAAAAAACTATAAAAGCTTATGGGACTGTTAGTCTTTTCAGAGATTTCTGTGCACGATCGTATTATTTTGTAGACAGCCACGGTGTCTAAGGCTGAAAAATAACAAGCCTTTCACATAAAACTGGTATTCATCATTTATTTTTCTAAAACACCGTTATGGTAGGTCCAAAGCTAATTTTTCAAGTGAAGGAATAGATTATAAAGATAAAGAGGAGGCATGCTAATATTCTCTTACTACAACTTACTAGTTTGCAATATGATTGCATTAGAACAGAAAGTTCTCAAATATATATTTGTGAGTATCAGTTACAGTACTTAGAATCTTGTCCTGTGATCATGTGACAAATCTATTTTAGTTTTATTGCCATGACAATTAACCACTTAGGGGTTTATTCTGTCTTGTAATTCTTTTTTGTATTTTGTCAGTGGATGAAAGTTGCTCAGCGTAAATCTAGAATTCAAACATCTGACTGAGAGAGTAAGTGTCGTGCTTTAAATTGGTCAGCATGTCAATGCCCACAAATCCTAGAGGGTTACAGATGATATCAATCACTTGCCACATTCATGACTAATTTAATATCCTCCTTGCCATGTTCTCTCATCAGTGTAACACGGCATGACCTGTTAGAGTTTTCTGCCATCATGTGACTGGGCTGGAGACAAAACGATTTGTTCAGCCAAACCTATCTGGCTACCAGCTGATTCAAGTTTTGTAATAACCTATATCAGCTTGACTGAAGTTCATTTTATCAAAGTCTGTAAGAAAAGTGTTTGATTAGCAAGTTACAGGTAACATGAATTTAGTGCTTATTTTGGGTCAGGCATGCTGACCACATACCTGTATTATCTCGTTTAATCCTCACATCACCCCAAGAGGCAGGTGCTACCGTTTGAGGAAATATACAAGTGAGAAGGCTGAGGCCCAGAGAGATGAGTTACCGGACCAAGGCCACACAGTTGGTAGGCAATGAAGTGAGGATTTTCATCTATGTGGAGTGAATCTAGAGTCTGTGCTTTGATAACCTCTTACTTAAAATACACACACACACACTCTTTTCGTTTAGAGTTTTAGGACCACATATTAACTATTTACGTACAAATATAGTAAATGGCCCTAAATAACAAATAAATTGTGTTTTATTCATTAAATTAAGGATATGTGTACTCAAATATTTTAGTTTATTGTTGGGACCTGGATAAGAGCTGCTGACCTGGGGATACATGTAATTTGAGTAACTGGGATTTTATTTACGTGGTTCTCAGTCACTTCATACTCTTGGTAGCATTCTTGGTACAGGAATGGCTTCCCTGGAATAGTCCTACTAACCACCAAGGTGCCTGAATCCTCTACTGAGACATGAAGAGGCAGCTCCAGAGGTGTGGTTATCACAGGAGTGTGTCCTGTAGCATGAGCATATGTGATAAGGGACAAAAAGTAAGAAGCTCACTTTTGGACTTGAAAGAAGAGTACATTTCTATTAAAATATTTATAAGTCAAATATTTTCTTTGTTCACATTGACTTTTTCCTCCAATTACTCTGAATATATTGAGTTTTAGAAGGCAATGTTCATGCCTTCTAACTTAACTTTAAAAATATCTTTCCCTATCCCTTTAAACTCTCTGGTTGTCATCCTGCCTTTTGGACCTTAATCCCACCTGCAGGGTTTGGGACCATCACCTTTGCTCATCTGTTCCAACCCTGTACCCAGAGGCAGAACCAGGTTGATGAAACCTGGAGTTTATATGATTATTGGGAAAGGGAATCTTTAATTTAAAAAGGCAAAATGAAAAATGCAAAACTGGGTCCTAACTGAATATTTACTTAAAGTGAGAAAAGAAATCGCAGTGCATTGCAGATTTTTTTAAAGTTGGAAAACACTACAACTGTTATGAAATCCAAATTTGTATACGTATAATATTTTTAATAATTAACTTATTGACAACTTGAAAATACCCTTTCCCCTACATTTTTTGGCTACATAATTGTTCATTATCTCCTCTCATCACAATTTGGTAATATAATTTTTAATAAAGTAGAAAGCTAAGCCAGTCTTTATACCATAGTTGATCACAATATTGCTTTTGTTTAATGGCCCATAATTTTTATCTTCAGTCTCTCTGTCTCTCTCTCTTCCTCTCTCTTGCTCTCTGTGTATATGTGTTTACAGATAAATTTAATAATTAGCAAAGAAGAAGATATACTTCACATATGTTCATATAAAGATCTGGCAATTTTGCAGCTGCTTTATTGAACATTCCAAAATGTCTTTACAGGTGGCAGTTAAAATGGTATTTATTTTAGCTTTATCAAATGTGTTATTGCATCAAAAAGGGGGCAAATGCATGGTGCATTTATACTTGGATGTGCAGCTTAATCAGGTATAATGCTGACAGGAGAAAACTTCTATTTGACCAGACATGTATGTAACTGAAAGTTTCACATATAATGATACACATCTGATAGATGGAAACACTTTCTACTGACTAGCTTCTGGCTTCTTACTTTTTGTCCCTTATCACATATGCTGATGCTGCAGGACACAGTCCTATGATAACCCCACCTCTGGGGCTGCACCTTCATATCTCAGTAGAGGGTTCAGGCAGCTTGGTGGTTAGTAGGAGTATTCCAGGGAAGCCATTCCTATACCAAGGATGCTCACAAGAGTATGACATGACTGAGAACCGCATAAATAAATCCCAGTAACCCAAACTATTAGATTGGTGCAAAAGTAATTGTGGGTTTTGCCATTAAAAGAAATGTCAAAAACCGCAATTACTTTTGCACCAACCCAATATCTGTCTCCTCATGTCAACATATCTTAGCCAGGTCTCAAAAATGTCATCAATGAGCAATGGCCCTATGATAGAGAGAGGTAGAGGGGCAGAGGGCCATGGGTAGATGTCCACCCTAAATCTGTGCACACACTCTAGACCAAGCTCCAGGTGCCTGGGACCCAGAATGCCCTTCTTGAATGTCTTAGAGCATGTTTTCAGGGCTGTTGACCTGCAGGGTGAGTCCTCACAGTGTGGAACATGCTTACTTAGGCTTAAGTGGTGGGCACGTGGAGTCAGGTATAGAAAGAAAAGAGGCACAGGCCAACACCCGGGGGTTGATTTTTCCCATGCTGCCAGATTCTTGGAAGAACCTCCAAGAAGCCAGAGTATTCTCTGTTTGAACTTGGGCTTTTTTTTTTTATCAGTCATTATGAAGGCATAATTTGTAGAGATAGAAGATAGAACATATTTTATAGTCTGTTAGACTTCTATAAATTTATAGAATGAACATGCAATACCTTTACTATCAGAACTAATCATGAAAAGTTAACAAATATTAAAACAAGCAAATAAAATCTTAAAACCTAATATGGACATTCAATTTAAAAACTCTGCCGTGTTGAGAAAGCATACAGGATTCATGTTTGCTTAAAAGTCATTGAGCTCTGGCAAGAAGTTTTGAAGGCACTTTGGTGCGATTCCCAGGGTAGCCAGGATAGCCAGGATTCCCAGGGTCCCCAAGCCTATGGGACAGAGAAGGCACAACAAACGCTGTCCCAGCTTCTAGAGGAGCCCAATAAAACAGAACATCTACTATGGGGCTTGAGCAAATAGAAGTGCACCTCATTGCTCACAATTGTAGGTGCTTAGTCAGCAGGACAAAGACTAACAAGCAACACACCATAGTACCACCCTGAAGAACAGAGCAAACCATAAAGATCTCACAGAGGAAGGCCTCCCCTGGCAGGCTAGGTTGAACACTCAATGGGCTTATGATCACATAGCCAGAATCTGGAATATTAGTGCAAAAACACCATTCTTGGACGAAGGAATATTACTCCAAGAGAGGGATAGTGACACTAAGCAGAATGGTGAGTTTTTGTTACACAGCTGTTTAAAACTCGATGCACTGTTATCTGTGTTATATAACACTTTGAGAATGATATAAATTGGACATGTTATTAAGAATATAATCATGTAAACATGTAGGTACCTTCTTATTACTCTTCAACTGTTGTCAAGCAACTGCCACCGGTTCCCTCTTACTGTAACCCTGATTCAGTGTCCAACATAGACCTGTACAGAAAGAATTGGAAGTCTACAGCTTTAAATTCTGAGATGTTGTCCTGAATATCTGGGTTTTAGGACAACTCAGGTGAGCAATCATTACAAATGATGGAAAAGTTGACCTTTGTTCTTCTCTCTCTCATTTGCCACGTAGTGCTCTATGTGCAACCGCACAGTCCCCCATCTCTCTGTTTACAGAAGGACTGGGCTTGATGTTTTTTTCAGCTTTCGGAATCACGTGGTTTTCTGCCCCACATTGCTTAGGACAAGCTGGAAGGGAGAGATCAGAGCCCCACCAGGGCTCCTCAGTGTGATTCCCTCCTAATGATCCTTTTCCAATCAGAAGGGAGTAATTTTCCTCCGCCTCATTATTTTCCTGCCTAGCTTTCTGCCCTTTGAAGCTGAGTTTTCCCTGCCATTAACAAATAACTAGGAAAGTATACTTACTAGAACTTCTTACTAATCTCCTTGTAGTTTTATAGCTCGACCTCTTACCAACCTTTTGACACATGTGATTTCTTAAAGGGGCAATGCCTGCTATTTTCTAAACTTCTTAAAAGACATTCAAAGAGATCCTACTTCCTTGTAGGGTTCTCTGTAGAAACTGACACACACAAAACATAACTATGTTTAATTCTTGCGGTGGGGTGCCTTTTAATACTGACTATATGTCAGACTCCATATGGTAGCCTGGATACTTGACATTCAGCGACCAAATAAGAAATTAGCATTTCAAACTGATACGAGACACAAATCAAACTCATTCTCATCATCTTTGACAGGGATAGCACTTGGTAAACCCATAGGATGCTTTCTGGATATAATGTAAATAGATTTGGTTAAACATTTATTGAGCACCTGCTATGTGCAGAATACTGTGTTGAATGCTATATCAAATGCTATATGAATCAACAATATGACCAGGATTTACAGTTTGACAGAAAGCATATGGCCTTACACAGACATTTATAGAGTGTTCATATAGAAGGTTCACAAGGTGAATAAATACAATATGATAAGATGATGGAGTAAATACCCCAGGAATCGAGAGGGAGATGGGCAATGCATGTTTGTATTGCAGAGGACAAAAGGGAATCCATGATGCAGATTGTCTTTTTCTCTAAGATTCTCTTAACCGGTATCTTACCTCAACTCCTATACTAAGTCACCCAATCTGTTCATGACCCTCCTCAAGTCTCTTGCCAGAATATACCTTTTACCATGGTCTGGAGTCTATATTTAAATGAATAGATTTATGATGTTTGTAAGCATCTTATGTATTTAGATTTGTAGTAAAACTTTCAAGGAAATATAACTAATCCTTAAAAGTCATAAAACAGATACTATGGTCCACTGTTTCCAGGAAACATGCAAGTCAGATTAGTCATCTCATTCTTTTTTTTTTTTTTTTTTTTGAGACAGAGTCTCGCTCAGTCACCCAGACTGGAGTGCAGTGGCATGATCTCAGCTCACTGCAACCTCCAACTCCCGGGTTCAAACAATTCTCCTGCCTCAGCCTCCTGAGTAGCTGAGATTACAGGCACACACCACTACACCCAGCTAATTTTTTTTATTTTATTTTTAGTAGAGACGGGGTTTCACTATGTTGGTCAGGCTGGTCTCGAACTCCTGACCTTGTGATCTGCCCGCCTCGCCCTTCCAAAGTGCTGGGATTCTAGGCGTGAGTTGCTGTGCCTGGCCTAGTCTCATTCTTAAAGCAAGATTTTGCATTACTTTATTAAAGTAACTAAACTTCAACATTAACCAGGTCTTTTCGAGCAATGCTATGACAGAACTATGGGACTAGATATTGAAAGACTTGGATCTAATTTAAATTCTGCCACTTGCTAACAGTGTGAATTTGGATGTCACCTTACTTCTCTCAAACTTCTCTGCTTTTTCACAATCGGAGACAGGCAATTACATTTATTTGCCACAATATGTCAAAATAGTTGTTGTGATAATCTTGAAAAGTAACATTTAAAAGTATCATTCAGAAGGAACGTATCATTATTTTAACAAGCTTTGAAATAAACTCCTGGGTATAATTCAATTCCTTTTTTGCTAGTCCCTAACAGTTACCTCATTTTCTTCACAGATCTTTATAGAATGTTTCTTTTCTAATTACTCCACTTTTTTTTTGTTTTTTAGCTTAAGATCAAAATACAAAAAGACTTCTGCAGAGATGTGCACCTTTCTGTCAGTTTGGGAATAAGAACTCTGGGGTTGCTTCTCCCATCTAGCCTTGCTTCCTTTTCTAATGAGAACATCATTGTTTGGTACAAATCAGAGCAAAGATTTATTGCCTTTTTATATTCTCAGCTCCTCTTCTCTTTTCCTACTTATCCACTGCCCCTCCTATATAGAACAGAAGCAAAAGTGTGCAACTGCCAAATGTAAAGTTGAGAAGCTAAATCACTGCCACTATTTTATTTTCTGAATCAGAGGTTTCTATTGTCAGTTTAACTTTTGAAAGTGACAGCAGAAAAGAATCTGTCAGGATATATAGAGTGAAACATAGGGATGTCATCACAGACTTCATCATGATTGACAGAGAGATGAAGGACAGATTCTGGAATAAAGGTGATTTGAGTTGTCTAGTCTATTCAACCAGCCTTCATGGTGGGAATGGCCAAGGAGAAAAGAATTCTCCACTACAAAACACACTGAGAGACTCAAGGATGCAATTCAAAAGACATAAGTTCCCCAGAAAATGAAACAGTAAAGGAAAACACAGGTGAGAGACATTCCCTATCTTTGAGCCCTGAGATATGAAGTGTAATTATCATGTTTATTGCTCTTCTGGAATGATGTAAGTTGTATGTATCTCATTTATTATAAAACTTGAATTTATTGTAAATGGAGGCATGAAATCTAGTTATGAAAAAAATGACACCATACTGTTCTTGAGGGCTTAAGCTCTGAACAATTCTTTTATCCCAACCTTCTTAAATAAATCAAACAGGAGTGTGTGTGTGTGTGTGTGTGTGTGTGTGTGTGTGTCGTCCTCCTCCTACATCTTTTTAGGAAAAATAGTGAAAACAAGAAGGAAGTTGGGAACCAGAAAAAATAGAAGAGTCTTGGCTAGTATTGAAGATTGAATGCTTTGGGCTTTTCTCCATCACTAAATCTCTATTTAATAGTATGGCTATAGATTTAAAAATATATTCTTGCTTTATACAATAAAAATGAGACATAAACCGAAACTTTAATTTCACAGTTTGAAAGTACATGCTTCACATTTCAGTTAGGTCAAGTGCCCTCTAACTAGACATGATGGGCTAATCTGTAAATGATTCAATGGAGTGACCAGAAACCTAAAATTGAAGCCATATGGAAACTTACTGTGCATATTAAATTGTGTGTAGCAGTGTTAACAGCATCTTGATTTGTGGCTGCAAGTAATAAATGAATTATATTAATTTTGTAGCTGCAAGCTAATTTCTCCAGAATTACTTTTTAATAACCAGAATCATGTTCGCTGGTAAGATTTAAATACATTTAGAAACAAATTTGTAGACTTTTAAGCAATGCTAGATTATCATTTTGAAAACTTAAGAGTTCATTTACTATTTCTCCTAACACAAAATTTTTGGAGAGAAAATTCTTTTGCTCAGACTGGATAACTTAGTTGACAAACAATATCTGTGTTAATACCTAGAAACAGTCACTATTCTAGTACAGCCAGGTGGGAGCTGAATTGTTGCAAGAATTTTTCCGCCTATTTTATAGGTGATCTGTCTTTATCATATAACAACATTTTTTTCTCCCTTGCTGGGTTGAAACTCAACATGCTTTCATGTCACCTTAAAACTTGGAACATTATGGTTGGTTTTCTTACATGAGGCCTTTTAGTTTAGAGTTGAAGAGTGTGAGATCTGGAGGTCGACTCCCTTGGATGGAATTTTTAGCTCACTGCTTATTAACTGTATAATCTTGGGCAAGTTTTTGTGTCTCAGTTTCCTGATGTGGCTTGTAATAGTATGTACCCCCCATGTTGTTAGGAGGATTAAAGAAAAAGTACACATGAGGTGCTTAGATGGGGCCTGCCTTGAAGAAGCCTTGTTAAATGTGAACTACTGTAATTCTCTGGGGAACGGAGGTGCATGGAGAGATTGTGAGGTTGCTGGTCACACAGACCTGGGTTGGATCCTAGATCCACTGTTGATTGGCTCTATGAGCTTGGGCAAGTTGCTTCATTGTTCTGAATCTCAATCTTTGTCTGTAAAATGGAATTGCCATACCATATCCCTCACCCTGCACTGTCCAGAGGACTATATGAGATGAAGTGTGAAGTCAACATAATGATGGTCATGGAATAGTTTCAAAAATACCAATTAATGTTCATTTCCTTTCTCTCCGTGGGAAGTAGCCTTTTCTCTATTATTTGGGGTGGAGAGGGTTGAGAGAGTCTCAACTAAGTCAGGTGGCCTATTTCCCTCATCTTAGGCTCCATGTCAAAGGGGATCTCTGACAATACGGAACAGTGGTATGAAAAATCTGCATTCACAAATAATATAGTGTTTATATATGACCGTTAACATGTATTGTAATTTGGTTTTGGCTACACATTTTTCTTCTTAATTCTATTTGATTTGGGATACTAAAATTAGTTGGCCTTCCCAGAATAAACACAGACTGGCAATGAAGGAGGTCATAGCAAAAGAGAAATTAGCTCATACTTTCAAAATGTTGCTGTGGGTGATCTGCATGCAGAGGAATTACAATTGTATTACCAAAAATGCTCAGCTCCTTCGCAGATAATCACAATAATAATTACTTATAGAGCACTGACTATGTGACAGAATGCTTTACATACATTGTTAATTTAATCTACCCCCAAATGCTATCAATAAATATGTTATGGATCTCACAAATGCAAATAAGGATACTGATCATTAGAGAGGTTGAAAAAAAATCTCTCCCTTCACTTTCTAAATGTGTCATTCAGCTCAGCTAATAGAATGGTTTTGAGTTAGGTCACTAACTTTTTCTTGTTACCATATCTGATTCTATGACACAAAACTATACAACAAAGAAGTTTTGAAAACTTTACAACAATATTGTTTCACAAATCTTGTAATTAAAATTCTGTTTTGCATTTGTCTATGTGGTCTTTAATCATAGCCAAAAAATTAAAAACCTGGTATTGTCACTTACAGTACTGCTCCTGCAGTCATTCTGGGAGAATTCTGGAATAATAACTCCAAATACAGAGAGCTTCTCCTCCAGAATATTTAATATAGACGAGGAGCTGTAATCAGAACACTAAGTATTAAAACTGTGGTCTTGCTTCTCTTTTCTTTTCAGGCCCTGCACTGATTTTGAGCCCATCCATGCCCCTAAGTCCACAACTGCAGCTCAGATCTCTCTTCAACTTCAGACATAGACAGCTGCCATTCAACCGCCTAGTACATAACTCAGTCAGGACTTTCCACAAGAGACTTAGTCTCGACAAGTTCAAAACTGAGGGTCTCATCGCTGTCCCACCCCAGCCTGCCCGATCGAGGTCACACAGGACTTTCCACAAGGGACTTAGTCTCAACAAGTTCAAAACTGAGGGTCTCATCACCGTCCCACCCCGACCTGCCCGATCTAGGTCACACATGTGTGTGTTCTTCTCCCTCTCCTCTCTTCCTCAGTTTCCAGATTCAGGCAGTGCATACTCTCGCTTCTCTCTATTAATCACCCCTGAAGCCTCTCCTCTCCTTTCTAACTCACTGCCATCTTTCACTGGAGCTATTTCCTAATTGGTTCCCTGGTTCAGGTTGCAGCTTTGACTTTGCTACCATAGCACAGCAATCCTTCTAAAATGCAAATCTGCTGATGCATTCCTCTGTGGAAGATCCCTCAGCTGACTCCTCTGCAGACCTACAAGGCTCTCCATGATGTTGCCTTGGCCAGCTTCTCCAGGCTCACTTTAGGCAAATCCCTGCTACTCCAAACACCCAAGTCAAACGGAACTTGCAATTCTTGAAAGTGATTTGTACCTCCCCCTTCCTAGGAGAACATTTCTACCTGAAACCTCCTTCTCTTAGAGTCTCAGAGGGAGCTCTCAATAAGCAGCAACCCCTTTCTCTTTGAATCCAATTGCTTAGAACCATTGTGGAAGACAGTGTGGTGATTCCTCAAGGATCTAGAACCAGAAATACCATTTGACCCAGCCATCCCATTATTGGGTATATACCCAAAGGATTATAAATTGTGCTGCTATAAAGACACATGCACACATATGTTTATTGCAGCACTGTTCACAATAGCAAAGACTTGGAACCAACCCAAATGTCCATCAATGATAGACTAGATTAAGAAAATGTGGCACATATACAACATGGAATACTATGCAGCCATAAAAAAGGATGAGTTCATGTCCTTTGTAGGGACATGGATGAAGCTGGAAACCATCATTCTCAGCAAACTATCGCAAGGACAAAAAACCAAACACTGCATGTTCTCACTCACAGATGGGAATTGAACAATGAGAACACTTGGACACAGAGTGGGGAACATCACACACTGGGGCCTGTCGTGGGGTGGGGGTAGGGGGTAGGGGGAGGGATAGCATTAGGAGATAGACCTAATGTAAGTGATGAGTTAATGGGTGCAGCACACCAACTTGGCACATGTATGCATATGTAAAAAAACCTGCACGTTGTGCACATGTACCCTAGAACTTAAAGTATAATAATAAAAAAAAGAAATAAGAAATAAGGCAAATGGAAGCCAAAGATCAACTTTACAACTGATGAAGTGGAGGTCAGAGAATGTCTCTTGGAGCATGAGCTACATGCACTTGCCAACTCAACCCTGGAATTGGACAGACTATTCCAAATAATCACAGAAGACCCTGAACCACTGCAGGCCTCCCACGGTTCCTTAACTTGGGCTGGCTGGAAAGAAGGAGGAGCTGAGCCAAGCACGCCCAATTTTCCTTCCCAATACCTTCCAATCAGACGAAGGCATTCTGTCCCTAGAGAAAAGGGTACAGGAGGTACTGGGAGGCTGGGAGTGTCACACTTCCGTCTGGAAAGAAATAACAGGAGAAATAATCTGGAAATGAAGTTCCCACACTGGCCCACCTGAGAAATATCTCTGACCTCTGACCCACATGGTCCCGGTCAAGTACCTGTTCCTCCAGGAAGCTCCTCTCCTGGCCCCTCTATGGCCCTGCCCAAGCTGAGCAGACAGTGCTCCCATCTGTGTCTCCTCCACTAAATCTTTTGATTTACTTATTTATATTTATAATTTATATATCTGTCTCTCATCTTGTACTCCTTGTTCTTGGATTGTAGAAGTTGTGTCTTTTACATTTTTATATCCTTCACACCTAGTGTGGTGTCTGATAAACCGTAGTTTAGTAATAGGTATTTGTTGGACAAATAGGTGGACTTTGGGCCTTGATTATTCAGCCTTCAAGAGAGCAGGGACTACATCTACCCTGTTCACTACTGAGTCTACCTTCTTCCCGCACATTGCATAGCACCTGGTGTGGGATGTCCTGAACAGTGATGACTGGGTGAAAGGACGCATAGACATCCTCACTACACTAGAAACCCCACAAACACAGGGAGCTTGTCACTTCCTCCTCCTGCATTGCATTCTTATTGCCCGGAGCTGCGGAGGATTCATTAGGGTACGGACTCGATAAAGAATTGTTCAATGAATGAACAGCTCTTATTGAATCCTCCAGTTTCCTTCCCTTGCTCAGACAGAAAATGTGAAGGCTAAGACCTATTGTTTTGAGGTTTAGTTGAAGACATACAGTAACTGACAAAGTATTGCCCTTGTTTGTTGTAAGGAAATTTGACTGCGTTTCTACCTCTTTTCATGACCATTGAGTCACCAGCTAATGGAAAGATATGGCTATAGAGCCCTGAAATAGCCAACTGGGAGAGTGAAAATTTTTTTCCCCACAGTTCAAGTTCCTGGAACGTGTTGGCCAGTCTGCATTCCTGTCTAGATCCTCCTTGCTATGATGTGGGACCCCCCCACTCCTTGCATAGTCATCCTATAGAGACTGAAGCATCTTAATTTGCAATTCTCCAGATGTAGTAGAGAATAACATTTTAAAAATTAATTGGAGGATATCTTTTTTATTCTCCAAATCTGTGAGAGGATCTTGTAGAACATGCACACAGACAATTTTTCCATGATAACAAGCATACAACCCTAATTGCTATTATGTGGCACTGCCGTTGAGACACTGCTGTGAGGTTGGCTGCATTCAGTGTTCCCAGGGCTACTGCGAGTCTGGATTCCTCCTTCACAAATGAGGAGTGACAGTCCCAGCTCTCAATCCACTAGGATGTCCCCTTTTATCTCAAGTTGTGTCTCACACACAAACACTTAAAAATCTCATGACTAACATACTTCACTTATATTTTGAAAATAAATTATAGAATGTTCAGCAAGGGAAATTTGAGTGTAGGCATATTTCAAAATTGAACAGGGAGGAATGCCAAAATGTTTGGGGATCATTGCTTTCTGATGACCAGATCCCAGGGTCTTCAATATGCATACACAACTTTTTGACTAGAGCACTAACTACTCAGAGGTGGGAAAGAAAAGCTGCCATTGTATCTAGGCAGATCACACACCTGTGATATTACTTCACTGCTGCTTCACAAAGGCTAGGGTGGCTCATATTCTGACTTCACTCTTTCTTTCTCATTGTCACAAATTCAAATGGGCACCTGGAATTCCTCCTCCTCTTGTTCTATCCCATCATCTGCATCCAATTTTCTGTATCCAACTGTCTTGCTGAGAGCTGAAAGGCTGTAAGATTTGGCCCAAGGTATGGCAGCTTTCCTTTCACTAGCCTTTATCTGTCACTTCCAAGACTGTGTTTATTGTTTAAAGATGTGGAATACGTCTGCTGATGGCATTCCAGGAATGTATGTGGGCCATATAATGAAGTGGCCCAGTGATTCAGTAGGTGGAGGTGGAGCCTGAGAACTGGTACTCCAGAAACAATCCCTGGGTGACTCAATGCCCAGCCATGCTTGGGGATGCTGACCTAGTGAATCCAGGACTTGATTGGATTCTTGCAGACAACGCTGATAGGTGCTTCAAGACATTTTTTTCTTGTTGTTCTTTCTTTATACTTCAATGTAAGGTCTTTGAACTTACTGGGCTCCTCCTCTCCTTCCTAATGTTAAATGGATCCCAGTTCTTTATCATCTTTTCCTTACAGTTCTTTTATTTTTTTTTTTAAATACTTTAAGTTCTGGGATACACGTGCAGAACGTGCAGGTTTGTTACATAGGTATACATGTGCCATGGTGGTTTCCTGCACCCATCAACCCATCATCTACATAGGTATTTCTCCTAATGCTATCCCTCCTCCAGCCCCTCACCCCATGACAGGCCCCAGTGTGATATGTTCCCCTCCATGTGTCCATGTGTTCTCATTGTTCAACTCCCATTTATGAGTGAGAACATGTGGTGTTTGGTTTTATGTTCCTATGTTAGTTTGCTGAGAATGATGATTTCCAGCTTCATCCATGTCCCTGCAAAGGACATGAACTCATCCTTTTTTAAGGCTGCATAGTATTCCATGGTGTGTATATGCCCCATTTTCTTTATCCACTCTATCATTGATGGGCATTTGGGTTGGTTCCAAGTATTTGCTATTGTGAACAGTGCTGTAATAAACATACATGTGCCTGCATGTGTCTTTATAGTAGAATGATTTATAATCCTTTGGGTATATACCCAGTAATGGGATGGCTGGGTCAAATGGTATTTCTGGTTCTAGATCCTTGAGGAATTGCCACACTGTCTTTCACAATGGTTGAACTAATTTACACCCCCACCAACAGTGTAAAAGCCTTCCTATTTCTCCACACCCTCTCCAGCATCTGTTGTTTCCTGGCTTTTTAATGATCGCCATTCTAACTGGTGTGAGATGGTATCTCATTGTGATTTTTATTTGCATTTCTATAATGACCAGTGATGATGAGCTTTTTTTCACATGTTTGTTGGCCCCATAAATGTCTTCTTTTGAGAAGTGTCTGTTCATATCCTTTACCCACTTTTTGATGGGGTTGTTTTTTTCTTGTAAATTTGTTGAAGTTCTTTGTAGATTCTGGATATTAGCCCTTTGTTAGATGGATACATTGCAAAAATTTTCTCCCAATCTGTAGGTTGCCTGTTCACTCTGATGATAGTTTCTTTTGCTGTGCAGAAGCTCTTTAGTTTAATTAGATCCTATTTGTCAATTTTGGCTTTTGTTGCCATTGCTTTTTGTGTTTTACTCATGAAGTCTTTGTCCATGCATATTTCCTGAATGGTATTGCCTAGGTTTTCTTCTAAGGTTTTTATGGTTTTAGGTCTTACGTTGAAGTCTTTAATCCATCTTGAGTTAATTTTTGTATAAGGTGTAAGGAAGGGGCCCAGTATCAGTTCCCTGCATATGGCTAGCCAGTTTACCCAACACCATTTATTAAATAGGGAATCCTTTCCCCATTTCTTGTTTTTGTCAGGTTTGTCAAAGATCAGATGGTTGTAGATGTGTGGTGTTATTTCTGAGATCTCTGTTCTGTTCCATTGGTCTATATATCTGTTTTAGTACCACTACCATGCTGCTTTGGTTACTGTACCCTGGTAGTATAGTTTAAAGTCAGGTAGCATGATGCCTCTAGCTTTGTTCTTTTCGTTTAGGATTGTCTTGGCTGTACGGGCTCTTTTTTTGGTTCCATTTGAAATTTAAAGTTGTCTTTTCTAAATCTGTGCAGAAAGTCAATGGTAGCTTGATGGGGATAACACTGAATCTATACATTACTTTGGGCAGTATGGCCATTTTCATGATATTGATTCTTCCTATCCATGAGCATGGAATGTTTTTCCATTTGTTTGTGTCCTCTCTTATTTCCTTGACAGTGTTTGTAGTTCTCCTTGAAGAGGTCCTTCAGATCCCTTGTAAGTTGTATTCCTAGGTATTTTATTCTCTTTGCAGCAATTGTGAATGGGAGTTCGCTCATGATTTGGCTCTCTGTCTATTATTCATGTATAGGAATGCTTATGATTTTCGCACGTTCATTTTGTATCCTGAGACTTTGCTGAAGTTGCTTATCAGCTTAAGGAGATTTTGGGCTGAGACCACCACTTAGAGTTCTTACATACAGTAGTACTGCCTTTTCCAAACTCTGGCAAGAAATAAGAACTAAGGTTCCTGAGTTGGCATCTTAGTGGTTCTTGCTACATTGCAAAAGTCATCTCTGGAAACTAGCAGGTGATTCTGTAGGGGATTCTCCCAGGAATTCTCACCTTTTTGGTGTGATAGGATTTGCCATGACATAATACAGTTCAGAAGTTGGGGTTCAGGCATTGCAGAGCCTGAATTCTCTGATCTTCTCACACATTTGTGCTACCACAGATATCTTCCAGATTAGTGGCTTTCCAACTTTTTTGACATCATACCGTGTGTGTGTGAGTGTGTGTGTGAGTGTGTGTGTGTCTAAAGCAAAGTTTTAGACGAACTTTGCTTTTACTACATGTAAGAGACTCTTTTCTATTGTATTAAAAAATATATTGATAACATCCACTAGACCAAATTTGTATCACAACATGCTACTGGGATTGAACCTTCACTTTGAAAAACATTGTTGCTTACATTGTTCAGATTTAGCAGGGGTTAATGTGCATAGCACATTAGTAACAGAAATAGTAGTCAGTCTTGTCGATGATGTGCTTACTTTGAATCATGATGCAAGCTAAGTATTTTTTCTATATGATTGCATTCAACCTTCACCAAATTCATATGACATAATTGTCATTATTCTTACTTGAAAGGTGAAAAATCTGAAACTTCTGATGGTTGCTCAGTGTCAATTGTTGTTGGATGTGAAGGTTCATGCTGCTTTGTCTTTCAATTGGGTTTATTTTCTAAGTAAAACAGAGCTGTATCCCTAAGTAGAATCTATGAATCAAGAATTTAATGAGTGCAGGCACTGTAGGGACACAAAAATGATTGAACATTGATGTTGCTCTCAAGGAGCATACAAGCTAGTTATCTCAATAAGCTAAATAGCAATACATGTTCTAAATAAGATTTTTAAATGTCACATAATTTAGGCACCAAAAATTTAGTTGACAATTGTGTGGTTGAAACAACAGGGCTGTGGTTTCAGAGCAACATGATGCCATTGTAGGCTGGAGGGATCAGGGCGGCTTCATGTAGGAGGTGACCTTGAAGCACATGGGAATTTCAGAAGTTGAAGGAGAGAAAAGCGACCATCTCTAACAGATGGTGCACTGCAAGACGTGAAGGCAGACAGACGTGCAGTAAACAGGTCCAGCCTTACGGGTGTGGATCTGTAGAATAGAGGCCATCAAACATCGCTCTTCAAACCCTACCAGAGAACTGTGGTTATTTGAGCCTTTTTTACTAGTGACTTCATGACTGGTATGCCTGGAACACCTGTCAATGAGATCCCTGTAAAGATGGTGTTAAAGATGGTCACTGAGATTGCTAAGATTCCTGGTATTTCTCAAATTATGGATGACTTAACATCAAAGCCCCCAGGAACTACTGAGTGGGAGTAATAAAATTCTTGTTCTATTTAAAAAAAAAAAAAAGCTGGGTGTGGTGGCTCATGCCTGTAATCCCAGCACTTTGGGAGGCCGAGGTAGAATGGATTGCTTGAGCCCAGGAATTCGAGACCAACCTGGACAACATAGTGAGACCTCATCTTTAGGGAAAAAATAAAAAAATGAGATGGGAGGATCGCTGCAATGAGCCATAATTGCACCAGTGCACTTCTGCCTGGGTGACAGTGTCAGACCCTCTCTCAACAAAGGAAAAGAAAAAGAAAAAATGATCATAAGATTTCTCCTCAGAGACACCTCCAGAGCTAGGGCAGGTAGGGTAGGGGGTCTTGGTTCCTGGCCCTCCACACCTGTGTTCACCAGGAGCAGAAACGTTTCCATGTGTATACTGACTCCTAAGATATCCTTTGAATAAAGCATACATACTGCTGCTTAAAAAAAAAATAAGTTGGCCAGGCAAGGTGGCTCACATCTGTAATCCCAGCACTTTGGGAAGCTGAGGTGGGTGGATCATGAGGTCGAGAGATCGAGACCATCCTGGCCAACATGGTGAAACCCTGTCTCTAGTAAAAATACAAAAATTAGCTGGGAGTGGTGATGCGTGCCTGTAGTCCCCGCTACTCAGGAAGCTGAGGCAGGAGAGTCACTTGAACCCAGGAGGCGGAGGTTGCAGTGAACTGAGATCGTGCCACTGCACTTCAGCCTGGTGACAGAGCAAGACTTCGTCAAAAAAAAAAAAAAAAAAAAAAAGTTGCTGGAAACCATTTATCATTGATATAATGAAATGAAATTTTGGGTTAGAGAAGTGGGCTGGGGATCCCTACACAGGCCTTCAGTGCCAACTAAGGGTCTATGAAATGTTGAGAGTGAAAGTATGAGAAGCCAGCTTTGGCCAGTTACGTCCATTATCTCTGTACCTATAGACAGTGGAATGACTTTGGTAATTCTCAGTTTCTGGTAAAATAAAGATCATGGGAAGTGTTACTTCGTGATTATGTTCTTAGGACCAAATATGGTGAATGTGTGAAAAGGACTTTATAAATTCTAAAGTGTTACATATAATGTCAATAATTGTCTATAGTTTTAATAGAGAGGATTTAGATAAATAAAAATTAAAATGCATTTTATCACTTATTGGATAGACAATGAGAACCATGAAAGGTGTTTCTGTAAGGGACTGGTGTGTTGCAGTATTTTAGGAAGATTAATTTGGCATTGGGAAGTGGGCTGGTTGTAGGGAAGGTGGTGCAGGGGACATTAGTTGGAGACCAGGATATTTGTCCAGGTGTGAAGTGAGAAGAAGAAATCAACAGAACCTGGAGACTAACTTGAAAGGGGACAGCCAGAAAGAGAAGGAAATAGGAGAAATATTTAATATCACTTTTTTTGCAAAGTGTTTTTCATATTCCCAATCTCATTTAATCAAAGAAGGCTCAGTGAGTTTACTCACAAGAAGCTACAGGAATGTTCTGGAAGGGGCTGGCAGGAGGGGCCGTGTTTTGGAGAGGGCTTCATTCTAGACACAGTGAATTTTAAGAGTGAGTGGGATATCCAAGTGAAGATATTTGGTGGGCTGCAGCACAGCTTGGGAAGTCCTCATGTAGACGGGACAGGAGGTGGGAAGTGGGATCATTGATGCAGTGGAGAGAGGTGCAGAGGCCTAAGCGCTGGTGAAGAGTTGAAGAAGAGTGAACAAGGGTAAGGAGAGCTGCAATAGCTTGAGAGGGCTGGGGCACCTGGAAAGCAAAGAGAGTAAGAATTGAAGGAGAGTCATTGGACTTAAGTAACTTGTTTTACTTCTTATGATCTTTATTTGACTGGAAATTGAGAATGGGTAGTTGCGTCACTTGTCCAAGGGCACAGGCTAATGTGTATTGGTGGACAAAGCTGGGTCCTCGAACTTACGGCCTGCAGTGATCTTCCATAGCTGCTTAGTTGGCACTCAGGGCCTTCTGTCATGAGATTTCCAGCCCACTTTTCCAATCTGATATCCTAGTTCTTTTTATTAATGTTTTTCAACACCTTTAAAAAAAAAAAGCACCCACCAGTATTCTTTGTCCGAATGATATCATAGAAGTTAGAGTAAGTTACAACATTCAGTCTCAACTGGGTGATACCACAGAAGAAGATCAAAGAGGAGATCAAAGAGAGAAGGCACTGAAGAAGTTGAGGTATTCTGTGTCAGGTATTTATTGAGAACTTTGGGAAAGAAAAAGAATGAGAGGTTAGTTGGGGCTTTAGGATGAATAAAGGCGTTTGTTGTTTTATTTTGGTTCTCCAATTAGCTCCATCTTTGCCTTGGTTAGAGCATCATGTGATATACTCTAGCATGAGAGGACAGATTGTAGACCCTCTCTTCCTATGTCCCTGGTATAGAGCTGCTCAGGAGAAGAACTTGAACTTTCTCCTAATTTGGATTTTCATTGAGTACCTGATGAAGAAATAGGACCCCTGTGGAAGAGGGAGGATATCCCATAAATAGGGAAGGTATCAGAATACATGAGGACATTCAGAAACAGGCCTGAGGGGAGCCATGTTGCAATTGCTCTGAGTATCGAATGACGCTACACTTGAACCTACCCTGACCCAGCACCTGGGAGTGGCTGAGTGCCCTGGAACCAAGAGGGCTGGGTGGTTAAAGCAAGAGAATTTTACCAGCAGGAGCTTGGGCACTCTGCCTGCTCTGTAAAATAAGAACATGCTTTTCCTTATTGGTCAGAGAACCAGAGATAGGTGATGAGAGCCAGAGAGAGCAGTTTCAAAGTGGGGTACAAATGCCCAAAAAGATGATTGAGGTTAAAGGTGGGTCAGTGCCATCAGATGGGCTGCTGGACTAGATCACCAGCCACAGAATGTTTCATTGGAGGTGGCATCAACAGGGGCAATCTGGGCATGGGGAATATGACCAAGAAAAGGCACAGGTAGAAATAGGAATGGGAGATGAAAGCAGGTCCCTTCATACCTTTAAAACACAGACAGCGAGAGGCCTGAGGTCATGCATTTTGCAGGTGAGAGAGAGACTGAACTTAAGGACAAACCTTACCTAGCATCTGCAAGCAAGGGACGCCTAAGAGACATTCATAACACAAATGTATATGGTCAAAGAGGTAATAGAAACAAAAAGAGAATGCTTGGGAAAAGTACAAGGTACCAGACAGGCGAGGAAGGAATTGGGTGGACAGTAGAGTTCAAGGCATGGCTAGGTGCCTAACTAACATCCATTTTCTCTTTTATTCTTACTGATAGGACCTGATTTTATTCCAGGTGGCAATATACTTTGTTAAAAAGGATATATTTCCCTGCTTCTCTTAAATCTATAATTAGTAAGTAGAAGTCATTTGGTGGGGCTTTCTTTCTTTCTTTCTTTCTTTCTTTCTTTCTTTCTTTCTTTCTTTCTTTCTCTCTCTCTCTCTCTCTCTCTCTCTCTTTTTTTTTTTCACAGAGTCTCACTCTGTAGCCAGGCTGGAGTGCAGTGGCATGATCTCAGCTCACTGCACCCTTTGCCTCCTGGGTTCAAGCAATTCTCCTGCCTCAGCCTCCTGAGTAGCTGGGACTACAGGCGCAGGCCACCATGCCCAGCTAATTTTTGTGTTTTTAGGAGAGATGGGGTTTCACCATGTTGGCCAGGATGGTCTCGATCTCTTGACCTTGTGATCCACCCACCTCAGCCTCCCAAAGTGCTGGGATTACAGGCGTGAGCCATCATGCCAGACCACCTTTTTTCTTCTTAATTGGAATGAAGATGCAATGTCTAGAACTCCAGCAGCCATCTTGGGCCAGGAGGTGAATAAGAATGGAAACCTCACACTAAAGATAGTGGAGTAGAAAGGCAGAAGGAGCCTAGGCCCCTGGTGCCCCGGCACAACCATATCAGTCCTGGACTACCTCCCATGACTTCTGTATATGAGAAAGAAATATATCTTTATTTTGTTGAGGGCACTCACTGACATAGATATAGACATATATCCTGACAGATAAAAGATATAGATCATATATATATACACACATACACACATATATGTAAAACCTAATCCTAATAAAGGAAAAAACAAAATTGTGTGAAGGCAAATATAAGATTCACATAATTCAGCTCAAAAGAAGAGATGTCTAATCAATATGGAAGACAATAATGGTTTAAAGCGTTCAGAAGAGAGAAAGATTTTTCATGCTGGGAGGTGAGGGAATCATGAAGTCAGAATGAGAGCAAGGATTTCAACCCAAACCTATCCAACCCCAAGCCTTCCATGTTCTTTATACTATACTATTTTCCCTTCTACTGGAGTGCTATCTTAAAAAGATTTTGCAGTGCATGGCCTCTGTGATGTTGGTGTTTGAATGAACAAGTCGTATGATTTCTTAGGATTGCAATCAAGAGAGAACAGGAAGAGCTCTACTGGGAAAGCAAACTGACAGCCAGCCAGGGTGGTGTGTAAAGGGCGGGTCCCATGCCAGGGGTTATCAGGGGCATCTGAAGGAGGACTAAGCGCGAGGATCACCCAACACCCCATCACACACAACCACACTATCCCCCATGGCAAGCGTTACCGAAGAAGGGAGCATCCATTGCATTTTTGCATCCAAGTTTTTGAAGAAATTTCATATTCTCAGGGATCTGTGCCCGAAAACCCGGCTCTTTTGCTTGAGTTCCTTATGGACAAAGCTCTGAGGTCAGAAGCTCCTGGAGGTTTGCTTCTTCCTCACTCAGCCAGCTGCTTTTCTTCCTAGCTCTCCCACATTGCCAGAGGGGGGCGGGAGGATACATCTCCTGTTGCAATCTCTCGTTCCAATATGAATTTGTGACCCCGGAAAGACTGTGCGGGTTTCAAAAGCTGTCTGAACCAAGATTCTGAGCAGGTGCGAGGCTGTTCTCAGTCGGGCAGCGGGTCACCTTGGAGCAAGGATCAAGGGAGAAAGATGGGGGCGGGGGGTGGGGGAAGCCACACCTATTCTGCTAGTGATTTAACAGGATCGCTTAAAAAAATAAGCCAAAAAGGCCAGATTCTTCCATTTCCAGATGCTTCTTCACTTTCTTTCTGTTTGCTCGGACAGGGTGAGCAATGGCCGGGCTCTTAGTGTCTGAGGGGCCTTAAAGAGGCCTGGCAGTCCCGGACACAGTGCCAGGGAAAGCAGGTTTTGTGCGCATATGGGAGGAAGCAAGCGCGAGTCACTCCGGTGCAGAGAGACAGGTAGAGGGGACAGACGGCTGTCTAGTTTGGGCAAATTTCCCTCTACCTGGGGCGTGGGGGCGCAGTTCCTCCTCTCTTTCGGGCCTTTTCCCCCGCCCTCTGGGGTTTGAATGAACAGGTGCTAACACACCAGCTTAGAAGGGCGCGTTCAGCACCCGCGCCAGCAGCTGCTCGGCACCTTTGCCCCTCGGTGGCGGCTGCCTTGCGCACCAAAGGCCCAGGGGCGTAAAACTGGAGGCGTAGAGGGAGAGGGAGACGCTGTCCTTTGCAGAATGGGGCGCGGGCCTCGCAGCCTCGGCTCAGGAAGTCCCGCCAGCCGTGGGAGGAGCAGGGCAGGGTCAGCTCTCGGCTGCACTTGGGCAAGAGATAGCTGGAGCTATCGCCGCCTGCGCCGCGTCCCTGCTTGTGGCACAAGGGGCGGGTGAAGGGGCAACCCCCTTTCTCCCTCTCCGAGCGAGTGCGGGGCAGAGCCTCCAGGCCCGCGCGCGGCGGTGCGCTCGCCGCTCTCCATGCCACCCAGCCCCTTTCTTGGGCAGGCCAGGTCAGTGTGGGCGCCGCGGCCCGGGTTCGCAGGGCGCAGTCCCCCGGCCCCCAGGGCGCCCACTGCGGGCGGGACACGGGCAGTGCAGCCTGTGCCCGGGCGGCCACCGAGGCGACGCAACGCCGCCAGCAACCTCTCCCCGCGCCGCCCGCCAGGCCCCGTCGGGCCTGCGCCGGCTCTGGCGGTGCCCACAAAGTCCCCGAGGGGCAGCGTTGGCCAGGCCTACCCAAGACCTGCCCCGTCCCGCCACCACTGCACCCACTTTCTGCTGCCCTCATCGGTCTGCGCAGCTGTCCCCGCTCCTCCCCCTGAGGCAAAACTGCACCAGAAGGCATCTTGGCGAGGTCATTGCCACCCCGCCCATGATTGTAGAAGAGACTCAATCCTGTTTAAGAGGTTTAGCTCCCCAAGCGCTATTAAAAATAAGTTTTTGGTGGCCTTTGTAAGGAAACTTTTAATCACACAGAATTTAGCCTCTGATCGGCCAGACATTTAACCGGCGCAGAGTAAAACCTTCCATTTTTAACATCCACTCTGGTGTTTGTTGGAAATTTGCCACCGATTTTAGGCTCGAGCTGAAGGTTACCAGGATTTATCATTGTTTCCCCAGGATGTTTAACCCTCATGGGCTCCTCTTCTTTCATTTAAGACACTTGAAAAAAAAATTCTTGTAAGCGCTTTGGCCATTCTGTTTAAGAAATTTGTTTTAGCTCCTACGGTTTTGTAATCCAGAAATATTTCTGAAATGAGGAGTGGGGAGTATTGGAGACAGAAAGCAGCTGTGTGCCAGGAAATAATAAGTAGCATGCAAAAATATCACAGCTAGTAGATGTCCTTTACGAGTGGAAATATCTATATTTAATTGCCTTAAAAATGTGGGGTGGAAAAACACAATTATACATTGTGATAACAAACCTGTACAGTTAATTTCTGAATAATACAAAACAAGTGCTGAAATTTTTTTCTTGATGATTGAGATAATTGTCCCCGAATTATGACATCAGCTACCCAAATATCATGTTGCCCCATCTGCAAATACTTGAAGAGGAATAGTTACCAATTGAATGCATTTAGATTCATCCTTAATAAAAAGAAAATTGCATAGCTTTTTATATTGTTGCAAATTCATCTCCCAATATCATTGTCAGCTTAGTGATATTCTCCATATTTTAAAATTTCAATTTTTAAAAGATACATAATATATAATTCCTAATAATTATAAACACATCATTTTACTCATCTGGTTTTAATAACATGCATTTTATAATTACTGTACAACCAAAATAGACATTGAATTATGCTGTGTGCATGTCTTTATTCAACAGTATATTCTTAGACACCTTGTTCAAACAAATTAAATAAGTTTAAAAGAAAATTAAAAAGAAAAAAATCTTTCCAGTAGAAACAGAATCACAGTGCTTCACAGACAAAAGGAAAGGAAAAGAAGTTCTCATACGAAAAGAGATTTATTATTACATAGAAAATTCTCACAATAGTTGAAACACACTTCAGAAACTAGTAAACACCTTAGATAGAGTTGTGCCAATTACTCAGCCCACAAGCATCTGCTTTGTCTTAATTAGACAGGGGAGGTGAATGACCACTGTTTATTTTCATTTTCCTCATTAATTATGAAAAACTGCATTTAATTCATCTTGCATTGTGAGAGATTGGCTGCGCAGATGTAAGTCGTAAGGGAAGTGGCTGTCGGTGGGCAACCTGAACATGGCACCCTGCCCAAGGGGACCCCTGGGTGGCACTGCACAGTAATGCATGCCGTAATTGTAATTTTTACCATAGTCCAAGGTTTCTTCTTGCTTCAGGGAAAATATCCCATTATAGTTAATTGGGGGAGGACTTAAGGGACCTTCAAACTGAGGGCTGGCACACTCAGGGGAAGTACTTTCATAGAAGGATTCATACGCACTGCAATAATTGTAGGGTTTCATGGACTTGGAATTATCAAGAGTCCCATGCCCTGGGGGAGTGGTGAGCTCAGGGCTGTGGTAGGGTGGGTAGAAGGTAGAGTAGGGTGACCTTGTGTGGTGTGCAGCCTCCCCACCCTGACCCATCAGGAAACTCCTGGCGTTGAGCTGCAAGCAGCCTGCCACCAAGTTTGTAGTTGGCTGGGAAAGACCTTTGCATAAGTTTTGGACGAATGTGAGCAGATCTGGTCTCTTGCCGATTCTCAGAATTTCAGAAAGTGCCCAGATGTAGTTTTTGGCCAGTCGTAAAGTCTCTATTTTGGACAGTTTCTGGGTTTTAGAATAACAGGGGACCACTTTTCTTAAGTTGTCCAGAGCGTCGTTGAGGCCGTGCATCCTGTTCCTCTCGCGCGCGTTCGCTTCCTGTCTCCTGAACTTGACCCTTTCCAATCGCAGCTTTGTTGTCTTTTTTTTCCTAAGACCCCTCCTTCTAGGCAACCCATTTTCATCTTCCTCTTCCCTGTCTTCCTCCTCTTCTTCTTTCTCGGTTTCTTCTCCAGGGGCCCTTTTGATGCTCTTTCCTCGAAGGACAATCTGTTTGGAAAAGCTTTCTGGCTTCTTAATTTGCTTCTGGTCCTCGCATTCTCTAGAAAACTTTCTGCACATCTGGGATTCTGGCATTACAACAGACTCATCAAACGGTAGTGTTAACATGGTTCTCTAATCTTAAATTACCTGAAAAAATGCCAGCACAATATTTAAAGAGTTTTCATTTTTAAAGTTTATACACTTAAAACATATTTAATTATTTAATCATAAGATTACAAAAACACGTGAAAAAGACTGATTCTGGGCCTGATTTTTTAACATTAAATATAATTTTGAGTTTGTGAAGATAAGTAATTATGAAGACATTGATGCATTCAATAGGATTATTTATATGAGCAAATTATCAAAAGAAAATAAAAATGAAACATATAATTATTGTGATATCATTACCATCTACATTTCTCTTTGCCTTTAAACTGGATTTTAATACCCCCAAAAAAGATTGTGGAATTCAAGCAAATGCAAAACATGAAATTGCAATGCAGAATTTCATTAATTCCAATTCCCCTGAGCACAAAATGAGAAGATAAACCAGTTTTTAAAATGGACTATCTCTCCATTAGCTGACAAATTTGTGTTCTTTTTTTAAAACAAACAAACAAACAAACAAAACCTTAACTTTATTTGCTGTATCACACAACTGTGAATTTAGATAAGTGGGTGTGGGAATATACAAATTTAAAGAAAAGATTATAATCAGAGTCAATTTTTCAACTGATTTTTTCTGATCAGTAAAGAATTATGTAAAAGGGCACTATTTTCCCAGGCTTCAAAAAGAAAAGGGGATTAGGCTAATTTGGAATAAACTCTATAAATAAATTTAAAACATAAAAATCACTAGCAATTTCTTTTAATTAAAAAAAATAGAGACTGATTTTATTTACATTTAAATTTTTTCCAAATAGAATTGTCTGTTTACTGCTGTTCAAATCATCCTGGACAAAAACCACTCTCGTAGTGTTTTTGTTCTACGAGCCATAGAAGTCTCCCTCTAGCTAATATCTGACAGGAACGGTCCAAGGATTCTGACTGCAATTGTGCACGTGTGTTCAGAATCCCAAATGAAAGGGGAAAATAATTTGTGTTTCAAATGCATTTTGGTTTTTGTCTGGTGAAGCAGCAAGTATTTTCATCTAAAGTCTTCAAACAAATAGGCACATTAAAGCAGAGACTTTTCAATTTAACAATCTCCAGCCCCCTCAACACACACATATACACACGAACACATACACAAACTCTTAGTAATGTCCACATACTTGCAGTGTTACATAATAGCAGTGAAAGTATGTGATAATTACATCATAAGAATGAAATATGATAAGTTATAGATGGCAAAGAGCATATAAATACTATAAGACAGTGACACTGTATCTTTAAATACTTGCATGCAAAGCCAGCATCAATTGAAGTATATCTTTATTTATATTACCTTAGGTTTTAATTTCATTCAATAATCAGTTTTCATTTTGGGTCTTCCAAATCTTTTCAGGCTGAGTGTCGCATCGTCTCCTGGAGTCTCTAGATCTGTGTATATCTGCACTATCTCATTGATCTCTAAAAAGTGACATTGATGCCAACTGCCAGAGCTGGTACCCATGCCATCTGCTAGTGACGTCACAGGGCAGAGAGAGCCATGTGATCCTCTCTCTTGGGACCTTCATTCTGCACTGATCATCTGGCATCCCTGTAAGTGGGTACCAGCCTTCATGCATCAACACAGAAGGTTAGACTGATAGGAAAAAAATCTGCACCAGCATTTCACGTACAGTAGGTGCATTTCTCCTCGAACTGCTTCGGTTTCACTGGCAATCTGTAGAAATAGCTGTGTTAGTGTTCAGTTTCGCCCTGCCAAAGGTGCAAGTATTAGGTGATCGTTAATATTCCATTCATTTACAAGGTGGGCTTTTGTGTGAGCAAGAGGTTTTTTTTGTTGTTGATGATGTTGTTTTGTAAAGATCACCATCCCATTTGTGCACCTGGGTACCCAGGGAAAGAAAGCCGTGAAAAGGAGCTGGAAACTGGTCTTAAGACGTTTAACCAAACTAAGATTTGTGTAAGTGAACAGGGGTCAAAAAAGGTCTCCTTTGCTTGTTTTGTTTCACAGCGTGTAACTTATGAGTGTGTGTCTCTGTGTTCTCTTATTAACATGTAAGACTTCTGTGCTTCTTAGGCATTTGGAATAAAAGAACAGCTTCTCCATCTGGGGTCTGTGAAAGACATCCTCAAATACTCCCCTTCCTACACTTGCTGGTATCTTTCACCAACTTTTGCAGAGACACTGCAAGTCCGTTGTTAAGGATTTCAAACTACATACTTTGTCCTCTGCAGAAAGTCACTAACTTCACTCTTTTATTGTCCCTTATCTCTTCCCAGCGTTAACTTGCTTGTTCCCTCTCATTTCATTTCAGACACAATAAACATAAAAATTATCACTTAGGTGTTTGTCTTCCTCTCCCTGACATTCTGCTGAGTATTTTAATCAAAGATTAGCTTTCCTGTTTTTGTTTTTTTTTCTTTTTTTTTGACTTTCAGATTTTTTTCTTTCTCTTAAAAATCTTGTCCTCACATTTTTCTCTAGACCAACATCAATTTAAATATCTTCTTGTTCTTGTATCAGTGTCCAGTTGTTTTTCCCTGTCAGGTGTATTTCAGATTTATCTTTTTTCCCCGCTCCACACTTTTGGTTTCTTCTTAACAAAAGCAGGGTGGAAACAGTTAAGCAAAGCTGGCAAAGCCTTATAGATAATACGAACTGTGGAGGCAGAGACAAACTCCACCTTCCTCCTGTTTTCTCTTCTCCCGTGCCCCCACCCCTATAAAGGACATTTGATTTCAGGATTGCCTGCCAGTAAAGTAAAAAGTGCACTTAAAAAAAATAAGTAAAAGTTTTAAAATAAACAAATAAACGCAACCTTTGTTGTTTGGCAACTGAGTAATCTCTTTCTATAAAGTGAGAGAGTATGCTTTTGGTATTAAAGTAATCCCTGCAGAGCTGTAACTGTTGAATCTGTGTTAGCATTCCCCTTATAAATCCCAGTTTTGCAAGGTTTAGAATTCTGCTGCTTTAATGCACTTTGGATCCAAATTGGCACCAAGGGCCTCACACTAAATTCAATTTTGCTTCTGTCATACCCCACTCATTTCCACCTTCTTCAAAAAGTTGCTTGACTTTTCCTGGACAGTTCTAGAAATGTTGGGGAAGCTGGCAAAAAGGAGAATCAAATATGTAAAAGCAGATAATTTTTCTCTCTTAATGGCCCAGTAAAAAATGCAAATTTAAAATAAGAGTCAGGCTATAAACTCCTAAGTTAAAATAGGTAGGTTGGCCTAGCTTCTGTTTTTTAAAAAGCCAGATATACCATAGCCATTGTAAAATTTGTTGTTTAAGAATATATTACTTGGTAATGGGTGCATTGAGTATATTTCAGATGGCTTTTAATTCAAGAAGTACACACAGTTTTTATATTAGCATAGAGAATTTCTATAGGAAGGCCAGTTGCAGAATTTTGTTGGTCTCCCATATGATTTAATTTTTAAATGTAAAGGAGCGTAAGTATCAGAGTCATGAGCCACAAAGCAGCCAGTGCTGTCTTGAATTTTGTATATTGCACCATATTCTAAACTTGCAAAGTCTCCAAAAGCTGCATTGTATTAAAGGCATCACAAACATGAAAATCAAAATCCAAGGAATAGATGACATGATATGCCAGTAGAAAATTACCATGGATGTACTTCATTGAAAGGGTAGATTTTATATTTTATCTTGGCATTTGCAGAAAAATGAGAAGCAATTTATCGATAAAAACATTTGAGGCTGTGCTATTCCTGCCTTTGAACACGAAAGAAAAACCTTTGGTGCTGACGGGGTGGAGGAACAGAATTAGTGTTCAGGTTTTCTGACTATTAATCTATTGTTTGGATGCTTTAGTCTTTTGTTTTTTTTCAAAAAAAAGGTGGGGGTAATAAAAAGTTGTTATGTCAAGATTTAGCAAGAATTAAGTGTGTTTGTACAATAATCTTTCAAAAGAAATTTTGTTATGCATTTTCTACTATAGTTCCAGATATGCAAATGCCTGTGCTGTTAATATGCATTCATAACATACACCATAAGGGCTGTTCTACTCTCTGCTAAGAAAGCATGTTAACACCAATACTCCAAACAGAAATACATTCTGACTTATAGATGAATATGCAGAGTATGAGAAGTGTATTATCACCATTTCTATAATGTAGTTTCTCATTTTACAACAACTACTGCATACCAAAGTTCATATCTCTAACTCATTTTGGTATTAATTTAATTGATATGATTTTTGCTTCTGGGGCCATGCAATTTTATATTTTTTAAAACGTGTCCAATGTCTGTCTGTCTGCCTATCTCTTGCTTTCACTGGGTAAATGCTCATATTTCACTCATAAAAATGAGCCACGGAAAATTTAGATATAATTTTGACTCTGTTGTAAGACAATAAAAACCAAAAGTCCCAATTAAGGCTCGAGTGTTGTTGTTTTTTATGTCATCCTGTTGGTGCCTGTGTCTTAGCAAGTGGGAATTCTATTGACTCCCTTTTTCACAGTCCTCTCATCATTTGAGATCAGTTTGAAACATGACAGGCATTTTTCTCAATTCTCCAAGGGTATAAGGCAACAGAATGTGGACTGGGACAGGATCAAGCAGCACAAGCCCAGGACCAGAGTTTTTTCCCCAGATGTGGGGTACTAACACACACTGAGATCAATTTTGAATTTTTCTCTCTTTTCCTTCCTTCCTTCCTTCCTTCCTTCCTTCCTTCCTTCCTTCCTTCCTTCCTTCCTTCCTTCCTTCCTTCCTGTCTTTCTGTCTTTCTGTCTTTCTTCTTCTTCTTGCCTTAGACAGATCTTCAGGGTGCTCATGAAGCTTGTGAGCAAGCTCCTCAGTGTTAGTTCCTAGAGTTTTAACTTTGTGATCCCCATTGGCTTGAAATAGTTTTATGGCTGTGGCAGTGTCCCACTTTGGAAAACAGTCCTTGGAATTTACGTAAAAGTGTTTTAATTATCAGGCAAAATATAAAACAACCTCATTCCCTCAAGTCCTTAGAGGGCTTAAAAATATAATTTAAACATAGATGGTACAAAGATGTTGCTTATATATACACATGAGGATTATGTAGACTAAACAGATAATCTGTAATAATTTGAGGGCAACTTTTGGATTACTTATTAGATTTACTTCAAGGTGAAGACTACACTGAATTATCTTATTATTATGTAATAATTATATTTGTTGTTTATGTGGCTCATAGACTGCAATATTCAGTCTTCTATTATGCTTTGCTCAAACAGCACTCTTTCCGGAAATATTCTTTATTATTTTTCCCCCATGGAACATTTTACTGACCAAACCAGATTTAATTTTTATTTCTCATTTGTTATTAAATAAGGGCATCTAACACTACCAGTTAAAACTTCTACCAGTATGAGAAAACTAGTATTACTGGACTGAGTTCTTATAATTCCAGCCACAAGTAGCGAGATGATGTTTTAACTTTTGTGATCTCACTGTAAGGAAATGTACAGTTTTCTTTAGGCTTTAAAAATATTAAGAATAATGTGTTAACCCTAATTACTACTTTTTATAATACTGAATTAGAAATTATTGTTCTATTCCAATACATGTAATGTAGTGATTATTTTTAAACATAGAAGACAGAAATACAATTTGTTTCTTTTTCCTATTACATTCATTCATTTTGTAAGATTGAAGTAAGACCATTTTATAAGACCTTTATGCAAGAGATGTTTTTGCAAAAGTTTTATGCAAAGTGCATTTTTGAAAATCAAGTTTTATGTTAGGTGATGGTATGATGAAGTGCAGGCTCTCTTAACACAGACGATTCCTGGATGGATTTGAAGAGGTCCTTGAGCCTCCCAAGATGCTGTGCAAATTGGCACGTATGTACATACATGCACTTTTCTAAGGAAAGGCTTTCTTTGTCAGATTCTAAAAGGGTAAGAATGACAAAGAGTATTTTGACATTTTACTAACCTTGTTTCAAATCTTGATCCTGCTGTTTAATAGCTGTATGTCATTCATTCGTTCATTCATTCATTAGTTCATCAAAATCTTATTGAAGATCTATTTTGGAGTAATTTTTGACTCCTTTTTTTCTCTCACATCCCACAATCAATATGTCAGCAAATCCTCTCAGTTCTATGTTAAAATTACACCCAGACTCTGAGCACTTTTTAGCAATTGCCCTACTCCTACTCTGGCGGCCGAGAACACCATCACCTTTCACCTGGCCTAGATGGCATCTGGGCTTTCACTCTTGGCCCCTTACATCCCATATAGGACTCTCAATTCAGTAGCCAGAGACATCTGATTAGAACATAAATCAGACTGTGTTCTCCTGTACTCAGAACTCTCCAGTACTTCTCCTCTCCCTCAGAGCAGAGGCCAAGTCCTGGCAGAGGCCCAGAGGTTTCTCCTGGCTTCTGCGATTCCATCTTCTGCTTTCCCCTGAACTCACTCATCTCCAGTGACACTGGCTGCTGGCGATTCCTTGAACACTCAGGCACCGTCCCACCTTAGGGTCGTGGCACTGAATTTCCACCTGGCATTTTCTTTTTGCAAATCCCCGTGGCTTATTCTCATACCTTTCAAGTCTCTGTCCACATGGCCCCTCTCAGTGAGGCCTCCCCTGGCCCTCCTAATTTATACTGTGGCCCTGCACCCACTAATTCCTCCCTATCCATTTTCTTCCTGTTTTACTTTTCTCTGTAGTACTTATCACTTTCTAACACAATACATTGCTGATTTCCAGTGTGTATTAATCTACATTTCTAATGCCTGCCCATGAAAGCCAGGAAGTACATACTTGTTGAACGAAGAAATGTGTACCAGGCACTGGGTTAGTGATGGCCATTCAGCAGTGTGTACAGCAGCTGTACAAGGCTGTGGGGGAGTTTGCAGTCTAGTAGGGGAGACAGACAATGAACAGGTAAACACATGCATGTGGAACGTACACATCAGAGGCTACAGAGAAAAATGGGAGGACCTATTTGATTAAAGCACTGAGGAGCCCTTTCTGAGTCGTCCTTTAAGCTGAGACGAGCAGGTGGAGCAGCAGAGGCAGGAGCTCGTGCTGTTTCTTCTGGTCTGGGAAGACTAGGAGCAGCGCCGTGACAGTAAGCCCTGGATCGTCCATGGGTGCCTGGGTCGTGGTAAAGCATTTCGAATATATTCCAAAGGAAGCCTTTGGAGAGCCTGAGGCAATTTAAGGTTGGAAACATTTTCTTTAGCTGGCTCCAAGGAGAAGATTTGGAGAGGGCAAAAGAAGAAACAGGGAGAGAACAGACAGGGCTCAGGACACACTACCCCAAAATTTGGCATATTGAAGCTGAAGGAATTTGAGAAAGCCTTAGAAGCAGGAAGATCTCTCAGACTTTCCCCACTTCTCCCTTGAAGCAGATGATAAAATATAGGAAGGATTTTCTTTTCTATTTATTCCTTCCTTTAGAGACAGTGTCTTACTGTGTTGCCCAGGCTGGTCTCAAGCTCCTTGCCTCAGGTGATCCTCGTGCCTTGGCCTCCCAAAGTGCTGGGATTGCAGGTGTGAACCACTACACCTGGACCAAGAAGGATTTTCTGACCTTCCCCTGAAGCAGGTCAGAAGACCTGCATGTGAGAGGTGCCCTCCCTACACCCAGATGAAAGGAATCCCTTGTCTTTGAAGACATGGGAACACAGATTAGAATCTGAACAAACAGATCATGCTAAGTTTCCTCAGTTTATTACCATTAGATTACATTATTTGTCACATCATATTTCTTCTTGACTCTTCTTTTTTATCAAATCCAGTATAAAAACACTCAAGTTTAACTCTTTGTTTGGGTTGTCATTTCTTTATGAAGGCTCCCATGTCATAGAAAACTTATTAAATAAATGTGTATGCTTTCCTCTGGTTAATCCGTCTTTTATTATAGGGACCTCATCCATGAACCTAGGATGGGTAAGAAAAGAGATATTTCTCCTCCTCCACAGAAATTACAAAGCCTGTGAGAGTAGACAGAGCTGGAGGGGATGACTGTGGCCCCAGGTTGAGTGGGGGCAATGGAAAGGGAGAAAAAAGGAGGCATGGAAATATATTTTGGAGATGGAATCGATAGAATTTACTGATTGAATGGATGTAGATTACCTGTAGGAAAGTTATAAAACCTCTGGTCATGAGGATGATGATGATGACGATGAACAAAGTATTCATTCATACGCAGGGCACCGAGGATCAGGCTAAGGGCTGTATAAACATTAGCACATTTGTTCCTTGCAGTAAGGTAGATGTGAGTGTCCTCATTGCAGAGATAATGAACTTATGGCTCAGAGATATTAACTAATGTTCCTGGACTGCTCAGTTTTCAAGTGAGAGAATCATCATTTGGACCTAGGTCAGCCTGAATCCAAATCCTACCTTTTAAACTACTATACCTTGCTACCTTAAGAATTAAATGATCAATGTCAATGGACTGCCTAGGACTGCCTCTGGTATAAAATAAATACTGAATTAATAACATTAGATGAAGTAGCAAAACTTGACCGTGAATCTATTTACAAAGTGAATAATTATCTTACCAATGTATCTGGTGACTTAAGAAGAGTCACCAGATATATTACACTTTTCGATGCTTTTCTTTTTTGGATCAATGTGTATAGGTAGTTGTAGACTGTTATATATGGTGAAATCATATAACAATAATTACAATTGTCATGACAACAGCTCTTTTTTTTTTTTTTTTTTTTTGAGATGGAGTCTTTCTGTGTCACCCAGGCTGGAGTGCAGTGGCATGATCTCGGCTCATTGCAACCTCCATTTCCCAGGTTCAAGTGATTCTCCTGCTTCAGCCTCCTGAATAGCTGGGATTACAGGCATGCGCCACCACGCCCAGCTAATTTTTGTAATTTTTAGTAAAGACAGGGTTTCACCATGTTGGTCAGGTTGGTCTCGAACTCCTGACCTCATGATCTGCCTGCCTTGGCCTTCCAAAGTGCTGGGATTACAGGAGTGAGCCACCGTGCCCGGCTGACAACAAGCTCTTATTTGACTCCGAAGAGTTGAGGGTTGAGTTGTTCAATTTTATTCCTTCATTGTTTTTCATTCATTCAACAAAACCCTTACTTTTTTGTTACTACTATAGATATGAGAGGAAATATGGATACATAACAGAGGCCCAGCTCTTATGGAAGTCAGAGTTGAATTAGGCACATGAAACGCATCCACAATCATCTAATTAAAAATAGTATGAGCTCACTATAAGAGAGGTTGTTGTTAGGGATAAAGAAAACATTTGACTAGAGCTTGCAAGTATGTGAAGAATTTTTTTTTACCTTTATTTGAGATATAACAGAGACTGAAAAGTACACATGACAATAAGTTCACAGTTCAATTAAATTTTTCCAAGCTTAACACAGCTATATGACAGGATCAAGAAACAACAACACCGGCTACCCAGAAGCCTCCTTCTTCCGTCTTACAGCTACCAGCCAGCCCTCCCCAAAATAAACCAAAAACTTGACTTCTAACTGCATCAATTAATTTTGTCCATTTTGTACGTTATATAAGTGAAATCATGGGCCTGGTTCCTTTATCTCAACTTTTTTTGTGTGAAGTTTATCCACATTGTATGCAATTGTAGATTGTTCACCCTCACTGCTATATAGTATTCCATTGCATGACTATACCACATTTTGTTTTTCCATTCTGTTGTTGATGAATATTTGGGTAGTTTCTAGTTTGGGGTTATCATAAGTGCTATTCTAGTATATTTAATTTGGTAAACATATGTATGTTAGCCACATCCCATTCCTATGTATATATCCTACAGAAATGTGTACGTGTATTCTGTGTGTAGGACTTTGTTTCATATAGAATGGGACATTTGGGAAGAGGTAATCTTTATTAATTACCTGCACAATCACACACATCCTAAAATCATTATACAAGTTTGATAACATTCTCCCAAAGCTAAAAACACACTATCAAGAAGGGTATTGATCACCAATCTACAGATTTTTCTTGAATGATTCCTTCATATCAAACAACTGTGTTTGATGTTGGAGAGAGTAGAAGACACAATCCCTTCATTCAAGGAGTCTGGAGATCTGTTGAGGAAATAGAACTGACATATTTGAAGCATTGTGATGCACCACTCTGGTACAGAGTATCAAACAAATGAATATCTGCTTTGTTTTCCTAACAGCCTTTTGGAAGACAGTGCAAACCTAAGATTATGCAGTAGTTTACCAAGAACATATTTCAGAATATTTGCCTTTAAAGAGTACTTCGGTGGAAATTTAAGTTTTCTAACATTATGGCTAAATTATTAAAACTAATATTTGATCAATGTTATTATGAAGACTAATTTTTTGAATACATTGTTCTAGCTTTTCTGCATATATTATGTAGTTTTTACAACAGCTATATGAGGATTATATGCATAGGCAGACTGGTATAGTGGTTAAGGATGGCAAATGGCACCAGACTCCCTGATTCTGCTACTTTCTAGCTGGATGACCCTGGGCAAGGTCTCTATGCTTCAGCTTCTCCGTCTCCCAGTTGGGACTGATTCTATTCTTATCTCATAGGTTGTTGGATATAAAGGGCTTAGAATGATACCTACTACATAGGAAGCATCGTATTATTTGACAGATTAATTTAAAATAAAAATTGAGGAAGGGTGGGAGAGTTGAGTATAAGGCATTTATGTGAAATGATTTCTCAACTCTTTGTGAAGAAAAGGCAATGTCTGTGGCAATGTCCTGTGGTTGGTCATTCAAGCGTTCAGGGTGTAGGTGGAGAACATGTATTATATTGTCAATGAAATCAATTATTCTGAAGGTATTATCTAGACCTCTGCTTGCAATTTCAGCACCTTGGACTAGGAAATATGGCAATGTTTTAAGGACAAATAACTTCTTAGTGAAGCTTGAGCCAGACTACAAATCTTTCAGTGACTTGAACTTCTTGGCTGTGCATACTCCAATTCTTTCCTACATAAGCCTTGCAGCCTTTGCTCTTTGTCTCTACCTACTTTCAAATCTCTTGGTGGCTTTGATGGAAGGAGTACATTGCACACCAAGAAGACACACAGAAAGCATTTTCAGTCCTGATGTTTACACGCTTGCAGACAGAAGCTGGCAAGGTGAGTTTGGAAACTAAAGCTTTAGGTTGAACAGCTGACCTTGCTAAAGCCACAGATTCAAATGGAAAAAGGCAGGAGCTAATCACCACCAAGGGAATGCACTTATTTGTCCTGGGATGTAACATATGCAGTTAGGTCTTATAACCCCTAGAACACATTAAAAAAAATTTCATGGTTCACACCTTACAGGAATAAACAGCTAGTGAATCCTAAGGAAAATGAAAAAGCTCAAATCATTATTTGTCTTTTAGTATTTTAGACGTCTGGTTGGTTGGCTCTGTTTTGTTGTCAAATTTCATCTAATTACAATATATTTTTCATTTGTGTTTTAAAATAGCAATCCTAACCCACTGTTATTATAACATATGTGGTAAGTTGTTATTCCCAGGGTGGTGATAAATTTGTGGTGATCCATTCACATCCTCATGGGTTGGAATTAATCTTTCTCCTCTGATTTCCCACTACACTTTGTGCTTCTATTATTGTGCTTAGTGTAATTTGCTTTGTAGTATAGCTATTTGTGACTGCATCTGTCTCCCCTACTAGACTGTGAGGACAAAAATGATCTCGGATTTCTGTTTGTTTCATTTGGCTTTGCAGTACCTGCATCACATAACACACTGATTTGCACATAGTAGGGACTCAATAAATATTGATGGTAGAATCAATTGATCAATTACAGTTGCAGCAGATTTGGCTGAAGAATACCTCAGAGCAATGAGGCCCATCTGTCAATAAAAGCTGTGATCTTTGCCTCATTAACACCATGGCTAAGCAATGAAATAAAAGTCAGTGACAAAAGGCTTTGTGTCCCACATACCATAAGCTAGATTGTAGATTATGTAATTCCTTCAGCAGTAAAAAATCCTTCGGAAAGCAAGAGGCTATATAGTAGCAATAATGATCCATAATTTTATACAGTCTGCATGTGAAGGTTGACCCCAGCATACTCTCTCCTGGCTTTTTCAAAGGAGCAAGGCTGTCCAGTGCTAATTATTTCTTTCAAAGTCTAGAATAACTTTTTCACTGAGCAGTTTGCATTTTGGCCGCCAATACTGGTACAAGATCCAGTCTAATATAGTGGCACATGGCTTTCGATTCTGTTATTAGCCAGTGTCCTTTTCTGGAGGAAATATATCATTATATCATTGTTCTTTTGATTCAGAGTTCAAGCATTCCCAGGCTGGGCTTTCTACCACTGGCAAGATGTGGGTTTGGCTTGTTGGTGGTGAAGCTAACTTACATTACACCGGCTCAATTAGTTGCACCGCTGCTTTCTGTTGAAAGGTGTTGGACATCGAAGAGAACAGAGGGGCAGTTCTTCATCCTGCCCTATTTGACCCTGCTCGTTCCTCAGCTGCTGAGGCAGCACATATATTTGGTGGACTGATAAGGAATGGGAAACACATGATATTGACAACATTTTTCTGTTCTCCAAAGCAAAAATCCTTCCAGATTAGCACCTCACTTCCAAATGATCCATGTTGGGAGGAGTCTGAAAGAGAATTAGTGAAGAAAGTGAAATCGAAATAAGTAAATATGTTATGCATTTGGGATTAAAGGCCAGACAGGACACCTAAAACCAGCATGTAACTAACTAACCACAATTATCAAATGCCTGGCATGGTCAATGAACAGAACGTGATCCTGTGCTTGAAGAGCATTTAGACACATGCAGACCTACTGCTGAAGCAGTGGGGTATGAGCCATAGGAGCCTGCCTCTTTTATGTCTGAAATGACCCTAGACATTTTCAGTGGTGATGGCAGTAAAAACATATACTAGCCCCTTGGGAATTTTTATAAAATGAACATTCCAATCTAGGAGAATAATTTTTCTACAATTAGAAAGAACAAATCAAGTTACGGCCTTTTTGAGTGCTTGGTTTTTAATATTTCCTCAGGAGACCAGACTTATTTTTATTTTTTCCGTGGAAATTCCAGTCATAACTAAACAAAAAGTGAAAATTGTGCACATGAGGTGATGTGTCCTTTAAATCCAAATCTCTGGGCAGTGTGGAATTATAACTTCTGTGGGCTCTAGGCACTTTGATTTTTTGGGTTCTGGTATGGTTTGGCTTTATGTCCCCACTCAAATCTCATCTCAAATTGTAATCCCCAGGTGTTGAGGGAGAGACCTGGTAAGAGGTGATTGAATCATGGAGGTGGTTTCCCCCATGCTGTTCTCATGATAGTGAGTGAGTTCTCACGAGATCTGAGGTTGTTTTAAAGGGCTCTTCCCCCTTCACTCTCTCTTGCCTGCTGCCATGTAAGACATGCCTACTTCCCCTTCCACCGTGATTGTAAGTTTCCTGAGGCCTCCTGGCCATGTGGAACTGTGAGTCAATTAAACCTCCTTTGTTTATAAATTACCCACTCTTGGGTAGTATCTTTACAGCAGTGTGAAAACAAATTAATACAGGCCCCTTCCTCCATAAAAATTAAAAATAAATATATTTTATGATTATGTTAGTATGAAGACATAATCCAGGCTGAGTTATATTCATTTTTTATTCTGATTTTTTTCTCGTGGGCCAGTTAAAATATTATGGGCCCTTGGCACTGTGTGTGCTATGCCTAATGGATAAGTCCACCCTGTCCTTAGAGATTGGGTCTGACCAACAGCATTTTAAAAGCTCCACCTGGTTGAGAATCTCTGTGGTGTAAGGGTTACCTGCTACCTGCAAGGGCCTTCAGAATTATTTGTGGAAGTGTCTGCCTCTTCTGCTTTTTCCAACTCTAGTTTTCATAAGCTTCTCACTCTCCATATGAAATATACAGATGATTCAGGGACATGGCAGAATGGGTATACTATTAAGGTTGCCAGATTCAGCAAATAAAAATGCAGGCTACCCAGTGGAATTTGAATTTCAGGCATACTTATAGGTGGGGCAAACTTATACTAGAAAGTACTTGCTGTTTATCTGAAATTCAAACTTAACGGGGCATCCTGTATTTCACCTGGCAACTCTACATGCTTCCTTTATTCTTGGAACCCAAAGTCTTTCTTCCTCATAAAATACACTTTATGATGAATATGCTAGGCACTAATCAAGTGTTTCTTAAAGAATGCTCTGTAGACTATTAGGAATCACATTTTAGAAAAAGAGTCGTGTGATTAAAAATGTGGATGTTTTTTCTTCTTTTTTGAGACAGAGTCTCGCACTGTCACCCAGGCTGGAGTACAGTGGCATGATCTTGGCTCACTGTAGCCTCTGCCTCCTGGTTTCAAGTGATTGTACTGCCTCAGCCTCCTGAGTAGCTAGGACTACAGGCCTGCGCCACCACACCTGGCCAATTTTTGTATTTTTAGTAGAGACGAGGTTTCACCATGTTGGCCAGGATAGTCTCCATCTCCTGACCTCGTGATCTGCCCGCCTCAGCCTCCCAAAGTGCTGGGATTACTGGGGCAAGCCAACATGCCCGGCCATGTATTTTCTTTAATGCAGGTTCTCTTGGATTCTCCCATTTGCCAATGCACATCAGGAGATCCAAGAGCAGGATATGATAGAAGTGGGTCCCCAATTTATTTGACCACTGAGTGGTTTCCTTTCTTTCCGAAGTTTCTCACAGGACTGAAATTTTTGACAGAACACACTTCCTATTCTGCCAGTGGTCCATCTGTCTTTATTTGTGATGAGTTCAATGAGTATTTTGAACTGCCTTACTGATTTACTTTACTTTCCTCTCCTCTTTTGTGCTGAGTGGCTTCTAAGGTGGTTCATACACAGCAGGTTGAATCCAGATTTCTTTTTTATCTGAGAGTATTTTACAGTCTCCCTTTGTAACTAGAGTAGGTTTAGTTAGAACTGGAGTTTACAGTGTGGGGTCTTTATTTTACCTTCTCGTTGAATGAAGGGCATCCAGAACTGGTGTATAGGGCCAGTATGTAATTTTGGGGGCCCAAAACAAAAATATGGGGCCCCTTGTTCAAAAATGATTAAGAATTTCAAGATGGAAACAGCAGAGCATTAAACAAAATGTGGGCCCTGGTTCAAAGGCACAGGTCACAGCCAGGCCCTGTTCAAAGGCACAGGTCACAGTCACGCCCTGTTCAAAGGCACAGGTCACAGCCTGCGAAGCCAGCCCACTGCATTGCCATCTTCGGTGCCAAGAAGCTGAGAGAGCCCTTGCCCAGAATACCCCAAGAAGAGTTTTCAGAGGCTAATCACCAGCACTATCTTCATATACCAAGAGTTTGTAAGAGGAAGCAAGGGCATGAGACTGGGCCCCAGGGAACAAAGACACTTTTGATATTTTGTTCATTGTGAATTTTTGTATTAAAAACATTGTATTAAATATTTATTTTGATTTTGGTGCTTTTTTCTGCTTGGGATGCCATAACTAAACATCACAGACTGGATGACTCAAACAACAAAAATTTACTTCTCAAAGTTCTGGAGGCTGGGAAGTCCAAGTTCAAGGTGCCATTCAGTTAGGTTTCTGAGGAGAGCTCTCTTCCTGGCTTTCAGATGGTTGGCTCCCTCCTTCTTGCTGCCCAATCTCACATGGCCTTGACTCTGAGCATGTGTAGGGAGAGGGGGAAAGAGAGGAAGATATTCTACTTCTTCTTATAAGGCCACTAAGAAGGCCCCATTCCACAAGTGCCTTACCCTTACGACCAAATCTGACCCTTATTACCTCCCCAAAACTCCCAAAAATCTCCAAATACCATCACATTGTGGGGTCAAGCTTCAATATATGAACTGGGGGCAGGACACAAACAGTCTGTTTATAACAGATGCCCCTATGTGCCAGGGTGGGTGACACACTCACTTCATCTTTGTCTTAGCCCAGTGGAAGATAATAAAAAAGTTATGTTCTATCATTATTTACTCTAAAAAATATGTTTAAAAGGGAAACATTTCCTTCATTTATGTTTTACAACTCACCCAGAGAAAAGCTAGTGCAAAATCTGGAACCATTCTTGAAGACTTCACATAGAAGTGAAAAAAGTAAGACTAATCGATTATTCTCTCATTAGAATGACACTTGTTTTTCATGAGTGTTTGTTTCAAAGAAAAATTCCAAAAAAAAAAAAAAAAAGTGGCGGCCTAACATATTTTATCTGCTAATTTATCTTCTGGGTGTCTTCTCCTTTCTTAATATTAATAAACAGTTATCTGATTAATTATAACTTCTGAGTGATGTAAAAGAGGCTGGTCTTATTGAACAAATCACAGCTTCAATTTTTTTCTTGTTTTTAGACTACTGTTGGTTTATTGCTTTGAATTTTGCTTACTTGTGGTGGCTGTTTCTGCACGCCAAGGGTCCATTTCTTCCTATTTGGAGGAAAATGCTCTTTTCTTTAGCAGGTGAGCCCTCTTGTACTTTTAGCCCACATGCCTTCTGTGGGGCTAAGTCCCTTGCTAATAGGTTAGACACAGGGCCCAGCCTTGGCCAGTCAACAAATTCCATCCTCTGGATGAAGCCATTGGTTGGGAATCAGCCTGGATCCCTAGTGAGCCCCACGAAAGTTGGCCCCAGGCTTTTGATGGCACTACTGGGAAAGGGGCCTCCTTTTCTCTGAGGTTGCTGAGCAGGAAGGACATCAGCCTGGAGCTGCAGGTGGCATCTCGGCCACTCCTGAAGGTGGGCTTACTGAGAAGAATGTACGGAGGGTCCTGATGGCATTCCTGAGCATCAGGATCAAGCCATGGTTGAAGCAAGGTCTATGTCAGACTTTTAGTTGTAGGAGAAATAAAATCACTTAAAAAAATTCTGGTTTGAGTTTCGTCATTTACTACTAAGAAGTACTGACACAATATGTTAGCAATTTCAGAACTGGAGATGAGCAATGATTGCATTGCAAAAGTGGCCTCTCTCATTAATACCCGAGTCAGTCTGAAGGTGCGTTCACCAAGACCTTGCCCCAGACTCTGTTAAATGTCCCCTAGAAACACGTGATTGCTACACTTGTGATGAGGAGTTGTAGCTACTTGCTTATCGGTATCTCTCCTGGACTGTGACAAGCCCTTTAGGAGGCTTTTTTAGGGGGCAGGGACACGATGAGGGAAGGTATTCATTTTAGTGCTTACTAGAAGTATCTGTGCCTTTTAGAAATTTGTATCCTTTTGCCTGGCATGTACCTCCATCTGTGTGTGTCAGGGGCCAACTATGCAACTAGGAGTTCTCTGAATTTACTTCCCTTTAGAACAATATATTAAAACTCAACAGCAACAGCAAAATCAATTCTTTTTTTTTTTTTTTGAGACAAGGTCTCACTCGGTCACCCAGGCTGGAGTACAATGGCAGGCATGATCATAGCTCACTGCAGCCTTGAACTCCTGGGCTTAAGCAAACCTCCCACCTCAGCCTCCCAAAGTCCTGGATTATAGGTGTGAGCCACCACACCCAGCTGGAATCAATTCTTTGGAACAGAGGTGGATTAACTTTTTCTGTTGAAGGCCACATAGTAAATATTTAAAGGTTTCGTAGGTGGTAAGGTCTCTTCTGCCGTTGCAATGTGAAAGGAGCCATAGACAATATAGACACAAATGAGACTGGCTGTATTCCAATAAAACTTTATAGACTGTAAAATTTGAATTTCATACAGTTTTTACATCACAAAATACTGTTCTTCTTTTTATTTTTTTCAACCATTAAAAAAGATAAAACCATTCTTAGTTGTCGGCCTATAGAAAAACAGGTGGTGAACTGAATTTTGTCTATGGGCAGTAATTTGCATACCCTGGTTTAGAATTTAGACCAGCACCTTCAAATGGAAATGTAATTTAAAATTTTCTGTTATCTATAGTTAAAAGAAACACAAAAAGGTAAAACTGATTTTAATAATGTGTTTGGCTGACTACTCCAATGCAACCAAACTATCATCATTTCAACATATATTCAATATAAAAATTTATTACAGTATTTTACATTCTTTATTTTTTGTTCCAAGTCTTCCGAATATGGTATATATTTTACATTATAGCACATTTCCATTTGTATGACAAATTTTCATCTGAAATACTTGATTTGTTTTCAGATTTCACAAAATTTATGGTTGAAAAATAGATTAACATACACAAGGTGTTAGAAAACATTCTGAAAGTTTTCCAGTTGTTCAATCAAGTATCGGTTTTTAAATGTAAGTTAATTAAAATGAAATAAAATTTAAAATTCAGTTTCTCAATAACTCTAACCATATTTTAAGTGTTCAATAGCAACTATATTGGACAGCACAGACTTAGATCAACAAAAAGTTTTCGTTGTTGTTGTTTTTTTTTGTTTTTTGTTTGCCAGGAGGAATATTTGATCACTGTCTTCATTTAGAATTGCTAGAAAACAGTGATTATAAAAAGCAGGTAGACTATATCCACCAAGTTGCCAGAGCACAGAGTTCTTTTGAAATCCACTTAAAATGCTTTGAAATCCTCTCTAGACAATGCAGATCCCCACCTTGGTTCAGCCCTGGAAACCCTCTTGCCTGGAGTGCAGTAACCAAGTTACAGAGGAATATGACACATTGCCAAAGAGGTATCAAGTTGAAGATCCTATAGGGCGTGGTCAGCAACAGTGAGGATCTCAAACTTTCTCCCAAGTGGGTGGCCAGTCACTGGAGGACTTTCAGCCGGCTCACCGTGGCTGCTGCTCTATGGGGAATAGGCTTACCAGAGATGAAACAAAGTTGAGGGCAGTCGTGAAGTTATTGCAGGTGGACCATGATGGTGCCTGCAGGGCCACGATGGAGATGAAGCAAGTGAGGCACCTGGGGTCCTAGATTTAGGGAGGCACTCACCCCTAGGATCATGCAAGTGCTGCTGTACAATCCTGCCAGTGAGCACCTCATTAAATTTTGGCCCTGGCGGCTTGGACAAGAAGGCTTCCAAATAAAAAGTGAGAGAAGTAGCCAGAATTGGGATATATTTTGAAGGAAGAACCCACAGGTTGTACTGACGGATTGGATATGGGATGTGAGAGCAGAAGAGAGAAGCCGGGATGATACCACATTTCTGGTTTTCTGTAAACCCAGCTGGCCCCTAGTGTAGCCCGCTTTGCTCTTTCTGATCCATTGCCAAGTTACCAGCGCACAGAGTTCTTTTGAAAGTAGGAGATCTTCAATTAAACACATTTTGAAATTGCAGAGAGATTTAGTTATGCAGCTCCAAGCTGCTTCATTGTAACAAAGGTCACACTGTACATAAAGCTGGATGGCTTATGGTTCCAGTTCACTGTGAACGAACACAGGGATGGCTTGTCCTTTAATGCCACTTATCAGAAGTCTCAGCAGGCCTAGGGACCATAGGGTGGCATTGCAGCATTAACTTGTTTTTGCCTTTCTGGAATGCAAAAGCTGCTGTGACCCTTCACCCCATGAAAGCAGGGCATCAGCCCGTTCCCTCGGCTCTTCCTGGAGGCTGCACTTGCTCTCCAAACAGCTGCTCCTCTAGGTCTGCAATGGAAATCCAGGCTTGCTCTTACCCCCCTTCCTCCAGTCATCTCTACCCCTTTCCACCCTTCTTAAATTCCATTTTACAACACACAAAGCAAGATAGCCTTTGTTAAAAAGTTTAATGTTCTTAATTAGTTGAATCGGTTGGGCTAATTAGAATACCAATTAGAACTGGCAGGGCTATCGTTAATTTGAAAGTGCTGTGGTCTAGTGTTAATCGCTATTAAACCTTAGAGTTTGTGAAAGATAGAGAGGATGAATTCACAAAATACTATTTTAAATGTTAAAGGTCTGTGGTCAGAAGGATCCTGCCTGACAGTGAGTATTCTAGGGACGCATAAACCACAGAGATGGTGCAGTTGTCGAAGACTTGGGTGCTGCAAGGGGCATAAGTGCCTCCGTTTTCAAAAAATGTTAAAAAGTCTGAAATGTGTTTTGCTAAAATAGCCCACCAAATAGACTAATGATCTGGAATGATTCTAAAAAAAAAAAAAAAAAAAAAAAAAAAAGGCCAGGTGTGATGGCTCACACCTGTAATCCCAGCACTTTGGGAGGCTGAGGTGGGTGATGTGGGTGGATCACGAGGTCAGGAGATCGAGACCAGTCTGGCCAACATGGTGAAACCCCGTCTCTACTAAAAGTACAAAAATTAGCCAGGTGTGGTGGCGATTGCCTGTAATCTCAGCCACTCGGGAGGCTGAGGCAGGAGAATCACTTGAACCCAGGAGGTGGAGGTTGCAGTGAGCCAAGATCACGCCATTGCACTCCAGCCTAGGTGACAAGAGCAAAACTCCGTCTCAAAAAAAAAAAAAAAAAGTGTTTAAGTTACCAGGGTGCAAAAAAATTTCTGCTGTTTCCAGAGCTGTGTGTCACCTTTGACTTATTACTTCCCAAGTATAAGGAGCAATCCACACAACTAAACCTCTTTTATTTCTGGCCACTGTCTGAATAAGAAATTAGAAACAACAACGAAGTCTTTGCACCAAATCTTCATATTGGGGCTTGCAGGTGTGAAAGTCTTTATATTTTCATGTCTCATTTGGAGATGATTAAATGGATAAACAAGTCCTAATTTGTTTTCAGAGGAATATAAAAATCCTTCTTCATTTCCTCAACAAGCAAATATGGAATGGACAATTACAACTATTCTTACCGTGCATCCTCTGAGTTCTGACTTTATTTTTCCTCTATTCCAGTGATAAAGACAGAAGGTATTACCATCTACTATCCTTGCTGGTATCTTCTCAGTATATCTGATAATTTTCCAGAAAATAAACCATGCAGTTTATAGAAAACAAATATAAACATATATTTCATCATATGTATTATGGCATAGTTAGAAAATAAGAAATCTATCTTTTTAGATGGTGAATTGCTTTACAAAGGATATAAAAATGTTCAGTTCAATTGCTACCTTAGATCTTCTTGGAGGTAAATTTAAAACAGACAGACAGAGCAACAAATACATAAATGACTCAGCGATTACCAGTGTAGTATGATGTGTGGACAAAAACTTGCAGGAAGGAAAAAGGGTTTATAACCCAGAATCTTCCCCAAGTGTGTGTGTGTGTGTGTGTGTGTGTGTGTGTGTGTGTGTGTGTGTTTTGGGGGGGGGTGTGTTTTAACGAAACGTGGTGACATTAATATCAAGGATACTAGATTGAAGTAACATTTCAGTGAAGTTCCAGGTAGTCTTATCAAAATTGATTTTACCTTAATCAAATGCTACTGCATTGTAGGTGCTATGCTAGATGCGTGCCTAGGCACAGGAGAACATGATTAGGGTTCACTTAGGAAGACTGCATTAATGATAGTAGAAAAATTAAACAAAATAATATTTGATAAAGAACCAAAATAAAGACTTGTGTCCTTTGAATGTGGGTTCCAGTATCACATTAAGCATTGTGCCTTCCCACTAATTTTTTTTACCTTGGTTTTTAATCCTGCTCACCAGTTCCAATTCTTTCAGGGCTGTTAGTTAAATGAAAGCTTTAAGTTATGGTTAAAAATTACATTCAGGCAGGCCGGGCGCGGTGGCTCACGCCTGTAATCCCAGCACTTTGGGAGACTGAGTCGGGCGGATCACGAGGTCAGGATATCGAGACCATCCTGGCTAACACGGTGAAACCCCATCTCTACTAAAAATACAAAAAAAAAAAAAAAAAAAAAAAAAAATTAGCGCCTGTAGTCACAGCTACCCTGGAGGCTGAGGCAGGAGAATGGCGTGAACCTGGTAGGCGGAGGTTGCAGTGAGCGGAGATTGCGCCACTGCACTCCAGCCCGGGAGACAGAGCGAGACTTCCATCTCAAAAAAAATTTGTGAATAATAAGTGTTTCTCGTAAAATGATAAGGAATTAAAATTTTAACATTGATTGAGCAATTGTTAAACACCAGGAACTCTTCTTATGCAAAGCACTGAGAGAGGAAAAAATCCAAAACAAATGAACTCTATGGTTCCCTAATCCTAACCCTAAACCTAATCCCAAGTAAGAGTTCAAACTGGGGACTACACTGATCCACTGGTCATTTTAGTTTTCTCTCATTTTACTCAACTCATTTTGAGTTACACATTTCCTCGTGTGTGTTTTGTAGTTGCTTTTTTTTTCTTGTAGGCAACTCCCTAGATGAATTTATTCTCTAATCAAACCATAAATCCCTTTTTTAATTCATTCATGCAGTAATTCAACAAGCATTATTTATCATCTACTATGTACCAGGTAGTGTGCTAGGCTATGGGATACAAAGATGCAAATATAAGATAGCTATGTCCAAAAAGTTTTCAGTCTAAGAAGTGAAGTAAAAATCTCCAGAAATGGCTGTAAGACTTCCTGGCAAGCAGTGTGTCAGGGTCAAGAACAAGGTGCCTGGGAGGTCAAAGGATGGAGGAAGGAACTTGCTCTGTGGTCAGTAAGAGAGGTGAGGTCAGGGTGAAGTTTGAAGGACAGGTAGGACAACTATGGGATGGTACCTCTTGGAATATACAGTGCAGAGTCCCTAGCTTAGGGTTTAGTGCGATGCGAGGCGTTTCATGTCATTTGGACCTGGGCAATATAATGCAAAGGAAGAGATGCCACAACTCCGAAGTTGTTAAGAGAAGGGCGTGTTTATGTTCTTTCTAAAATCTCTCCAGATCCTGAAGAAATGAAGTGATCCACAACATATCTAATTTCATACTTTAGAGAGTTATTTTATAAATTAACAAACTTCAGTGGTAATTTTTCATCTGCAAAGAATCTATTGCATTGAGTCAATATGACATATTTTCGAAATTTTCTTTTGGCATCTATAAAGGGTATATAAACATCAAGGAAAGTAATACAATTAATTTCATTTTTAGAAAGAATGTTAAGAGAACAAATGATAATAATTTTATTTCTCTTTGGAACTGACTTTAGACTAAACATATTCCTTATTACTAAAGAAAGCATTCATACTAAGTCAGACTCTCTCCTAATTTGATGTGAATTCTTAACTTGAAAATAGATCCAGTGAAGTCAAATCAAGAAACCATTTCTCATTTTCCCCCAACCTCCTTGAACATTTTTGAGCAAATCCCTCATTTTACTATGGGTGCTGGATGTTTGTTATTTGATGTCTGTGTATCTGCATGTCTGTGTGTATATTTATAGTTTATCTGCCCTGTGTCATTCTGCAGAAAGGGATTCACTCAGTCAACTGGATATGAGAGATTTGAGCTCAGTAATCAGCTGGAGGAACAAAGAGACTGCAATCAGGAGAAGCCCCTGAAGGGAAGGTAGTCTACTCATGAGAGTCCCCTGAGGGTCCTCATCAGCACTAGAGAACTGTTTTGACAGAACCACTGAATTGGGTGCAGGAGTCAAATTCCTGGGACATCAAACCAGGACAGATTTTCTGCTCGTCCACAAACAACAGAGACCCCTCTGCCTTTAGGGAATAGGAGGAGCCTGCTCTCAGGGGTGCAATGGCTTCCAGGGTTGGTTGGAATAACTTGCTGTAGGCAAAAGGGCAAGGAACATTGAGTAGCAGAAATGGAAGCAAATAATTTATTATTTTTTTTAAATTGCAAACCCTGATGTCTGGCCCCAGATATTTGAGCATATTCTCCATTCTTCTAACAAAAGAAACACACATGCTTATTCCACCCTTTTCCGCCTCATCTGGCAGCCGCTTTCTGGTCCAGCAGACACTAACATCTAATGAGTCAAACTTCTCATTTTCAGACTAATCAGTCGGCTGCACTAATTGCAAATGCAAATATGCAAATTTATATTAATTAATTACTCTGCTAATTAGTTCTGCGGTCTTTTTTGGGTAATAAATCATTGTGCAGTGGAAGGGAAACAAGTCCTGTCCCATTTCACTCCACATAAAAATTTAATGTACTCATGGAAGAAAGTATATTAAAAAAGAGGAAAGCATGAGCTGATCACTGTGCTTCCACTGACGAGTCCTCTACAGAAAGGTGCAATTCTGCGAGGGCTTTCACATCTTCTGCAAATGCCATCACTAAGGTGCCTGTTAGCAATTTAATTATCACATTATGAGCTTTAGAAAAAGCCAGTCTGCTGTGCTGCAGGCTGTGACGTGGAGCTCGGCAGTTCACCCACTTTGCAGCAAAACACTTATAAATAAAATGAGAATATAGAGAGGGAATCAAATTTCTTTGCTGGAACACGATAGCTTGGGAACAAATGTTTTCAGGGTTCCTTGTTGCTGTTGTTATTGTTTTAAGTTACAGTTATCATCTTGCTCTTCATGACCTTGGAGTAAAAGTTTTTATCATGTTTGGGATGCATTGAAGGGGTGTGTAATGGTAGGAGGGGGTTGGAAACAGAGAGGTGAGGAGTTGCTGGTATAAGAGGGAGGAAACAGTCTTTCACAATAGCTAGCAGTGATGCATACTCAGATTTATTTATTCCATAAATTCTTGTTGGAGACTTACTATGTTCCCAGCTGCCCACCGTGGGGGATGGTGTGACATGCATGTGATGTGTGAGAAACATTTCTCCCAATTAGACTGTGGATTTTCTGAGGATAAGATGCTAAGTCTCGTTTACTTCTGTGTTCCTAGCTCTTTGCCCAGATAGAATATTCCACAATGAATGGATGAATATATGAATGAAAGAGTGAATGGCTGCAGCCTTCAAAAATCTCGTCTAGTTATAGTGACAATAACTGATACTCGTGTCCAGTATTGCCTTTATTGTTGGGTAGGTGTCAAGATTACGAGGTGATGGCCAGACACAATGACTCAAACCTGTAATCCCAGCACTTTGGGAGGCCATGGTGGGAGGATCACTCAAGCCCAGGGGTTCGAGACCAGCCTGGGCAACACAGTGAGACCCCATTGCTATATAAAAGTTAAGAAATAGCCAGGTGTGGTGGCAACATGCCTGTAGTCCCCACTATTTGGGAGGCTGAGGTGGGATGATAGATGGAGCTCAGGAGTTAGGAGTTACAGTGAGCTATGATGGTGCCACTTCACTCCAGCCTAGGTGATAGAGGGAGAGCTTGTCCCTAAAACAAAAGAAACAAACAAAAAAGTTTAGGAGATGAGAGGAGTGAGAATGTGGTGGTTCAGATTTAAATCCTCACATGTTAAATGTCTCTTCATTTCCCTCCTTCACTTTCCTTTTCTCTAAAAGAAACGTCTACTTCACTTCCTCGTGGTCTTGCCTTACTATTGGGGCATGTGATGTTTGAGCAATAAGAGGAAACTGCTATCCTTACAGCTGGGCAACTTGCCCTCAATCTCCGGCTTGCCCCTCTCCTGGTTTTGTGATTTTGAGCAAATTATTTAACCTCCTCAAGTCAGTTTCCTTATCTGTAAAAGCAAGAGGAATGAGTGTATCAAGAATGGTGTGGTGGAGACAGGGCTCTGCAGCCAGGCAGCTCAGCACTGGTTTCTCACCCCGCAACTGCTCTCTTCATGGCTTTAGGTCTTCATTTTTTATTATTTATGAAAAAGTATTTACTTTCTAACTTTTTAAAAGATTAGAATGTAGGACACATGTACATGGTACAAAATTCAAAAAGCATATAAGGTATCCAATAAAAAGCGAGTCTCGGCCGGGTGCGGTGGCTCATGCCTGTAATTTCAGCACTTTGGGAGGCCAAGGTGGGCGGATCACGAGGTCAGAAGTTCTAGACCAGCCTGACCAACATGGTGAAACCCCATCTCTAATAAATATTTAAAAAATTAACCAGGCATGATGGTGGGTGCCTGTAATCCCAGCTACTCAGGAGGCTGAGACAGGAGAATCACTTGAACCCGGGAGGTGGAGGTTGCGGTAAGCTGAGATCGCACCACTGCACTCCAGCCTGGCGACAGAGTGAGACTCTGTCTCAAAAAAAAAAAAAAGCGAGTCTCCTTCCCTGACCCCTGCCCTCTCTGTTCTCTTCCCCAATGGCAACAACTAACTTCTTTGTAACCTTCCAGAGGTAGACACTGTATTTCTAAATAATATATATTCCCCAACACACAAATCATAGTGTACCATAATTCTATTCTGAATCTAACTTTTTTAACCTTAATGTATCAGTACATGCAGAGCTATTTTGATGCTGTTAAGCCCGCCTGTTTTCCATTGTATGAGAACATAGGAATGTATTTGTATCAGCCACCAATTGGCGGACATTTTACATTGCTTTCAATTTTCTGCTGCTATAAATAATGCTGCAGATAACGTCTCTGTACATACAACATTTTGTCCATGTGGAGGTAGACCCATAGGACAGATACCTAGAAATAAAATTGCTGGATCAAAGGATACATATATTAAATTCTGAAACATTGCAAACCTCCCCTCCATAGAGGACATACCAATTCACTCACTTACCATGACCGTGCCTCCTCCCGACACCCTTGCTTGGGCAAGTTCTCTAAATCTTGGTTCCTTAGTGTTCTTATCTACAAAGTGGGGATAATAATGCTGCAGTCCTCATAGGGAGGTTGTGAGGAATAAATGAGATCATTCATGAAGAATCCTTAGCATTGTCATGTGTTACTGTCTTCAGCATTTTCATTATTGTTCTCATTTTCACCACTGTGTATAATTATTTTGAGGGTAAAAGGAAATCACCATTGTGAAAGCACTGTGTATAGGGCTTTACAAATATTAGTCATCAATAAGAACCATTATGCTTTTCCTTCTTTGTGCATAGGAATATTCCTCAAGTGTCTTTGAAGTTTTCTGAAGTTTCAGAACTGTCCACGTATATAACACATTTAACAATAGGAACAACGATTAACTTCATTCCCCCAAATTAATCAAGTGCCCAAAGTGCAGAATAGGAAAAAGAAAGAGGCGTGGATGATGGAAAGTGAGAAGACAAACCAAGGAATTAAACTGAAGGAGACAATAAGGGCAAGAGAACCAGGGTTGGGGAAAAGGGAACATGCAGTAACCAGAGCAAATGGCCAGCTGGATTGTGGGGCACAAAAGTGAGAGGTGGAACCAAGGTCCAAGAGCAGGAGAGCTTCCAGCTGAGAAGGTGGCTGACAGGCTGAGCTAAGTACTTGGTTAGCCTAGAGTGTGCCCAAATCCTCACTCCCTCTCTGGATAATACTGCCATTGTGTGACCAGCTAGGAGGCTCCCTTCTGTTTCTTCTTTCCACTCTATGCAGGAGTTGATTCCAGGGCTCTTATTTCATCTTCTTTCTCTACTCTCCTTAAACTTTCCTTCCTGAGTCCAGTCTCCCCCAAAGTTTCAACAGCCACTGACTACTTCAAGGTAACTGGCCACTGGGTGTTTTAGCACCATGTTTGCGGTCACCTACTGAACTTTTGAAAGCCATTCTTACATGATCTGTGTTCATTTCCAGCACAACTTACCTAAAGCCAAACTCATCTCTCTGAAATGCCTTTTCTTTCTCATTATATTTCAGTGTATGCTAATAAACTGTAAGTGATATATTCCTTGGTATATACCTTGTTTGCAAAGACAGTGCTGCCAGGTCACGTGTGCTCAATAAGTGCCTGTGGATCAAAGATCAAAGAGTGTTTTCCATGCCCCTGCCCCCATCTTTCTCAGTGAAGCTTACTTCTATTTTATATTTTGATATGAACATAATTTGGAGATTATTTTCTCAAAGATAAAACAAAGTAAACATCTTTCCAGTGTTCCATGGTTTGTGCTGGATGACTAACATTTCTTCACTTGAATCCTCCAGGCTGCTGGTCTAGGAACAGCACTGGGAAGAGCCTGTGAGGACCTTCTGTGGGTTTATGTGCATGGGAGATTTCCTTTTCCTCCACTCTGCGGGGCATACGGCTGTGCTCTGCAGAGTCCAAAAGGGGGAGCTTCGCTGATTACTTCTTTAATGTGAGAGTATGAGAGAGCTGATTACCTTAGATCATAATTAGACTGATAGAAGTGAACAGTGATGCAAATTTTAAAAATACAAATGAGTATGGCTCAAACCCTGGTGAACCGAATCTTTACAATTCCATTTAAAACCCCAAAATAAATGTCATTACTAACTGTTTTGTGAAGGTGAAGTGGAAAAAAATATAAATTTGTTTCTTTAGATAATTAATTAAAAACCCTGTGCCACATGTAAGATGTTTGTATCTGAGTCATGTTTTTCTAGCAAAAATATATTTTTCAATAGATTATTTTTCCTAACCAATGTTTTAAATAGGAGAATACTGAGTTTTATGTTTGTTTTGGTCTCACATTTCCCAGCAATCATCTGTAGTTAAAGGACGATGCCAGTGAGTTGAGGTTGAATATTCCATGTCCAAAATGACCAGATGACATATCCTAAGAACTTGTCTTCTGTACATCCGCACTGTGGCCACCTCTTCTAAAAACATGTGCTACTGGATATGAGAAGAAATATATTAGGTTTTCAGGAAAAGCAGTTTAAAATTCATGCCCTTTTAAAACATATTATTTCGTATTCATGTTTTAGCATGAAGAAAAATAAAAACTCCAAACTCATCAAATATGTGCAATTTGTATATATCAATTATATCACAATAAAGCCTTATAAAAAGAAAAATAAACATTAGCCTTAATCTTACAATGCAACGATGACGACTATAAACATTTGGGCTGTACCCTTTTAAACGTTTATCCATAACTCTATCTAGAGCTCTAAGTATCTGCATACATACATACTTCTCTCTACAGACCTGTCTCTGACACCCTGGTGTTTGCATTGATGCTGCAGCTCTACCAGTTATTTAAGACTTGTTCTGATTGACTAGAGTCAGTGTTGTACAGGTGATACATACTTTGAATATCACCTGGTATCTGTTCAACAAAAGTGGTGTCAGCCTCTCCATACTGGTTTGTTGTGTGTGTGCGTATGTGTGTGGGTGCATGTGTTTGTCACTTACTGGTGTCATTGTTTCAAAATGCACATCATTTTTAAGGCTACGGAGTATTCAGTTGTGCTGATATTCTATAATTTATCCAACTAGTCCCATGTTATGGGGCATTTTGAATTGTTTTCAATTCGATTATTTGGTATTTATATATCATCCTATTTTGGTTTTAATCTTCATTTTTACTTTGTTATTTTTGTTGCTAACATCTCTTTCCACCAATGGTTTGAAAGGGCTGTAGAGTTCTTATTGTTCTCTAGTGGTCATTACAATTTTACTGAAAATATTTGAATCAGTCATTGTCTATCAGCATTAGGATTTTTTTTAACATTAGGATTTAATTCAATTCTGCTAATTTCCCCACCCCTACTTTTCCTGGCTTTTACTGTCACCTTTTATCTCCAATTGTCAGTTGATGTTTAAATAATTTGGGGCTTTCAGATTCATTTCTTGAAATAAAATTTGTATCTCTTCTTCCAAGAATAATGCTTGACATTTGCATTGTTTATAATTATGTTAGTGGTTATTTAGCTATTAACTCTGAACTTTATGGTTTTCATCGCTCATTGTCATTTCTTTCAAACAACATTTTATATACATTTAAATTCTTTATTTTGGTACCTTTGTCAATGAACTGAAATACTGAACCAGGGTATTTCCCTGACTCCCTTGCAGAACTAGCGACAGGGTTGTCTTATTTACTCAGCCCGCTGCTCTCAAGTCCTCACGGTAGGGAGCAGGTGAGCGAATGAAGCGGGAACTGGAGTGCACAAGCACTGGAATTGGCCAGCCACTTCAGTGCCAGTGGGATCAAACTCCACTCACTCAGACCTACTGCGTTCCACCCACCGTGGGAGGGAGTGCACAGGTGAGTGGATGCAGGAGCTGGAGCAAGTGCTTTTGGGTGCTGGCAGGAGCAAATTACATGCAGGCCCTGCCGCAGCGTCAAGGCAGGGTGTCTGCGACTCTGGAAGCCCCAGAGGGCATGTTACAGTGCCCTTTTAGCTCTGTCATCCGTGGACGGCTTAAGTATGAACAGTCAGTGAGCCCTCTGCCCTTTCACATGAGGCAGCTGCCCTCTGCCATTGAGGGCAAAGGGCCAGTGTAGCAGCCTTTTGTATCCACACTTGTGTCCCCTGAGCTCTTGTCCAGCATCCAGGAGAAAAGAAGTCGCACGAATAAACTGAAGGATGCTAAATGCAGGGAATTTTATTGCCAGTGAAAGTGGCTGTCAGTGGGAAGGGGAGCTGAAAAGGAGACAGGAGGTAGGTAATCTTCCCCTGGAGTCCGGCCGTTTCTGGCTGGATTCTTTTCCCGAGTTATGCCATCAAGCTGTCCCTCTGAAGTCAAGCCGCTTCTATCCAATGTCCAGCCATAGTCCCTGTCATCCAGCTGTTTCTCCTCTCTGCTGGCTGAGCCTGGGGTCTTTACAGGCACAGGATGCCGGGTGGGGCAGGCTATGTGTAATTTAGGAAAAGGCAACATTCAAGCAGGAAAACAGGGATAGAAGTTTTCACTTTAAGCAGCAGTTTCAGGCCTTTCGGTTTGAAGGTGGGGTTTTGTCAAGGACCTGCCCTTTTCTGCCTAGAACTTCTCTGCCCCCTGTTCATATTAATACTTTTGTGAGGACATTTTTCAGAAAGCATAGGTGAATGATAAACACTTTTAGCCCTTGCATGTCAGAAAAAAAAGCTTTCTCTTGTCTTCAAACACGATTTAAGTTTTTCTTCAAATTATTTTTACATATTTCTCCCAATTATTTTCTGGGTTTGAGTTTTAATCTGATTTTTTTAAAACTAGATTACCTTTAACAACAGCAACAGAAAATCACCGATGTCTGACTATGTATAGGTTGCTTTTCTTTGTCTTTCAAATACAACTACGTAAGTAGAATTTGCGTGCTATGTGCCATTCTTCACTATCTGTGTAATGGACCCATGAAACCCAGATGCACCTTGTATTTTTTTTCCTCACAGGAATCTTTCTGCTGTTATTTTTATATTAGAGAATTGCTTCCTGCATGTTTCTATTTTCTTATATTTTTCTCACCATACTTACGTTGTGTCTTGTGGATCTATCATCCATGTCATTGATCTTTCTGCATATCCTGTGTCCCATGTTTGTCCTTTTACGATGAGCTCTGGGAGAAGCTCAAAAGCTGGATTTTCAATTCATGAATTCAGTTTTCTGCACTTTCTATTCTGCTGTTTACCACTTCACTTGCATTTTTATATTTGAAAATTCTATTTTTCACCTGAAAGCATCCACTCCTGGAAGTAGATTTTTCTTTTGCAGAGAGGCAATGCTGAAATATACCAAATTTAGAGTGCAACTCCAAAAATACAGTTTTTAAGTTTCTTGCCATTAATCTATATTGTTTTGGGAAATTGACTCTGCTACTTCTTTGGGTCAAGTGAATCTTTTCACATGTCTAGTGAATTTTCACCCTTGCGGGTGGGAGCAGAGATGGATGCTTGTTTATTTTAAAGTGTTGTTATGGCATTGTTGGCAATTTTATAAATCCCTCTTCACATGTATTTTAGTTCCAGACAAAAAAGAAATGAAAGCAGCTTATCTTTTCTGTGGTTTTATTTTTGGCAGATAAAGGTTCCAGATGCTTGAGAAGAGAGAGTGGGAAATATAGCCAGAAGCGATTTTGCATTCTGGAGCAGCATTTGCCTGCCCATGGCTCTCTGTTTCACTTAGTACCTGGCCTGCCATGTGCAGCCCAGGCAGCAGCAATGACGCCATTGTCAGCTCCATTCACACTTCCTGAAGCCACTGGCAGGGTGGTTTTTTTCACCCTGCTGACAGCTGTGTCGCTCACTCCTGCCTAGAGGCCCTAGCTACTCCAGATTAGAGGTGGGAGACAGACCCCCAGGCCATCATGATCCCTATTAGTGTCATTTATAGTTGCTCCAGGTTGGCTTTGTGCCCCACCTGGCCAAGTACATGCTAAGAGCGAAGAGTGTAGACTACAAGCTACACTATTTCATGGCATCATTCAGAAAATTGAGATTTGTTCCTATGGCCGCCCCCCCTTGGCCCCAGCCCCAATGCTTGTCAGTCTGGGGTATTCATGGGGTTCTGCTGGTGGTTTGCCTTCTTCACAGGAAAATATATTTTTTCCTGCCGAAAATTTCAGCCTGGGCATTCAATTCCTCAGTCTGGTGGTCGGCACTATGTCTGTAAAATATTCTATAACATTTCTCGGCTTTAGTGAACAGATTATCACCCATTTTTATTTTCGTAGGAATCGGCATAGTTGGGACACTTAACTGAAATGATTGGACCACACTGTGAAGGACATAAAGAGCTATGAAAAATCCCAGCTTTGTTGCTCTACAGAACACAGAAATATCTGAATGAACAAATTCAGTAAGCCACCCTGATATGTTGTCTCTGCAACATGATCCATTCACCTATATATAGATATTTAGGTTTCTCATTTTCTTCTTGATGTTTGATATCATAAAAATATAGACAACATCCATGGATCCTGATGATCAAAAATGTTTTTCTCCAGGTCTTAAGATCGTTTAGTCAGAGGTGCATTTCAATGCAGTTGGTTCATTTCTGAGCCCTGGGACTCTCTTGTGTGTGTTTGTAGAAGGCATGGAATAACAGTTTGTTTTGCTCTCACCTTCACCTCTCTTCTTAAGGCGCAAGCTGAGCTTTATAGTTCAGAAGTTAAACACATTAGAATATTTATTTAAAGGCAATTGCACTTCCTGCTGTCTGGGTAGCTGGGCTCACCAGGCCACTAGACCCCCAAATGTGTATTTGCCTTCTGGTGGCCCAGCCTGCAGGGCCATTGTCTCCCTGTTGTTAGCAAATGGTTTCCTCCACAAGCCTTTTAACTCCACAAGTTTGCAACCATTAATTCTTAAGGGTTTTGACAAATCTCCCCAGTTAAATATTAAACAATAAATATGGCCCGGATGGTAACAGTGCATTGTGAAGTCTGTTTGAAGTGTCCTTTAAAATATTAAATTCAAATAAATGATTGAATCAGAACAAAGGCTATATCTTAAGACAAATTCAGCCAAGTCTCTTTAACCTTTGAGCTTTCAACATAGATTAGAAAGCCAGGGCAACGCATGCTTTCATAGCAAATTGAAATGGGATTTTTGAAACAGTTCCTGCAAATACAGGTAACCCATACCTAGGTTTGATCTGCCTTTGCCATTTTGGGGGAGAGATTTTGCTGCTCATTGTTTGATAAAAATGTGATTTTTTAAAAAGCCCTTATGTTCAAAGAAGCAAATCCTTGAAAACGCTAGCTTTGGGTGCTATGTTTATTCCTTGTCAATGTCTTCCATATGAAATCTGTTCTGCTTATAATATCTACCACAGTTGGAGCCTTGAAAAAAATCTGTTTCATATCTGCCCTTTGTACTTAGCTTATTTTGTTTTATGCTTCCCCCAAGTTATACGTCTGTAAGCTGTCTTTCTTCTAAGCAGGCGGTCCTAGAGGAGGAGGAATTGGGGGATTGCCCTGCATTTAGGGGAGCCTGGACTTCTAACACATGAATTATACCTTAGGTAGGAAGCAGGTAAAGGAGAAGAAGGTGGATTCACCAGCTGGGAAAAAAGATGAGTAAAGCCAAATTCTGCCTCCTTCTCACTCCTACACCCTGTGCGGCTGGTCCAGCACCCGTTGGCTCTTCTCTTGGGTTTGTGCTCTGCCACAGCGTCCCCATCTGTTCCATCTGTTTCCTCGACACTGCACAACCTCCGGTAGCTCTTGATCCAGCCTGCCCAGAACAATGACTCCACATACCCAAGCTTCTTAGAAGAGAGTGTGACACAGTTGGCTACAGGGCATGCACGATAAAGAGACCCTGTTATAATAAACACGGGTTGCTCATTAGGAGCATATGGTTGACATCGTGGGGGCTGAAAGGTGTGAGCATGTCGAAGACAAAGACACCCATCAAACATCTCTTGAATGAATGCTTGTGGGCTGCAAAGGTTTCTGAAAGGAGCAGAGTTTCTGCAAATGCACTGCACTCTGGGAGGCCTGTGGGTTTCTGTGCCCACCCTGGTGGGAGGATGCCCCAACACAAGGCAGTTTGGTCCTCAGCTAATGCCCTATTGTCTGAACGCTGTTTTGATGTAGACCTGTTCCCTGCCCCTTGCTGATGCTCCATCAGGTAGACAGGGATCTCCCTCACTTCAGGAATTGACAAAGCAATTGTCTGATGCCGGAGAGGCTAGACATTGTCCAAACCAGCAAAGGGAGCTTTGACATCCAGAGAGAGAGCCTCCCTGAAAACCTAGGAATAAGATGCTCTTCTTTCCTCTACAAGAAAGAGAAATATCATCTGATGGGACAGCCCCCATGGTTTCAGCACCACCCGGGAGGGAGCCTAATTAGGAGCCTGTTGCTGACTTGCAAGGCTAGACTTCTCCCAGAATCGGGGTCAGGCTGGTCAAAGGCACTATCTGCAGTTCCTGCATGTCCATTCTGTTCATGCCACTAGGGGTCCTCATTGGTTTGTTCAGGACAGAGCAAAAGGCAGCTTTTGAGATAGAAACCACCAGAAAGAGGCCTTCAATTTGACTTCTTTGTGGGTCTCAGGCTGTGTGGTCTTGGACAAGTTACTCAGAACCCCTGGGCCTCAGTGTCCTCATTTCTACAATGGGAAGAAGAAGGGGCTGAGAACTTACTTTCATGGAGGACCTACTAGGTGCCAGACATAGCTTTTGTTTTAATAGAGGTTCCTCCAGAAACAAAGCCCGAGACAAGGACGTGATACAGTGGTTTCTTTGGAAATTGTGGATCCCAGTTGAGGGTGACACAGAATAAGGAGAAGCTGACCTTCGGGTATGTCACGGAGGGGCTGCTGAGCACGGCAGAGGCTCGAGCCCAGGGAGACCTCCTCAGCAGGGTAGAGTGCCTCCGGGAGGCTGGGCCATTTGTCTGCCAGCTCCTGTCCCATATGGAGTAAGGGCTGCCTCTGAGGATGATGCATTTTACCACAGAGTGGAGAAGTCCCCAGAACAGAAAGTGGAGACACATGGTACACACTTAAGGTGGGTGAATCTGAAACCAGACAAGCTGTCACTGAAAACAGATGTGAGTCGAAGGGCTGTGATGCAAGCACCGGGGCCACCATGCTCAATGATACATGTATAGATATACATAGCCTGCCAATGCATTGGACACAGACGAGGCAAGGCTACTGTCTTCCTCCCAGAGTTGAGAGGAGCATATGAAGGAAAGTGCTGATGGTGACTGATACAGGGTAGATTTTGACTAATAGAACTCAGCATCTTGCTGGGGCAGGGAGAGTGTAGCTACTCAGACATTTCCACTGCCACAGAACCCCTCCCTCCACCGGGGCCACTGTGTGTGAGGAGAAGGAGCAATGTGAGGAAGAAAGGGGCCCTTACCAAGGAATCATTTGGGAGTGATTCAGCAAACCTTCTGTCTGCTAAGAATGAAGGTCGTTTTAGAATTTCTCTGTGCTTACCTGTGTAGGTGCAGGATCCTAGATATTTTTGAGATGATTAATTAAATCCAACAGGGAGATAACTTTCAGCAGCACATCAAACAGCCACAGAATGTGTGGCTAGCATTACATTTATGTGTGTGTAAAATCTTTTTAATATAATTATTACTGCATTCCCAAAAGACATACTTTTCCCAACTAGAAGAAAGACAGAAAGAAAGGAAGGAGGGAATCAAGGAAAGAAGGAAGAAAGGGAAAGAAGAAAAAGAGAGAGAAAAAAGAAGGAAGGAAGGAAGGAAGGAAGGAAGGAAGAAATCTGTATTAAATGGAGAGGAACTTGTGAACATAGATCAAAGCACAACTGGCCTCACATCCCCTCCAGTGGAAAATGTCGTGAGCCTAACAGGAGAGCAAAGTTTTGAGGTGGTGGCCAGGGTGCAGACATAGCCTCATTATAATGAAGAATTACCAATGTAATTATTAGCACCTGACTTTACCTAGAAGCACACATCTGCATTTCTACTTAGGATCATTCATACCTCAAATTATCTGAGATGAATTGCATCAAATTCCTAGTGAGATTTTCCAGAGAATTTACCAAAATTAGGTCATCATTTACCATCTCCTGTCTTGCTTACTTCCCTTTGGTGCTTGCCACCAGCAAAAGGTATTTTGAGTAAAAATAGTTACACTCTCTAGGCCAAAAGGTGCCCCCCATTTACCTCTGTACCCACAGACACTATCTTGGCTCAACCTCCTCTCAGCTTTCATCTATGTTTCTGTGACCTTCTCTGTACCTAGTGATCCTGCCTCTCTGCTTCCAGTCTTTTCCCTGCTCCAGTCCAAACTCCTCACTGCTCCGAGAGGGATCCTTCCAAATTGCGTATTTGAACATATATATCACCCCTCTGCCCCAAATCCTTCAATGGTTCCAGATGTTTTCAGGATAAGACTTAGGACCTCACATGACTGTGCCCTGTCTGCTTTTTTTGGCCCTCTCAGTCTCCACACACTTCTGCGGTTCTAACCAAACACCGTCCATTTACACACAATGCATCACACTCTGTGTCTTAGCTGGAAACAGCCACCCCACCTGTACCTGCTCAGCACTTCCTGGTAGGCTTCCCCAGCAAAGGCAGAGATTTTGTCTTTTTCATATCTGACCCCTTAGGACCAAGTACATGGCTCAGTCAATATTGAATGTGCTCAACAGAAACACAAATAACATAAAAGAAGCCTGCTTCTTTCTAAGTGGTGATTTGGCCAAACTACAGCATGGCAAAGGAGAGGTGGGGGAACAGTCTAGGTACTGGTAAGAAAAATATGTGATATAAATTTTCAACTCCTCCTGCATCAGGTCTTCATTATGTGTTTTATCTATTTTATTTAAAGAGAATTCTAAGAGCGCCACATCTCTGCACATTTAAATACATGCACCTTTGCCTGGACATATTGTGTGACAGAAGAAAACAGTAAAAAAATAAATACGTGAACCTTAGCAACAGAGCAAGACCTTGTGTCATAAATAAATACATCTTAAAAGCTCACACGAATGCTCTGTAACTGATTCTTGGGTTTTCCACCATTTAAAATTGTCTGATGCCCTTTATGATGAAGAATGAGAGTTGACTGGCAGCTATCTAGAACATAAATATTTCTAAGCTGTAACTTGTGGCCAAGTTAACTAATAGAGACATTCAATACAATAAGATTTGACATGTTTTTCAAGGCATGGGTGAAAATGAACCAGGTTGTGATTGAATAAGGTTTCCGGAAGTTAAACTCCTATAATTCCATGGATATAAAAATATGTAGGCTAACAACTGAATTTGCTGTCAAAAAAGTGCCTTTCACTCCAAAGAAGTAAAGTTATCCAAGTTCATCCCAAGAATAAATAGCAATATGGTTATTAAAAATAAGTGGCTTATTTGCCTTATATAACACATTGAAGACTATTTTTTATTATGCTTGTGCTACCAGCTGCAGGTCTAATTAATATTATTGGTGGCTTGAAGCAGAAGATAACGCACAGAAGTTTATTGTTGCTTACGTTGCTTTCTCCATGTGTAGCAGGCCCATGTGGAGGCAGCATTCATTTAGAGAACTCATTAAAACAGTCTCTTCTTGGCCGGGCACGGTGGCTCACGCCTGTAATCCCAGCACTTTGGGAGGCCGAGTTAGGTGGATTGCCTGAGCTCAGGAGTTCGAGACCAGCCTGGCCAACATGGTGAAACCCCGTCTCTACTAAAAATACAAAAATTAGCCGGACGTGGTGACGGGCGCCTGTAATCCCAGCTACTGAGGAGGCTGAGGCAGGAGAATCACTTGAACCTGGGAGGTGGAGGTTGCAGTGAGCTGAGACCATGCCATTGCACTCCAGCCTGGTGACAGAACGAGACTCCGTCTCAAAAAAACAAACAAAAAAACCAGTCTCTTCTTCATCAGGCACTGATAACACCAAACATATCTTGACTCATCCATTCATGAATTCACACATTCAATCCTATTCAAAATATTTATTGAACATTTATTTTTACCAGGCATGCTGTAACAAGGAACAATTTTTTCAGGGCCCATATGACAAGCTGATTACCCTCGGTAGGGAGCCTGGTGCAGACTGTCCCTGATGCCAGATGTATTAGGCAGATCCCAGGCAGAGGGAGTTTCTATCAATAATGTTTGAAAGAGAACCACCCAGCAAGGCTAGAACTAGGAGACAAGTGAAGCATTCAGTTCAGGTTCAGTTTCAAGGGAGGCATCATAATCCATGATGAACAAAATATCAACATTAAAACAAATCTTGCATTAAAATATTATCTTGATTACTGATTTTTTGTGCCCCCTTAAGTTTTTATTATTCAATTTTATTAAAATGTTTAAAAAATCAACTAATTATATTTTTTAGAGACAACGTCTCATGATGTTGTGTGGGCTGGAGTGCAGTGGCTGTCCACAGGCCCAATTACAGCACACTATAGCCTCAAAACTCCTGGGCTCAAGAGATCCTCCTGCCTCAGCCTCCTGAGTAGCTGGAACTACAGTGCACACCACTATGCCCCACTTTATTTTTATTGACAAAGAATAACTTTATATATTTTTGGTGTATAATGTGATGTGTTGATATATGTATATGTTATAAAATGATTAGATCAAGTCAATTAACAAATCCATCATCTCACAGACTTATTTTTTGTGGTACAAATATTTAAAAATCTACTGTCTCAGAAATTTTGAAATACACATTTCATTTATGCAATAGATCTCAAAAGAAATTCTGTCTAATTGAAACTTTGCATCTTTTGCCCAACACATCCCTTCCCCAAAGCCTCTGTTAGCTACTATTCTATTATCCTCTTCTATGAGTTCAACTTTTTTTGGATTCTTCATGCAGTGTTTGTTTCTCTACACCTGGCTTATTTCACTTAGCATGCCCCCCCCCAAAAAGTGAAAAATTATTTTATCTCATGGCCCTTATTTTTTGTTCAGGAGAGGATCCACGTGTACATTGTTTAACCAGTCTAAATATAGAGTATGTTAAGGAGAATAATGCCCTCCAGCTTCATCCATGCTGTTGAACATGGCAGAATTTCCTTCTTAATATTAAGGCCAAATAGTATTCCATTATGTATAATGATATGGTTTGGCTATGTCCCCACCCAAATCTCATCTTGAATTGTAGCTCCCATAATCCCCACGTGCCACGGGAGGGACCCGGTGGGAGGTAATTAAATCATAGGGACAGGTTTTTCCCATGCTGTTCTCATGATAGAGAATAACTCTCATGAGAGTTGATGGTTTTATAAAGGGGAGTTCTTCTGTACATGGTTTCTTGACTGCTGCCATGTAAGACATGCGTTTGCTCCTCCTTCACCTTCTGCCGTGATTGTGAGGCCTCCTGGCCATGTGCAACTATGAGTCTACTAAGCCTCTTTCCTTTATAAATTGCCCATTCTTGGGTATGTCCTTATAGCAGTGTGAGAACGGATTTATATCTATATATATATATATATATAGATATGTCACATTTTCTTTATCCATTCATCTGTTGACAGACACTGAAAACTGATAAATACAAAGCTCCATAAGAGACAACTATAAACAATTATATGCCAACAAAATGCATAACCATGCCCACATAAATGTGCACCTGAGGCAAATGCCTCACTCTCCTCTTTTTAGTCCTGACCCTGCCATCACGCAGATTTCATGGCTGTCTAAATGTTGTGAAAACTCTGGGATGGCATCTCTCTCCCTGTTCTCATGGGATCCTGCTTAAATGTATTTATTTATTTAGCGATAAAGCAATTCATTCCACAATAATAAATTATAGACTTAATATGTCAGGGAAAAAATACACGAGTGATTTTAGTTCATACTAATGAGTAAATGACTAATATCAATTCTTTCCACAAATCAAATTTAAGATAAAGATGATGAGCAAAGAATCCAACTAAATGCGTGTGCCCTGAGGGGAGAAAAGGCACAGGAAGAAAAGGCTGGGGACACATATAAGATGGGCATATTTGTGTTACAGTCCAGGTCATGCCCAGATGGTAGAAGTGGTAGATTCAGAGCTCATTAAGGCAATGGCTATTACTTCCATATTTTTCATGTAAGTATGCATGATTTTCTTCTTGAGGGAGGAGCCATAGGCACATCTTTGTATTTCCTTCATAATATAGCTAATTTTAATGGACAAGAACAAAGAAATTTAGAGTTAATAGTGAACATCTGTCCATGATTAACCCCAATTGCACTTAGAAATCAGAGGTGATCATGCCATTTTGAAATCACAATATTATCTTCCAGTGAAATTGGTTAGCCTGAGTTCTTTGTTACCAAAAGAAATCCTAGTACTCAGGTTTAAGTTCTCAGGTTTTTGGAAAATATTTATTTATAAATATAATGTTTATATATTTAAAATAAATTTTGTGATAATTGCCCTCTCCCCAACAAAAAGTTAAAAAAATTTCATCTCATCGCCCCCATTTTTTTTAATCAAGGGAATATCTAAGTGTACATTGTTTAACCAGTCTGAATATACAGTATTTTCAGGACAATAAAGTGGACATTTTGGTAATAGAAAGTTTATCCTGCAGCCCTTAATATATACATCAATGTACAATGTCACCAAAGTCAGAAAACTTTAACACAGAAATCCAAGCTCAGCCCTACTTCAAGATTGAAACCCATTTAAATTCCAAGAATAAGTAGCTGACAAAGATAATTTTCATAGATTAACATTTTTCACCTGGGTTTTATATTTCTGGAAGAAATATACACTGCATTGGTTATGCATTGATCAAACTTTTATTGTGCCAGCTGTACTTCATAGACCTGAAAAAGTGATTCAAGCAAAACAAAAGAGAACATAAAAGCACAACTATAATGGTTTTAAATCCCAAAGAGGCAATTACAAGTTTGATTCCAGTGATGCAGCTGGACTCCATTGGAAAACTAAACACCTTATCCATATTAAGTAGTTATGAAGGCTAGGGCTCGGGATGTAAATAATAAATTTGCACTGCAGTCATATTTGTAAAGTACAGCCCTTTTAATAAGTGGAAAGAATATGGTAATAAATTTCACACTAATTCATGTGCAAAGGAGAATTTTACAGAGTTCAAATGTGTTAAGACAGGTAAAAAATGTGAGGTATGAAATAACTAATCATTGGGATAAAACAAATGAAAAAAGATTACAATAATGTGCACAGGATTGGATTGTAACTCTTTAACCACTTGGAGCTGGGTTCAGCCTAATGCAGCTTTTTGTATGCATGATGTTTCTCTGCCTCTCTTTAAAAGAAAAATGAAAGTAAATGGGGCATTGTGCTGCTTCCCAAATTAATTCACAAAAGCCTAGGACAAGACACTTATAGAACTAATTGTTGCCTGGCTTAGAATATCTTTCTCTTCCCAAATTTTTAGACATAGGAATAAGAAGAGTAAAGAATTTGTACAGGATTCCATCCAGCATTAAGCAAGCAGAATGGGGCTCTTCCAAGCTCCCCTCTGAGTGCTTCAGATAGGCTCATTAATTCATTAATCTGCCAAAGGTTTAGTGTCTGTTACGTATCAGGCACTAGGGGTGCAAAGATCAGAAGGCACATCCTGAAGTCTCAAGATGTAATGGATTATTGGGGACAATAGATTGGCATACAGAGAACCCTAGTAAAAAACAAAACTAAATGAACAAACAAAAACGCATTGCCAAGTAGAGAAATTCACTGTTCGGTTGCAGAGAGAAGGTCTACTTAACTCTTTATCTTAGGGGAAATATTTCAGACAACGGCTTACTAGAAGAGTGAGACTTGAATATTTTGCCCTAAATCTTGCTGTTTATTGCAAATTACTGAGGGTTGCTCAATGTTTAGCCCATTTTTCCTTAATAGGCCATTCACAAAAATTAAGTTCTATTCTTACCAAGAAGACCAAGAAGAGTCTGATAATTATCCATAGAGTAAAATATGAAATTGGATTACTTCCTCATGCCAAACATAAAGGTAGATTTAAACATTAAATGTAAAAGGCAAAAATTTAAACATTTAGGAAAAAATACAGGATAATGTTTAATAAAGCTGGAGTAGGGAAAAAATTTTTAATCAATTTTCAAAGAAGTGCAAGACCTGAAGAAAAAGATAGACAATTTTCACAATATTAAGAGTTAAAAAACAAAACAAAACTGTGAGAAGACAACCCACGGCCTCGAGAAGATATTTCCAGCTTGTATAATCAATACAGAATTAGCACCCAGATATATGTAAATATATGGTATCAACAAATCAATAAGAAGAAATTTTAAAATAGAGAAATAGAATAAAGAAAACTAAACTAAAAAGTAAAGAAAAACATGAAGATGCTCAATCTCTTCAACTATCAGGAAAATTCAAATAAGACCACAGGGCCGGGCATGGTGGTGCATGCCTGTAATCCCAGCACTTTGGGAGGCCAAGGTGGGCAGATCACGAGGTCAAGAGATCGAGACCATCCTGGCCAACGTGGTAAAACCCTGTCTCTACTAAAAATACAAAAATTAGCCAGGCGTGGTGGTGCGTGCCTGTAATCCCAGCTATTCGGGAGGCTGAGGCAGGAGAATTGCTTGAACCTGGGAAGCAGAGGTTGCAGTGAGCCAGGATCATGCCACTGCACCCTAGCCTGGTGATAGAGTGAGACCCCCATCTCAAAAAAACCCACAAATTTCACATGTGTCAGATTGTCAAAAAGACAAAAAGACTAACAATACACACTACTGGCGAGGAAGTGGGACCACAGGAACACTCACATTCTGTTGGTGGGATTAAATTAGTACAACCACACTGAAAAACAATATGGCAAAATCTAGTACAGGTGAAGATGTGCATACTTTATGACCCAGCAAACTCACTGACATATACCCTGGAGAAACTCTTATATATGTACATGGAAGACATGTCTAAAAAGGACATACTTTGGCTATGAAAGAGGTAAAATATCCATGAATAAGAAAGTGAGTAAATAAATGGTAGTGTATTCATTAATGAAATACTATACAGCAGTGAACATTAATGAACATGCTAGATATTTAATGAAAAGGGGAGATAATGAAAATGAAGGAGAAAGGAAATGTGCATGTTAAAGAGAAGCCGATCCTGGAGCAGCCACAGATTTTTCAGAATAAATGAAGGTCTTGGGACTGAGGTCTGGAGTTTGAATGCCCATACAGAGCAGGGAGTGGACTGCAGCCCATCCAGAACAGGGAAGCAAGACCAAAGCTCCACAAAGAAAGCTTCTAGCTTCAAAGTCTTTTCTTTCCTCACTATCTAGAAAAAATTTCCTTCACTGGCCTGGTGAAGCAGCAAAAAGGTTTGCTCTCAGAAGAAAGAAGGCACTCACAAAAACTTGAAATTCTAGGCCTATACCCCTGCACTAAGGAATCCCAAGTGAACCACAAACATGATTAGGAGACCCCATGCTGAGTAATCAACAAAAAAGTTATTCCAGAGTGAGGACAAAATAATAAGAATGTCAGTGAGTGACTCAGTTTACTATATGCAAATGCTCACTGGAAGATCTCTTGAAGGCTGAACTTTAGAAAGAAGGAAATTGGATCCAGGCCAAGACCCCAAAGAAGGATGAAGTCATGAGAGAATAAAAGATGAATATAAATTTTAAATGGCTATACAAGCAAAACTATAACAATAATGACTAAATGGGGTAGGGGTAGAGTGGTTTAAAAAAAGTTGAAATTAACATATGAGGTCAGAATAACATGGAAGACTGGTAATGGGAAAATGGATTTAAGGCGTCTGAAGGCCATAGTAGTGTAGAATAAATAGGTATATAGGTGATTTCAGACTTCATTATGGGCCGTAGGCTTGCTACCTCTGCTCACAACTTACCAATAATCCCATTTTAAGCTCTTTCACTTGAGTCATTTGAATGTACTGCTTTCTCTCATGACTCATTTTGGTACATACTTGAATACTTACATTAGAAATTGAGAAAGGTTGTAAATAAATGAGCTAATATTTCAATTCAAAATGTAAATAGAAGAAAATTGAATAAATGAGCTAATAAAGGAAGAACAAAAATTAATGATACAGGAAATAGATATGTGAGAGGATCAAAAAAATAAAAACCTAGTTCTTCAAAGAAATTGAAAAAAATGTTGGTATTGTTCATGGAAAACAGAAAAGAAACAAATAATATCAGAAGCACAGAAGGGTCACGGTGACAGTGTAAATTACATATGTCATAAGAGAGCATTTTGAAAACCTTTATGCTAAATTTTTATAAAGTGTAGACAAATTTGAACAAATTACCAAGGATGGCTTGAAAATTATCAGAATGCTTTAATATTTTCAAAGGATTTAAATCCTAATATTCTGAAAGAATTTAGACTATTAATGAAAATCTACCTCCCAAAAGCACCACACCCAGTTCTATCAGTGTGATGAAGAAAAGAAGCACCTATCTTATAACACTCTTCCAGAAAATAAAAAAAGCTAAGCTCCCCACCTGCCTATATGGGTCTGCTCTACCTTTGATGCAATAATTTTAAATTTTTGTAATATAAAATGTATCAAAATGTATAAAGCAAAAATAATAGAAATAAATCAGGGCAAAGCTATGTTAACCTATTTATTACATAAATTCAGCATTTTTTTTGAGACAGAGTCTTGCTCTGTCGCCAGGCTGGAGTGCAGTGGTGGGATCTCAGCTCACTGCACCCTCCACCTCCCGGGTTCAGGCGATTCTCCTGCCTCACCCTCCCGAGTAGCTGGGATTACAGGCACCCACCACCACACCCGGCTAATTTTTGGTATCTTTAGTAGAGACAGGGTTTCACCATGTTGGCCAAGCTGGTCTCAAACTCCTGACCTCATGATCTGCCCACCTTGGCCTCCCAAAGTGCTGGGATTACAGGCGTGAGCCACCGTCCAGGGCCAAACTCAGCATATTTATATATAGAGTACCCACCATGATGAAATTAGAGAAGGCAGCTGTCTGAGGTGTGAACCTAATGGTACAAAATGGCTGCCATGTGGCTACAACAGTGTCCCTGGAATGCCACATGTTGAGACATGTCCCTTTAAGAATTTTTAGTCTTAGGGGTTTGTGCACAACAGAGAGCAGAACCTCATTGTGAGTGAGAACATCATGGAATGGAAGCTGGGAAGTGAAAGGAGTTCAGGGAAGTGGAATTGATTTGTTTTATAATTTCCCCATGATCAGCCTGCCAATTTATTCCTAGAATCTGCACAGCAAGCTGGTTTTCCCTATACATATAAGATGACTATTTGTACATGCTTTGATTGTCATTTTTGATTTCTTACAAACCCAGATATATTCCTACACTTGTCTAGTTGCTTCTGAACACCAAATAGAGTGACTGTTGTCTACCGTCTTAAGAGTCATTTGGGTCATGAAATTAAAATTTGCAATTGTTTCCACTACATAGGCAGCGTCAAACCATGCCACCTAATTTCCTATGGCCATGTTTCTTGTAGTTGTCTTGTAAAACTGCAATATTAAAAAAGAAGACATTTCTGACATGACTGTACACTTTTGAAAGTCATATTGCAAGTATACATGCGTTGAGTTAACACAGATCTTGGAGATTTTTCAGACTTGAAAAATGCCACTTTTTTTTTAACCTCATACAACATCTCTTTAGCCTGAAGCCTTTTCACTCCTCTTATCTGGTGTGAGTGAGATTGGTCTGTAGAAATCAAAGTTACTAAGGAATGCCACAGCTCTGAGACAGAATAAACTATTTTATCGTGTCTCCTTTCTTGAGGACCAGTTTAAAAGGAATGCAGTAGCTTTAAACCCAGGCAAGCGACAGCCCTGCAGCCTGTCTCCCTCTGCACGGGAGCCCTGTCTCATCTGTGTTACCCCTGGAAGGCATTCTGGCCAGCCATTAAGAATTTTGTTCTTGGTATACAGAAGACCTGAATATAAATTCTGACTCTGCAATATACTGGCTGACAGATGCTGGGGGAGGCATGCACTTCTCTGAGCCCGTTTTCCTTATGTGTGAGGTGGGGATAATTTCTATCCCAAAGGATTGTTGATTAAGTAAAATAACTCCTGTGAAATCTGGTGCCGGCAAACAGTGAGGCCGAAACCAGTAATCATTACTCTTCAGAGACTGACCTGGAGGTCCTCTCAGGAAGAAACTCATGCCAAGAGAGGAAAGGTGTATGAAGTCAGTTTGAGGTCATGGACCAAGGGGATTCTTTCTACAGCAAGGTGTCCACCACGCAGACTGTCCTACAGCCCAAGCCTCATAACTTCTGCCTAAGTTTCAAGATGAGCAGTATAATAAAGAACAAGTCAAAAACAGAAAACTGGGCCGGTGCAGTGGCTCATGCCTGTAATCCCAGCACTTTGGGAGGCCGAGGCGGGCAGATGACGAGGTCAGGAGAATGAGACCATCCTGACTAACACGGTGAAATCTCGTCTCTACTAAAAATACAAAAAATTAGCCAGGTGTGGTGGCATGTGCCTGTAGCCCCAGCTACTTGGGAGGCTGAGGCAGGAGAATCGCTTGAACCCTGGAGGTGGAGGTTGCAGTGAGCCGAGATCACGCCACTGCACTCCAGCCTGGCTGACAGAACGAGACTCTGTCAAAACAAAAAACAAACAAACAAAAAACAGAAAACTGGTTTTACCAAGAACTTTAGATGCTGTGAGCAGGAGCCAGTGCTGTGTGGCAGCTCATGTATGTAGGTGTGGCATAGGGAGATAAAGGACGCTTTCCATACACGGGCCTTGTGATGGTGAGAGTCTTGGACATGGTGATGTGCCATAAGAGATCTGGGGGACAGTATGCTTCAGGAGCTCTGGGTCCTGCTCACAGCAGGTGTCACTCAGTGGCTGGAGGACAAGGAGATGGCATGATAGATGCATGGACTACCAAGAAGGACCCATCCCCAGACCCAGTATGGAGGTCTTCAAGATGGTGCTCAAGTTTCCACTTGAGAAATGGGTAAAGGTGGAGCCAGAGAAAAAGGAACTCTTACCCAGGCTGGTCTGGTGGTGTGAACCCAGGTTACCTTTTACATCCTGAGTGACGCGTAACAAGCCTCTACAGTCTAAATTTCAAGGTCTAGTTCCTCTTGAGAGGGCTTGCCATCTATTTTTTTTCCCTCTCTCTATTTGTCTGTCTCTCATTTACATCCTTTTAAGAATATGATTAATAAACTCTCATGTATTTAGACTTATTTGTTGGGTTTTGCCTAACTTTTTCTGTTTTACTTTTCTTTATTTTTATTTTTCAATAGGTTTTTGGGGAACAGGTGGTTTTTGGTTACATGGATAAGTTCTTTAGTGGTGATTTCTGAGATTTTGGTGCACCCATCACATGAGCAGTGTACACTGTACTCAGTGTGTAGTCTTTCATCCCTCACCCCTGCTCCCACCCTTCCACATGAGTCCTCAAAGCCCATTGCCTCATTCTTATGCATTTGCATCCTCATTGCTTAGCTGCTACTTATAAGTGAAAACATACAATGTTTGTTTTTCTCATTCCCACGTTACTTCACTTAGAATGATAATCCCTAACAACTCCATCCAGGTTGCTGTGAATGCCATTATTTTTTTCCTTTTTATGGCTGAGTAGTATTCCATGGTGTGTGTGTGTGTATGTGTGTATATATATGTGTATATACACACACACGTGTATATATATGTGTATATACACACACATATATGTGCATATGTGTGTATATACACACACATATATGTGCATATGTGTGTATACACACACATATATGTGCATATGTGTGTATATACACACATATATGTGCGTATATACACACATATATGTGCATATGTGTGTGTATACACACACATATATGTGCATATATGTGTGTATATATACACGTGTATATACATATACACGTGGGTATATACATATACACGTGGGTATATACATATACACGTGTATATACATATACACGTGTGTATACATATACACGTGGGTATATACATATACACGTGTATATACATATACACACATATGTATATATGTGTATATACGTATATATGTGTATATGTGTATATATGTATATATGTATATGTATATGTATGTATATATGTATATGTATATGCGTATATATGTATATGCGTATATATGTATACGTGTATATGTGTATATGTGTTTATGTATATATACATATACACATATACACATATATACACATATACATATACACGTATACACGTATACATATACACGTATACACGTATATATATACACGTATACACGTATATATACACATATACACGTATACACGTATATATACACATATACATGTATACACGTATATATACACATATACACGCATATATGTATATATACACATATACATACACACGTGTGTGTATGTGTGTATATGTGTGTATATGTGTGCATACACACACGTGTGTATGTGTGCATACACACACGTGTGTATATGTGTGTATATATTTACACACATACATATATACATGTATAAATATATATATATATACACATATACATATATACCATGGAATACTGTATATATATATAGTGCAACAAAATAAGATAAATGAATAGGGCTTAATTGGATTTTTTTTTTTTCTGAGACGGAATCTTGCTCTGTCACCCAGGCTGGAGTGCAGTGGCACAATCTCGGCTCACTGCAATCTCTGCCTCCCAGGTTCAAACAATTGTCCTGCCTCAGCCTCCCAAGTAGCTGGGATTACAGGTGCCTGCCACCACTCCCAGCTAATTTTTGTATTTTTAGTAGAGATGGGGTTTCACCATGTTGGCGAGGCTGGTCTCAAACTCCTGACGTTGTGATCTGGCTGCCTCAGCCTCCCAAAGTGTTGGGATTACAGGTGTGAGCCACTGCGTTCAGCCAATTAGATAGTATTTTGATGGGAATTGCATTGAATTTGTAGATTGCTTTTGGCTGTATGGTCATTTTCACAATATTGATTCTACTCATCGGTTAATATGAGATGTGTTTCCATTTGTTTATGTTGTCCTTCAACAATGTTTTGTAGGTGACCTTGTAGAGGTCTTTCACCTTCTTGGTTAGGTATATTCTTAAGAATTTTATTTTATTTTTTGCAGCTTTTGTAAAAGGGATTGAGATAAAGGGATTGAGTTATTTATTTGATTCTCAGCTTGGTTGCTGTTGGTGTATAGCAATGCTAATGATTTGTGCACATTGATTTTGTACTCTGAAACTTTATTGAATTCATTTATCAGATCTAGGAGTCTTTTGGATGAGTCCTTAGGATTTTCTAGGTATGTGATCATATTATCAGCAAACAGCGACTGTTTGACTTCCTCTTTACTGATCTGGATGCCTTTTATCTCTTTCCCTTGTCTGATTGCTCTGGCTAGGACTTCCAGTCGTATGTTAAATAGAAGTGGGCATCCTTGTCTTGTTGCAGTTCTTGGGGGGATGCTTTCAACTTTTCCCCATTCAATATAATGTTGGCTGTGGTTTTGTCATAGATAGCTTTTATTACCTTAAGTTATGTCACTTCTATGCCAATTTTGCTGAGTGTTTTAATAAAAAAGAGATGCTGGATTTTGTCAAATGCTTTCTCTGTGTCTACAGAGATGATCATGTGATTTTGGTTTTTAATTCTGTTTATGTGGTGTATCACATTTATTGACTTGTGCTTGTTAAACCATCCCTGCATCCCTGGTATGAAACCCACTTGATCATGGTGGATTATCTTTTTGATATGCTATTGGATTCAGTTGGCTCATATTTTGCTGAGGATTGTTGCATCTATGTTCATCAGGGATATTGGTCTGTAGTTTTCTTTTTTTGTTAGGTCTTTTTCTGGTTTTGGTATTAGGGTGATACTGGCTTCACAGAATGATTTAGGGAGCATTCCCTCTTTCTCTATCTTTTGGAATAGTTTCAATAACATTGGTAGGAATTTTTCTTCGAATGTCTGATAGAATGCAGCTGTGAATCTATCTGATCCTAAACATTTTTGTTGGCAATTTTTTATTACCATTTTAATCTCACTGCTTGTTATTGATTTGCTCAGAGTTTCTATTTCTTCTTGATTTAATCTAGGAGGGTGGTTTATTACCAGGAATTTCTCCATCTCCTCTAGGTTTTCTAGCTTGTGTGCATAAAGGTGTTGATAGTAGTCTTGGATGATCGTCAGTATTTCTATGGTATCAGATGTAATATCTCCCGTTTTGTTTCTCATTGAGCTTATTTGGATCTTCTCTCTTCTTTACTTGGTTACTCTTACTAATAGTCTATCAGTTTTGTTTATCTTTTCAAATAACAAACTTTTTGTTTCATTTATCTTTTGTATTTTTTTTGTTTCAATTTCATTTAGTTCTGCTCTGATCTTTGTTATTTCTTCTCTTCTGCTGGGTTTGGGCTTGATTTGTTTTTGTTTCTCTAGTTCCTTGAAGTGTGACCTTAGATTGCCCATTTGTGCTCTTTCAGACTTTTTGATGTAGGCATTTGATGTTATGAATTTACCTCTTAGCACTGTTTTTGCTGTATTCCAGAGGTTTTCATAGGTTGTGTCACTATTATCATTCAGTTCAAAGAATTTTAAAATTCCATCTTGACTTCATTGTTGAACCAATGATCATTCAGGAACAGATTATTTAACTTCAATGTATTTGCATGGATTTCAGGCTTCCTTTTGGAGTTGATTTCCAATTTTATTCCACTGTTATCTGAGGCAGTACTTAATATAATTTCAATATTCTTGAATTTATTGAGGCTTGTTTTGTGGCCTATCATATGGTCTATCTTGAAGAATGTTCCATGTGCTGATGAATAGAATGTATATTCTGCAGTTGTTGAGTAGAATGTTCTGTAAATATTTGTTAAGTATTTGTTGTAGGGTATAGTTTAAGTCCATTGTTTCTTTGTTGACTTTCTGTCTTGATGACCCGTCTAGTGGTGTCAGTGGAGTATTGAAGTCCTCCACTATCATTGTGTTGCTGTCTATCTCATTTCTCAGGTCTAGTAGTAATTGTTTTATAAATTAGGGAGCTCCAGTGTTAGGTGCATATATATTCAGAATTGGAATATTTTCCTGTTGGACTAGTCCTTTTATCATTATACAGTATCCTTCTTTGTCTTTTTAAACTGTTGTTTTTTTAAAGTCTGTTTTGTCTAAGAATATCTACTCCTGCTTGCTTTTGGTGTCCATTTGCATAGAATATCTTTTTCCACCTCTTTACCTTAAGTTTATGTGAATCTTTAGGTGGTAGGTGAGTCTCCTGAAGACAGCAGATAGTTGGTGGGTGAATTTTTATCCATTCTTCCATTTTGTATCTTTTAAGTGGAGCATTTAGGCCATTTACGTTCAACATTAGTATTGAGATGTGAGGTACTAATCTATTCATCGTGATAGTTGTTGCCTGAATATCTTGGGTTTTTTTTCTCATTGTGTTATGTTTTATAGGCTTTGTGATATTTATACTGCAAGGAGGTTCTATTTTGGTGTATTTTGAGGTTTTGTTTCAAGATTTAAAACTCCTTTTAGCAGTTCTTGTAGTGCTGACTTGGTAGTGGAGAATTCTCTCAGCATTTGTTTGTCTGAAAAAGACTATCTTTCCTTCATTTATGAGGCTTAGTTTTGGTAGATACAAAATTCTTGGCTGATAATTGTTTTGTTTAAGGAGGCTAAAGATACAGCCCCAATCCCTTTAGTTTGTAGAGTTCCTGCTGCAAAATGTGCTGTTAATCTTATAGGTTTTCCTTTATAGGTTACCTGATTCTTTTGCCTCACAGCTGTTAAGATTCTTTCCTTTGTCTTGACTTTAGATAACCTGATGACTATGTGCCTTGGTGATGATCTTTTTGCAATAACTTTTCCAGGTGTTTTTTTGAGCTTCTTGTGTTTGGATATCTAGATCTCTAGCAAGGCCAGGGAAGTTTTCCTCGATTATTTCCTCAAATAATTTTTCCAAACTCATAGATATCTCTTCTTCCTCAGGAGCACCAATTATTCTTAGGTTTGGTTGTTTCACATAGTCCCAAACTTCTTGGAGGCTTTGCTCATGTTTTTAAAATGTTTCTTTTTTGTCTTTGTTGTATTGGGTTAATTTTAAAGCCTTGTCTTCAAGCTCTGAGGTTCTTTCTTCTACTGACCCTGCAGAGACCCTGCAGGGACTCAGGGAAGCTTTTAAGCTTCCAAATATAGAAGAATTTTTAATACTTGTTGTCTGTTCAGAGAAAAATGATAAAATTAACACAACAAAATTTTGAGGAAAAGTTAAAGAAATGTGGAGAGTTTAAACTCAGGAATATAAGGTTGGGATGAAATCTGGTAATGGGCTTTTCATATTTGAGGTTATACAGGACACAAGCCTCTTTGCTCTAAGCCTGTTCTCTCACACAATGGCTGTAAATAAAAGGGGTACTTCAAATGGAATGAACTTGCCTCTTCTGGCTTCTTCTGGCTGAGTCCACCCCAAAGGCCTCAAGGAGGAAGGCAAGTGGTGTACCCCAGGCCTCATGGAGGCAGTTGGTCATTGGAGGTCCTTCTCTTCAGCGGGGTTCTCACAAAAGATTCTAGGATGGTTAGGCCGGGCGTGGTGGCTCACACCTGTAATCCCAGCACTTTGGAAGGCCGAGGCGGGCAGATCACGAGGTCAGGAGATCGAGACCATCCTGGCTAACATGGTGAAATCCTGTCTCTACTAAAAATACAAAAAAAAAAAAAAAAAAATTAGCCAGGTGTGGTGGCGGGCACCTGTAGTCCCAGCTACTAGGGAGCCTGAGTCAGGAGAATGGTGTGAACCCGGGAGACGGAGCTTGCCGTGAGCTGAGATTGCACCACTGCACTCCAGCCTGGGCGACAGAGCGAGACTCCATCTCAAAAAAAAAAAAAAAAGATTCTAGGATGGCGAGAAGAGAGATTTTCCTCACCTCCACTGCTAAGAGAGGTTGTTTCCTAACCCTTGGCCTTGCCTCCAGGCTCTTCTTTTTGGTCCTCACTGCTGATATAGGCTTCCGTTTCTTTTGTTCTTATTTTAAATTACAGGACTTTTCCATTTTACTTCCCCGTCTTAAACAACAACAGCTTTGAATACCTCTTCATTGTGTCTGAAATAAAGTTCTGACTCTCGGTTATGGCATTTATAACTCCTCATATCCTGACCCTGATCTTGTTTAGCCTAAGTTTTTCAATCAATCCACTCACTGCCATCTACGCCCCTACAAGGGCGCAAGCACATGGGGATTTTCATGCCTCAGAGCCTCCTCGTGTTCAAACTCAATCCAAATGCTGTTTCCTCTATAAAATCTTCCCTGACTCCTCATCAATGTAACAATGGCTAGGCATACATAGTTCTATAATCTAGTTTATTACATGACGTTATAGTCTTAATTTTTTTTTTTTTTTGTATGTCTGTCTCTTCCATAGACTGAGCTCCCTCAGGGCAGATTCTCTATTTCTCTCTTTTTATTAACCTCAACATCTAGCACAAGGTCTGGCACAAAGACTTTGCTTAATAAATTCTGGTTGAATTGCCTATGGCCAGGGAAGATTGTGAGTTAATTATAAAGGAAAGAGTTTGTGATTTTCATTCCCAGGTGGATGAGTTTGGGAAATACTCTCAAGCTTCCCCCTCAATGGTCTTAATATCAAGACCTCTTTTCTACAGTCTGTGCCTGTAACTCATAAGTCCCAGGCTCTGAAAAGAGCTGCCTGGGTTTGAATCTAGCCCCCTTGAGGCTGTGTGGCTTCTGGTGATCATTTAACCTTTAACTTTTCCTCAACTGTGAAACAAAGAACTTCATGGCTGCATCTTAGTTCTGCTGTAAGAATGAAATAAGATAATCCACATAAAATTAGCACCTCACATTTGTGGGCTAGGCACTGTTCTAAGCGCTTTACATACTGCCTTCTTTCTAACAACCTCAAGAGCAGTGTGCTGTTTTAATCATTAGATGAGAAAACTGAGATATAAAGAGGCTAAATAACTTTACAGTGTTTGTTCACTTAGCTATTAAGTGGCTGAGCTGAATTCTGCTTCTCAAGTCTGCCTTCTTAACCAATCTTGCCGTTTATTTTATTTTTTTATTAAAATGTTTTATTATTTTAGTTTGCAAATCATAATTTATATATATATATTTCTGGGGTAAAATGTGATGTTTTCATATATGTATACAACATGGAATAATTGAGTTAATTAACATATGCATCACCTCACTGTGAAAGTTGTCGGAATCAAAATAAAATGTCTTATGTTAAAAACCCTGACAAATAGAGCTGAGGAAAACCAAGAATAGTGGGTTCTCATACACAAATGCCTCATAACAAGAACTATCACAAAAGGCTCAGCAAAAACCACAACTTTGTGCAAAGGCCATTGAAACCTTACACAAAAATACACTTATTCAAGGACGTCTGCCCAGCAACTGCCTTTCCAACCTCGGACCGGCCACAACCCTTGTCATTGATCCTTGTAGCCAAGGATAATTATCTTAAAACAACTATGTTTTCCTCCCCTTTTCTCTTTTAAAAACCTTTGTGTTCTTTTACCTCCCTGAATATACACATAGTTGACTATGGCATGCATATTCCTATTGTAAATACCTATCCCTGAATAAATAGCATTTTCTTTTTGAGAGTCTCCCTCTCTGCTTGTTATTTAGGTTGACATTTACCCATCATTTCTTGTGGTGAGAAATTTAAAATTTATTCTCAGCAATTTTGAAATATACAATATATTGTTATTAATTATAGTCACGCTGCTGTGCAATAGATCTCAAAAATGAGTTCCGCCTGTCTAAATGAATCTTTGTATCCTTTGACAATGTTATATTCTACACTCCTTACATTAAGAGCATCAACTTGAACCACTTAATGTGAACTAGGAATACTATGATTCTTTAGCTTTCCTTTGCACCAAGGTTTTCTGTCTTCTCAATGTAGTTTTTGAAATTCTTACAGAAACAGAATATTAAAAATCAATTTATGCATGCAGGGCATTTAGAAATGCATTTGAAAATAGGTCATGCAAATAATTGTCAAGGGTCACATCCAAAAGCAACTGTGAAAATACTACCTTGTGATTATGATGAACTGAAAGCTGCTGATGAGGGAAAGAGATTTGTTTTTCTTTTTCTTTTCTCTTTTTCTAGAGTCAGGCTCTCACCCTGTCATGCAGGCTGGAGTGCAGTGACATGATTATAGCTCACTGCATCCTCGAAATTCTGGGCTCAACCGATCCTCCCACCTCGGTCTCCCCAGTAGCTGGGACTACAGGCATGCACCACTATGGCCAGCTAATTATTTTTGTATTTTTTGTAGAGACAGAGTTTTACTTTGTTGCCCAGGCTGGTCTTGAACTCCTTGGCTCAAGCAATTCTTCTGCCTCAGCCCACAAAGTGTTAGTATTACAGGTGCAAAACTCCATGCCCGGCCTATACTTGTTTTTCTTTCCTTCCCTCTGGAAAGCTAGGAATATTTATTTAACTACTTATTTGTGTGTTCATTTATAGGCAGACTGGGCATTATCATTAAAATTTGTGGTATTTAATTTAGAAGTCAGAAGGGTGATGCCATGCAGTAATCACAATCTTTAAAAGCAAATTTCCCATTGTCAGACAACCAAATTAACTGGCATAAATGTATGACAAATTGTGAAACAGCTGATTAAACCAGTTGCCAAATAGAGCTCTATTCAGATAATAACTCAGTGTTCAACACATTTTAGCACAGATTATGTGAAAAGTCTTTATTTAGCAAAAGCAGAGATCAAAACTGTTATCCTACTTTTATTTTCTCAAGGATAATATGATTATAATAATACGAATTTAATTGTCTTTGGTGTGAGCAATTTCTGGGCTCCATTCACTGGAAAGTACATACATTAAGTTTTGCCAGTAAATGATGTGACTATATAGCAGAAAAGGATGTAAGGTTGGTTTTTTTTTCTTTATTTTCCTTTTTAAAAGACTCCATATATTACAGGTGATTGGCACAAAAGTAAAGTGATGTTAGCAAGTTTCTTATTCTTCCTATACCAATACATTGCTTTCTAATTTTTTGGATATTCCTCATGCCTTATAAGTTCCCATAGTTCCTTGGAAATATACTCCAACAGTGATGTTTTGGGGTCACACTGGTGCTGGTGGTGCTTCATTCCCAAAGGGCATGGGCAAGCACAAAAGGGAAAGGATGAGTAGGGTGGGACTCATTGCTGCAGGTTCACGCTGTTGTTTTAACCACATTGCCCTGCTCTATGAATTGCCGCAGTGGAGTTCTTTACTTACCATGACCCAGATTTCACTCAAGCTAGGCAGCATCAGTAGAAATAACGGTAACATATTTTTCCTCCTTTCCAACAGTTGTTATACCATATTTGCTAGAACTTTCAGAAAATGTTGAACAATAACATGAAAATGAACATTCTTTTTTTTTTTCTTTTTGAGATGGAGCCTTGCTCTGTTGCCCAGGCTGGAGTGCAGTGGTGCAATCTTGGCTCACTACAACCTCCGCCTCCTAGGTTCAAGTGATTCTCCTGCCTCAGCCTCCCAAGTAGGTGGGACTACAGGCGTGTGCCACCACGCCGGCTAATTTTTTGTGTTTTTAGGAGAGATGGGGTCTCACTGTGTTAGCCAGGATGGTCTCGATCTCCTGACCTCTTGATCCGCCCACCTCGGCCTCCCAAAGTGCTGGGATTACAGGCGTGATGCACTGCGCCCAGCCGAAAATGAACATTCTTGTCGTGTTCTTGATTTCATGGCATTCTTGAAGTATATGCTGCCTCTCCACAGCCTTCCACTAATGACAGAAACCAGGACTCACTCTCAGAACTCTTTCTGCAGAACTTAGATGCTGTTGATGCATCAGTCTCCAACCAGCTCTACCCGCCCAGCTACCACTAACTGATAGGAATGAGCACAGTGAAAATCATTGGCCATTAACACTCTAGAGTTTTGCCATGTGTGAAAAGTGTTCTTTTGATCTTATTTACTTAGAAATTTCTTTCATCATTTTTTTCTTTTTAAAACAAGGATGCATGCTTAGGCCATTTTCCAAGATGATTATATGCTTTTTTCATTTGGCTATTATTATCATGGACTAAATCAATTTCATAATGTTGAATCACTCAAGTTTCTGGCTGAACTATTTCTTGGCCATGATATATATACTCATATTTTTTAATGTTTTATTTGGTCTTTTTATATCTATTAATATATTAGCAAGTGATGTTTACCTTCGGTTTTATGAAACTTTATGGTAAAACCATGTGTTAGTATCAAAGTTTTGCTAACTTACTAACAGCACTTGAGGAATTCCATCTCTTGCTATGCCCTAGAATTTTAAATTGTATAAAATTCATCTATTTCTGACAGTCTATAGTCTCGCCTGTAAAACCATCTGGGCTGAGTAATTCTTGGAATATATTTTCAATTTTGTCCATGATTATTGGTATATTCACATTTTCTTCCTCTTCTTCAGTTAGATTTGGTAATCTATATTTTCCTAAAAAATTTATTCACTTTATTTATATTTTTGAATTTGGTCTTAAAGAATTATAGCTATATTCACTTATAGTTGTGTTAAAGTGAAGACCAGGCCTGAAGAAGCCCTGAGCAGACAAAGCCAGTTGAGTCTCATAAATGACCTCAACCTTGCTTTTACAAACATAAGTGAAACTTAACTGGAGCTGTTTCTTGCAAATGCCTATACAATATTAAAACAACAACAACAAACAAACAGAACTGGAGCTCAACTAATCAGAAACAAACAACAAACTAATATAGCTAGGGACTTTCCAATGGGATAAACCAAAGAAGGCAATTGCATAACTGTAACCAAATATTTTCTGTGCTTTACTTCTGTGCTTATTCTATAAAACCTTCCCCCTTGTGTTCCTTTAATGGAGCTCCCAAACCACTTCTTGTTTGGAGCTATGGATTCATGAACATTTGCTCAAATAAACTCTTTAAAATTTTATTGTGCCTCAGTTTACTTAACTGTTGTTATATTCTCTTGCCTCTATGTTATATTCTAAGTCTAAAATGTTTAAAATATTTGTTTTTTCTTTATCATTTTTACACGTTAGAATTGCTTATTTTATTGGTCTTTGCAAAGAAACAATTGTTGGATTAATGTATTCAACTCTACCATTGTTTTGTTTAATCGTCTACTTTTGTCTTTGCTATCCTCAACCTCCTACTTTCCATACTTAATTTGTTTGTTCTTGTTTTCATAGTTCAATAAAAGCATTCAGGACACTGAGCACAGTTCTTTGGCTACGCCATCTTCTTAATTCTCCTAAGACTTGGTCCCAATATCATCCATTTCTAAAATATCTTGTTTTAATTAAAAAAAATTGTTTTTTAGATGGAGTCTTGCTCTGCTGCCCAAACTGGAATGCAGTGGTGCGAACTTGGCTCACTGCAACCTCTGCCTCCTGGGTTCAAGCAATTCTCCTGCCTCAGTCTCCTGAGCAGCTGGAACTACAGGTGCCCGCCACCATGCCTGGCTAATTTTTATTTTTAGTAGAGATGGGATTTCACCATGTTGGCCAGGCTGGTCTCCAACTCCTGACCTCAAGTGATCTGCCTGCCTTGGCCTCCCAAAGTGCTGGGATTATAGGCGTGAGCAACCATGCCCAGCCTTTCTTGTTTTAATTGTTTCTCGGACCCACATTATTTATGAGACTAAAAAAAATAGAATTCCAAGTAATTCTTTTGTTTTATATTTTGTTGCATAGTAGCCAAAATGAATATTTCATAAATTTTCTTTTTGATGTTGAGATTTTATTTATAGACTTTTATGTGATTAGAATTTTTGAATGTTAAGGAAAATTCACTGATGGCACAAAATTTGAAATATATTTACTTTTTTATAAAATGGGAATATCTTTTTTCTGGTAATAGAAATATGTGCTTGTTTTTATGAAATTAAAGTGCTATAGAAATGTGTACTATATAAAGATGCACACATTCTAGACTACAATCTTTTTTAATGGAAAACATTGTGGACATCTTTAAGTGTCAGTATTTAAAGTTTATAACCAGTACATATCATTCTATTAGGTGAATATGTCATGGTTTATTTAAGCAATCTTTTAATCATTCACTTATTCAGCAAACTTTAAGAAAGTTTCAGGCCCAGCATGTTGGCCTGTGCCTATAATCCCAGCACTTTGGGAAGCTGAGGCAGGAGGATTACTTGAGGCCAGGAGTTCAAGACCACCCTGGGAAACATAGTGAGATCCCATTTCTACAAAAATTAAAAAAAAAAAAATAGCTGGGCATGATGGCAGGCAGCTATAGTCCTGGCTACTCTGGAGGCTGAGATGGGAGGATTGCTTGAGCCCACAAATTAGAGGCTGCAGTGAGTTATGATAATGCCACTGCACTCTAGCCTAGATGACAGAGCAAGACTCTGTCTCTACAAAAATAATAATAAAAAATAAATAAATAAGAAACTTTTAAATATCAGGGTTTGCACTAAATATTATGATACAAGAGTAAAAACATCCACATTCCTTTTTTCTTAACAAAATTTTCGTTATGAAAATAATGCTCCAATGAATGTCTTATTATATCTATATATTGGTACATTTGCCTAATTATTTGTTTTAAATAGCTTTCCAAAAGTAAAATTCTTTGGGCCAAAATCCAAGCACATTTACAATTCTCTGACATGTCACCAAAGTCTCCTCCACCAGTTTACTCTTCACCACCTTTGGTATAGCTCTTAGGGATTGAGTTGGACCTTGGGTACAGCGACAGGAAAGAAAGCAGTCTAGGCTGTTGCAGACTCCAAACCAACCAGACAACCAGATTCCCACTGTCTCTCTGCTCTGCTCTTCCAACATCTGGTTTCCATTCTCAGGTATCTCATTGTTCAAGATGGGCTCCTGAATCTCTAGCTTTTGTCTTCAAGTCACAGGACAAAGGAGGAGACATGAAGTACCCAGAGTGCTGCTGCTCCTCACTGAGGCATTTTCTTTAAGTGTACTTCCCAGTAGCCCCACACAGCACTCCTCGTTCCAGCTCATTGGACAGAACTTAGTCACATGACCACACCTAGCTTCAAGGGTGACTCCAAGGCCCATCACTAAAGAGAAAATGCAAGTGACTCTCTCTGTCACACTCACAAATAAAACGTAGGGACAATCTAATATTTGCCACTATAAAGAAATAGTAACTCATTATTATTTAAATGCATATTTATTTTTTCACTGAACATATTTTTATATACTTATGTTTTTATCTGTTTCTTTAGGCATTGCCTGTTTATGATATTTGCCCTCTTTTTTCTTTTCTTTTTTTTATTGAGACAGGGTCTTGCTCTGTTGCCCTGGCTAGAATGCAGTGGCACAGTCACGGCTCACTGCAGCCTCAACCTCCTGGGCTCAAGCGATCTTCCTACCTCAGCCTCCAGAGTAGCTGGGACTACAGGCATGCTTTACCCTGGCTTGCTAATTTTTGTATTTTTTGTAGAGATGGGGTCTTGCTATGTTTCCCAGGCTGGTCTCCTGGACTCAAGCAATCTGCCTGCCTCTGCCTCCTGAAGCTCTGGGATTACATGCACGAACCAGCGCACCCAGACTTGTCCTTTTTTTTCTATTGAGTTATTTGCTTTTTCCCTGCTGATTCTTAAGAGTTTTCTAGGGAATAAAAATACTAAACCTTTGACATTTATTTTGTAAGCATTTTCCAATTAGTTGCTTAACTTTCTATTCTGCCTGTGGTGTTTGCTGCTAAAGAAAAATGTTTTCTTCATTGTAGTCAAACATTTTTCTTACACTTTAGAGTTTTTAGCTTCTGGGTCATTTTAGAAAGGTCTTCCCTAATCTAGCTTGTAAGGTATTCTCCAACATAGATGCTTTAAAAATAGACTTTAGTAATTATTTTGTTCAGATACCAGTTTTTAAAAAATTGCCACCATTGTTACATTTTTATAAAATATTTTTGTGATTTCAATATTCAATATTCAGAATATTTCAATATTCTGTAATCAATATTCTGATTTCAATATTTTCAATAAAATATTTTTCTGATTTCAATATGAAAATTGCATATTTCAATGCAATTTTATTTGTTCCCTAGAGGTTTATGGTCATTGTATCACCACTGTAACATTTGTCCTTTATCAGCATAACAAGGCCCTCTTGATTCTACTTTTCTGGTTCATTCTAGTTTGTCTTCTATTAACACAGGAACATGTCCTTTTGTGTTAATGCTATTGCTTATCTTCACATCATGTATTACTTTTAAACTTTTTCTGTCACTTTATTTTATGAGTATTGTAAATATCAGCTAGGAAAGCTTTTAGCTACAAGTTCAGAAATCAGAACTAACCATAACTTAGTAAGTATGTATTCTTTTGCTTTTCTAGCTTTCTCTCTCTCTCTCTTTTTTTTTTTTTTGGCATTTTTAAGAGTTTTAGAGGTTGTACTCACTTTCTTTCCTAGTGCTATCTTTAGCACGTTGCTTTGTTGCCTCATGCTTACAAGATGTCTTCTGCAGCTCAAGACAACACAATGATTTCCAAGTCAGGAATAAAGGGTCGGAGTAGCTCCAGCTATGTCAGTTCCTTTTGTCTGAAAAGCAAAAAGTTTCCCAGACACCCCATACTTTCATCTCATTGGCTGGAACTGTATCACATGATCACATCTAGCTGCAAAGAAGGCTGGAAAATAAGTATTTATCTGTTCTAGACTCTGTAGTAGAGGATGCAGAGGAGGACTAGATTAGCCAACTAACTCTCACCTGCCTCAGTATGTTTTTTGGAAATAACATATGATTTTTTTTTACCGAGTTTGAAATGTGTCAATTTATAATTTTAGCAAATGCATTTGTTTAATCTTCCTAAAACACCACTTCAGTCATGTCACTTCCTACCTATCTAAGCTCTAATGCGCTGGAGTTTCCCAGCCCTTCTTTTCCAAACGCAACAGATCTTACTTCATTTTAATTTTCTCATCATGCTTTTCTTTTTTTTTTTTTGAATACTTTAGTATTATGTAGAGGATAATTTCTTTACCTGTTTTCTTCTCTCCTCTTTTTTATTTCTACTAGTATTAACTTAATGTTTGCTGAAAAAATTCTTGTGTTTTCCTTATAAGATTCAAACATGGAATATCTTTAATATCCCATTATTTAAGAGTAGTTACTAATTCCTAAATTTCCCTTTTGTTATACTTGCACTTCGACTAGCTAGTCTGTTCTAATATTTGAAGTTTAGATCTAGAATATAATATTCTCCATTATGCAGTTCAGTGTTTTTTTTTTATGCATTCACAGAACTTGTACCCATCACCACAATCTATTTTAGAAGGTGTTGGTGACCCTAAAAGGAAATGCATACTAATGCATTTCCCATACGCACCCAATTACAAGAAGACTGGTGGCTTTTAGAGGCACACGTGGCCAATCCTAACGCAACTGAAGTTCCATTTGTTAATTAGAAAGAGAAAACGGGTATTGAATAGGCAAATATAGTCTTGCCACATTCTCTGTCTTGTGATCCCCTTCCTAGGTTAGTGTAAATATGTCTTCAATTAGCATTTTTAAATAGTACATTTTTAATCCCTTGTGTATCTGAGACTGTATTTCAATGGCTTTCACATGTGAAAGTACACATTTGCCTTGGATCTTAAACTTTCTCTTTCAAAACCCTGTAGCTTTTTTTTTTTTTTTTTTTTTTTTGAGAGAAGTCTCGCTCTTATTCCCCAGGTTTGAGTGCTATGGCTTGATCTCGGCTCACTGCAACCTCCGCCTCCCGAGTTCAAATGTTTCTCCTGCCTCTGCCTCCCAAGTAGCTGGGATTGTCACCCGCCACCACGCCCGGCTTATTTTTGTATATTTTAGTAGAGACAGGGTTTCACCATGTTGGCCACGCTGGTCTCGAATTCCTGACCTCAGGTGATCCGCCCGCCTCGGACTCCTAAAATGCTGGGATTACAGGCATGAGCCACTGCACTGTGGCTATTTTTAAAGCTTTATTAAGATGTATTTTACATACCATAACATTCACTCATTTCCAGTATACATTTTAGTGGTTTTTAGTATATTCATGGAGTTGTGCACCCCACACAGCGATCAATTTTAGAACATGTTCATGACCCCAAAAGGAAATCCTATCCACATTAATGCACATTAACAGTTACTCTCATTTCCTCTCTTCTCCGCCCCTGACAACTGCGAATCTACTTTCTGTCTCTATGGATTTGCTTATTCTAGACATTTTGTATAAATAGAATCATACAATATATGACTTTTTGTGTCTGGCTTCTTTTACTTAGCATGTTTTCAGGGTTCATCCATGTTGTAGCACGGGGTCCCCAACCCCTGTACTGGTCCATGAAATGTTAGGATCCGGGCCACAAAGCAGGAAGTGAGTGCGGCCTTACCACATTCTAATGGAGGCCTGATCTGAAAGGTGCCCTGAGCTCTGCCTCCTGTCAGATCAGCCCTGCCAGCAGATTCTCATAGGAGTGGGAACCCAGTTGTGAACTGCACATGCAAGGGATCTAGGTTGGGTACTCCTTATGAGAATCTAATGCCTAATGATCCTGAGATGAAACAGCTTCCTCCTGAAACCATTCCCCCACTACTCCCCTCCATGTCCGTGGAAAAACTGTCTTCCACAAAACTGGTCCCGGGTGCCAAAAAGGTTGGGGACTGTTGTATGTAGCATGGATCAGTACTTCATTCCTTTTTGTGGCTGAATAATATTCCATTATATGGACATTTCATCTATCCCCATACTGTTGCTAGATATTTGGTTTATTTCTTTTTTGGATATATTATGAATATGTTATGAATCTTCGTGTGCAAATTTTGAGTAAACGTATCTTTTCATTTATCTTGGAAAAACAGCTAGGAGTGGAATTGCTGGGCCATAGCATAACTCTATGTTTAACCTTTTAGGAAATTGATAAGCTGTTTTCCAAAGTGGCTGCTCCATTTTATATTCCTGCCAGCAGTCTATAAGTTCTCATTCCTCCATGTTCTTGTCAAAACTGGTTATTGTCTGTCTTTTTATTATAGCTATCCTAGTGGGTATGAAGTAATATCTCATTGTAGTTTTTACTTTCACTTCCTTAATGACTAATAATGTGGACCATATTTTTATGTGATTTTTAGCCATTTGTGTACCATCTTTGGAGAAATGTTTACTCAGATCCTTTGCCCATTTTTTATTGGATTACTTGTTTTCTTAATTGTTGAATTTTAAGAGTTCTTTACGTATTCTGGAAACAAGTCACTTGTCAGATATGATTTGCAGACATTTTATCTCATTCTGTGAGGGTTTTTTTTCAGTTTCTTGATGGTGTTATTTGATACACAAAGGTTTTTAGTTTTGATGAAGTCTGCTTTGTCCTTATTTTTTCTATTGTCATTTAAACATGTGGTGTTGTAACTAAGAAACTGTTGCCTAACTCAAGGTCACAAAGACTTACTTTTACGTTTTCTTCTAGGAGTTTTATAGTTCTAGCTCTTACATTTAGGTCTATAATCCATTTTGAGTTAATCTCATTTACAGTGTGAGATCTGGATCCAAATTTATTATTTTGTATGTGAATATCAAGTTGTCCCACTACCGTTTGTTGAAAAGACAGATTTTTTTTTCCCATTGAATTGTTTTGACACCTTTGTTGAAAATCAGTTGACCGTAAATGTGAGGGTTCATTTCTGAACTCTTAGTTCTATTCCATGGATTGTATGTCTATTGTTATACCATTTCCATACTGTCTTGATTTTTATAGTTTTATAGTAGGTTTTGAAATAGATGAGTACGATTTCTCCAACAGTTTCTTTTTTTCAAGATTGTTTTGGATATTCTGGGTCTCTTGCATTTTCATTTGGACTTTAGGATATGTTTACCAATTTTTAACAGGAAACACAGGAAAATTCTAATAGAAATTTTGATAGAAATTGTGTTGAATCTCTAGCTCAATTTGAAGAGATGGGGTTTGCCATCTTAACAATGTTAAGTCTTCTTATCCATGATCCCAGGATGTATTTCCATTTAGATCTTCTTTGATTTCTTTCACCAATGTTTGATAATTTTAATTCCTATATTTCTTTTGTTAATTTATTCCTAGTTATCATATTTTTTCTACTATAAATTATTTGTTAATAGTTTCTTAAGGATTATTTCTTAATTTCATTTTCATATTTTTCATTGCTGCTGTACATAAACACAATTGGTACTTGCATATTGGTATTGCTTATTGCCAAATTGCTAGACTCACTTATTAGTTCTAATTTTTTTTTGTCCATTTTTTAGGATTATATATATATATAAAACCATGTCATGCATATAGAGATAATTTTACCTATTCCCTTCCAATCCGGATGCCTTTTATTTCTTTATCTTGCTTAGCTTCCCTGGCTAGAATCTCTAAGACAATGTTGAATAGAAATGACAAAAGTGACCGCTTTACCTTGTTCCTGGCCTTGAGGGAAAAACATTTTGTTTTTCTCCATTAAATATGAGGTTAGCTTGGAGTTTTGTTTCTTTTCATGTTTGTAGATACAGAGGAGAAACATAAGCTCAGTCACTCTCATGGAGTGAATGTTTATGTCCCCCCCAAATCATCTGTTGAAGCTCTAACTTTCAATTGGCTGTATTTGGAAGCAGTGCCTATGAAAAGGCAATAAAGGTTAAATGAGGTAATAAAGGTGGGCTTTAATCTGATAGGGCTGGTGTCCTTATAAGAAGAGGAAGGGGCACTGGAGCTCTCTCTCTACCTTGTGAGGACACAATGAAGAGACAATCATATGAAACCAGGAAGAGAGTCCTCACCAGGGACTGAACTGGGCAGCACTTGGTCATGGACTTCCCAGTCTTCAGGACTAAGAGAAAATACATTTCTGTTGTTTAAGGCACTCAGTGTGTGGTATATTGTTATGGCAGCCTGAGATGACTAATATACTCACTTTAAGAGTTTTTTACTAGATGTTCACAGACATTTAAAAATCTTAAAGTTTATAGATTTTGCTAGGATATGTCTAGGTGATGGTCTCTGTTCACCGGCATTGTTTAAAACAGTGTTAGTTTTTATATTCTGCACATCAAGGCCTTTATTTAGCCCAGAAAACATTCTCCCTGCTCTATGGTATTGTTTTGCCTCCTATGTGCTGGTATCTTCTTTAGGAATACACATTTATGTGCACATTGGTTTTGTTCTTTTTCTCCTTTATATTTTCTGTCTTCTTTCATCTTCATCTTTTCCTTTGGATTCAGAGAGAACATATGAAGAACACATGACTGAAATCTCAAGTCAGACTGAAATCCTGACTTCGTCATTCACCAGGTTTGCGATTGTGTGCCTCCTGTGCCTCAGTTTCCTTATGTATAAATGGGGATACGGTAGTTTCTATTTCATGAAACTGATGTGTGGGTAATACAAGTAAAGTCTTTAGAATAATGCTTTACAATTAATGAGTTACTGGTAAATAAATGTAAGCAATGAACATTAGTATCACTGATGCAGTTTTTCAGAGTATCAGTTGTGGGCATTCTGCTTAAAATATGGGTTTAATTTTTACATTTGAATTAAATGTCACTGCAGTCCTCCCCATTCTTGCCCATTTTCATCTCAACCTGTTTTTTCCTCTCAGTCTATTCCCTTCTTATGACCATTTTATTTTGATGCATAACGGTTGCATCTTCTTGCACTCTTGTTGATACCCATTTCAGGAAAAAAAGACTATTTCCGATTTGAGGCACATCTTTTTCAGTGAACACAGTCTTGCACCTGCTTTCCTATTTTCTTTGTACACGATTAGTTTTAAAGGCCCTTTGTTGAGTGTACTCTGTTTTCGTTGCATAAACTAGATCCGTTTCAACTCAATGTCTGGCAACAATCGAGGTGAGTGGGGTACGCTTGGTCCCTCCCTCTGTCTACCCTGTGGGGATCACATTGCAGTCTCAGGTCTCAGCTGGAAGGCAGGGTGCTGTACTTGGTTCTTATTCTATTTCCCTGTGTTTTCAGACTTTCACTTAATGTTTCTCTTTGCTACTTAGAGGTATACCTCATTCATTTTCCTGGCTTGTTTAGCTTTTTAAAAATAAAATATACGAATAATTTCTCTCACATCCTCTTCCTAAAGTTCTTCTTGTTTGTGCCTCTGGCTGAATACTTTGTGTGGAGGGACATTTCCTAGAATGCACTGGGCCACCATCACTTCTTCCTCAACTCCTTTTGCTACCTTACTGTTTTCTGGAATTTCCAGTCCCGATATGAATGTGGGAAGACTGGGAGAGGGAAGAGGTCAGGGGTTATCCTCCAACCGCCTTGAAGAATACTGCAAGAAGTGCAGAGGATGATTGATGTCTCATCCTTCACAGATGCAGGCCCTACAACTCCAGGGCAGGGAACAGATTGGTGGGGAGAGGCACAAGCATCTCTCCTCTTCCTATTGACCCATGGTCTCTATTTCTTAAAGTCTCACTTACTGAAGCCTGAGTACATTCCCTGCAGCCACAGTCTACTTTCCACATAACTGAGGCTGATGTGCAGCCAGTACTTTCCACTATCCCTTTAGAGTTGTTCATGACTGTCTTGGTAGGTTCATGCAGGGTCCTGGATAATAAATATTTTGAATAGCTTCCTGCTCATAACACATGTCAATTACCCCTGGATACCTAGATATGGTTACTTTTCAGGGTAAGCTTTCCTGCTGTTATGAGCTTTCATCTAAGCTCGACTTGGAGCTCAAGTTGGGTGCCAGTTTGCATTGGAAGTCTCTATGGGCTAGAATATAAAATCCATGGCATGGCTGCTGTTTCTGACTGCATTGAGTAATTTCATTTAATAATCATTTTGATTTTCCCTGTGTGTAAATTTTCCCTGAGAGGAGGTTAGGCTCATTGGGAGGTGAATTCTTTCTCTCAAGTCATTAAGGTTCCAGTTAGTGCTTTGTGTCTATAATTAATTAAACTACACTCAAGTTCCCTAAAAATGAAATTCCCTATGTCCCTAGTGGAATTTGAGGTTCAAACTGAATATACTCAGGGATGAATATATCCAAACCTGGGTCTTTCTTGAGGATCATCTTATGTGTTTTTTGCCTCCCAACCTGTCTTTGTGGATGTATCTTGTGGAAAGGGGTATGATAAAGTTGATATTTCATTTCTGTTTTTGTATTTTGTAGTTTTTTTTTGCTAACCTAATGGTCTTATCTGGTAATATCTGAGAAGAGGGTGATAGACAATAAAAAGGGAAGTATTCTTTATTTTAATTAAAATGCTAACATAAGGCACAATCATTGAGTGATTGCATTACAAAACAGCTACTTGTTCTGCCATAGTTAAGTGTGATTTGATGCGTCCATTATAAGCCTCTATTCTCAGGGGTTTATATCTTGGCCAAAATAGTCCCTCCAGGCTGAAACTTGGCAGACATCTCAGCCTAATTACAGTCGTTTTCCTTTTTGGATTAAGAAAATGGAATTATTAGTGCTTGAACCCCATCCCCCCATATTTTCAAAGGATTATATTTATATTCACATACATTGTGGGCTCTTGATCCTTTCAAATAAAATGACAACTTAGCAAGAACCAAAGATCCAGGGACCCCATGGAGAGAAACTCATGCTTGCTCAAGCAACAGCAGCAAGGAGTCAAGGAAATCACTGAATTAATAATGAGGTTTGTGGGTATGGTGAGAAGGCCAGTTCTGTGGGTTTTGGTGCATTGAGTAAATAGGTGAGGCGCATTCCCTGATCCCCAATCCCAAGGCCACAGCCATCATCACATTCTTCCATAGACTTTTTGCTGTTACCCTAGAATTCTCCCACCACTCATCCTCCGACATCTCTTTTTCTCATTCGTTTTTACCCATCAACAGAGGTGGACAAAATCCAAGGGGGATGGAGATGATCAAAGAGGTCTTTGCTATAATAGAGAAATTCTGAATATGCATTCTTCCCTGTCTTATATGTTGTTCTCTTGGAGACCTCAGAGGAGGTCTCAGGGCCTTACCAGCCTCTAAAGAGCCATGAAAGTAATATGTTTGCTTCCCTGAATTATCAATTGAAACATAGATGACTATAAATAGCACTTACATTTTCATTATTATTTAGGTGTAGTAGGTGAGATTTGATGTAAAATTTTACATCTTACCTTTTATGTCACCTGTTTGACTTTTTTTATTACTTGAAACATGTCACATATCCTTTCAAGTGAAATTACTGTAAACAGTAGATAGAATACTTCTTGCAACTTTTAGATGACTTCCCTGACAAAACCCACACTCTACAATTTGCGAAGTTTAGTGAAGAAACCAGTGAGGTTTACGCAGTTTACAGCTTGGTATTCCCTGGGCTCTTGCTTATAAATCTATCTAGATATAGGTCATGAATATGTAATATGCAGACTGATGCTGAATGTAGCACCGTAATATAAATAGACATGAGCTTTTCAAAAAAGCAACAGGAGTTGGAAAAAAAATCTACTCAATTTCCTACACAGTGCAGCCCATTAAGGAGACAGTAAAATCAAAATGTTGAAGTTACTAGAAGAAAATTTTGCTGAATCAGTTCCTTCCAAGAGTCTGGCATGAATGAGTCATATTGTACACAGGGAGAAGTAGCTCAGGCACACCCTTAGTTGTCATGGATTTCATTTACTTAGAAGGTTTGGTATTTGTGTGAGTGCAGTGAGCAAATAAGGTATGTCAATGGTACCTAAAAATGAAGCCTACAACAATTAAATTAGAAACTAAAAAGGTTTTGAATGGTAAAACTGAATACATTTTAATTGAACATAATTCTATTGAAGACTATTAAATTTCCACCTTGGAACAGAAGCACAAACAATGTGATAATGAGCTATGGAACCAAAATTTAGAACAGACAAACTGAAAAAATTACAGGCACCCCAGTGTAGGAAATGCACAGTGCTGATGATATGAAAATATGAATTATTTATATCTTCTTTAAATGTAAAATGTAAATTTGCTTGGAATTAATTTCTGTTGGGAAATTACTGCTCAGTAAACAAAGATATCTCTTAGGGTAATATTTTTTCCTCCCAAATGTATTATTATTATTTTATTATTGTTGTTGTATGGGGAACAAGAGAAAGTTTAAGGATATTCAAGGTTGAAAACTTCTGAGTTATAGTTACACTGGAAAATAAGTCTTTTATTTCTAGGCAACATGTAATGTAGACAGTTAAAGAGTTATTTTCTTCAAAGGACAGCCAAACTAAGTGGATGGACTGCATTGTGACCCCCAAATCTGTAATGTCAAAAATGTTGAACCCTTAATTCCCAATGTGACTATATTTAGAGATAGAATCTTTAGGAGATAATTAGCATTAAATGAGATTATAAGAATGGGACCCTAATCTGATAGGATTATAAGTCTTATAAGACTTATATAAGAAGAGTAAGAGAGAGATATTTCTCTCTTTTTTTCTTCGTAAACACAGAGGAAAGGCATATGAAGACAAAGCAAGAAGGTGGCCAACTGCAAGCCAGGAAGAGCGACTTCGCCAGAAACCAAACTGACCAGCAAATTGATCTGGGACTTCCCAGCCTCCAGAACTGAGAGAAACAATTTCTGTTGTTTAAGCCACCCACACTACGGTCTTTTGTGATGGCAGCCTGAGCAGACTAAGACGGATTTTGGTACTGAGAAGTGGGTGCTACTGTTAACAAATATCTAAACACATGAAAGCAGCTTTGGAACTAGGTGATGGCCATAGGCTGGACAAGTTTTGAGGTCCATTCTAGAAAAAGCCATTGCTATGATGGGACTGTTGGTAGAAATATGGACTTTAAAGGTAATTCTGATGAAGGCTCAGAAAGAAAAGAGAACAGCTGTAGACAAAGCTTCCATCTTTTCAGAGAACACAAGGATAATTATGACTAGAATGGTGGAATATAGACATTCCAGTGAGGACTCAGACAGAAATGAGGAACAGGTTATCGGACTAGAGAAACTGGGATTCTTAGATAGCGGCAAAGAACTTGGCTGAATTTTATTTTAGTGTTTTGTGGCAGGTAGAACTTGTGAGTAGTATAATTGAATAGCTGGAGAGATTTCAAAGCATTTTTAAGCAAAGTACTGGAGGTGTGATTTGGATCCCTCTTACTACTTATAGCAAAATGCCAGAAAGAGAGAGAGGAATGGAAGAATAAATTGTTAAACAAATAGGAACCAGAACTTGGAGATTTGGAAAATTCTCAGTCTATCCATATTGCAAAAAAAATGAGAAAGTTTGTTATGAAGATAACACTAAGAGTGTAACTGAAAACCAGTTGAGAAAGAGACCATGACTGCAAATCATGAACTGACAGCCATCTCAGCAGAAGCTAGGAACAGAGATGGGATTATACTTGCTGAGATGCTATCAGTTTGAACTAAAGGGGACAGAGAACATAGGACAGAATGAAGGAAGGCTGTTGGGCCTCTTGGATTCTACAGGACTGAGCCATAGAGCTCTTTGACTGTGAGCCTGTGCTATTCTTAAAGGAAAGAGAAGAATTACCCAAAGGTGATTCAGAGATTATTCAATGATCATTCATATGATAAGAAAGCAAAACAGCCTTATTGTTTATAGCGAGAAAGTGAGTGGTCTGGATGGAAGATGAAAACCAGCCACGACATTCCTTTAAGCCAAAGCCTAATCCAGAGTAAGGCCCTAACTCTCTTCAATTCTGTGAAGGCTGAGAGAAGTTGAGGAAGCTGCAGAAGAAAAGTTTGGAACTAGCAAATATTGGTGCCTAATGTTTAAGGAAAGAAGCCATGTCCCCAACATAAAAGTGCAAAGTGAAGCAGCAAGTGCTGATGTAGAAACTGTAGCAAGTTATCCAGATGATCTAGCTAAAATAATTGATAAAGATGGCTCCAGTAAACAACGGATTTTAAATGTAGACAAAATAGCCCCCTATTGGAAGAAGAAGCCATCTAGGACTTTCATAGCCAGAGAAGAGAAATCAATGCTTGACTTCAAAGCTTCAAAGCACAGGCTGATTTTCTTGTTAGGAGCTAGTGCAGCTGGGTGACTTTAAATTGAAGTCAGTGCTCATTTATAATTTCAAAAATCCTAGGGTCCTTACGAATTATGCTAAATCTACTTTGCCCTTGTTCTCTAAATGGAACAAAGCCTGGATGACAGTATATCTGTTTAGAACATGATTTACTTAGTATTTTAAGCCCACTGTTGAGACATATTGTTAGAAAAAAAGATATTTTTCAAAATATTACTTCTTATTGACAATGTACTTGGTCACCCAAGAGCTCTGATTGAGATGTACAAGGAGATTAATGTTTTCATGCCTAAAAACATGCAGCCCATGTCAAGGAGTAGTTTTGACTTTCAAATATCATCATCTAAAAAATAGATTTAAGGCTATCACTGCCATAGGTAGTGATTCTTCTGATGGATCTGGACAAAGTAAATTGAAGACCTTCTGGGAAGGATTCACCATTCTAGACACCATTAAGAACATTTGTGATTTATGGGAGGAAGTCAATAGATCAACATTAATGGGACTTTGGAAGAAGCTGATTCCAACCCTCATGGATGACTTTAAGGGGTTCAAGATGTCAGTGAAGGAAGTAATTACAGATGTGGTGGAAATAGCAAGACAATTAGAATTAGAAATAGAGCCTGAAGATGTGACTAAATTGTGCAATCTCATGATAAAAATTGAATGTATGAGGAGTTGCTTCTTATGGATGAGCAGAGAAAGTGGTTTCTTGAGATAAAATCTACTCCTGATGAAGATGCTGTGAACATTGTTGAAATGACAACAAAGAATTTAGAATATTCTGTAAACTTAGTTGATAAAGCAGCGGCAGGGTTTCAGAGGATTGAATCCAAGTTTGGAAAAAGTTCTACTATCGGTAAAATGCTATGAAACAGCATCACATGCTACAGAGAAATCTTTCATGGGAAGAAGAATAAATCAATGCAGCAAACTTAATTGTTGTCTTAAATTTTTCAGAATTGCCACAGCCACCCCAATCTTCAGTAATCAGTCAGTAGCCATCAACATGGAGGTAAGACCCTCCACCAGCAAAAAAAATTTTGGCTTGCTGAAGACTGAAGTGATCATTAGCATTTTTTAGCAATAAGTGTTTTTAAATTAAGGCATGCATATTGTTTTTAGACATAATGTTATTTCACATTTATAGTATAGTGTAAATATAATTTTTATATGCACTGGGGAACAAAAAAAATTGTGTGACTCACTTTATTGCATTATTCACTTTATTGCAGTGGTCTGGAATCAAAGCCTAAATATGTCTGAGGTATGCCTGTATATATTTTTTAATCATAGCAACTCTAGTCTATAACTGAAGAGAGAAAGAAAATATATGATTTGTGATTATCCATTATGGACAGTCATACTTTTTTTTTTGTGGGGGGGGACAGAGTCTTTCTGTGTTGCCCAGGCTGGAGTGCAATGGCATGATCTCAGCTCACTGCAACTTCCACCTCCCAGGCTCAAGCAATTCTCCTGCCTCAGCCTCCCGAGTAGCTGGGATTACAGGCATGTGCCACCACGCCTGGCTAATTTTTTCATTTTTAGTAGAGTGGGGGGATGGGTTTCACCATGTTGGCCAGGCTGGTCTCAAACTCCTGACCTCAGGTGATCCACTTGCCACAACCTCCCAAAGTGTTGGGATGACAGGTGTGAGCCACCGCGCCTTGCCACTAATTTTTTTAAGTTGTAAAATGGTTCCTACCAATATGTTGCAGCTTTCATGCGCAATTAGACATGGTCTGCCATACAAAATGCCCAAGCTGGCTGGATATTTATGTGGTTAATTTTATGTTATTAGACCAAAGTCTTGCATAAAATTAGCACTCAGTAAGTATTTATGTGAGGGATCAGGGGAAAGGAGGAGGGATGAGCAGAAGGAAAGGACAATCAGAGAGATACAGTTGAGGGAGATGAAGAAGGAGGGAAAGGAAGGAAGGAAGGAAGGAAGGAAGGAGGGAAGGCAGGCCACCTCATGATTCCCCTCGGCCAGCTGTCATTGTAAATGAATGAGCAGAAAATGGTATGATGTTATTGAAGGACATGCAAAGGTCTGTTTATTGGGTTCTAAATTCTCCCTTATTGGATTCTTACGTGTATCTCCTGGAGACTTTTCCCTTTTAAATACTCTAAGGCACCAGCAAAAGTTAGTTGATTTGGTTTATCCCTTTAGTCTTATTGTTGTCTAGAAAAGAGTAAATTTCTGAGAAACACGACCCAGGAGAGGAAGCTTGTGATGGGGAAGGGGCTTAGGTGTCTTAGATGGAAGTGTGGCTGTGTTGCTTTCAGACAATCATGGAGCTGCCAGAGTCCTGGGTTCCTGCATCCCTAAAGGAAGGATAGGGATGAATGTTTTCTATTTCCTGATTTTGCATTGTTTATGTGATTTTTAAAAATAACCCTTAATTCTCTGCCCTGACTTTTCAACATTCAGGAAAGAACATTGAGGTAAGAGCCAGAAGGTGTGTGATTAGGCTTGGGTCTACCCCAGAGCGGAGTCAGGGTTAGCTTTTGCCTAGAGTAGGCCAATTCCCTCCTTCCCTTGACTAATCCTCAGGTCCCAAGGATGCTCTCTCCTGAGCAGATGCAAAACAAACTGGACTCTCCAGTGGGGCCCTGTGCATGTCACCTTGGCAAGGATGGAGCTGAAGGGGAAACGAAGCCATGTGGGGTTAGCATAGGGTAGGGGGGAGATGAGGAGAATGGAGGTAAGGCTGTGGTCTTGGAAAGGAAGAGGTGTTCCTCCCTAAGAAAACCATCCCTGGATACCCCTGCCTTCCAGTTCACCCTCCTCCACTTCCTCCTCTGACCTTCTTGCCTTCTCAGAATTATTTATATTCCAGGCTTTCTACCTGTCCATGTTATTCTGCCCGGCAGTGTTCACAGCTGTTCCATGGCTTCTCTCCACAACACAGTCCCAGGGCATTGCCTGAAGATTGCCAGCATAGGTCCCTGGTCACATGGCTCAGAACACTTGCACATTTGCACTGAGTTGAGGAAGTGTAGGCAGCACAGTGTGGCAGTGAAGAGTATGACTCTGAAGCCAGCCAGCATGGGTTTGATTACCAGCTTTGTGACTTTGAGCAAGTTATTAACCTCTTAGTTTCCTCATCTTCCAAAATTGGGACATAATACTGTCTCTCTCACAGAGTTGTTCAATTAGTTTAAAAAATTAATACATGTAAAACATCATAAGCATTTCATAAGTGTTTGCTTTTTTACTGTAAATAGTTCCTGGAAACCAAGTACCACATCTGGCTAATTTCTGTATGCTCAGCCCTATACAGAAATGCATCCTAAATACATTGTAACAGTTCTAATCAATTGTTAATTAATTGATTCCCAGCTTCTTAATGGACTCTGATGTCTGACAGTTATGGGTGTACAGGGTGAGTTAGTCAAGTCTTGCAGCACTGCGTGGATTCGAACACACAGTAAAGGAGTCCGGCAGCCTGAGTTCAAATGCTGGCTCTACTGTTTTTCAGCTGCGATACCCTGGGAAAGTTTCTGAAACTCCCTGAGTTGAAATTTTCTCATTTTCTAAATGGAGAAAGTTTTGCTTTGAAGATTAAATGTGACAGAGCTATTATTATTCCCCTCTTGTGCTTTGCTGAGGATATGGAGTCCATGTCTGTGGGTATGGAACTGGGGCTGAAGATCAGTTTGCAGAAATTCTGGCTTCTGGAGTGTGGTCAGCAACACTTAGACATAGGGCCGCTTGTTTTGTTCTGGTCTTGTCCTGACTAACATCTTCCTCTCTGCCTCCCTTTTCTGTGAAATCTAAGTAACACTGCTGGGTTCAGAGTTGTTTCTGCATGCAAGGCAATCAAAGGTGCTCATACAATTCCTCGATGTCCAAGCTGGACAGCACCTCAGCAACCACACAACCATCCGCACTTCACAGGTAAGGGAATGGAATCTGGAAAAGAAAAGCAATTGGTTTGACCAAATTACATATTTAGCCGTAGCAGAACTCAGACAAACACTGGGTATTTCAGCTGTCTATCCATTGATCTTTGTTAAACCATGGCCTCCCTGAGTTGATGCCACAAGGCCTTCTTAACCCTTACCAAAATAACACAAAATGATGTATATAAATCATTAAAAGGTCCACCAAGCAGAGAGGGGGTAGGAGAGAGGAGGGAAGGGACCTAAATGCATTAATTTCTTTAATTAACATAAATAGTAAGTTAGCTGCTCAGAGTAGGTTTGTGCTTTCTTGCAATTCATTCCTCTACTCTATTCCAACTGAACAGAGGTCATGTTCTGAAATGGTTAAGAATAAAGATTCCAGGTCCCAGAGGCGGAATGCACTTCCAGCATGTACTAGCTATGAGGCCTGCACATGTAACTTCTCTATGACTCCATTTCCTTACTTTACAGCATGAGAAGGAAAGACACACCTACCTCATAGTGTGGTTGAAGAGATTTAATATAACAAGACATCAAAAAACACAGCAGAATCTGCTACATGTTAAGTATTTACTGTATGTCAGTTGTTCTGGATGGATAAAATTGCCACATGGCTGCATTTCAAATGATGAAAATTCTTATTACTTCTTATTCTCTTGCAGTAAGAGATTGCTTCTGTCTGGAATGTTTCCTCTTCTTCCTATCAGAGTATAGGTGGGAGGGGAGGGAGGCATGCATAATGCGGGCCAGGTTCTGAAGGCCACGAGGCAAAATGTATGATGCCTTCTCATACTGACACTCCAGACACTGAGAGCCAAACACATCCTAAGTCCCAGGAGGAGATTATGCTTGGGCCTTGTCAGTTAGTGAAGGGTTTATTGGTCACTGGAATCTGACCAGGCCTCTCTGAGTCTCCCTGCTGCCCGCCCCTGCTTGGGTCTGCAACCTGGGCCTTGCCCAGCCCCTCTTCCCATGAGCAGACCTTGTTCCCTCCACCCTGCCCTTCTCAGGGTTCCCCAAGCCCATCAACCCTTTTCCCATGCTGTATCACTGCACCTGACTTTCCCTCTGCCTGGGACATTCTTACGATTCCCCACCTCCCCGCCAACACCTGGCTTGACCTTTTCTTAGCAATGTGCAAGCTCTGATGCTAGGGTCTCTCTGAATCCGGAATGCTTCTGGGCTCCTGGGCAGCTCCAGCATTTTGTTTTGAATTGTTGTGCTACCATAATACGTGCATTGTGTCTCTCCCCTGCCAAGAGTGGGCTCCTTCTGGGCAGAGACCCATCTTACTCATACCCTCAGCTTCTAACACATGGCCTGGCACATCATAAGTGCCCATGGAGACTGGTAGAGAAATTAGTGCCCCTGCCCACACCTGACCACCATTCTTGCCAGTACAACTCTCAGTCTCTTTCCCTTCTGCATTTAGAGTCTGGAGCTCAGTTAGGTTTCCAAATGTAAATTCTGTCTTTTAATTAAGAACTGTAGAAAAATATATATGTGAATGTGGATATATTTTCAACCTCGATGCTGGCATTTTTTCTACATTTGCTTGTTTTGGAGACTCTCGTCTCCCCTGGGATCACGCCTTTCTCCTGGTAAATGGACAGGAAAGTGAAGACGTGAATATTTTTATCTGACATTATTTTGGAGCATGGCTTTCCTGTTTGCTGTTGTTTCCTTTTCATGGACCATTAGCAGCTTCCAAAGGCAATATCCTTTCACTGTCACACTGTGCCATGGGGGGCCATTTCAACAACTTCAGACTAGGGCATTAAGTGCAATTCTGGATGAGAGTCAGCACATAACCAAATAAAAATAATAAAAGGAAAGCTTGTAGGAGCCATTTGGAACACTGTCCCGTGCTGAATTCATTTGCAGCCTCTCAGAAACCTACCCATCACCAGTGATCAGCCCCAAGCCTGGCCATACCTTATTTAATTGTAAAGTATTTCATATCCTCAGAAACAGCCCTGCTCATTTGCTTTTCCTTTTTTGGAGATTGTCTTGGTGGAATGCTGAGATTCTAATCAGTGGGGGAAAAAGAAAATGCAGGTTTTGATTTCAGCAAGAAAAAAAAAAGGTGCACTTCTTGTAGCTTTTCTCCTCGCCTTAAAATGAGCATTTAGGAGACCTTTTTGGAAATTCTTCTAAAATAGGTGCTTAGCACAGCAGAGAAGATGGTAGAAAAAGCAAGGTGAATTAAGTTCAGGCGCCTAACCCAGCATGAGCCACTGCCACCCTACCCCTGGTCTCCACGTGGATGGCAGTTTCAGAAATGAAGGGGAGAAAAATAAGCATAAGAATTTGTCTCCAGGCCAGTGTCCCTGATGGGCAACCCAGTTGAGAGCAAGGTTCTCCCGGATGGAGAGAGTCCCCTGAGCCTGAATTCCAGGAAAGTCTCAGGTCTAACCAAGTCAGGGCAGGTTAGCCTACATCAGTTTGTCCCCGGCATCACAGCCACCTGGGGGAGCAAGGCTGTTAAAAGTATTCCTGGAGACCTATTACCTAGAAATTCTGACTCAGTTGATTGCGGATGGGTAATGAAAATCCACATTCTATTGGCTTTTCTACATCTCAGTGATGCAGGTGAATAAATACTAGTGGAATATTCAGTAATCAACCAGCCAAGGAATGTTTGTTGAGCGTTTGTGCAAAATGCCATTCCTGAGACCTGAGATGGTCATATATTAGAGCTGCCCCTTCAGTTTAGCATAAGGATGGTCTGTGTTAGAAGACCAGGGATGGCCATTAAAAACACAGCCTTAGGAGCCTGAATAATAAAAGAATAGGAGAATAGGAGCATTCAGATCATAGCTAACATTTATCACACACTTAGGTGGCCAGCACTGTGCTATAAAAGTTTCCTCTACACTCCTTTAAATTAAGGACTGTTTTGTCTTGTTCATTGTTGTCACCTCAGCTCCTAGGACAGGACCTGGCACATAGTAACCGCTCAATAAATATTTGTTAAATAAATGTACAAATGCATTATTAGCTTATCCAATCTTCAGACAGCTCTCCGAGCTAAATATTAAATATTCCAGGTACACTAAGATTCTGGGAGGGGGACCAGAGAATCTGTCCTTTTATCAAGCACTTTGAGAGATTCTTAAGATTGACTAGATTTGGGAAGCAGAAAATCTGGACCAAATTCCCTTATGGGTATTTAAATCCCCTGAAAAACAGTCTAATTCAATGTTTCTTCAGCTTATCCTTGAATTTCCTGAAGATAAGATATCCTTGCATTTTCTGAAGATATTATGGTAGTGCAAAACACAGCCCAGACCACAGTCTACTCATTTTAATTATTAAAATTTTTTTTTGAGACGGAGTCTCACTCTGTTGCCAAGGCTGGAGTGCAGTGGTGTGGTCTCGGTTCACTGCAACCTCCACCTCCCAGGTTCAAGCAATTCTCCTACCTTAGCCACCCGAGGAGCTAGGATTACAGGCGTGTGCCACCATGCTCGGCTAATTTTTGTATTTTTAATAGAGACGGGGTTTCACCATGTTGGCCAGGCTGGTCTCAAATTCCTGATCTCAAGTGATCCACCCTCCTCAGCCTCCCACAGTGCTAGGATTACAGGCGTAAGCCACCACATCCAGCTAAAATGTTATTTTTTATGATCAAGTGAATCATAACTTTTCTTCATTTCTACCCATGGCTCTTATTTCTTCTCCAAGTAAAAGATCATGTCCATCACACTGAGCTATCCATTACTGTGCATAATGGAGATTTAAGATTATACCATTTTCCATATATTCAAGGATCAAGCCAGAGGCAAAGAGAATGAGAGATCTATGGCCTGATCCCAGATGAGAGACCTAGGCTCCTGGACTCGTTGGAAATAATACTGTGACCTGAGCTTAGGTAGAACATGGACTCAAGTCTGATAACCTTAGATTTGAAACTTGACTCTTTGACAACTAGCCATGTGACCTTGTGAAAGGCTTTCTCATCTTCAGTTTTCCCGTGTGTGAAGTGGAAATAATAAAATATCATAGCATTGTGAGTGTAAAACATAATAGCTGCCAATAACAAAACCAAAACCACATATAACAAAAAATTAATACGAATATAAAAGTCACAGCTAACATTTATCACAGCCCTATTATGTGCCCAGTATGTTGCTAAACAACTGTCCTCTAAGCCCCTATAAGTTAAGGGACTGTTTTAATTGTTTTGTTCATTGTGGTGTCCCCAGCACCTAGAGCAGTGTATGACACATAGTAATGGCTCGATAAATATTTTTTGAATAAATGAGTAAACCCATTGTTAGCTTGTCTAATCTTCAAAATAGTTCAGAGCTAAATGCTTCTGGTAATCCTATTTGACACAATGAGAAAACTGAGACTTGACAAGGTAAAGTTACTTGTTCAACCAGTAGGCAACAAAGCAGGGATTTAAACCCAGACACATTCCTGTGATCCCTACCAACAAGTTATTGTAGGCATATTGCCATTTATTGACAATATTGGTAAATCTAACCTTATATTTGTATTTTTTTATAAATGTATTTTAATGCCTAATGCATTTTATATTTGTATTCTTACACATCATGACATCTGTTGCTGGAGAGGGGGTGCATTAATTTGGTTCTGACATGAGATCCCGATGCTGCCTTTACTTCCTGTGGACAAATGTGCATGTTCAGAAGCTGGGAACAGACAGGGCAGCAATCTTTTTGTCCAGCTTCTGGTGGCCTTGATGCCTGCTTTGTGAGACACCCAGAATCTTCAGCTGTCTTTTCCTCCCATTGAATAGTCAATAGGGAAAGCAAGAACTCTAAAACTGCTGGACTGAAAATGAAATATGCAATGGCTTCAGGCTATGTTTTCCCTTTGCTGGGAAGCACTGCTATGATAATTGTTTCTACAAAAAGAAACTACAACTCTGGCAAAAAAAAAAAAAAAATCAAACCCTCTGTTTGCTCGAACCTATCATAAACCATTGCTGGTAATTATAGAAACTGATTGTGCGACAGTTTAGTTTAACTTAATTGGCAATTTTTTTTAAGCTGCAACACAGTAAAAATAGTAAAGAACGAGTCAGGTTCTAGAGATGGAACATTTAGCTTTGGTGAAATGTCAAAGATCTGCACACACTGCCAAAGGTGTGGGAATGTAACTGAGCTGTCAGCTCTGTTATTTAAATCCTTGCTTCTTATGTTTTAAATTCTGCTTCCTGAGTGCACAGTCTGTTGTGGACTTGCATCCTATTGTGGCTAAGCAGGTCTTTAAGCAGTTGTGGAAAGAAATGGTCCCCCTAAACCAATATAGAAATATGGCTCCTGTGTCTGGAAGAGATGGCTGTGCAAAACCAATAGCTGTGTCCCATTGCAATTTAAGTATAATCACTTCTTTTGGGGGTTCATTTTACTTGATTAAAAAAATTGATTAAAGCTTTACCTCCTTTTCCATTACTAGGAACACTCTCATTCCTGTTTTCTTTCCTTTGGTCCTTCTCTTTCATCATAATGATTGTCATCTCATCATCATCATCATCATCATCATCATCATCGTCATCATCATCATTCCATCTTAATAATAATGGTAATAATAGCCAGCATTTATGACCACTTCCATAGGACAGATATTAGGTCAAGGACTTTCAACAGATTATCTCATTTAATCTTCACAACTATTTAAAAAGCTACCTATTAGAAAGTGGCAAGCCTAGATTCACACCCTGTCTGTTTGGGACCAGGGCATACAGTTATATCCATGATATTTTCTATCATCTTACAGTTTTGTTTACAACTGGGCCTCCATCTCTGGGACAAAGCTTAGCTAAGTTTCATAGCCAAGGCAGAAAATAGAGCAAAACCTCAGGGCCACCATCTAGTCAGGCTTGGCATTGGTCTTGCTACCTGTAAAGCCAGTATCTAGTATGTCAGGAATGACACTTGGGAGCCTGTGTCCCTTCCAGGTGGCAGTCTTCCATGTGTAATAACCCTTAGCCACGGCTCCTCCTCTGGATGGGCGATCTGGCCTCCTTTCCCTGCCCTACCTGCCAGGTCCCCCCTAGGTTTGGAGCTTTTCCCTGAACACCAGCCCACAATCCAGGGTCAGAGAGACCCCTCCCTACTCCTATCCGTCCCCTTCTCCCAGTGCTTGGATTCCCACTCCTTGTACCTAAGAGTGCATAGTGAAGGTAAGCTGCATATAGAGATGTTTTAGTAACTTCCTTTGAAATGAAAATCACAATGATGGTGATGATTATGGTGATTTATTGAGTGCTGTTTGCCAGCACTATTCCAAGTGCTTTTGCATGTACTAGCTGCCCTCCCAATAACCCTGGGAGGTAGATCTATTGCTTTCACCAGTTTCCAGATGAGGAAATGAGGAGCACAAAGGTTAAGAGACTTACCAAAGGTCACATAACTAGAAAGTGTCAAAGCCAGATGTGCACCCAAAACTGGTAAGCTTAATCATAATGCTATGTTGTGATGTCAAAATAGTGTTACCAATGGTTTGAGGAACCAAACATTCAAAATGCTTCAGACGAACACAACAACTTTTTCAGGTAAGTTGATTTGTGAAAATCAACTTTGCTTTCAAACTTAGCATGTCACTTGGAAATGGCTGTAATTAATGTCAAATTTAGTTCCAGTCTCCTGGAACCTAAATACCATTGAGACTAACAATATTTTCTACATTCTAATTACATTTTAGAATATACTTACATCACTTGATGTTCCAAAGCTTTCTAATGATTGAATTGCAATTAAGAGCCTATGCCATATTCTTACACATACTGTTTTCCTATCAAAGTATAAATGATCACAATACTACCCATATTTGTATGTGACTCATTAACATTCCACCATATTACTGATATTTATACATGCTATTGACATTGATGGTTCCAATACCAGCCAGTTAACAAGGAATGACAGGCTTATTACGTGTTCAGCACTTGACGTATTTAAAATACATAGGTGAGTAAGAAAACTGCTGTGATAAGAAACATACATTTATGACTGTGTATACATAGTCTTTTTCCCTTGTAAAATGGTGGTTAGCAAATTTTAAAAAATTATTTCCTAGAGGTTAGCTGTGGGAGGTCATTGAAGGAAACCTGAGTTGGAAGAGGAAGGAACTAAAGTCAGAACAAGGGCTGAGTCTGTTTGCAAATGAACCGTGAATAAGAAGTAGCATCAAATAAGACAAGGAAATGCAGCAGGTGGCTCAGCTGAAGAAAAGAGAAGTCTGCTCACATAAGGGTCTGGACTGAGGCTGGAGGGTCAGGGACTCAATCATAAAACTACCCTGTATGGACATGCTTTAGAAAAGATAAGTAGGAAAGTATAAATAGAGAAAAAAAAGGTGGCAAATGCTCCAGGGCGCAGAAGCTCCAGAAACCTCCACTTCACTGAGGAACTGCATCAATCTCTGGGGACAACATCAGGGGCTTCTTTTCCCTGATTCTTTTCCTCTGTCCCTGACTGAGACAGAGGGAAGAACTGAGTGACAGGGGGCTGTGGCCAGAGAAGCTTAGTGCCTTCCATCCAGGCTTCCACTAGAAGAGACCTTCTTGAGCTTGTTACCAAACTCTGTGGGCCAGTCCAAAGCTTCCTTCAATTAAGATGCCAAAGTGCCTTTAGCTTCCGGGTGAGAAAAGATTAAGGTGAGAAGGATGGCTAGAGGATGAGGGCCCCCAAAATGGACCTTGAAACCTAGATATTGCTGGGTGAAACCAAATCTGTGGTCTGCTATCAGATTCTATGCTTCCGTGTATTCTTATCTACTAAAAAAAGCTTTCTCCATATAGAATGGCAGCTTTCAAAATTGTTAGGCTAATGTATATTCTTCTAGTTTGGGAGAATATTGAGATTTCTCATTTAACAAACTATAACCATCTGGGATTTTTCCTGGAGGAGATGTCACCTCTTGTGGGACAGAAAATGGAAGCAAGACTTGAGATAGCGCCTAGGACACTGGGGAGCAGAGGCTTCCATCGTGCTTGAGGTACAGTGTTTCTGGTTATGCAGGGAGGGATGGGATGCAGAAAGGTCAGAAAGATGGACACATACTAAGATAATGGACAGACAGACAGACTAGCATGCCCCACCCTCGCCCCAGAACATACCTTGGGAATATGTGGACCTGAGCTGGGGAGAGGAGCTGTATGTGTGTGAGTAGATGGCCCGAGCTGTGCCTGGCAGCCAGGAACTTGGGTTGGAGACCTGGCACCTGTTCGTCCTCTGCATCACCCTCTGCATGCAGATTGTGAGTGACAGGACGGTGGCAGTGGCTGTGGCCTAGCTGTGGACTCCTGGGGTAAAGCAGAGCTTGAGTTTCAGGCTCTGTTGCATGACTCTAAAGTGGACTACACCAAATTGGCCCAATAGACTGTCAGGGACAACACGTGGCTGCAACCATGACAACTGTCACATGGAGTTCCCCAGAGAAAGAAGCGTGCTCGCTGCTTCCTGTCTTTGCAGGGATTTAATCAGACCTCCTGGAAAGAGTAAGACCCCAAAGCTTGTGGACTTGTCACAGGAATATGAGATCTATAGAGGAGAACATTTTTTTTGTTGTTGTTGTTCCCATGGCTGTTGTTTTTGTTTTGCTTTTTAATTTTTTATTTCCATAGGTTATTGGCGAACAGGTGGTGTTTGGTTACATGAGTAAGATCTTTAGTGGTGATTTGTGAGACTTTGGTGCACCTATTACCTGAACAGTATACACTGCACCCTATTTGTAGTCCTTTATCTCTCACCCCCTTCCCACTATTTCCCCCTGAGTCTCCAAAGTCCATTGTGTCATTCTTATGCCTTTGCATCTTCATAGCTTAGCTCCCACTTATGAGAGAACATACAATGTTTGGTTTTCAGTTCTTGAGTTACTTCACTTAGAATAATAGTCTCCAATCTCATCCAGGTCGCTGCAAATGCCATTAATTCATTCCTTTTTATGGCTGAGTAGAATACCACAGTTTCTTTATCCACTCATTGACTGATGGACATTTGGGTTGGTTCCCCGTTTTTGCAATTGCAAATTTTGCTGCTATAAACATGCATGTTCAAGTATATTTTTCGTATAATGACTTTGTTTCCTCTGGGTAGATGCCCAGTAATGGGATTGCTGGATCAAATGGTAGTTCTACTTTAAGTTCTTTAATGAATCTCCACACTGTTTTCCATAGTGGCTGTACTAGTTTACATTCCCACCAGCAGTGTAGAAGTGGAGAACATTTTTATCTATTAAAGAACCATTTCAAATATACAAAAGATAATAAAATAATCAGTAGTTTATATATGCAGAAATAATATATAAATATTATATAATATAAACTATATAAATAATATATGTAAATAATAAATGATTACCTAGAATTATATTATTTATAATATAAGTAGTAAATAATATATAAATATTATATAATTATATGATAAATTATTACATATATGTAGGAAAAACACACTGTTTTTCTTCTGCCCCCACACCACAAAGTAAAAGTTTCCCCCACACACCAAGCAAGCAATCATTTCTGCAGCAGACACCAGCTCCTGTGCTCCAATTAGGTTCCTTTCTGACATGACCTACCTGGAGACAATGTCAGGTCCCCTAAATTGAGGCTCAGTCCCACAAGACTGCACCCCACTTCCAATGCCAATCTCAAACCCCAAGTTGTTTTATCTGTGCTTCTAATTGAGTGCCTATAAACTGGGGGATCCCATAACCCCCTGTTTGGGTTTGACTGATTTGCTAGAGTGGTTCACAGAACTTCAAAATAACACATTCATCCATTTATCAAAAAAGATATTACAAAGGGGATAGATGAAGAGATGATGCATACGAGAAAGCACATGGAGGGGCGTGGAGCTCCTAGCTCTCCCTGGTGTGCCACCTTCCACATCTCCATGTGCTAAGCCATCTGGAAGCTCATCCTATCCCGTCCTCTTGGGCCTTTTACAGAGACTTCATTGGACAGGCATGATGGAGGCATGGACAACCATGTGGAGATGTGACTGGACACAAAGGGTACCATCCAACACTAACACAGTGGGGAGCCCAGCAGGGCCTCTCTGTCCAGATTCTTCTTGACCTCTCTGTGTGGCATTTCTTCCTCCTGGATATGGGGCAGGACCTCTTCTGAAATAGGGTCTTATGACCTACAGTCAGGGAAGGTAGGTAAGAGATTTTCTTTATGGTCTAAGAAAGAAGAGTGAGGGAAGATTCCTGCCTCAGGAAGAAAAAGAAAAAGAAGTAGGTAAAAGAAGGGCAGGAAAAGTTCAGAGAGAGAGACTGTTTTCTGAGGCCTGCTCCTATGGAGTAAAGCACCCAACGTTTTAACAAAAGACTCTTTCACCTTTATGGCTCTGAAGCTGCTCCAGGAACCAAAGCCAAAAAGCCAAATACCTTAACGAAAGATATGCTTATTGCTGTAGTCACTTAAAAAATAACCAGGGCTGTGGGAGTTATAAGCCAGGTGCCGTGGATGAAAACCAATAATATATATCATAATATCACAGTATCGGATGCCCAGATTCAATAAACGCTAAAGTTTTGTCATATTTCCTCAGATGAAAAACAATACAATTGCTCATAGAGCTAAAGTATTTGTAATCCATTTTCACTGCCTTCTCTTCTTCCCTTCTTCCTCTTTCTACTCTTCTATAGGTGGTGTGAACCTTCTTATCTGTGCTTTTATACACTTACTGCCCGTGTGTGTTCATAAATGGTATATTGATGTGTTTGAAATATATATCAATATTATATTTTATGTGTCCTTCTTCAATTTCACTCAACATTAACTTTTGAAGTTTATTCATTTGATACAATAGAATTAGATCTAGTTCATTTGTTTTAATCTCTCTCTCTCCCTCTCTCTATATACTATATATGTGTCTATACATATAACACTTTGTATACTATTTACATATTTTACTTCATCCATTTTTCTATTAAAGGATGATTGGTTTGTTTCCAGTTTTCACATTTTTTAATTTAATTTTTAAATTAAATTAGAGTTTATTTTTGTATAATGTGTGCTGTGGTATTTCTGCATGTCACAGTATCATTCTGGGATAAAATATCTTTTTCTTTACTGTTTTGTAAGGCCTCCTGTTTTCTATTTCAGGTATTGATGTGCTTTATGACTAATATTTCATTAATCTATGTGTTTATTGCTGAACCAATATAGTATTGTTTTAATTATCATAGGTTTATGGCAAGATTTGATATTTGATAGGGCAAGACCCACACCTTTATTCTTGAAAATTAGAAAGCTGTGATTTATATGTTGAGCTTATGCTTTAAGACATTTTTCTTTTTTTTTTTTTGAGATGGAGTCTCGCTCTGTCACCCAGGCTGGAGTGCAGTGGTGCAATCTCAGCTCACTGCAAGCTCCACCTCCTGGGTTCACGCATTTCTTCTGCCTCAGCCTCCCGAGTAGCTGGGACTACAGGCGTCCACTACCACGCCCGGCTAATTTTTTGTATTTTTAGTAGAGACAGGGTTTCACTGTGTTAGCCAGGAAGGTCTCGATCTCCTGACCTCGTGATCCGCCCGCCTCAGCCTCCCAAAGTGCTGGGATTACAGGCATGAGCCACCGCACCCGGCCTAAGATACTTCATTTAAATAAAAACCAGGTGTGAACTTACTCTGACCACAAGCTGAGGAATTGGGATATAGCATCTACAGTCTGTATTTGGTCCTTAAAACAACCTTGTCGGATTGAAAGTGTTATTCCTATCTTAGACATCATGAAACTAAGAATTGGTGGTGTTAGGTAACATGTCTGTGTGAAGACACTCAGGAAATGGCATGTGCAGAATCTCTTTGACTTGCATGTGTATTAAAGATATTTTCTACTAGATCATGTAGTACCCTTCAAGAAGCCCCGTGATAAATGATTGCCTCTCTCCTTGAGCAAGATGAACTATCTCTGTTTTCCTCTTTGGAGTGTAGGAAACTTGGTTTCAAATTTGTGCTTAATAATTTAACTCAGAAGTTTCTTATGATTCAATTATCTATGTACTACTTTTTATCTCTTTTCTTAATACCCCATTCTAATTTGCGTTTTTCTTGTCTTGATTTTTACGTATTTATTCCTAATGCGTTGTGTTAATGCATGCAGATTTTATTGCCAACCTTAAATAATTTACAAATAAAAAAAGAAAGAATACATGTTCTGTTACAACAAGGCTTTGCAAGTTTTAATGTGCATTGGAATCATGTGGGATCTTCTTGAAATGCAGGTTCTCAATCAATAAGTCTGGGGTGGAACCTGAGACTGTGTCTCTAACCTGCTCCCAGATGGTGCCTATGTTGCTGACCTAGGGTCACAGTTTGAGACGCAAGGCTCTGCACCCAGGATGAGAAGGTATTGAGTAATGAGATCACTGGGATTCCCCAGAGGAGAGATAGATGCCCATAGCAGGCTGAGAATCATTATTAACAGCTCTCAGGTTTTCTGAATTTTGACGTGAAGCTGGGAAACAAAGTTCTTCAGTGTGGTCTACTTTCAGCTGCCTTTCCCAGCCAGGACAAAGGCTTTTCCAGCTAAGAAGGATCATATAGGTAGAGGGGGTGTTCTTCCTTCCTAATAGCAGGTCTCAATTCTGGCTGCACATTAGAATCAACAAGGGAGCTTTTAAAACTTGTTTTACCCAAACCACGCTTCAGCCCAATTAATCAGAATTTCTTGGAGCAGGGCCTCAATATTTTTTTAAAGTTTCTCAGGTGATTTCAAAGTGCAGGGAAGGTAGAGAATTCTGCTTCACAAAGATAAAGAGAGATGATCCCTGTGACCCGTTTTTCAAGAGAATCCTGCCCTCCTAGCTGACTCTCCTTTTGAGGAGGGGGAGGTCCCTCGTCAGTACCTTGCGGCCTCCTTCCAGGGCCATGCCAGCATCTGGTTATTGTTTTCAAACTATTTCTACTATCAGGTTCCTGAAATTCCCCCTGTTGGGATCCCATATCAGGCTGGGTTCCTTGAGAAACTTCCCATTTTAAGATCCAAGTACAAATTAAAGAGTAAACATTTTAAATAACAGATTTATTGGTACTTAAATAATTATGGACCAAATCTTTTGCTTCTTCATCAATATATGCTTCAATCTGCATCTCCATTTCTTTGTCATTATTTTTCATGTCCAAATTAATTGTATTGGAAGGCAAGATTCACATTTTCTCTTTAAACATCTTATTTTAATGGTGTGGAAATTAGATAGTTTGAAATCTACATGACCCTGGAATTGAATCTCAGCTCCTCTAAATGTTAATGGTGTTAAAGGGCAAAGTTTGTCATAGAAAAAAGCCTGAATAATATGTATTTCACCTGTGTCGTGTCAAACCCTGATTGGCTGCACTCAGAATGTCACCAGGTTTAAGAGGCTGAAGAAGAGATCCAGAGCCAGCAAATGAGACCTGGGGTTTTATTGGGGGCTTACATACAGGGGAGAAAGTCCAGTGGCAGGGGCTGGGCAGGATAACAATACTGCCCAGCAGCGGTGGGCTAGGCAGGAGAACTGCAGTGGCTTGCAACAGGCATGCAGTTTATACAGCATGTTTTCACTCAGTACCCTCCCCATAACGACCTCCACCTGGCATCCTTCATTCAAGTCAAACTCGGGGCCTCGAGCCCCTGTATGGCCTGTGTTCCTTGGGATGGGATGGGACAGATGTTGGGGGGCTCAGACGTTCCTCATAGGCGAGGAACAGATCTCCAGGTTGGCCACTCCTGGATTCCGTAGCTGAGAACACGCATTCAGGTGTGTCTGCCACACAGGGTCATTCTCAGGGTATGCTTAAGGTATTGCTAGGAGGTGCGTTTACCCTACAACATGGTTGATAAATGAGTTTAAAAAGTTAAATTATCTAAATGAGAATATGTGACAGAATTTCCTTCGTTTCATGGAAACTCAAATCTTAGCTTCCTTCCTTCCGCATTTAGAAAGAAGATGCAATATATACTTTCATATAATCAATACCCTTCCTTCTCCTAAAAAAGATTTAAGGAGACTGAAAGGAACAATATAAAGCCAATGTACAAACAAATATTTAATGGAAAGCATGCGCCTGAATGAGATCATTCTTTTAGAGAAATAACTGTCACATTCCACCATTAAGAAGTGATGTGTTCTCCATAATCTTAATCCAAATGCATAAGTTTTGAATGGAAGAATTGCTGCTAAAATTCCTAATGAAACATAATTACTTTTTCTCTTTTAAACTGAAGTCTGTACATTGCAAAAAATTAAAGACAAATATGTTTATCTTTTTGTGCAAAAAATTAAAGACAAATATGTTTACCATTTTTTTGTTAAATTTCAGGGCTATTTTGAAATTTGGTATTACTTTAAATATAGACAAAGAATTAGATTTATTGTTTTAGAAAGAAATCCATTCCCATTCAATTAGATTATTTTTTAGTGTTAGATTTTTTTCTCCATAAGAGCAAGTAGATTTACATATTTTTATTCTCAGAATTCTAATTACCAGTATATTTGGATATGCAGTTGTGAAATGAGAACATATTACGTGTTCTCAGAAAGAAAGCCTTGGTTCTGAGCTACAGGAGGGATAATCTTGAATATGACTGTTTATTTCCCCACTCCATAACCTTGTTTCTACCCCTTCTTTGTAAACAGGTTGAACACCATATTTAATTTTGAAGCTAATAAAATGTTTTATTTTGTGGGATTTTATAGCTCCTTTTGTAATATGGAGATATAGGGGTGAAAGTCAGTGCCTCATATATAAGGATTGCAAATTCAAATAGGAGCTGTGGTAACTTAAAAAAAATAAGTAAAGTGGCACTGCATTTCCTTTAGAGCACACAGGAATAATTTTCACTCTCACAAAGAAGCCCAAGCTCATTATTCTTTAAACATGTGGTGTATTGCTTATCATTTTTCCCTGGGTACAGAGAAATATTTATCTACAAAAAGAAAAGAAACAGTACAAACGTGATGCTAAGTGGCATATGCTATGTTAACTTTAGGTCATGGAGACTGTAGGGAATGGTGAGGACTGTGGCAAACAACAAAACATGTCCAATGGTGGGCATGTGTGAATGAAGCCCAGTGTCAGCAGGCCTTTTGAGTTTCCAAGAGAAAGAAGCAGTCCAGATTTTTACATTGAAATGTTGTAATTTTAAAATTATATCCATTAAAAAACAATTTATGGGACAAATAAAACACGACTGCCAACGAAATTCAGCTAGAAGACCACAAGTGTGCAACTACTGCTTGGAGAAAAAAATAATGCAAGAGGTCCACATGGGAGCAATTCTAGTGAGGTATTTGATGTGCAGATTAGATCCTTCCTAGAATAAATTGCTGCACTTTCAAGGGAAATACGAGATGCTGTGTGTGTGTGCATGTGTATGTGTGTGTGTGCGTGCGTGTGTGCGTGCGTGTGTACACAGTGGGCTTGTCAGAAAATCCATTTGGTTGAATGGGACACTATACGAAGTATATAACACTTTTGCAATGGAATGTTGAGGGTTCATGGTGTGTATCTGGAGCAAGTAGGGATTCTAGAAAGGAACTATTCTCTATTCTATATTCTAGAAAGGAGCTAATCTCCACCATCCAGTGTGGTGGAGGGTGCCACCGTTTAGTCACTCAGGACTTAGTGGGGCTCCCAGAGAAAATGCCAGGGCGTAAGGGGGATGCTATTCCAGATAAAGGGCAATAATAAGCATAGGGGAAGCAGCCTCCTGTCAAGAGTAAACTAAACTACGTTTGTGGAGGTGGTTTTGTAATATGGACAAATGTTATATAGGACATTTCTGCTCAGAATGGGCCAGATCAATGTCTCTCAAGGCCTTGCCTTGTGCTTGTCTCTAGCATCGCAGATTGTTGCTCCTACCCTCCCTGTCCACCATCCTCCCTGCTTTCATATTCTTCTTATTCTCCTGGAGAAGTGGAGAGAAGTTTTCAGGCTCACCACGGCTCCACTGTTCAGGGTCCTGGCCCACAAGCTCATGTGGGTCAATCACTTTTTTATACTTGTAGACTGAAAAGCAGCAGCTGTCCTGCACAATATTTAGTGAATTCTGAATGTGTACTACAGGCATTTTTTTTTAAAGCAGGGACTTTCCCCATGTGAGAGAAAGAAAGAGAAATTTGTATTCACACTGCTTCGTGGAATTCTAAAATGTGTTTTGGGGGGATACAATTCAAACACTAAAATAATCCATTTCATGCATATTAATTGATTTTTACATGAAAACAATTCCCATTTGCATGAGAGCTTTGGCAAGTTTAGAGTCTGGGGAAGATGTTATAAGCAGTAGTGGAGAAAAATAAAACTAAACATTGCACTATGTTGGCAAGAGCTTAGGAAGACAAACTCAGGCTTATATTCGTTTTTCCTGCTGTCAGTGGCAGAAGTCCGATGGTTCTCTTGCCCATTGTAGGCCACTCTTTCCCTTTTATTCTCTATCCACAGTCTCAAGTTTGTGGTTTGAGTCTGAGCCTCTTCTATTCTCTAATGATCATCTCTCCTTAGGTGAGTGCCTATCCTATGGAAATAAAAGATATGTTGCTGTCTCTCAAACCCATTTTCATCTAATTGACACTCTATTCTGATGCCCCACTCACACACAAACTTCACCTCCAAATGATTTAAACAAAAGGACATTTATTGACACACGTATCACAGGCAAACACAAGTAGGTGAGCTCCAGGGCTGGCTTAATCCAGCGACTATGGCTCCGATTGGCAGTGCTTCTCTTGTCTCTCCCCTTCCCACGCCATGTGCCAGTTTTGTCCGCTAGCTGTTAGTGACAGGGCTTCTGCAGTTTGAGACCTTAGATCCTCACTCCTCGATGTCCACAGAAAAGAAGAAGGATAAATCCTGGACCCACTCTCAGGAGACAGAGGAAGTATCTTTCCCCAAAATTCCCAGCAAAGCGCTCTGTGAGATTTGCTGTTCTAAACTGGGACATGCCTGTTCCTAAACCTGTTCTTCCAGGACAATTTCCACGCAGAGATTGTTTTTGCCTTCTCATCCCTAAATCACTCATGTGGTTAACATGCGAGAGAATGCACGCCTGTGACACAGCCTCAGGAGGTCCTGATGACTTGTGCCCAAAGTGGTAGGGACACAGCTTTGTTTTATATATTTTAGGGAGACATGAGACATCAATCAATACATGTAATATGTATATTGGTTCCATCCAGAAAGGTGTGACAACTCGAGATGACCTTGGAGAGGTTAGCCAATAGTTTTCATCTCTATCTGATTTGTACTCCTTTTTTAATATTAAATTTTTATATTGTTCTCTTTATTATTAAGTAAAATCCATAAAGAATTAAACTTAACTAAATGTTTAACCTCACAAAATTGATATAATATCCAAATTATAATATAAAAGAAATGAAAGGAGTTCATGATAAAATAATATATATTTCAATCTGCAAATGGTGGGGCATGATCACACTAGAACCTCATTACTCAAACTGTGGTTCAGGGATCAGCATCAACACCTGCTGGAAACATGTTAGGAAAGCAGAACCTCAGGCCTCAGCCTGGACTTACTCAATGAGAATCTGTGTTGTAACAACATTCCCAAGAGACTCAGAGTGCACATTAAAGCTTGGGATATGCAGTGCTGGAAGACATAATGTAGTCAGATGTTTCTCACTACTTGTAGAATCATGGTGAATATGACAGCTGCAAATGTGACTATACAGATGTGTTGTGTTGTCAACTCAAACATCCACTGGTGATATGATTTTTGGAAATGATGAATAACTCTTGAGCTGAGAACAAAACAAAGTACAAGGTACCTCCATTTGCATAATGTTTGCATTACCAGAAATATAACGTATAATAAATGATGCAAAATATGCTTTGTGTTTACATGTCAAATGGAGTTAGGTCTTTAGACTTGTATAATTATAAATAGGGTTTATGTTGATTCAGGTTTTTTTTTTTAATACCAGGTAGAATATTTGAAAGTAGTGCACATTATAGGACAATTCTTCAGGCTTTCTTGTATTTTCTGTGAAAATCTCAAGTACCCATCTTGCCTAGGACAAACTTTAATTTGGGGTAGAGAATTCAGCTTTTCTAAACTGGCAAAGCTCAGTTTTTGTTCAGGTCAGGTTCTAAAAGGGCCTGCTGGAAGTTTCCAAGGATTTCCTGCAGAGGACATGCCCAGACTATGAATCACGTGGGGCATCCATTCACAAGAATAAGGGAGTAGATTGTATTCAGATGTTGTCTCTTACAGTCAGCTATGTCACTCGTTAAGACGAATGTGTGCAGATGTGTCTGCTCTATTGGTAATTACCCTGAGTATGGGGACCTCGTTGTTTTTGTGCACTGATATGTTCCCATTCCCTAGCCTAATAGTTTTCCACTTTAGCAGCAATCAGAATCACCTGGAAGTCTTGTTAAACCACAGATGGTTGGGCCTCATCCCCAGGGTCTCGGATTCAATAGGCCCAGTGTGGCCTGAGAATTTGTATTTCTATTAAGCTCCCGGCTGATGCTTCTTAAATTATCCAAGGTCCAAGGGTTACACTTTGAGAATCAGTGGCTCAATAAACATTTATGAATGAATGGATTGTAGCCAATCAACTGGTCAGTCAATAAATACTTATGGAGTGGGTACTAGTGCCAGGCTCAGGAAATAAATCAGACACCATCCCAGGCCCTCAGGAAGAAACTTCAAGTGGCTGAGAATAAATAAGTGCTGTATGTCTGAGTGTCCTAGCAGAAAACAGTCAGCATACTAAAAGTGGGTAATCAAAGAAAGATTAATGAGGGGAGACTATTTGCAGTGGGGTGGACAGAGTTCATGGAACCACAGGGATGGTAATGCATGCAGGGACTAGATAGAGCAAGAAGGTTTTGTCACTCCCAGGCCAGAAGGGGCAGAAAAATTGAGAGCTGTGGCCCTGGGAGAGGGGGTCCCCGACAGGAGCTGGGGCCCTAGGTAGAGGATCCCAGAAGCTATTACACTGCAGTCCTTCAGGGATAGAGTGGTAGAAGATAAATCTTCTCAGTCCTTACTTGCCATGCCCTACAATCTCCGTGACTTTCATGTAGGGTTACCAGATAAAATATAGAACACCCAGTTAAATTTGAATTTCAGAGAAATAAAGAAATTTTTAAATATTAGTGCAATATTTGGATATACTTATACTAAAAAACAAATGACTCATTTGTCTGAAATTTCAAACTGTGTTGCCATTGTTGAATCTGGCAACCCTATCTCCATGGGTAAATTTAACCGGAAAACCGGAAAGCAGGGCACAGTGAGAGTTGCCATCCATAAAACTCCCAGGGCATGGAGCAGGATGGAGACATGGGATCTGGAGAAAGGAAGGATTTTCAAAGTTGGAAAATAATGACATGTTACATGATCTAGTGCAGAGAAAAAAATGGATAATTTAAGAGAAATTGAAGGCATTCACTAGAAGCCTTAGAAAAGAGCGTGCACTTGTTATCTCTCGTGACAAGAGTACAGGTAGCATATGTGAGCAGATCTTTACAATGGCCTACAAGCAGGACAGGATATTCCCCTGCCATTGCCATTTGGTTGTCATCTACTACTCTCCCCCCTCACCCTTCTTGCTCCCAAAACAATGGCCTCCTTGTTCCCTGCTATGGTTTGATAAGCAAGAATGTTCAAAGGTGGCCCTGGAAGCTCACTTGGGGTGACCTACACAATGAATTGTTTGGAATGACACTGATCTGGCAGACGGGGCTTCCCCAAAACTTAGCTTTCCTTGGGTCTGTTGGCTTCTTTCCCCGACAGGAGGGGCTACAAATACTCATGGACCCCAAGATCCCCAAATAACTTTAGCAAACATCTTACACCTCAAATCCCACCTGCTTGCCTCCAAGCAGCACTTATTTCCCACTGAGAAGGTCACCCTCACCTTCCCAGGGAATTGAGTCACTCCATGGGAGGACAAGCCCGTTGTGTGTCAAACCCCAGCGTGCCTCATCATGAGATGAAGAGAGATTAGGAAATTGTATGCCGTTTCCAATCCTGTGGACTCCTCACTTGTAAGATTCCCTAATAAAGCCTGTTCCTTACTTATTCTGTAGATGTCGTGCAGTTTATCTTTGGCTCAGCTGAACAATCCCATATCAACCCAAGGACATTCAATATGGATGACCCCTTGAACATTCCAAACGTGCTCCTGCCTTTGTACCTGGTATACACATCACTTGGTGTATATTCTACCTGTAATATACTTTCCCAAGATAAGTTTATGGAGCATTCCCTCACTTCCCTCACATCTCTGCTAAAATATCTCCTCATTAGAAAGACCTTCCCTGATAACCAAAAATGAAATAGTAATTTGATCTCCCCCTGCAGCTTTCCTTTTTATATTCTATATTTTATTTGTGTATTGTCTGTCTTCTCCAACTAGAATGTAAATTACTTGAGAACTGACACTTTATTTTGTTTCCTGATATACTCCCAATGCCTAGAAGAGTACCTAATATGTAGTAGATGCTCAAAAATATTTGTTGAATGGATGCATGCAAGAAAAAAGATGGCAATTAAGTGGACAAGGAATTGTAGGCATAGCAAGATTGAAAATTAGAACTTCTTCTAGGAAGTTACATCTGTGAGAGGGCAAGAGAATATAGTATTTTGGATTAGGTTGGAAGAGATGGGATAGGAGAGAATCCTATTAGGATAATTAGGATAATTTTTGGAGAAGAGGTTGATAGGGCTTGCTGGTGGATTAGATTTGGTGAGTACAGGGAAGAGAAGAGTCAAGGATAACTCTCATCATGAACAGTTGGGTGGATGGGCTTTCCATTTACTGAGATGGAAAAGGCTTACAGAGAAGCTGACTGGGGTGGTTTTGGAGGAAAATCAAGAGTTTGGCCATGTTATGTTTGAGATATCTGGTAGACATCCAATTGTAGATGTCAAGTAAGAATTGGTTATAGTAGGTTTAATTTGCAGTGAAAAGTCAGTGATGGAGATGAAGATGTAAGTTTGGGAGTTCTATATAATTTTCAAAATCAAGGGACTGTTTCAATTCACATAGAGAAAATACCTTGAAAGTGGAAAGAAGGGAGGCTCAGAAAGAGAGTCCTGTGATTGCCAGTAGTCAGAAGCCAATGAGAAGAGAAAAGGCAAACAAAAAGATGGAGAAGGAACAGTCAATGAAGAAGTAAAATAAAAACAGAAGTGTGCTAAGTCTTGAATAAGAGAAAAAAAGTGAAGATGCGGAGGTTAATTAGTGTAAATTTTATGGAGGGAAAATGGCAATATGTATCAGTGTCTTAAAGATAATCACACTTTTTATTAAGTAAGTCAACTCCTAGGAATCTAGCCTATAAAATTCTAGAACTGGTGGAATAAGATTTATACACAAGAGATTTTCACTGAAGCATTATTTCATAATAGCCAAAGATTATGCACAACATAAATGTCCAAAAATAGGGGATTGGTTAAATAAATTGTGATACAGCCATACAATTGAAAATTATGCAGTCATTAAATTATGTTTATGAAGAGCTTTTAATGAGCTAAAAAAATGCTTATAAGATGATATAATGTTGAGTGAAAAAATAGCATGCAAAATTTTATATACAGGATCATCTCAATTATTTACTCATACATACTCATTGAAAATTGCTGGAAAGAAATATGCTAAAATATTTTGAATGGTTCCCTGTAGGTTATAGGATTATGAATAATTATTATTTCTCTTTGTTTTAAAATTGCATTTTGAATCATCATGTATTTCCTCTATAAGCAGAAAACATTAAAAAAATTCTTCCTTACATTGAGTTGAAATCTCCCTCCCTCTTATCTAAGTCATTGCTTCCTGTGCCTCCATAGAGATAGAGGGGTAAGCAAATCTACTCCTTCTTATATAGGACAGTGTTCGAATATTAGAAGAGAGCTGCGAACCAAGAATTTTAGCTTTACCTGTTGATATAGTTTGACTGTGTGTCCTCACCTAAATCTCATGTTGAATTATGATCTTCAGTGTTGGAGGAGGGGCCTGGTGGGAGGTGATTGGGTCATGGGGGTGGATTTCCCCCTTGCTGTTCTTGTGATAGTGAGTGAGTTCTCATGCGATATGATTGGTTGTGTAGCACTTCTCCTATCACTCTCTGTCTCCTGTAGCCATGTGAACTCTCTCTCCTGTAGCCATTTGAAGACATGCTTGCTTCCCCTTTGCCTTCCACCATGATTGTAAGTTTCCCGAGGCCTCCTCAGCCATGCCTCCTGTACAGCCTGCAGAACTGTGAGTCAATTAAACCTCTTTTATCTATAAACTACCCAGTCTCAGGAAGTTCTTTATAGCAATGTGAGAATGGACTAATATACCTGTGACTCCACATCACCCTGCCTTTCAAGCTCCTGAACAAACCATCCACATTTCATCCACAGCTCCTAATTGTGTTTTCTATGCCATTTACTATTACTAAATGCTTAGCCTCTCTGAACTTCAGTTTTCTCACATGCAAAGTGGGGATAAATTGCTGGGATGACTTCATTTCATGAAATCCTATGTAATCTAAGTGCTATACAAATTAGAAGGCGTGAACACTCATGAAAGGATGATCTGAGAGAGAGTGGAAGGGAGGGAGAAGAGAGGAAACTGGAGAGTGCCCAGCTTGTCAGTAACTAAGGAAGTGGCCATGGCCACTCATCAAGGCTCCCCTCCATCAAGGGATTCTGATAGCTCCTGAACTGCCTCCCCAGAGAGTCAGAAAGAAGTGAGGTGAAAAATACAAGCACCTTTGACATGTGAGTAAGCACAGCCTGTATGCAAAAATGAATTCTTTCCACATTGAGATCTTCCCATTCATTCCACATACCCATCCCCTAATGTGACAGGATGCCCTGGGGACTTGTGTTGCTTGCAGAGATGCGTGTCATGCAAGGCAGGTGTGGCCCTTCTCCAGTGAAGTGGCTGCATCTCCAACATTGAGATCTTACCCACATGGCCAATTCCTATCTCTCTCAAATCATGCCACTCCTGGGTATTCGTTAGGATTCTGCTCGGCTCCCAGCTTATCCCTGAAGGTTGGAGCCTGACAGACACAAATCCATGTCATTACTCTAATAATTGTTTACTCACTATGAGACTTCAGCCATATTATTAATTTTTCTGACCCTTAATTTCTACATTTATAAAGTATGCTTAATAATAACTACTTCTTATGGCTCTATAGATTCAGTGAGTTAACATATATAAAGTTCTTAACACAGTCTATTATACAGGAGAAAATTCATATATCTTAGTTTTCTCCTTCTCTCTTTTTATCCTGTCCTTTTTTTCCTATATGTCACAGAAATCATTCCTGTTTTCATAATTTCTTTTGCACTACCTTCTGCCTAAAATAGTTTCTCCTATTTCTCTGAAAGTCCAGATCCTACTCATCCAAAATGATACTCAGGCCATAAACTCCATGTGAACTTCTTTCCTGAAATATTTCTTCTTCCCCTGAATACATGCAGAATTTATTTATTCCTCCCTTTTGGAACTTGTCGGTTCCTAACTTGTGCTTCTGCTTTGTAGTTGTATTTCTTTCTATTGGCTAAAATAGAACTCTTTGAGAGCTGGAGTGACGGTAGCATGATGGATCTGTAAGGTCTTGTAATCTCACATGACTTCATTTTAAATATGGAGAAACTGAGACACAAAGACATGACCTGCATATTCCCAGGTTGCATATTTAGTTGAAGACAGAGCCGGGAGAGGGATTAGACTTTCTGACAACTTTGTCCAGTGGTTCACACCAATGAAAGTGGCTGATTTGCTGCAGGACTCTTTATCCTGGAACATTCTCTGCCCAGGGCTCTCCTTAATCAAAAGGCAGTAGAGTAGCAGTTTGGGACTTGAAGTCTGATACTTGGGCTTAGCCCCTGTTGCTGCTGAGTGTGGAGTTTCTCTTAGGTCATTTTCTTACTGTAGATCAGTGAACTGTTGTTCCTCTCTTCCCCAGCCTTCGCCAGTCTCTTACCCCCACCGGAATGATGACTTAGCCATTTGGGAAAGGAGGTATAATAAAAGGATTAAAAATTACCCCCCACCCCTACTCCAGGACTGGAGGATAAGACAGTTCTCAAATTTGATTAAGTGAATGGCTAGGTGACTATTTTCTGTGGGAGGTCAGGCCCTGACCATGCTTTTGAGTTAGGTATTCTGGTTTATTCTTGATGGTCAACTGATGACTTCTGTTTTCTCTTTGCCCATGAAAGGAATTTTTTCTCCAAACTGAGCTGAAATATCATAGGTATAATATGGGTCGATCAGAAAATTTATTGATAATTTACAATTAAGGGCCCAAGTACTGCTACAATTTTTGTTTTCAAACCAACATTTCTATCTGTCTTCTTTAGAAGGTTCTCTAATTAATTGGCATGTAAATGAGGCATCAGGGCTCTGGGTTTATCAAGGGCTTCGCATAGTTCTCAAAGACTTTCTCATCTCATTTTCAAGGCAATTTGCATACTTTCACTCCTAGTTCTCCTTACACTTTTCTTTGAAGAAACCTCTTATGCCCGTGGGTGTTCTGTGTCTACAACTCCCTTGACCTAACACTTGTGCTTTACTTTCTCTTGAGCAATGACATTGCCTTAGGCAAAAGTGACAAATTTCCATCACTGATGAGCCTCTTGAAAGGCTCAGAGAGTGTCTCGGGTACTGGTTTGAATTTATCTAGAGTTGGGGCTGTACATCCTGTCATCTTTAGCCATTCCAGGCACAAATTAAAGAAAAATGTGTTCTTCCACATGGAAAGAAAATAATCCTTCACAAATAAGGTTCCTTTCATTTTGCTATGCTAATGAAATTTAGATGGATCTAAATCTTTTCTTCTTTATTCTTACTATACAAATGGCATTAAACAGTGATGTACTCATGGAGGACGAGTCACTGCCTCTAGACCTAGATTTTGGTCACATTCTATTTGTTGTGGAAGAAAGGAGATGGTCACCTTTTTCTGCAGTTGAGTTTGGTACTTACTGGCCGTTACTTCTTATAAAGCTAAAATCATTTTGCTTTGAGTGCTTAGATACCCATACTGTTACCCTTTCAACTAGTATTCAACAAATACTAGTTGAATGACATTACATGCTAGCCACTGTGCTGAAATTTAATGACAGACAATGTCTGCCTCTAAAGATTTGATGGTTTAGCACCAACATTGATATTGTAGGGGGATGGAATAGGCCAAGAATTAGGAAATGTGAATGATGGTCCTGGTTTTATCATATTTTGTGGCCTGGACGTCTCACAAGTGAGGAAACTGGGTTCAAAATGTAAATCCATGTTTCATCAATTTAAGATGCTGTTGAAGTAGGAAGAACCGTATTTAATGTGCCACTAAGATAAAATAAAAACTGCTTACTAAGCTATGACAAAATGCTTTTTTATCCAGGTGGAATTTTTATTGTATATATACTGGGAGAGCTCTTTTAGACTTATTTAAACATCAGTTTTCTTCAATCATATATCCTTTTTTGGTACACAGCAAGGAAAAATCGAAACAGAATCAAACACTCTTCATAGTTATAGTCTTCTGAATCAGTTGTTAGCTCAGGGCTGTTGAGCTAACACTTTTCCACTCAACATCATCATCTGCATCATCAAGAATGCTAATGATGTATGTTTCTTTGAAAGAACATGCCACTTTTGGTTTTAGCATTTTCTTTTGAAGCTACTGACATTCATTATGCAAGTTTTGACCTTGACAGTTTCTTAGTTTTACCAGAAGGTTTCAACTGGATGTTTTCAGGAAACTACCAAGATTGATATTCCCCCTCAAATGGTCTTTGAATGCTTTCTTTGTTGACTGAAAGTTTCAACAATTGAAGTTACTCGATTATCCTACCAGTAATAAGACGTGCTCATGCACAGGCAATCTCAACTACTTTAAGCCTGCCACCTGGTTGACAATAGTTGGAAGACACCCAGTTTTCAGAGATGCTAACATGTTTGTGGGTGTGAGAGTGCGTATTATAAATGATGACTTGAAAGACAGCCTAACAAGCCATTCTAACCTATGAGAACTAATTGGTACAGCAGTCATAGATGTGACATGGCAAAGCCAGACTTCTCCACAGCCTCCATCTCTAGGAAGCAGGAAAAAGAGGACTGGGCATGATGCTTTTCATTGTTAAATTATTGGAGATGTCCTGGTGCCATGAGTGATGACTCAGGAGAGGGAGAGTGCCTGTATCTTCTTAGCATAATAAAGTCAAGGTACTAGTTCTTAAGAAAGAATCAAGCTGTCTTAACACAAGAGATGTGGATCTCTTACATGTACTAGAGAAGAAGGGGATGTAAGTTGGAAGTTAATTCTAGTGGTGGCTAAATGTGTTTATGTGCTATAAGCCTTGCTATTTGAAGCATGGTCCAAGGACCAGCAGCATCAGTACCACCTGAGAGCATGGTAGAAATGCAAAATCTTAGGCTCCACCCCAGACCCACAGACTCAGAACCTGCATTATTACAACATCTCCACTACAGTCTGAGAAGCACTGTATAGGGGAGAGTTTTCTCCCTTCAGGCAAGCACACACACACCCCCTCAGGGACACCAGAGCTCATTAACCCTTGAGAAGGAGATAGCCAATACTTGAAGTTGTTAAGTATATAACCCTGTTGAAGATTGTAATGATGGCTAAGCTTTAGTAGATTTTCTAGGGAGAAATGGGGAGTCCCAGTTTAACAAAATTGGAGACAGAACTGGACTCTATATGAAGCGGGATTTAAAGGGAGAGGCCTGTGGGATGCAGAAAAGAAAAGTTTTGTAATGACAGCTATCCCAGCGGAACACCCTCTGAAAGCCTGCCGGGAGAATATTTGAGAACTGTCTCCCTTAAAGACCCAGTGGGACACTTTACTTTGATACAAGGCACACGAGGGACAGATCAGGACAATGCCTAATTTCCCCCACCCACGTCTACTTGGAGACAATTTTTGAACTTTCACATAAAAAAAAAATCTGGAAAAAGTGTCTTTCAAACTTTCAGATATGTTTGACTTCCAGGTCACAGTAGGAGATATGCTATGCATTAGATAAGACTGAAAAGTTGCATAAAACGGTAGTCACCCTTCCTAGGTGATGCACCCTGATATTTTCTTCTATTATATTTCATTTTTTAAAAACTCCCAATGTGACCCACTAAGTTGATTTTATGATCTCCCAGTGGGTCACGGCCCATAAATGAAAATACACTAGTACAGCTGTCTTCATTTAGAGGAAAGAGAGTAGTGGTATTAGGAACAATTTGAAAAGAAGCATTCCTTCCTGTCTAAGTTCCAGTGAGATCAGGACTATCCTCAGTGTAGACACCCAAGTGGCCTGTGTACAAGAGCCCACAGATAATGCAGTGATTCCACTCTGCTGGCTCCCGGAGGAATGTCTAGAGACACGTTGTATGGAGGAGAAGAAATAAGGAGGAGCAGAAGCATCAGCATTTGCCACTTCCATGTGGATGACATCAGTAATTTGGTCCAAGGGCAAACTTTCGTGTTTGCACAATAATCATCACAAAGAAGTTTTTTTTATCGTAGGACAAAAAGTTAAAGTGAAAATATTTAGTACATTTTCTCTCAAATGGGCTTTGTATGAATAAGGTTTTGAGAGGATCCAAGAACAGACCAGATTGATCACCTTAGCAAGAACGATGGGCAGAGAGGGAAAGAAACAGAGAGGAGGCCAGAAGGACCAACATGAGAGAGCAGAGAGGAGACGGAGGGACAGGGGAAGTTTGAGAATGAAAGGAGACTGGAAACCCTGCTATGCAGTTAAGATGGTTTTTATTTAAAGTGTGGTATAATCCCTTCCTTGACATCCTACCCATCTCTAAGAAAACCTTCAGAAAAGGGCTATATTCCCCTTTAAAGCTTTTGTAGATATGTGTGTGTGTGTTGGGGGTGGGATGATGTGAGGATGGGTATTTTGTGTATGATAAAATAAGCCTTACAGTCATAGTCAAAAGGCCAATTTAATTCCGATTGCATAAGTAAAGTAAAATCATAGTTGTAACTAGTAAATTGACTCTGCTGATTGAGCAATTGAGAGGAACACCCAATAATAAAGAATGAGTGAGTTACAAGTGGGTTTCAAAGACGTTATCTGTAGATTTGATTTACGCTCCTAAGTATTTGCACACAAGACTGCAGATGTTTCCCTATAAACATTTTCTTAGCAAGGTCAAAGAGGGCCCGGTGAACAATGTAGTCTTTGTACACTTAAAATTTTAATATGGCTTTTTAAGTTTCTGAAGGCCATATCAACTTTGGTGTCTGAGATCTCTTAATGGACTACAGGGTCTAATCTCACAAAGGTCAAAAGCTTAAAGAGAAAATTGTGATTATTTTTATTTCCACAAAATGGAAAGAAACCCATAGAATACTCATAGAACAAGAGATCCTCCTCCTTCTTAAAGTCAAGTTCTCAGATGCTCTCAATTGATTAAAAAGCTTTAGAATAAGAAACGAGGCTAAAACAACATTTAAATGAGACTTTTGGGGGACAATCTAGTGTCACACACGAAGTTGAATGAACCTGTATTTCCCTAAAAGGAATGCTGGGCATACTCAGAGTGCTAAGATTATTGAGAACCGTCGCATTATTGAAGTTTAAGTTATCAGGAGAAAGCTATTTATTGGGCTTTCCTTGAACCCTAGAGCTTGATGAGATCTCTAATCCCTCTCAGCAGATAAAAGCCGTGAAGGATGAAGTAATGTGTGATATCCACTAGGGGGCAGTAAAAGCTGCAAGTGTTCCCAAGGCAGGCTCTTTAGAATAAGGTTTTAGGAGTCATGATGAGGAAGTAAGAAAAGATCCCTAAGATCCCCAAAGACAACAGATGAGCTCTCACCATGCTCCTGGTGTCACAGTGCTCTGAATGGATGTGAGAGGTAATGGGTTTGTAGCCTTCTCTGAGAATGCCTAGATAAGAACACACAGGCTCATTTCCTTCTTTTGACCTGTTGCAGAAATAAGCCAAACAGAATGTGCATACAAGCTCAGAAAATTAGTACCTGAAGTAATTTGTGCTAGCAGCTAAGGATGACAGACAATAGGCCAATCAGAACTTAGGTAGAATAGAAAATTGCAACCAACCCTCTGAGCATTATCTTTCTTCTATCTACTGATAATCATTGGGAATTATATTTCTCTTACCTTAAATATCATAATCTTCCTGATCTTCAAATGAATTGTTTTTGCAGCAGCACCAAGCTCTGTGTATAGAGATAAAGGCTAAATCTCTGACACTTTGGTCTTCTGCCTCTAAACCATCCTACTGCTTTCAAGAGTTCAGCTCTCTTCTCTGTCCCATTTCCAGTCTCAGTTTCATCATCGTAAAATGCAGGACTTGACTTTATGTTTTCTTTGATTTTCAAGTCTCCATCCCTGTCATCTTCCAGTGCTGTTCTGGGGTCACCTCCCATCAGTCCCCACAGGCAGTTCTTCCCAACTCTGCATTCAGTGACTTCAGGTTGGCAGCATAAAATCAGCCATGGTGGAAGCATTTACGCCGCAGAATTGGCAAATGATATAAACCAGGGTGCTTTCCTTCCTGGAGAGCCAGTTGTTAAACATTTATCAGCATACCAGTAAACCTCTCTCCATTCAAGTTCTAACTTTCAGCCTGATAGACATAACTATTTGAATGTATCATGACCATCTCAAACTGTACTGGCAAAAGGTAAAACCTGAGTCTCACATTTGTTTCCTTTTCCTTCTCTACCCTCTGTCTCTTTTGAGAAAGAAATGACACATTTTTCTTTTTATTTTTTTGAGATGAAGTCTTGCTCTGATGTCCAGGCTGGAGTGCAATGGTGCGATCTCGGCACACTGCAACCTCTGCCTCCTGGGTTTGAGCGATTCTCATACCTCACCCTCCCGAGTAGCTGGGATTACAGGCACGCGCCACCACACTGGGCTAATTTTTGTATTATTAGTAGAGACGAGTTTCACCATGTTGCCCAGGCTGGTCTTAAACTCCTGACCTCAGATGATCCACCCGCCTTGGCTTCCCAAAGTGCTGGGGTTACAGGTGTGAGTCACCGTGCCTGGCCAGAAATGGTGCATTTTTCAGTCAGCTAAGCATATAATCTTGGTATCAGCTTTGGTTTACATTTCTCTACCTACTGAGGCTATGCACAGTCGTAAAGATTGTTCCTTTGAAGTCTCTCTTAAAGTCACCCTTTTTTTCTCATTTCCCTTGCCAACATTTATCATGTCACACCTGAATTTATTTAAGAAACTTCTAGGTTTTTTTTTTTTTTTTTACTTCTGTCCCCTCCAATCCTATAAGTGGCAACAAAACTTTTCTTCAATCATGTCTTCACCCCAATAAAAAAACTCTCATGGCTCTGCCTCTCTGATAATATTTCATGTCTAACACCCTCTGCCTGGTTTATAAAATTCCCTCCAACCTGGCACCATGTCAGCCATCTCACAATTTTTCTTGCTCTGTCCCATCCCTCTGCCGCAATGACTCTTCCTGTCATCTCACATAAGCCTCATTTCCCAAGCTGTTCTCTCAAGGACTCGGGACACCACTGTCTGCAGCTGTAGGAGAGAAATAAAGGCCGTGACAGCTACCGATGCATCATATTAACCTCCCAGGCTTAATCCTGCGATAGGGCTGCTCTGAGTCCGCTCATGGACCCCATGAACTTTCCTCCTTTTCCATCCAGCTAAGCTCCACGTCTAGGCACTGCCTTCTTGTTTTGACTCCTTTGGGGATGCTAACCTGATTCTGACCTGTTTCAGTGATTTTGGTGGCCCCACTGAGAAGAGAATCCTAGAGGACGCTGGTCCTAGGCTGTGTGTATACTTTGTTTATATTCTAGTAACTCAACAGGCTGAACATTTTGGGCCCTATATCTTGTGCATAGAGAGAGCAGACATACTTATTTACTCCTGTTGCCCCTTCTCGTTTCTTCATTAATTTATTCAAATAAAGTTTGATAAACACATACTATGTGTCAGGCACTTGGACGGGCAAAACAGATGCAAAGCGGAAGAGGCCTGATCTCAGATTTCTGGAACAAGGGCTGAGAAATTATGACATGTGAGCCAAATCCAGCCCACTGTCTGTTTTTGTACAGCTCGTGAGCTAAGAATGGTTTTGACATATTTACATAGTTGAAAAAAGATAAAGGAAAAATAATATTTATTGGCATGTAAAAATCATATAAAATTCAAATTTCAGTGCTGATGAATAAAATTTTATTAAAACGCAGGCATGTCCATGTGGCAAGGTACTGTTTATGGCTGCTTGTGCACTACAACAGCAGAGCTGCATAGTTGTGACAGAGAATTTAGGGCCCAGAAAAAGTTGGCTGACCCTTATTCTAGGATCTCTTTATGAGTGAGTGAGGTAGACATGCAAACAGTTAATTACAATATACTTGGATGACTAATTTGATGGTGGTAGAAACAAGAGGCAGTGGGAGGAGAGGAGAAAGTCCCCGCAAGAAGCTGCATCTGAGAGCTCATGTTAGAATTGCTATGGAAGGTGAAGAGAGGCTCGCCATTCAGATCGGGTGGGGAAGGCACTAGAGCATTACACCAAAATTATGAGGACAGGAGAGAAAGAGAACATTTTCATGTGTCTGCAGATTTGAATACATAAAAGAGAACAGGTGATAAAGCAACTTAGATACAGCATATTGAGAGTTTCTGAGTGCTGTTCTGAACAGTGCATTCCAGGCCAGCAGACCCCAAGTCATTGTAAGTCTTTGTGCAAGGAGTGAAAAGAACAGGTTTACCATTTAGAAGGATCACTTAGTCACCTACTGATTTAAAATGACTCAATTCAAGATTTAAAGTTCATTTTGTCCTTCTTGAAAGTTCAATTTGGTCTATTTAAATTCTTGTCCATCCTTTAAACTTAGCTGAAGTCTTACATCTTTCATAAGAACTTTGTGAGTTTTTCAATCTTTCTTAATCTCATTCATTAGAATGCCTTGAGATGTGTTCAATAGACTTTAGAATATCAATATGCCTTTGTTTGTTTTTACTGCCATTTTCAGGTATGTGAGAGAATATTGTTTCCTCTCTTTCTCTTTTTATTACCTTTTCCCTCCATTCATTCAGCAGTGAAAAGGCAAGGTGAGTACAATATAGAAGAGATAAATTGATTAAGGTGCTAAATGGATTTGTGAAAATCTATAGATAAATGAAATCACCTAAAAGAGACTAATTGATAGGCTATTAGGCCAAAGCAAGACAAAACCACAGCCGTGTAACAGCTGTATAGATAGACTGTGTTGCCTAGAAGGTCAGTTCCAGAAACAGACACAAAAACTTCTTAAGTTCTAAAGGAAACGCCTGTCAGAGTACTGTTCAAGGAAGAGGGGTTCATGCCAAGAGCTGTTGGATAATCTGGGGTCACTGGAAAAGCAAGTCTTGTTCTGGGAAAGAGTGTGTGGTAGATTACAAATGGCCACAAATTATTTGCTACTTCTCCCCTTGAGGGCTGGCATCTGATTTCTCACCCATTGTTTCTAGACTGGCCCTAGTGAGTGCAGCAGAGGTAATAGTCTGGGACTTCTACCCAGGGTTTTTGGAACTCTGTCTGTGGAAGCCATGTAAGAAGTCTAAGTATCCTGAGACCAGCATCTAGGGGAAGCTCCATGAGGGCCCTCTGATTGGAAGCCCTAGTGGAGACCAGTCTTACAGCCATCCACATCAAGGCACTGGGTGTGTATGAGAAATCCTTTTGGACCTTCTAGACTGCACATCTGGACACCGGTTGACCTCTGATGCCACTCAGAGCAGAGAAATAACCCACCCAAGCCCTGCCGAAATTCTTGACCCATAAATTTCCGAGATAAAATAAAATGATTGTTGCGTTGAGCTGTTAGGCATTGGGGTCATTTGTTACACGGCAATATATAACAGAGCAGAATGCTACAAACTAGTTTAGCTGAAAAACAGTTATGAAAACATCAGTTTCCCTTAAATTTTCATTCATCACGTGCACTGATGATATGAAGTATTAAGGTCCATCTAATGGATACGTTTCTTAGTATAAATTAATACATTTCATTCATTTTTATTTAGGCTCTTGTGAGTTGGGACAATGTAAATTCTTCACAATGTAGATTTTTCATTGTGCTGATAAAAGCACATTTCTGGATCATATAAATTCACTATGGTAAAAATCCAACCTTGTAAGATTCTGGGGCAACCAGTTGACCTTTAATGATGATACCCTGAGTTCACTTTTACCTTTCAAACTTCAACAGGGTTATAAGTATTTTCTGTTTTAATTTTATTTATTTATTTTTCTACCACTTATTTAGGTCATTCACTGTGCAAGTTTCCTTACACACATTCTGCTGTTGATGTCTCACAATACTTCATTTCACAGAAGAGAAACCTCACACAGAGATAACTTATGGCACTTGTTCACAATCACACAGCTACTGAAGATCAAGAAACAGTCTTTGGTCCCACATCTGTCTTAGTCCAATGCCCACGAGTGCAAACATCACCCCACAGGACACCCAGGGGCTGAAAGCTCTTACCATTGTCTTGCCATAGTTTGGGGCACAAAATAGGTACTCAGTAAATATTGATTATTTGAATAACTGGTTTCTAAAACATACTAACTTTAACTACAGATGTCTTCCCTCTCTTCTTTGTGTGCTGCTGGAAGAACATTATAAATGAAATAGGATGCATACGTGATCTGTTGTCAGCCAATGAGAACTTTTGTCTTGAACTTTTGCTCAGAAACCCAAGCTTTGTCTTGAAAGCACCAAAAAAAGGAGGAAATGAAGGCAGTGGGCACATGCCCTGGAGCTTCATTTTCTCCAAAACTCTTGGTTAGATGCCGCATGGGCATGTACAAAGACCACCTGAAATCTACACATATGCTTTAATAAGAGACAGAATGACTCTTAGACTAAGCACATTTCTTCCAGGAACCCTGCTTGGTGGAGGGTTTTAACATAGCTCCCTACTCCTTACTCATTCAATGAGTATTCATTTCACATACACTGTGTGCCAGACACTGTGGACAGCTGTGCCTGAACAGCTCAGGGTCCAGTTTGTGAAACAGACATACAAACAGATAATTTAAATACCATGTGATAAGCACCACTGAGGCTGCCTAAACAAAGTATCATGGGAACATAGAGGAAGAAGAAATTAACTCTAGCTGTCAGAATTGGGAGTTTGGTTTAGTGAGACATTTACAGAGGTGACATTTGAGCCCAAACTTGTCCAATGGTGTTGACCAGGTAGAGAAGAGGGCATGCTGTTTAAAGTACAAGGAAAGGCATAGCTAAAAGCAGAGAGTCATGAAAAAGCATGTTTCAAAACTGGCAAGTAGTCATGTGTGACTAGAGGCTGTGTGGCTTGAAGGGTATAATGAGTGAGGTCAATAATAATAATAGCTGCTATTGATTTGCAACTATTTTGTGTCAGACAGTATGCTCAAATCTTTCCATGCATAATTGTTAATTTTAATGGATGCATTATGAGGTGGCTATTATCCCCACTTTATAGATGAGAAAACTGAGCCTCATTGAAGTTGGGTAAATTTCCTTAATTCACACTCCTAGTAATTAGCTGTAGTGGTATTTGAACTCAGGTCTATTAACTACAAAGCTCGTGCTTAATGATACATTGCCTCTCAAAGAGTCTTTCATCCAGCTGGCAAATATGGGGAATAAAATGATTGTGTGTGTGTGTGTGTGTGTGTGTTTAAAAACCTACTGCAGAGTGTGAGGGATGAATTATGGTTGTATGTGAGTGAAATCTGTACAAGGAAAATGAATGGTAGATTATAGAAAATAGCCTTATGGGGATAGTGGATATACAAATCTATAAAATAATTCCTCTCAATTAACTGTGAAACTGATTTAGGCTTTCCAGTATCCTAAAGCACAGGTCATGTTAGAACAGTGAGAACATTCTTCTTGGTTCACTTTGGCCTTCCAAACCCAAAAACTTATCAGATCAAAAGAAGAGAGTAGCAATTCTTTTTTTTTTTTTTTTTTTTTTTTTTTGAGATGGAGTCTCGCTCTGTCACCCAGGCTGGAGTGCAATGGCGTGATCTCGTCTTACTGCAACCTCTGCCTCCTGGGTTTGAGCAATTCTCCTGCCTCAGCCTCCCAAGTAGCTGAGACTACAGGCATGTGCCATCACACCCAGCTAATTTTCGTATTTTTAGTGGAGACAAGATTTCACCATGTTGGCCAGGATGTCTCGATCTCTTGACCTCGTGATCTGCCCACCTCAGCCTCCCAAAGTACTGGGATTACAGGCATGAGCTCTAACACATCATCCCTTACCCTCTTAATTGCTGACCGACCTTCCTATTTCAAAGAGGAAGTAGAAGCAATTAAAGGAGAGATTTCACCACCCCCATCTTCTCGCCTGTGCCCATCAGTGGCTCTGTTACCTGCCTCTCAGGCTGTCTTTTCTGTTTATGCTTCCAGCTAAAGCCAATCCCTCTGTTTGCGCCCTAGATTCCGTCCCATTATTCCTGCCCCATAAATTGTCTTCCTTCCCAATATCCTTTAACACCACTTCCCCCCTCTTCCCTGGATCATCTCTATTGACGTATCAACATATTATCATTTCTACCACATAAAAAATAATTCTCTCTTGTTGCTCTTCTTAACGTCATCAGTGACTTCTTCATTGCTAAGTGCAGTGGTTTATTCTCTACTCTTAATGTGCTTGTCCCAGCAACAGCTTTAGACACAGTCTCTCCCTCTTCTTTGAGAAGACCTTCACTTATTCACTTTACCTCCAGGATATACCATTCTCTTGCTTTTCCTTCCATCTCACTGGCCAAGTCTTCAAAGTTTCTTTGCTGGTTCTTCCTCATCTCATCAACTTCTTAATGTTGGGGTGCCACAGCATTCAGCTCTAGAAACTCTTTCCTTCTCTGTCTATACTCATGCCCCTACTGATGTATTCCAGTATTGTGCTTCAAATACCAATTATGTTCATAAATATTAAATTTGTATCTTGATTCTGGATCTCCCCTCTAAATTCTAGACTAATAAACCCATTTTTTGAGTTGACCTTTCCACTTAGATGTCCAAGATACATCTTAAACATATGTCCAGAAGAGAACTTCTAAATTCCCTTCACATTGGCTCTCCTTATAGTTTTTCCCATTCTAGTAAATGATGACTCCAGCCATCTGGTTACTCAAGACATGAAGCTTGGCATCCATCACTAACTTCTTTCATAAATGCTCACATCCCACATACAACAAGGCAATCCTATCAGGTGTACATTCAAAATATGTTGAGTATCTGACTATCTCTTATCACCTATATTGCTACCACTCTGATCCAGCACCCTTATTCCTGCTCTGGTTTATTGCTAAAGCCTCTGAAGTGTTCTCCCTGTTTTATGCCTTGTCCCCTACATACAGTTTACTCTCAACACAGCAGCCAGAGTAATACTTTAAAAATATGAGACAGACCTGCCACTATGGTTTTCAAAACTTCCAAAGGCTTTTCAGCTCAAGGACCAAACTCTGTCTTTTGATAATTCTTAGGTAAGGGAGACTGAGTAGTTAAGTATTTCTGGTTTTCATTGTCTAAGACAGAGGAAAGCCAGGAAGGAAATGTATTTGAATGGTTTTTAGTAGCCTATCCATATACTGCCACAATGTGAAAAATCTTTACAAAAACAATAAAATACTTCAGAAAGACATGGAAGATTTTAAAATTGGAGATGTATACCGTGTTCATAGATGGAAGAACTTAATATCCACCTTTAAGCAACTATCCTAGGGAAAGCCTCAAAATGTTTATGAGAAAATATGTGCAATAATATTCATTGAAACATTTCTATAATAGTAAAAATATCTAGGAAGAGCCCAAATGATTGGCAGGAAAACAGACAAATTATGATTTAGTCATACAATGAAATAGAGTCTTATATACCTACATAGATAATTCTCAAAAACATAATACAGGTTGAATATCCCTTGGATTTATTTTTTTGGTTTTTAAAAATTTGCATATACATGATGAGATATCTTGGGGATAGAACTCAAGTCTAAGAACAAAATGCATTTGTGTTTCACATACACATTATACACACAGCCTGAAGAAAGTTTTATATAATTTTATGGAAATTTTTAAATAAAATCTTAAATAATTTTTTGCATGAAACAAAGTTTTGACTGTTTTGATTGCAACCCATCACATGAGGTCAGCAGTGGAATCACCCACCTGTGGTGTCATGTTGGCACTCAAAAAGTTTCAGATTTGGCAGCATGTCTGATTTCAGATTTATGGATTAGGGATGCTCAACCTGTCTAATGAAGTTACAGAATTATATCATTTTTGCAAATTTCAAATAATGCAAAATAAAATCATATATATGTGTGTGTATATGTGTGTATGTATGTGTGTGTGTGCATATTAATGTGTGTACACATACACACACACGTCACATGTGAATGATAAATACCAAATTCAAAATAGTGGCTACTTTTGAAGAGAATGGGGAATAGAATTGAGGAGGAGTATCTGAAAGGTTTCATCTGAAATGTCTCATTTATGTTTTAAAAATGGTGAGGCAAATATGGCAAAATTATTTAATAATCATTAAAACTAAGTATGGATTCGTAAATGCACATTCATTATTTTTCATTTTTATGTTTGAAATATTTTATAAGTAATAGAAAAGTGATTTCATGCTTTACTTAAAGATGATCACAGTCTATAGTTTAGAGGTGGAGAGAGACATGTCTGCAACTAATTTGTATTTGGAATCTTTTTGATGACTAGAATGGAAAGTCCCTCAAGTCAGCTTCAAAATGGGGACATTTATTATAAAGTCACACAAAGGACACTTACTGAAATCAAAGGACAGAATCCATAGTACAGCCAGGACTGCTGGGGACTGGAAAATGGCCAGGAGCCTGGACTACCTTTAATAGAAGCTGCAAGGTTGTGCTCTCTCTCTCTCTCTCTCTCTTTCTCATTTTCTCGGGACAGGTACTTTAGCCTCTGCTCTCTACTTCCTCTTAACCTCTCTGATTCATCTATAGGATATAAGATGAAGTTTCCCATCTGACTGGCAACTTTATTTGGTGATTCTGTTCAGATTCCAAAAGAGGGTACATAATGCACACAGATCGTCATTTTGAATCAGGCCATACAGGTCTGATTTCCATGTCAAGTCCATGTACAGGCCTTTTCCCATGCTTCATCTTTTGTTCAATCTTAGTGCAAATAGCAGCCCTGGGCTGTTTTTTTTGAGCAAGAGCTGTGAAGGTACCACTACTACTACTAATAATAATGATAATTAGCACTTATTTAATGCTTACTGTGTTCCAAAGGCTACACCACACACTTTACATACACCATCCCATTTGCTTCATATGACAACCCTATAAAATAATACTATCATCCCCATTTCATAGAAGAGGAAAATGAGACAGAGAAACTAAGTAACTTACCCCAGGTCACACTGTAAATGGTAAAGCCAGGGCTCCCAGGCAACCTGAGCATGGCTGACAAATTGACTGACATGTCTCGTCCTTGGCTTCAGCCAGAGTGAACAGCAGTGGGTATTATCATAAGGAATCAGAATGCAATAGAGAGAAAAGGAAGTCATTTAGACAGGTCACATGTGAAACTGCTGTACCAGAGACTTCAAAATGCAGTAACTCTCTCACATGCCTTTGCCATCTTCAACACGTAGTTTCCAATTGCCCCAAGCATCACTCTTTCCCAGATAGCAGGAGAAGAGATCCAGGACAAGCGGCTGCTTCTTTAAGGAGATGACCCAGAAGTTACAGGATCACTTGTATTCAAACTTCATTGGCCTAATTCCATCAGGAGTTGCTTGAAAATGTAGTTTCTAGTTGGAAGGTCTTAGACTCAGTTAAAACATTCCTATTGCTAAGGAAAAAAAGTGGGGGAGGGGAAAAATGACCACTAGGAGATAGTTGTATACAGTTGGCCACTTAGGAAGCACAATTTTCAGGAATTTTAAAAGATAATTCTGTCCTATCCCAGCTTCCAAATGGTGCTAGAATTTCCCTCTCACATACTCTTTTTTGCAGGGCCATTGTGTAGGATTGCTCCACCCAAGCAGAGAGGACATCATTTCTCAATACTGTGAGGTGAATGCCATCCCAGATCAGGCCCCATAGTGGCACAGCTCTTATTCCTTTCTCCTTCAGTACGCACTCCTGTTAACATGAGCAATTCTTAGCAGTTTACATTGCAGTGTGAGTATGGTTTATCCTTGGGAGACTAGGTATTTTCTGCTTGACCCTTGAGCAAGGATACTTCCAATCATCATACATTTCATTAGGTAAGAGTTCTGGGAATAGGAACTTTCACTGGGATAAGCAAAAGGGTTAAAGATCTGATCCCACTCAAGAATTGACTCCTGGTTATTTGTCTCACTGCTGTCTCTTTGCTCGTCCCAGGGAGGTAAGATGAACCCCAGCCAGCAGCCATGCCTAAACCAGCCTGATATGGGCCACCCACTGTGCTCTAGACATGGAAAGAAACACAATCTCATTCTCACTTCCCTTCATCTTGTTGACTTATCTGGCTTTCTTTGGACTGGACTTTTCTCATCCTGGCATGGTGTATTCTTTAGGTCTGTTTTGGTTGTAAATGATACAAACTCAACTCAAACTAAATCAGTATAAAGGGGAGAGTAGTGCTCATGGAGAAAAACCACAGGATGAACAGGGAATATAAGTGGTCTTAGGGAAACTAGAACCAGGTGCTCAAATGCCACTAGAATTTTGCTCTGTGACATCTCTGCCTCATCACTTGACTACCTTGGAGCAGTAAAGGCTGTCGCTGGTAGCACAGCCACCAGCAGGCTGATGTCATCCAGAGTTGCTCCTGGAAGAAACTGAGAGCCTCCCTGGTCCAAGAGAGTACTTCAGAAGTGCTCCGGTTGCTACAGCTCAAACCAGGAATCCAGCCTCAAGCATAGTTGGGATAGGAGGAGAGGTCTGTGAGGCGCAGAAGTCCCCATCAAGGTCAGAATGTTGGAATAGAGAAATAAGCATTTGCCCCCCCAAAAAGTGTATCTGTATGTATTGGCTAGAGCCAGCATTCTCAACATGGGATGACTTACCCCCAGGGTACGTCAGGCAATGTCTGGAGACATATTTGATTGTCACAATCAGTGGGGGAGAGGTATGTGTGCCACTGGCATCTAGTGTGTCAAGGTCAGGGGTGCTGTTAAACAGCCTATAATATAGAGAATAGCCCCCCACCACAAAAAGTATGCAGTCCAAAATGTCAATAAAGGGCCTCCTTGAATTACGATGGGGTTACATCCTGATAAATCCATTAATAAGTAGAAAATATTGTAAGTCAAAAATGCATTTAATACACCTAACCAACTGAACATCGTAATTTAGCCTAGCCTACCTTAAATGTGCTCAGAACACTTACACTAGCATATAGTTGAGGAAAATCATATAACACAAAGCCTATTGTATAATATAATGCTGCATATCTCACATGATTTATTGAATACTGTACTGAAAGTGAAAAACAGAATGATGATTGAGTGCCTGAAATACAATTTCTACCAAATGCATATCACTTTTGTACCACTGTGAAATCTAAAAATCTTAAGTTAAACCACAGTTATGTCAGGGACCATCTATAGTAGCAAGGTTGAGAAACCCTGAGTTAGAGGGTAGGATGGGGAGAATCTTGCATTTACTATAATAGAAGGGGACAGAAGTGTTAGCCTGCTTTGACAATGTTAGTCCCTCTTAGTGGTAAACTTTGGAGGCTGCAATTCAGGCCTGGGAATAAAGGACAAGAGGACAGGGGCTGCTTGACCGGCTCTGACTCTCAGGTTTTAACCACTTGAGCTTGGGCAGGCACCCTAATGGCCACCCTAGTTGACAGGCACTTCATTCTTTAGAGGGGGCAAGAGTTCTGGAGTGCAGTGGCACAATCTCAGCTCACTGCAACCTCTGCTTCCTGGGTTCAAGCGATTCTCGTGCCTCAGCCACCTGAATAGCTGGGATTAGAGGCATGCACCACCACACGCAGCTACTTTTTTGTATTTTTAGTAGACACGGGGTCTCGCCATGTTGCCCAGCTGGTCTTGAACTCCTGAGCTCATGCAATCCACCCCCTAGAGGTTTTATCTTGACCTTGGCCCCGTACCTACTGCTCTTGGGAACCAGGTCAGGTAGCTTGTGCTGGGATTAGGGCTAGCTCCCCTGACACAGGTTGCCTACTCAGCACTTCTCATCCTTTACCTCATAGGGAACTGTGTCCCACTACATGGGCCCCTCTTTCACCTCCGTATCTCTGCACAGGCTAGTCCCTCTTCCTCTGACTGGTTGGCTGCTCATTATCCTTCCAGGTTTATCTCAGTAGTCACTCCTTCAGGAAGCTTTCCATGTCACACACACACACACACACACACACAAACACACACACACACTTCGGAGATGGCCCACACCTGTTCCCCTATTGCATTCTAGGAACACTTCCACCACAGCATCACACAACACAAGAGTGAGACAGGAGGTCTCATTTCTCCCAACAGTAGAAATCTCCTTGAACAAAGTGACTGTTTTAGTCCCCTGTGGCTCTCCAGCAGTCAGGAAAGTGCCTATCACAGTGGGCATAAGACTTTACCAACCTGAAGGTAAAAGGAGCTGGATAAAATACCTCCAAAGACTCCGTATCACCCCAAGATTTGTGACAACCTACAATAAAACAGGAAGGTTAGAGATCCAAGTTGATCTTTAGTCTAGTTCTGTGTGGTAAAAATGAAAGACTCTCATAGAAGAAGAACCAGAATGGCAATCAAGGGAAGGGCACTCCCTATCCTTGTCCTACCTAGAAAGGCCTCAATCCAAAATGCCAGCCTGAAAGCCCTTTTCCCCCCATCAAGGATGTGTTAAGAGCTCTTGTTTCCAACCTGGCACCGACGTAGTTAAAGCTGCACCATTTGCTGTGTGAGGCTTTGATTCTGCTGACTTTATTTCAAGCAATCAAAAATACCTAATTTGCATTCACATTCACATCAGTGGCCCATATGTTAGCCCTGTTTAAAAGCTATAGGCTCGCATTCATTATGAAAGACTTGGCTCCCCTTCGTTATCTTTTCACTTTAAAATTATTGAGATACTGTCGCTACAAAGGTTTATATTTAGCAAAGACACAACGTTTCCGTGTGCGTATGTGTCTCTGCCCATGTCTGTGTGTCTGAAAGGGATCTGATATTTGCATCTTCCTCCAAAATATCTGATAACTTTCAAAATGGGAAGAGGAAGAGCCGTCTCTTTCTCGATCTATTTCATATGTGACAGCGCTGCCTCCTACCTAAGGCATCATTAAAATACCGCGTTGCAATATGTCGGTGCACATGATTCTAGACCACACACTGAGCCCTGAGAAGCAGGCCCCTCCAGAGAGCCACAGTGAGAAAATCACAGTTTCTTACCAAGAAACCCAGCCAGGGTTTGCTTTTAGGATTCAATCACATCTCAATTAGATTCCACTCACTGGCGGGAAGGGCTTGTCTGTGCCTCATTCTTTTACTTATTAAAAATTTACTGACCCCCTACTATGTGAAATGCACTCTCCTATGTACAACCACAAAGATTTTTAATGAAGGGTCTTAGCTATCAAGGAACTTACAGGGAGCAAACAGGGGGAGGACAAGCATTTCAACAATTAGGACTCTTGGAAAAATAGGTTAGAATACTGGTACATGCAAAGAGCTAGGAGTGGGGCACTGGAAGGGAGACGTTGGTTCTTCCTGGAGAGTTAGAGCAGCAGGCGGGACTTAGTGGGCAGGGAGGCCACCATCACCAGCTGGGTATGTTTGACCTGGGCCTTCAGGAAGTAATTTACAGTTGTGGCAAAGCAGAGAAAGGATGATGGAGCAGCAGGAGCAAAGGGTAGGATGTGAATTCAGGAAAGCATCTTTGTTCTTCCCCATAGCAGATGCTGTTCGCATGGGCACCCCTCCCCTCCCTGATTGTGGCATAGCTAAAAGACACAGTGGCTAAGATGTGTACAACCAACAGCAATAGCATATTTGTTCTCTAGGATCACATACACGAAACTGGTGAAAGTGGGGAAAACGGGGCTGAGAACAGATGTCAGAAATCTATATCTTTCTATATCCTTGTGTCCTGCTTGGATTTTTTTCCCTGTTCTGTATAAGCACTGCTATTTAAAGAAAAAAAATTGAAAATATATTTTGAATTGATGAATTCTAAATAACATTCCAAGCTTTATCATTAAAGAAGCTAATTAGGGAAACTGCATCATGACATCAAGTTTGAAAAATCAAATGAAGTAAAGGGAACCAATAGCATGGATACGTGTTCAATATTTGAACAACGCACTGGGGGCAGGGGAAATGTGTGCAAGAGCCTTATTATGGTTTTATGGGAAGTAAGAAGCAAGGCAGGGTATGCAGGTTTAGGATTAGCTAGTTGGAATAATTTTGGCTGGTGCTGGGGTGTAGGGTCAGACCCTAGTTATTTGGTACCTGGCCCTGGGGTGATTAGGGCAGGGAAATAGTAGCTTGGAACATGATAGTCTAACAAAGAAGAGGTTAGGGATGTTGGTTAATTTCGTTCGCTTGGTTTGCATACGAAAGGCACACTCCTAACAGGCGGGGCAGTCCATTCAAAGTCAGCAAGATCCCAGATGTCAAAGCATCAGAATACAGAAAATAAAAGGACATAATACAGTTTGCCATTGGGGGTGCAAATATTAAAGAAGTGGTTCTCAGGACTTTTTGTTTCATCTTGCTTTATTATATAGAATCCTATACTCAAATAAAATCTTTCTTAGGTGGCCAATGTATAAAGTAATTACAAAGAGTTGCTCTGGTTGAAGTAAGGGTAATTGGCCCAGAGCCTTAAATACACAGCCTCCCTGCCCATCTTCAGGGTAGTTCCACCTAGAAATCTGTGGATAATACTTGGAAACAGGGCCCTGGAGGCCTCTCCTAATGCCAATTGTACCTGCCAAAATGTGGGACTCAGCTGCTCACATTCTAGCCCTCTGTGCATACATAACCTTGGTCTTTTGGAGGTTCACCAAAGGTTCCAGGAACCCATCACCAGGTCTGTCCTGCCAGAATCTCACTGCTCACCAAAACACCATCTGCACAGAGGACAAGACTGGGAAAGGAGGCACTTCAAGGCAAGTTGGGATTTGTGTTGGGTATTGTATGGGAACTTGTTTGGGACCCAAATCAAAATAGACTCTTCTGGGGAGTTAGACTGAACCATGCAGAAGACTGGCCTAGACTAAAGCAATTGAGCAACCTCTTGTGCTCCCTTCTCCTTTAAGCTCACACATGATTCTCAAGTCCTCCATATCTTCCTACTCCAATGGCAAGGAAAGACTGCCTGGAGATGAGCCAGATGGCCGTGGAGTAGTCAGAGCAAACTTCACCACAATGTCTAGGATGGGGTAATTGTGCTGACCTGATCCGGACCTTTCAGACCTGCCTTAGTTCACTAACTGCAAGTAAGCAAAAAAAAAAAAAAAAGAAGAAAGGAAATCAATATTTCACTGTCATTGGTGTCATCATTATCATTAATACTGTTAATTTTACTGTAATTGTCAGGGTTTTTTTGTTGTCTTTTTTTTAGATGGAGTCTCACTCTGTTGCCCAGGCTGGAGTGCAGTGGTGTGATCTCGGCTCCACTGCAAGCTCCGACTTCCCAGCTTCACGCCATTCTCCTGCCTCAGCCTCCCGAGTAGCTCAGACTACAGGAGCCCACCACCACGCCTGGCTAATTTTTTTGTATTTTTAGTAGAGACGTGGTTTCACCGTGTTAGCCAGGATGGTCTCGATCTCCTAACCTTATGATCTGCCCACCTCGGCCTCCCAAAGTGCTGGGATTACAGGCATGAGCCACCGCGCCTGGCAGTGAGTTTTTTTTAATAATACAATCAGGCATCACATAAGGATCGTTTTGGTCAGTGACAGACCACATATATTGCAGTGGTCCCTTAAGATTATAATGGAGCTGTCCTATATAAGTGTACCATTTTTAAATTTTTACACAGTATTTTTACTGTATCTTTTCTATGTTTCAATGTGTTTAGACACACAAATGCTCACCACTGTGTTACAGTTGCCTACAGGATTCAGTAGAGTACCATGCTGTACAGGTTTGTGGCCTGGGAGCAATAGGTGACAACACATAGCCTAGGTGTGCAGGAGGCTATACGATCTAGGTATGGGTACGTACACTCTATAATGTTCTTACAACGACAAAATCACCTAATAATGCATTTTTCAGAATATAGTTTCTCAGAAAATATTCCTTTGTTTAAGCAATGCATGACTGTATCCCTTTCTAGCTTTAAGACAATTATTACATACAAATGTAATGTGCTTCTTACTTTTTTTGAGACAGAATCTCACTCTGTTGCCCTGGCTGGAGTACAGTGGCACGATCTTGGCTGTAACCTTTGCCTCCCCAGTTCAGGCTGTTCTCCTCCCTCAGCCTCCCAAGTAGCTGGGAATACAGGTGTGCGTCACCACACCCAGCTAATTTTTGTATTTTTAGCAGAGACAGGGTTTCACCATGTTGGCCAGGCTGGTCTCAAACTCCTGACCTCAAGTGATCCACCCACCTTGGCCCCCCGAAGTCCTGAGATTACAGGCATGAGCCCCTGCACCCGGCCTTTAATGTACTTCTTTATTCTGAAATAGCTGGGATAAGTTGTATCTCTGTCTCGCCAACCTGAAGTCTCTAAGTCTATGCTCTCTCAAATGGTGCGGTGATGAGAAGACATGGTTGTTACTTCTCCTTTGACTTACTGCATCCCATATTTGTTGGGATGCTGAAAGCACGGGCTGAATACTAAGTCTCCCCACTCATGGGACCACTCCATTACCTCCAGCGAGCCTCATCTCATCCTGCTCCTTTTGCTCAGGAATAAAGGATGGTTTGTTGTCCCTGATTGTACCTCTGTACCCTCTTCTTTCCCATGCTCTTTTCTTGTGAGAAAAGCATCCAACAGGAGGGAAGGGTGGCTTCCTGTTTTGAATCTTGAGTTAGAAAATGTTCCCCGTTGTTTTATGCTGTGGAACATTCCAAGTGACAACTCCTTGGAAACAGTGGTGCCTGACACGCCACTTAATCGGTTGTTGCTCAGTAGCAAGTAATAGAATATTTTGTGTTTATTTGTTTTTTATTTTGGGTTCAGGACTTTATTGTGGAGAGTTGAAAGAACTTGCCAGAAGTGTGACTTTGAAACCAGTGGAAAGATACCCTATTTTTTATAAGGCTGCTCTTTGCAGCGCATCCAAACACAGAAGAAAGTGCCCATATTGAGAGTTGATCATGTACTAAGTGGAATTAGAGTCATGTTAGTCCCAGCAGAAACCCAATGTGGCTGATGTAGGGTGAGGTATTAGACAAACACTTTACAGTCTGTTTTTGTAATATAGATGTTTCTATGTACTGGCTGCATGATTGATTTTAAACTGCTCTCTTCCTGTCATTCATATTGACATGAATATTGAATGTTCAAGTGAGATGATTTATTTTCAAAATGTATAGAGTGTGAGCCCTAGGTAGGCTGTTATTGCACATAGTTATTTAATATGAAAGCAAAAACATTTGGCTCTGAACTTATTTTCTTGGCTTCTTAGATAATATGGAAAACTAGAAGTTGAATTTAACCCATATGGACAGGTAGGTGAAGTAGAAAACAAGCTCATGTGGAGATGGAATGGAACCGCCCTTGATCAGATGACAAATGATATTGGGAAGCAATTGGCGGTGGTTTGTGTTATGTTCCAGGCCTTACTGATTCTGGCACAGCTACCTTGCACATCTCCAGAAGTTTAGGGCAAACACTTAAATATATAACAACAAGAACAAAAAGGCGTTCGAAGATCATGATAGAATGACTTCAAGATTAATTTTGCAGATATTTTTTAGAAAATATTTTATGGGCTCTATTCACTTCTAAGTAGCATCCTCAGATTTCTGAAATACTCTCAGAAATATCTGAAACTCATTGATACAGAAACCAGCCCAGCGATTGTTCAAGGATGTGAAGAGGAGATTCTGAGGATGCTCTGTAATTCTGATTTGTTTGTCATTTTGAATTACCAAGTGACAGAACCCCAAGTTGTATAAGCAAAGAATGAATCCAATCACCCCATGATCAAGTCAGTAAACCTGATTTTCAAGATGGCAACTGATGCAATAAGGTAGATACTGGCCACCTGTGGCTATTAAGAACTTGCAATGTGACGAAAGTAACTAAAAAATTGACTTAAATTTTATTTTAATTAATTTCAATTTACGTACTGATATTTTACTTAGTTATTGAAAAACTTTAAGTACATCTGGAGCAATTTGGCTTTGTTAATCTACTTTTTCAACTGTAAATCTAAATACAGATTATTTCTGAGGAAGATTTAGCATCTGAATCAAGACATGTTGTAAGCATAGAACACACATCAGATTTAAAAGACTATAAAAATGCAAACATTTCATCAATAAGTTTTATATTGATTGCTCATTGAAATAATATTTTGGATATATTGAGTTAAATATAATTTATTAAAATTAACTTTACCTGTTTCTTTGTACTTCATTTTAATGTGTCTACTAATAATTTAATTACATATGTGCCTAGAATTATTTATATATTGAACAGTGCTGCTTTAGAGAGGATAACAAACAATATTACAAATCTAGTTTTTTGATTCTTGGTCTCTTGATTTTTTTTTCCCTGAACTATACTGCTTCTGTAGAATATTTTCTGATCTCCCTCATCGTCTCTGCAAAAGCTGGTATGTGGGCTTTCATCAAAAGCTAAAATAAAATTTGAAAAAAACACTGTCTGGCTGGTTTAGACTCTCTGCTCTGCCGTCTTGCCTATTCTCCATGCTGGCCCTTTACTTTAGGTCTTGACCTTGCTGTCAGTCTGGGCTGCTAATTGTGATTCTTCATGTTGTTCTTTGTAGTATTATTCACCAGATTCACCATCCTCTCCAGCAGGAGGATGATGCATCTCTTCCTCTTGAAATCAGGTGTGGCCATGAGATTGCTTTGGGCAATGAAGCCTGAGCAAAGGTGATATCTACCTCTTGTGGGTGGAAGTTCTAGAGCTGTGTGGCCTTTGACATGTTTTCTTCTCTTTCTGCCATGAGCCGGATGGAGGCTGCGATGCCCTAGGCTGCTCCATCAGTCTAGGTTCTAGAGTGGAGGTGACTGGAGTGAGCTGCAGCCAGTGCTGGGTCCTAGCATGAGTGAGGACAGCCCTCTGTGCTAGAAGCTTCTGAGATTTAGGGGTCTTTTATTATTGCAACATAACCTAGTCCTTATTGTTTATGAACTTTGGAGAGGGTAAGAGGAAGGAAAGGAAAAAGAAGAAAATGGGTTCAGTAGTTAGGAGGCAATTCCAATTTTTACCTTTATAGAGTTTATGAGGACTTCATGACAAGTATCTAATTTTCATGTTGAGCACCTTTGAGCTTCATATCATGCTCTTATTGACCTTCTAAGAGCAAAAGGGTTGCAACACTTTTGTTACCTCATGAGGAGACTTTAGCTCAAGGATTGGGACCTGAAGTTCTCTGGAGAATGATTCCAGACCTCTGAGGGTAAGATTCATCACTAATTTATCTCTGCATCTCCAGCACTTAGCTACTTAGTCCTAACATACGAAAACTATTATCTCTGCATCTGCAGCACTCAGATACTTTGTCCTAACATATGAAAACTATTCATTAATTCAGTGTTTGTTGAATGAATAAATAAAATGTGGGTACATTAATATAGGAAGGAGCTGAAGAAGGTATGAAAATTTCAAAAGAATTGGAAACATGAGGTTTGCAATATAAGGAATTAAAAGAAAACTCTGTATAAGTTTTGGCAGTGTTTGCTTCATGGGTAGTGACGTGCACTCACACAGGGCCCCAGGCTTTGGAAGGTTTCACGTTTAGTTTAATGCTCGGCTGTTGGGATTCTGAAATTCTTAATACTTTTTTTTAACAAGGGTCCTACATTTTCATTTTGCACTGGGCCCTGCAAATTACTTAGCCAGTCCTGTGTACAGATGGTGGAAGTAAATGGGAAATTAAATATTTAGAAAGTGTTTGGAAGGATGAAGTTGCACTTGAGGGTTACATCTGGATAAAAGTGAGAAATTGGGCCTTTGGAATCTTTTTTTCATGTGCTTCTATTTAAACTGAAATAAGCCAGTACATACATTCCTTTCTAATCCTTATTTTTAGATTAGGAAACAGACTGACAGCTGACCTGTGGCAGCAAAAAAATTATTGGTATAATTCCATCAGAAAAACATCAGTGTAAACAGCTGTCCACTGAGTGGGAAAACAAGAAATAGAAAAAAAAATTCAACCAGTTGTTTGCAATAGCAGATTATAATTTCAGCTGAAATTATGATGATTATGATGGAAAGAATTGCAATGTGTGCTGAGATCAACGTTTTATGTGTGTAGAATTCAACACCAAGTTTACATTTACTTTTTGGTAATAAATGATTTTTAACTACCTCAGTACATAAATGAAAGTGGTCATTAAGACTGAAATTTAGCAAGTGATAAAATGGGACTTATTTCTACTGATCTGCCATTTTGTATGTAGACATTTGTGTTTATGCGTATATTTATGCATGCATATATTTACGTAACATATATTAATGTGGAAGAGGGAATAGCATGTGTCAAGCATCTTGGGAAAGAAAGGAACATGGTAAATTCTGGCCATTGACTGGTAAAGGAAACATCAAAAAGGAACTCGGTTTATGGTGGGAATATTATAAGTCTGATTTCAGAAGCACATAAAATGTTGAATCCCAAGTGCTTTAAAGGAGATGTAATAAGTAATCTTTTTGACACATGCATTTGGAGATAAAAGGAAATGTCTGGTCTGGAGACAAGAATTTGAAAGAATTACCTGTGTGTAATCAGTGATTGAGGTCTTAGTCATCAATGAGATCACCTAAGCAAAGAAAATACGGGAGAGAGAAGAAAAGAGGCAGCCACCAATCCTTGTAGAATAGATAGGTCTGCTTGTGTGACTGAGAAGGGCTGGGGGCAGAGAGCTGGGGAAGAAGAACCTGAACTATGTCAGGAACAGATGCTGAGGGAAAAGATTATTTTAAGAAGAAGCAATAGTGGAGTCAAGAGCTACAAGTAGGTACAATAAGATGAGAACAGAGACATGTTCATTAGATTAAGTATCACAGAGGTCATCAGGAAAGAGACAGGCTGGGGTAGGTTGAGGAGTGGGTGGGATAAAAACGGCAGAAATGCACTCTTGCTGTTGTTCTGCCTCTTTCTCTCCCTCCTTCTCTGGTTGAAAGCTACAAAGAATCAAACCATGCCATTCTCCATTTTGCTCACTCACTTTGTTGAGAAAGCTTGAGACATATCTCGAGGTGTCTAGGAAGAAACAATTTTCCTGCTGGATTGATGAAAAAAGGTGAGACAGAAAAGGTGACTTCCCTGGACTCAGTTTCAGCTCCAAGTCTTTGGGAATGATGCTTGGAGTTGGGAAAGCCACTGAGGAAATGGGCTAAAGTGTTTCCTTTTGAGAAGGCAAAGAGTTTCAGTGCAGTATTTGTGGTCTCATGTGGGGAAGACCTAATTCGTGTGTCCATGCCAGGACTCAGAACCAAGAGGAAGTGTGTGGCTGGTGTGCTCTCCACTGAGAGGTCACGTGCCAACTGGGGACTAGGGTGAGGTCCTGGCATTACTGCAAAGTAAGTGGCCTCCTGGTTATTGCAAATGACCAGAGCCCATGGAGGCGCAGGTTTCACATTCAGTCTCAAATTTGAACTTACATCACTGACTCTCACTGAGTCCAAAATCACAGCCTCAGAAGTATACAAGCAGGACTGGAAAAAAGTCAGCTGAAAACTGAAAATCTGTTTTGTTGCTTATCAGCCCAGGCAAGCTGATGAACATCTCTGCCTCAGCTTCCTTGTCTTTGAAATACCGGTAATAGAATCTACTTGATAAGATTGAGGGGAAAATTAAATGACATAATATATAAAAAGTACTTTGAGCAGCGTCTAACATACAGTAAGCACTCAGTAAATGTAAGCTGTTTTTATTTTTATTTCTACCAGACACTTGTGAACAACAGCATGATTATATTAGATCATATTTCGGGTATGAAACATCAATTTGTTAAATGTAAATATTTTAAAAATACCATCATATCTGTGACCTATTTTGACATTTATTGATACATCTTTTAATATACCAGAGCCTTAAAACAATCCAAGAGGTTTGGATTGGTCTCTACCTCTGAGTGGATTTGACAATGATCACTAAAGCAGAACTGCCTGTAGAAACTGAATGTGAAAGAAAGCAGTGATGGAGAATGAGAAAGAGGTGATTGTCTTCCTAATTGCTAGAAGTGTCTTGAATGCCAACCCTCTATTGTTCTTTAAAAGGTACTTGATATGGTGATAAAATAACTGTTGCAGCACTATTCATGTCAACGTCATTGTTATTCAAACAATCAGGACCAGTTGGAAACTGTCTTCAGGCACTTGATACATAGGCAAGGCTAGCTCTCAGTATTTCTGTAAGCAAATGGGACTGTTGAAGGTTGCTTTGTGAATTACATTTCAAACTACAGAACTGTAGCCAGCCCACAAGGGATATTAGCAGTTCCATTGCTTATCAACTAGAATTAGAGTTTGGGGGCTAAGACTGGAGTCTCTGGAAAAAGGAGGGAAAAAACATCTAGCTTGATGATTGGGCAGAAAACTCCAACTTTCCACAGGAAAAAAAATTGCTAAAAGAAAGGGTAAATTACTGGACATGATTATTCATACCAGGTGAACTAGTCTTTGGAAATTCAGAGCTGATGAAATATATATTTTAGCTGATGGAATATGTATTTTAATATATATTTTAGTAGCAATGACAGCTTTACTACTTTTTAGTATTGTCAAATAAAGAAAATATTCACAGTAAGTTTTGGTATTTCTGAGTACCAATTTATTTCTTCGAAAAGGCATTCTACCTACCTGAAAGATAGTGGCACTCACCCTGGACTAATTCACTCGCGTCCGTGTGAAGAGACCACCAAACAGGCTTTGTGTGAGCAATAAAGCTGTTTATTTCACCTGGGTGCAGGCGGGCTGAATCCAAAAAGAGAGTCAGCGAAGGGAGATGGGGTGGGGCCCTTCTGTAGGATTTGGGTAGGTAAAGGAAAAAGGGGGGTTTTTCTCCGGTGGGCAGGAGTGGGGGTCACAAGGTGCTCAGTAGGGTAGCTTTTGAGCCAGGATGAGCCAGGAGAAGGAATTTCAGAAGATAATGTCATCAGTTAAGGCAGGAACAGGCCATTTTCACTTCTTTTGTGGTGGAATGTCATCAGTTAAGGCAGGAACTGGCCATCTGGATGTGTACATGCAGGTCACAGGGGATATGATGGCTTAGATTGGGCTCGGAGGCCTGACATTCCTGTCTTCTTATATTAATAAGAAAAATAAAATGAAATAGTGGTAAAGTGTTGGGACGGTGAAAATTTCTGGGGGGTGGTATGGAGAGATAATGGGCGATGTTTCTCAGGGCTTCTTTGAGTGGGATTAGGGGCGGCGTGGGAACCTAGAGTGGGAGAGATTAAGCTGAAGGAAGATTTTGTGGTAAGGGGTGATATTGTGGGGTTGTTAGAAGAAACATTTGTCATTTAGAATTATTGGTGATGACCTGGATACAGTTTTGTATGAATTGAAAAACTAAACGGAATAAGAGAAGGAGAAAAACAGTATTAAAGGACTAAGAATTGGGAGGACCTAGGACATCTAATTAGTGCCTAAGGAGGTTCAACATAGCCTTGCCAGCAAAGAGTATTTATTTACTTTAAGAGTTCAGAGTGGCGGTTTGGGGATAGCACCAGCAGATATCAGCTGTGATGGCTTGGAGAAACAGTGTAAACTGGCAGTGTAAACAAGAGCAGGGCATGTATGAGTAGTTGAGAACGGTGAATAGCAGTATGACTAGACAGAAGATAGTAGGGATGACAAGTTTTTTGGGGCACAGTCCAAGTTGGTCTGGTGTCTGGAATGAGACTGGGGCCTAATAAAAAGGAGCATCTATACAGGAGCTCAAATGGGCTGTACCTTGTAGCATTCTGAGGACAGGCCTGAATTCTGAGAAGGGAAAGTGGTAAAAGTATTGTCCAGTCCTTTTTAAATTGGTGGCTGAGCTTGGTGAGGTGTGTTTTTAAAAGACCATTAGTCTGTTCTACCTTTCCTGAAGACTGAGGACTGTAAGGGATATAAAGGTTTCACTGAATACTAAGAGTCTGAAAAAATGCTTGGCTGATTTGACTAATAAAGGCCGGTCTGCTATCAGACTGTATAGAGGTGGGAAGGCCGAACTGAGGAATTATGTCTGACAGAAGGGAAGAAATGACCGTGGTGGCCCTCTTAGATCCTGTGGGAAAGGCTTCTACCTATCCAGTGAAAGTGTCTACCTAGACCAAGAGGTATTTTAGTTTCCTGACTCGGGGCATGTTGAGTAAAGCTAATTTGCCAGTCCTGGGCAGGGGCAAATCCCTGAGCTTGAAGTGTAGGGAAGGGAGGGGGCCTGAATAATCCCTGAGGAGTAGTAGAATAGCAGATGGAACACTGAGAAGTTATTTCCTTGAGAATAGATCTCTACAATGGAAAGGAAATGAGAGGTTCTAAGAGGCAGGCTAGTGGCTTGTGCTATAGCATAGCCTGCCTTTGCTGGTGTGTGGCGATTAGGCCTGGTGGAACTGCCATCAATAAACCAAGTGTGATCAGGGTGAGAAACAGGGAAGAAGGAAATGTGGGGAAATGGGGTGAACGTCAGGTGGATCAGAGAGATGCAGTCATGAGGGTCAGGTGTGGTATCTGGGATAATGTGGGAGGCTGGATTGAAGTCCAGGCCAGGAACAATGGTAATTGTGGGAGACTCAACAAAGAGTGAGTACAGCTGAAGGAGCCAGGGAGCAGAAAGTATATGCATCAGGTGTGAGGAAGAAAATAGATTTTGGAAATTATGAGAGCTGTAGAGAGTGAGTTGAGCATAGTTTGTGATTTTAAGGGCCTCTAAAAGTATTAGGGCAGCAGCAGCCGCTGCACGGAGACATGATGGCCAGCCTAAAACAGTAAGGTCAAGTTGTTTGGACAAAATGGCTACTGGACATGATCCCAGTCCTTGTGTAAGAATTCCGACTGCATAGTCCTGCACTTCAGCTGTGTGTAATGAAAAGGTTGAGATGAGTCAGGGAGAGCTAGGGTGGGGGCAGTCTCTAAAGCTGTCTTCAAGGAACGGAAAGAGGAGTGGGGAAAGGATTTAGGATCTATGGGGTCAGCTAGGTTTCCTTTTGTGAGTTTATATAATGGTTTTGTTAGGATGGCAAAACCAGGTATCCAAAGGCGAAAGTATCCAACTATGCCCAGGAAGGAAAGGAGCTGTTGTTTTGTAGAAGGGGTTGGGGTTTGAGAGATTAGTCAGACACAATCGGCAGGGAGAGCACGTGTGTTTTTATGAGAATTATGCTGAGATAGGTAACAGATAAGGAAGAAATTTGGGCTTGACTGAAGTAATGGGGGCTGTCTGTGAAGCTTTGTGGCAGTACAGCCCAGGTAATTTGCTGAACCTGATGGGTGTCAGGGTCAGCCCAAGTGAAAGCGGAGAGAGGCTGGGATGAAGCATGCAAAGGAATAGTAAAGAAAGCAAGTTTGAGATCCAGAACAGAATAATGGATTGTGGAGGGAGGTATTGAGGATAGGAGAGTATATGGGTTTGGCACCACGGGGTGGATAGGAAAAACAATTTGGTTGATAAGGCATAGATCCTGAACTAACTTGTAAGGCTTATCTGGTTTTAGGACAGGTAAAATGGGGGAATTGTAAGGAGAGTTTATAGGCTTTAAAAGGCCATGCTGTAGCAGGCGAGTGATAGCAGGCTTTAATCCTTTCAAAGCATGCTGTGGGATGGGATATTGGCATTGAGCGGGGTAAGGGTGATTAGGTTTTAATGAGATGGTAAGGGGTGCATGATCCCAAGGAGGGAGTAGAGGTATCTTATACTTGTGGGTTAAGGTGGGCGGATACAAGAGGAGGACGCAAAGGAGGGTTTGGATTGGGAAGAAGGGCGGCAATGAGATGTAGCTGTAGTCCAGGAATTGTCAGGGAAGCAGATAATTTAGTTAAAGTGTCTCGGCCTAATAAGGGAACTGGGCAGGTGGGGATAACTAAAAAGGAGTGCTTAAAAGAGTATTGTTAAAGTTGGCACCAGAGTTGGGGAGTTTTAAGAGGTTTAGAAGCCTGGCTGTCAATACCCACAACAGTTATGGAAGCAAGGGAAACAGGCCCTTGAAAAGAAGGTAATGAGTGGGTAGCCTCCGTATTGATTAAGAAGAGGACGGACTTACCCTTCACTGTGAGAGTTACCTAAAGCTCGGCGTCCACGATGGTCTATGGGGCTTCTGAGGCGATCGGGCAGCGTCAGTCTTCAGCCGCTAAGCCGAGAAGATCTGGGAAGGAGTCAGTCAGAGAGCCTTGGGCCAGAGTTCCAGGGGCTCTGGGAGTGGCTGGCAGGTGAGTTGAACAGTCCAATTTCCAGTAGGGTCCCGCACAGATGGGACATGGCTTAGGAGGAATCCCAGGCTGTGGGCATTCCTTGGCCTGGTGGCCAGATTTCTTGCACTTGTAGCAAGCTCCTGGGGGAGGTGGTTCTGGAGGAAGCCTGGCCACTGCGGTTTAGGCGTTTGGAAGTTCTTGTGTGCTGGAGATGTGGCTGGGGTTTGTCTCACAGTGGAGGCAAGGAATTGCAACTCAGAAATATGTTGCTTCTTGGCTGCATCTGCTCTATCATTGTACACTTTGAAGGTGAGGTTAATTAAGTCCTGTTGTGGGGTTTGAGGGCCGGAATTTAACTTTTGGAGTTTTATTTAATGTTAGGAGCAGATTGGGTAATAAAATGTATATTGAGAATAAGACAGCCTTTTGACCTTTTAGGGTCTAGGGCTATAAAGCGTCTCAGGGTTGCTGCCGAACGAGCCATGAACTGGGCTGGGTTTTTATATTTGATGAAAAAGAGCCTAAACACTATCTGATTTGGGATAAAGAAAAAGGAGCATTAACCTTGACTATGCCTTTAGCTCCAGCCACCTTTTTAAGAGTAAATTGCTGGGCAAGTGGGGGAGGGCTAGTCATGGAAGGAAACTGTAAGCCGGACCAGGTGTGAGAAGGGGAGGTGATAAAAGGATTATAGGGTGGAGGAGTGGAGGCTGAGAAAGAATTGGGACTTAGCTCGGCCTGGCGAGGAGGGGAGAGGTCAGATGCGTCTGTAAAAAAGGAAGATTAGAAAGACACAGCGACGCTTGGGGTTGGGACTGAGGGGACAGGTGGGAGGGAAAGAAGGAAGATTTGGGATGAGTTGCATTGGGAACAGAGACTAGAGAGGGACGGATGTGTAAAAGAATGCCTGGACGTCAGGCACCTCAGACTGTTTGCCTATTTTACGACAAGAATTATTTAGATCTTGTAGGATGGAAAAATTGAAAGTGCTGTTTTCCAGCTATTTGGAACTACTGTCAAATTTGTATTGGGGTCAAGCAGCATTGCAGAAGAAAATAAGATGCTTAGATTTTAGGCCAGGTGAGAGTAGAAGAGGTTTTAAGTTCTTAAGAACACAGGCTAAGGGAGAAGAAGGAGGAATGGAAGGTGGAAGCTTGCCCATAGTGAAGGAGGCAAGCCCAGAGAAAAGAGTAGAGACACGGAGAAGGGGTGGGGGGTTCTTGCCCTCCAGAAAAGCAGAGAAGGGGTTGCAGCATGGAAATAAGGGGAAGGCTGCCTTCCCTAGTCTGTGACCCGCGCCAGAGTTTTGGGTCCACGGATAAAATGTGTCTCCTTTGTCTCTACCAGAAAATGAAAGGAATTGAAATTAAGAGAAGGGAGAGATTGAAGTGTGGCGCCAAGATTGAAAGGAGAAAGAGGTTGAGGGATAGTGAGGGAAGTTGGAGAAGAGAGTAAAAAGAGGCCGCTTACCAGATTTGAAATTGGTGAGGTGTTTCTTGGGCTGGTCGGTCTGAGGACCTGAGGTCGTAGGTGGATCTTTCTCATGGAGCAAAGAGCAGGAGGACAGGGGATTGATCTCCCAAGGGAGGTCCCCCGATCCAAGTCAGGGCACCAAATTTCACTCGTGTCCATATGAAGAGACCACCAAACAGGATTTGTGTGAGCAATAAAGCTGTTTATTTCACCTGGGTGCAGGCGGGCTGAGTCCGAAAAGAGAGTCAGAGAAGGGAGATAGGGGTGGGGCCATCTTACAGGATTTGGGTAGGTAAAGGAAAAAGGGGGGTTGTTCGCTGGCGGGCAGGAGTGGGGGGTCACAAGGTGCTCAGTAGGGGAGCTTTTGAGCCAGGATGAGCCAGGAGAAGGAATTTCAGAAGATAATGTCATCAGTTAAGGCAGGAACAGGCCATTTTCACTTCTTTTGTGGTGGAATGTCATCAGTTAAGGCAGGAACTGGCCATCTGGATGTGTACGTGCAGGTCACAGTGGATATGATGGCTTAGCTTGGGCTCAGAGGCCTGACACGTAGGACTTAGCAAAGCTAAAGCTTCAGCCTACGGGGGGTAAAACTAGTTCATAGTGAATTCCACAGGGAGAAATCCAGCCCCAGGTGCACACAGGAGCAGAGAGGGAAGGCTCCCATTTTGAAGCTCTGGGCCAAGGAGTTGTACTTTGAACAGAGGGCTGTCTTCTCAGGAATAGTCTTAACTTCAATAACTTGGAGGGGAAATTGCTATGTGTGTGGGGCTCAGTGGTCCCCAACCTTTTTGGCACCAGGGACCAATAATTTTTCCGTGGACTTGGGAGGGTTAGGGGGTGGGGGATGGTTTCCGGATGATTCCAGTACATGACATTTATTGTGCACTTTATTCCTAATATTGCATTGTAATATATAATGAAATAATTATGCCACTCACCATAATGTAGAATCAGTGGGAGCCCTGAGCTTGTTTTCCTGGAACTAGACTGTCCCATCTGGAAATAATGGGAGACAGTGACAGATCATTAGGCATTAGATACTCATAAGGAGTATGCAACCTAGATCCCTCACATGCGCAGTTCCCAATAGGGTGTGCCCTTCTATGAGAATCTAATGCCATCCACTGATCTGACAAGAGGCGGAGCTCAGGTGGTGATGAAGCTTTGCTCACTCACCTGCCGCTCACCTCCTTCTGTGTGACCCAGTACGCCCTGGTACTGATCTGTGGCATGGGGGCTGAGGACCCCTGCTCTAGCTCTCATTTTATATAAATTTTATTTACCCAGAGAATAGGTACTATATCCCCATTACAAAAATAAGAAAATGGAGGCTCAGAGACTGTCTGGGACTTGTCCCAGGTCACACAGCTGTTAATTTGGCAGGAGTGGGTGGGGCTGGGATCAAACCCCAAATCTTTCCTCTTCATGCATGATCTTTTCTGCTCTATCCAAGCTGCTTCTCATCACACAGTTCTGCCTCCCCTCCCAGTCCAGATATCTCTAACAACCCTTGGAGTTGTCTTTTAAACAGAGAATTACAAAGACAGATTATGTGAAAGTGGCTGAATCTGCATCATGGGATAAGAGCTAGCTGCAGTTGACTCTTCAATTAACTTAAGTGTAATCGTTATATTCCTGCTGACATCATTTGCCACATCTGCCTCATTGTAATCAATTAGTTAATTGATATCTAGCTTGGTTATAAAAAGGTACAAACAGTTTAACAAGCTGAAAATATTATGGAAGAAATCAGAGGGAGCAAAAATAAGACATAAGAAAAAGCTCAGGAAAACACAGCAGTTCTCATTCATACTTCACCAAGGATGTGGCTTTGTCTGGCAGAGCACTGTGCCTCTTTGTTCATTTCCCAGGTCCGACAAATGCTTCTGCTTGGGCTCAACTCAGTTCTTATCACAGGTGGATGGCAGCACGGGGCTATTGCTTCCTTCTTCCTTAAACAGGAGACTTATCACCCATGGTAGAGAATGGTTTGTATCAGTGGATAAAATAGATCAAAGTTCAATATTTTGCCCAACCTGTTAAAATATTAGTTTATTTCCTGCTAAGACCCTTTCTATATACATGTATAAACATTTCTGCTGAGTTGAAATTATACCATATACATAATTTTATACTCTGCTTTGTTTTTCTCAACAATATGTTGTTACAGCATGCAAAATTATATGAAATTCTATGAAAACAGTTTGGGAAACCAATTTAATTGTTTTTTTTTAATTGTGAGAAATATATATTCATATGGAAGACTACTCAGGGGTATACAAGGGCCTGGACTCTCCCTACCCACACCCAGCCCTGTCTCGTCTCCAGCACACTTTGCAAAAATGCCTGGCCTGAGTAACACCTCTTGCTGTTAGGGTAAATCTCTGACTCTCTGGGGCCTGTTCCTTGGGGCCAATGTCCTGTAGCTGAGCTGCAGAATTGGATAGGAGTGCTTGTACATGACCTCTCTTGATCTAGAAATGATTTTCTCCTTAGCCAGAGACATTTCTTCCTTGCTAGTTTTTGCCTAACTCTATAAAATATCCTGCCCCCTACTCCCACCCCAGGTACCCTGGCTACCAAAGGTCAGTTCCACTACTTGGTGATTTCATTATGACCATTGCATTATGCATGTGGAGGATCCAGCTGTATCTGCCAGTTTGTTCTGCCGTGATGCCTTTGCACAGGCGGGCCTGTGAGCTTGTGTAAGCCAGGCAGTGCATAATCCATCCAAGCACTGAGTCCATGTGGGCTGATTAAAGCAAACTCTAAGCAACAAGACACTCTAGACTGTGCCCAGGGCTTCCAACCACTTGTCCTTTCTCCTGGACTCTTGGCTTCAGGTTTTGGACTCTCTATCCAACATTGACGGCTGCCTCTGATATCCTCTGGCAACTTTCTTGCCTCTTTTTACTTCTTGGTCTTTGGCTGGTTCATTCCTATGACTTTTGCTGTTTTCTGTTACCTTGTGCATTTCCTTTATCCTAACCTCATGGCCATATGGAATTTCAGTTCCTGCCAGGGTAAACATATCTTCCCTGCATCCCCTGTCCCTTTTTCGTTGGGATAAAACATAGTCCAACAGTTTGTCTATAAATGTTGTTGGGACCCTCATAACCTACAATGGGGCAATGCACAAAGTCCTGGTCACTCTCCCACTGCCCATTCCTGGGGACTTGAGAGTGGCAGGAAGGAAAAATCGTCATAATTGTTCTCCAAAAGAAAGATGACGAGGCGATATAGTGGACATCAAATTTACATCAGCCACTGCTTAGGGTGACACTGCCTTGCCCACATTTCTTCTCTCAGACTAATTCTGGAGGACTTCCAGTAAATTTCCAGGCTCCCAAGCCCCTCACCAAGGGTAGGGGTGGGAGGGGATGAGAAGACTGGCCCTGCAGAATCCTTGGTGAGGATCTGGCAGGACTGACGGCCCCTCTGTGGAGGCATTCCACAGCCACCATTCCTGTCTCCTTTAGCTGATTTAGCACAGAATTCTGCCAGACTAGGAGCAGGACAGATTCTCAGAAGACTTCAGAGGGTCCCTTTAGGGAGGGCCCTCTCATTCACTGGTGGTGTGGGTAAAAAGGGCAAACTTTCCAGAAGGTGATAAGCATTTGTAATTTTCTATATAACTTTGTCCCAGACATTCTACTTCTAGGAATTTACACTCTAGGAAATGATTGGACAAGGATAGAAAGGGCAACTAAGTAACTAACTCAGGAATGTAACTAACTGTAAGAATGCCTTTGCCAGAGTTGGCCATAAAAGACAAAGACACTTAAAGAGGGGGGGAAGGAAAAAGAAACACACAGAGAGAGAGAGAGAGAGAGAGAGATGACTTTACTGTCCCACAATGTGGGGTTTGTTAAATAAACCACTGTCTATCTGTAAATGAACTACGATAACACTATGTAACTTTCCAAAATGATTTATATGCACTTCCTAGCCTGGAATCTCTTCTTGTTATATTGTTAAGTTAGAAAAAGCAGGTTACCAAACAGTATCATTTTGAGGATATGCATTAAATGTTAACAGTGGTTATCTGTGGGTAGTGTGATTTCAGGTGACTTTTAAAAATTATTTTTGTTTATATGCCTTTTTTGAAATCATCTACAAAAACATGTATTGCCTCTGTAATTAAAAACAAGTCAAGGAGGAACGTGACTCGTCGAGTCACTGAACATCCCGCCATTGTAATCTCACTCTTTGTGTGAGAAGCAACAACTGCCCTGGAGACCCAGACACATCGTCCTGCCTTTGAAACGACCTTCTCTCCACAAATCAGGATGAGCTGAGAAATAGGGTGGAGAACCATGTGCTTGCCAGAGGTCACCTAGTGTAAATCCCTGGCATTGGCAGTCTTACCCCACAGCAGAAGCCCATCCCAGGGCTAACCCTGAGAAATGAGTTTTCAAGAGCCCAGAGGGGCACTGCCATCTGTTGGTGGAGGCATCTGCACGGTACTGCCAGAGGACACTCAAGGAAATGAACAGTTCCCTCAGCTCTTCAGCTTCTGTCCTGCCCTGACAGACCCTCTTCTGATCTCAGGAAGAGTTTTCAGTTTTCTTCCAACCCACTAATAGCCAGATCTCTGCCTAACCTAACCAAACCATGCCAGAGGACCAGCTGGGAACATGTGAAAAGTGTAGTTTTCTCACCCTGTGCTGGAGTAGAGAAACCACCATGTGACAGCGTGGGCCATGAGGCATGGAGTATTCACAATTGGTGAGAAAATTCATGTGCCAGGAACACAGCTACAGGGAAAACAAAGGGCCGTGGAGTCCGTGGGAGAGACAGATGGAGCCCATTTTACAGCTGAGAAAACAGAGGAATTAAACTAATTTGCTTATAGTAACATAGGCAATGAGGATTCGAAATAACTCCTCATCTCTTTACCAGTAGAACATTAGCTGTGGTTTCAACCTCCCATCCAGATTCTTATATCTGGCCCTGTAACCCCAGAGAAAGGGATATTTTACTGCACTCATTTCTAAACATTTTGATATCATGCATCCCTCTGAGAATTTGATGAAATGTGCATATGCACATGTATGCATGCTTTTGAAAAGATTGCAAGGGGTCTATTGACCTCCTGAAGCGTCTTCCATAGTTCATAAGACAAAAACTCCTTGCCCCCAATAAGGAGCAGAGAGAGACCAGGTAAGAGTTTAAGGAACTGAAATCTAAGAAAAAAGATTTTCATCATTACTGGGAGAAAATGCCTTTGTGAAGGGCAAGAGGAAAAACAACAAAATGAGTAGGCCGTGTGATGCCGCTACCAGCAAAACATCCTAAGTGATGACAGCTGACGTGCTTGTAGTATTTTAGGATCTCTCCTCCTGCGTGTTTGTTACTTAGATACACTGACAAAGGCTCATATTTGAGATGATTATCAACTCTCCTTCCATTGAGGCCTATTAAAGCATGGCAATAAAAAAAGCTATGGGCCCGGAAAAGAACACCAAGCTATTGGTGTGATGAAAACTAGGCAATGAATATTAGTGAAATCATCCAGTGCTTTTTCTCAGGATTCTGGAACATTTTCATTTGCCTCTTGGCGTAACGAGCTTTCCCTGCAAAGTGTGCCTCCCAGACATTACCCCATTGCCCGGGACAGCAAGCACCGCTAGTGTTTGCCCTGCCTGGCCTCTGCTGTCAGGGCCTTGTTCTGTTAGAATAATTATGATAAACTCACTCTCAGTAAGTTACGGTGGCTGTTAATAATGTAATAAGTGGCCTGATTCAGAGGACAGCTGAATTGAAGCGGCAGTTTCAATGCTTCAATTATGAGAAATGAGGAATATGAGAATACCAAGCATGAAGACACTGTGGTTCCATGGTCCTAACTAAGGTGACTCAGTTTATCTGTGATGGAGCTGGCCTTGGCATCTACCCTGAGGCCAAGTTAAAAAGTACGTAGACCAGCACTAAGAATGTTGGCTCAGTGGAACCTGTCCACTTAAAACCTCCCATGGACAGGAACTTAATTGATAAGTTCCCCTACTCCCTGTTATAGAAGCCCTAGAAGAAACCTTTAGAGAGTCTGTTCATCAACCTCTGTTTCAAATCTTATAAGGTATAAATTATTATTACTGTTATTATTATTGCTGCTTAACAGATGAAGCAAGTGAGACGTCTGTAGTGGAAAAAGCACCAGTGAGTTCTGGATTCAGCGGATCTGAGCCTCAACACCCTTATCTATAAACTTGCTATGCAAGTTATTATAGACATGAATTGGATATTTTATCTAAAGTGCCTAGCGTTGAGTAGAGAGTAGGTGCTCAGAAAACAATCTCTTAAGTAACTGGCCCACTGTTACTTTTCAGGAAAATGGCAGAGCCAGATGTTCTGAGGACTAGTCCAGGACTCATTCCATGCATTCTTTCCTGCCTGGTAGCATCTTCTCAAAGCCATTGTGAAAAGAGCTTCAAATTCCCATATGGAGACGTGGAGATTCACCTTTCATGACAAACATTCTTGCAGAATTAATTCACAGCATTGCTGAGGTGGGGTAGCGGTAGATGTGAGTGATTTTTTTTTTTATAGTGTTACAATAATTTATCATCCTCTTTCCAGCAGCCGTACTCTGGCTGGCAGCTCTAAAAACCCTACAGTCGATGAGAGATCAGTGAACAGAAATATTTTCAAGAGCAGATGGGACGTACCTTCAAAACGCAGGATTGTCCCACTGAAACTGGGACATCTGGCAACCCTAAAAAAGCCCAAACTAGATGAAATAAAAATTATGAGATGGAGAAGCAGAAAAATATGTCTTTGCATTGATTAGCAGGGAATGTAATTAATCTCCTTCAACTCCCTTTTCAGTCCTGTGGTGTAAAACAAGGAGAAATTGCAGTCTTACTGGGTTCCCTTGTGACTATTCTTACGTGATAATTTCAAAGTAGTATGCGTTTTAAAACTTCATAGTAATGCCTCCCTTTCTATTGCTTAGAAATGTCTAGGGAGTGATAAAATTCATGCCTAAACTTCCTCAATACAATGCTTTTGTTATTAGCCCAGCCAACAGTGAGGGGGAGGAGCATTCAGCTGATTCAGATCAGGCCAGCTTTTACGGTTTTCGTAGGAAATGATAGAAACAAATCTTTCTTTTTGTATTAGTAGTTTCTGTTCCTGATTTCTCTTTCTGTGAGGTGAAGAAGCAAGGAGGAAGAGCATACCAGCCCCAGAGAAAGGAGAGAAGACCTCGGGCTTTCCTTCTCACTGCTCTTCCTTCCTCCTTATTCCAGCTCGGCTCCAGCACCCAATATAATCCTGGTCATTCTCTTCTTGTCAAAACCTGCTTTCTGTGTAGACTCTCATGCCAGTGTTAGTGTGCGGCTGTGTACCTTTCTCTCCTTCCCCTGCCCTGCTTCGGTCCAGCATGGTGCCCGATACATTTTAAGTACTGTAAAGTGAAATGTTTGAGGATTTGGACAGGTGCATTTGGTCTGGAAGAAGACTAGATGAGGGATTAGTACCTGAGTTCAGTTTATCACCTGCCGGTGGGCAGGCCACGAGAACACCAGCAAAGATAAAGTCTAAGAAATTAATCATTTTAAAGTCAAATATCTACTCTTTAGTAAGGTAGTTTTAAAAATATCTATTTGCTCATTGAATTTCAGTTTATTTTTTTCCCAAATGTTCTGTTATGCCCGCATCTTGGATTCAAGAAGTGCTAATTGGCTCACCCTGACCAACACAAGAAGTGATGCTCAGAATGTTAAGCAATGTGAACTGAATTGTGGGCCCCACCCCCAAATATGTTGGGGCCGGCAGGGGGGGACACAATTCATATATATATGTGAATTCACAACTATATATGTTGAAGAGCTGACTCCCAATGTGATGGTATTTGGAAATGGAGCCTTTGGGAGGTAATGTAACCTTATTCGATTAGGTTATAAATGTAGGGTCTTCATGCTGGGATTAGTGGCTTTGTAGGAAGAGGAAGAGAGGCAAGCTGTCTCTGTCCCTCAGGTCACGCACTGAGGAAGGCCATGTGAGGACACGGAGAGAAGGCAGCCACCTGTAAACCAGGAAGACAGCTCCCAACCAGAAGCCAATCGTTTAGCACCTTGATCTCAGATTTCCAGCCTAAGCAGACTAAGACAAAATGGTACCCTGAATGGTTAAGCAACATGCCCCAGGGCACATGGCTATGATATTGTAGAAGCTGAGGGCCCCGACACCAATCCCAGGTCGATTTCCCCTATACCACGTGGCCGGCTCCAAGTTCATGACCTAAAACCATGTGTGGATTTAAACAGCTGCTCTTCTATCCCAGTGGTTATTTCTTGGGACAAACCCACTGATGTTGAGCGTGGGGTGAGAGTGAGAAGACCTGGGCTTGCCTCATCCTCTGCCACATGCGAGCTGTGAAACCAGGCAGCCTACCTTCTTCAGCCTCAGTTTCCTTACATGAATAATGGGAATTTGTGAGAATTACATTGGACGATAAGCTTAAAAGAGATTTATGAGCGGGTAAGTACCTCACAAATGACAAAGGAGACATTTTAGTCAGAAAGCTCCACAGAGCTGAGACAGCCTATTTTCTTACTTTGTGAGTAATAACATTAATAATAAGCAATGACCTTTGAGGACACTAACTCAGTCAGAGTTACCTTCAGTTCAGTCCTGAGACACAACTGAGGGCCTTGTCAATTTGTACCATTAAGAGAGAAGTCAGGGCCAATTTGTTCATTAGGCACAAAAGACAAAGTATCTAGGGCTTACAATCTTTTCAGGGCCCATTTTAAATTATTTTAACATCAGGGAAAAAATGAACTTTTAAGTTAAATATAATATTTTAATATATAATTTTAATTGATTATTACTTTTTAATTTTTTTGTTGAGATAAGGTCTTATGGTATAGACCAGGCTGGTCTCGGACTTCTGGGTTCAAGTGATCCTCCCACCTTATCCTCCCAAAGTGGTAGGATTACAGGCATGAGCCATAGCACCCAGCCCCTAATATATAATTTTAATATGTTTATCTTCATACCAATGCAGTCACAAAATATAATTTTTAATGCTCTTTATAGGAGAAGGGCCCACAAAGGCAAAAGCGCCCAGGGCCCACGAAAGTCATACCGCAGGCTTGAGAGAAGTGCCAAGCAATGAAAACACTTCTAACTTCCAAGGGAGACATTCCCTTTATTGAATTAAATATTGCTCTGTAGTTCTGCAGCCACACTTGATTCCCTAATGTTCTCCTAAATGTGCTGCAATCTTTCCCAAGTTTTGCCTGTTTGCCCCATTCCTTCTGTCTACACCATCTTCTCCACTCGGCAAACACTCTAATGTCACCCACTTACGTGCCACTGTTGAGGTGCATCATAGCTCCTGGTCTCTTGGCTTTAACCATTTTCATTATCCTCATCGCCCTGTGGCTCATGTTTTAGTTGCTCAGACAGCCAGCTGTATCTTAGATACAGTCACAGAGCACCCCTGTGTGATGTAGTAAAACTTCTTACTAAAGAGCAGGGATGCTGGTCTTGACTTAGAAATTCAGTTTTGTCACATACTAGCTGTGTGATATTCTCCTAGTCAGGTAACATCTTTGCCTCAGTTTCTTCATCTGTAAAATGGGAATCATGCCTCACAAGATTACTTGAATATATATGCATGCCTGCACATATATGTTGCCGGGAACACAGTAGTCTATTATTATATAAGTGATAGACATTATGGTTATTACAGCTCCTATTAATATTATTATTATATAAAAACTTCTAGGCCCTAAAGATACAAAGAGCTCTTTACACAGCTCAAAGTTGAATAGGAACAAGCATGTTAAGAAGATAAATTAAACTATGTTTTTCTGAGATTTTTGAGAAGCCCAACTCTCCCTAGCCAGGGGGAGAATGGGAAAGGCATTTTAGTAGCCATGGGATGGTGCTGGGTCTTAGAAGATGGGAGGAGTTCTTCAGGCTGATGAGAGGGTAGGCCTTCTAGGAAGGGTTTGCAGACTTAAATGGCAAGTTAAGTCTGCAAATATAGCTCCAAACATAACTTGCCCCCAAATGGCAAGTTATGTTTGGAGATCGGTGAGGGGTTTAATGGAGCCAGACATAGGTCCCTTCCAGAAGAAGAATGAGAGAGGAGATGAAAGAGAGAGACTGCTGAGCCATATTTGGGAGTGTGGCCTTTCTACAAGCTTCTGGGCACAGGAGAATAACTGCTAAAGGTACACTACAGGATGATCCCAGTGGCGCACGGTGGAGGGGGGACTAGAGTGGGGTAACTGAAGTGGGCTTGACCCTTAATCCAGTGGCTTTGTCCATTTTGTCCAGTTTGGGCAAGATACTGGGTTGGTTTAGCAAAGCAAGATGCTGGGTTGGTTGAGCAAAAATCCCCCACATCTTGGTGTCTGACCACCCTTGGTAATCTCATCAAATTTCTTGTTGCCCTTCTCTTGATATCTTATTATCCTGGCCTGTCTTCAGCAATCATCCTGTCCTCAGCTTAGCTGGAATCCCCCTTACATGGATGTCTCCTCTTAGTAATTTGTCATGCACTGACTGCCACCCTGCTCCCTGGCTATAAATCTCCACTTGTCCTTGTTGTATTTGGAGTTGAGCCCAGTCTCTCTCCCCAACTGTGAGACCTCATTGCAGAAATGTCCTACCTACCCCGCAATCCCCCACCTCCGAATAAAGTCTTTCTTGACATCTGTAACAAGTGTCATGAATAATTTTTTCTTTAACATCAGTCAGCAAACTATTCTGAGCCTGAGGTCAGAGGGCTAGGGCTGGATCTAAGGCAGAGGAGGTGTGGAAAGGGAGAGGACGAGTCCAGAGATGCAAGACTTGGCAGGGCTTGGTAACGGAGTGGCTGGAGGAAGAAAGGGTGAGGGAAAAATTGAGGGTAATTGATTCTTGGTTCTTAGCTTGGTGGCAGGATTGACGGTGACTATGTAAGGGAAGACTGAAAATAGGGAGAGGGCAGAATTTGCAGTGTCTCTGGAATACACGTGGAAATACCTGGGAGGCCGCTGAGTGGATGGGTCTGGTGTGCAGAAGAGAGACCTAGGCTGGGGATAAAGGTTTTGGGAATTCATCAAGCCTGTAGATGACAGCAGAAGTCATAGGAGCAGCTGAGAATGCCCAGGGGACCTGGGGACCTGAGGCAGAAATGTGAAGAACATGGAGATTCAAATCACATGATTTCTCTTTACTAGCTTGTAAACTGTTCATGCACTAGTCATGTCTTGGCCACTTTATTCCTCATATACAATGATCATTGAGGTGACTTGAGGTCCAAGCTCTGAGAGTGTTTAAATCTGCTGCCCACAAATAAATGACCATTTTAGAGATGCTCCTAGGAGGCCTTGCAGTGTGCTCTTCAGGGTCAGTTGGCCACCAAATTGTCAGGTTGGCAGAGGTTGTCCTTAGGGTCTCCAAACTATCCGCAACAAGACCTGAACCCCTTGGCATTGGCTAGTGCAGGGGAAAGAAAGTTTGTGCTTTTGCGTTGGACGTAGCTGGGTGAGAGTTACAACTCTCACCTGAGGGGGTTCAAACCTGCACAGTTGTAAAGACGAGAGGTTTTTATGGCATGGTATATTTCACTTAACTGCTGAATGTCTGCCTCATCCACAGGGATATTAGCTTCATGTTAGCTTTGTTTTCTACAACAAAGGCATAGACACACTTGCCACTGATAGCATGTGATAGAAATAGGACCTTCTATCTAAGGCCTCAGTTTTCATTTCTGCAAAATGGAAATAATAATCCTTGCCTTTTCTATTTTATAGAATTATTGAAATAATCAAAGTCTTAGATAGCCATTCCTATGACTTGTAGCAAGACAGCAACCCCTTGGAAAGAAAATCACAAGCAGGAGAGTTGTTGCGTGTTCATAATCCTCCAAGTTCATTATTCCACAGAGAAGAAGGGTGCCCAGGTCAGGTTGACTATAGACAGGTCTCTGGCAGAGGGAAAGCCTCCACTCCCACCTTGTCCTGCATATTTGTAAGAATGGGTGATCTTGTAAAGTAAAAGCTCCCTAATAGAGAAGCAGCCTCATCAGAGAGGTGGAGCCTCCAGAGTGCTTGGCTGTGTGCTTTGGTCACTGTCTCAGGAACAACCTCTCTTTGCTAACCCACAGCAAGGGGAAGAGGGGGGCCTCCAGGGCCATCCCAACCCCTCTCTCCCAACTTGGGTATTGCCAGTGCTCACAACAGAGCTCAGCACATGGTAAGTTGTCAAAAAGCAGTCATTGAATAAATAATGTACTCAAACTGTTTGATCCAGCAATGCATTACTGCATCTCTACTCAGAGAAAAAGAAGTCATTATATGAAAAAGATACTTGCACACACATGTTTTTTTTTTTTTTTTTTTTGCTCTCCTATTTTTTTTTTTTTTTTTTTTTTTTTTTTATTATACTCTAAGTTTTAGGGTACATGTGCACATTGTGCAGGTTAGTTACATATGTATACATGTGCCATGCTGGTGCGCTGCACCCACTAATGTGTCATCTAGCATTAGGTATATCTCCCAATGCTATCCCTCCCCCCTCCCCCGACCCCACCACAGTCCCCAGAGTGTGATATTCCCCTTCCTGTGTCCATGTGATCTCATTGTTCAATTCCCACCTATGAGTGAGAATATGCGGTGTTTGGTTTTTTGTTCTTGCGATAGTTTACTGAGAATGATGGTTTCCAATTTCATCCATGTCCCTACAAAGGATATGAACTCATCATTTTTTATGGCTGCATAGTATTCCATGGTGTATATGTGCCACATTTTCTTAATCCAGTCTATCATTGTTGGACATTTGGGTTGGTTCCAAGTCTTTGCCATTGTGAATAGTGCCGCAATAAACATACGTGTGCATGTGTCTTTATAGCAGTATGATTTATACTCATTTGGGTATATACCCAGTAATGGGATGGCTGGGTCAAATGGTATTTCTAGTTCTAGATCCCTGAGGAATCGCCACACTGACTTCCACAATGGTTGAACTAGTTTACAGTCCCACCAACAGTGTAAAAGTGTTCCTATTTCTCCGCATCCTCTCCAGCACCTGTTGTTTCCTGACTTTTTAATGATTGCCATTCTAAATGGTGTGAGATGATATCTCATAGTGGTTTTGATTTGCATTTCTCTGATGGCCAGTGATGATGAGCATTTCTTCATGTGTTTTTTGGCTGCATAAATGTCTTCTTTTGAGAAGTGTCTGTTCATGTCCTTCGCCCACTTTTTGATGGGGTTGTTTGTTTTTTTCTTGTAAATTTGTTTGAGTTCATTGTAGATTCTGGATATTAGCCCTTTGTCAGATGAGTAGGTTGCAAAAATTTTCTCCCATGTTGTAGGTTGCCTGTTCACTCTGATGGTAGTTTCTTTTGCTGTGCAGAAGCTCTTTAGTTTAATTAGATCCCATTTGTCAATTTTGTCTTTTGTTGCCATTGCTTTTGGTGTTTTGGACATGAAGTCCTTGCCCATGCCTATGTCCTGAATGGTAATGCCTAGGTTTTCTTCTAGGGTTTTTATGGTTTTAGGTTTAACGTTTAAATCTTTAATCCATCTTGAATTGATTTTTGTATAAGGTGTAAGGAAGGGATCCAGTTTCAGCTTTCTACATATGGCTAGCCAGTTTTCCCAGCACCATTTATTAAATAGGGAATCCTTTCCCCATTGCTTGTTTTTCTCAGGTTTGTCAAAGATCAGATAGTTGTAGATATGCGGCATTATTTCTGAGGGCTCTGTTCTGTTCCATTGATCTATATCTCTGTTTTGGTACCAGTACCATGCTGTTTTGGTTACTGTAGCCTTGTAGTATAGTTTGAAGTCAGGTAGGCACACACATGTTTATAGCAGCACAATTTGCAATTGAAAAATATGGAGCCAGCCTTTATGCCCATCAATGAATGAGTGGATAAAGAAAATGTGAGATATATATGTATACGCTGTGGAATACTATTAGCCATAAAAAGGATAGAAATAATGGCATTCACAGCAATTTTGATGGAATTGGAGACCATTATTCGAAGTGAAGTAACTCAGGAATGAAAAATTAAACATCGTAAGCTCTCACTCATAAGTGGGAGCTAAGCTATGAGGACAAAAAGACATAAGAATAATACATTGGATTTTGGGGACTGGGGGAAGGGTGGGAGGGGGTGAGAGATAAAAGACTGCATATTGGGTACAGTGTACACTGCTTGAGTGATGGGTACACCAAAATCCCAGAAATCACCACTAAAGAACTTATTCATGGAACCAAACACCACCTGCTCCCTAAAATCCTATTGAAATAAATACTTTTTTAAAAAAATGTACTCGAAAGTGTCTAGCACAGTCCCTGCACACAGTAGGTACTCAGGAAGTATGCTTTCCTTCTGTCCTCCAGATGATCACAAGACTCATGCTCATTCCAAACCATATTTCTGAGTGCCTCCTTCCCCACTCATACACCTAGGGTGGTCTGCCTCTCCCTGGGGGCCCTAAATATGCTGGGTTTCTCGCTTTTTTTTCCCCCAATCATATTTGCTGGGTCCTTTGTTCCACCGCTTTGTCCCCTATTTGCTATTATGATGGAAAATAGCACTTTATAACAACCTAATGAGATAGGGACAACTGCCACTCTTTTGCAGAGAAGAAAACTGAGAGTCCAGGGTTTAGTGTCTTGCCCTAAGCCATAGGGATGGTAAGTTACAGTGTGGGAGCATCTAAGCCTTTTGACTGTGAGTCCATGGTTCTGCAGCTGCCTCCCTGGGAGCAATGTGATCCTTTAAAAACTATTACTCAGCAGATCCTCGGGAGAGGATAATGAATGATCATCATGATGCACTTCCCAGAAAGCCACAAACTCAGGCTGCTTTGGGTGGAATCCTGGAAATTAGTGGAAGAAATGCTCTGGTCAAGACAGCCAGGTCCTAGGGCCAGTTCTGCCACCTTGCATATGTGTAACCTTGGGCAAATCTCTGCACCCTGCTAGGCATCAGTTTTCATTTCCACAAAATGGAAGTAATAATCCCTGCCCTTTCTATTTTATAATACTGTTGAAAGAATCAAATGCATAATATGGGTGAAAAATGGTCATTAATCAAGAGTGCCATTTGGGTCTCTAAAGATTGACTCACAGTATCTATTATGTATTTATTTTTATTCTAAATTAATTTTTCCTAAGAGATATTATAAATATGTTTGAACTGCACTTCATAAACTTTTTTATCAGCCAGACTAAATTTTTTATAGTCTACTCTAGCAGAAATAACTCATTGTCATTGTCATCACTTTGATAAACAAAGCTTTGAGGGCTTAAAACATCACCGAGGATAGAACTGATATTTGCCAAGGGATCCTTTGGTCCATGAATCTCACCAATTGGCTCCCTGTGCAGTTACATGAATGAGGAAAGGACAAGGCTCTTGGATCTGCGATGTCTGAACTGCCTCCTGCCAAGTGGCAGGGACAATTTTAGTGCTGCTGAGAATCTGACTGCTGTTTCCGCCCACTCCCGCCTTCCTCCTTCCTCCTGTCCTTGAGCACGCAGATGCTGCCTGCCTTCTGCTCTCTCCTTCACCATTTTCTTGCATTTCCATGTCTCCTTGTACCCGTTTTCCTTACTTCAGATTCTCATTACTGTGTTTTCCTTCTTATCCCTCCCCACCCCCTATACACATAGTTATATATTGCTTGGTTTCTCCAACAGACCTATGCTGTGTTTCCTTACCACAATGAGCATGCCCGGGCACAGCCTGGGGGTAGCAGGGGTGATTCATTCTCATTCTTCTCTTGAACCCTCATGATACCAATGATAAGGGTCCTTTCCAATATGGCCAACATCTTTACTTCCCTTGTCATCTTTCCCCTGGATTACTGTATCCTTTTATTTGGGCACCTGCCTCTAGTTCTGCCCACTCCAGTCTACTCATTCACCCTACTGCTCTCAGAATGAACTTTCTAAATATAAATCTGACCTACCACTTCTGGAATGCAGTAGCTAGAACCTACAAACTCCAGATAAAATCCATATTCCTCAGCTTCACATTCAAGGTCACCTGTCACTTACCCATTACTTACTGCTCCAGATGTACTCATTCCCAGTTACACAGGTCCTGCACACTGAAAGTAGATCTTCGGGGGCACTGCTAGTGAATGAATGAATGAATAGCGCTTGCTCAGCATGGGAGGTTGTATGATGCAATGGAACCTGTATAGATTTGGGGTTAGACCTGTGTTAAGGCCCCTGAAACTTATCCACTGATATTGAGCAATTAACCTCTTTTAGCCTAATTTTCTCTGTGTATAATAGAAAATCTTATGCTCTTCCCACAGCTGGGACTAGGGAATGGTGACTGAGGGATTTACCTTGGACACAAAAATTAAGGAAGCACCAAAAATTCAGTAATCAAGAAAATATCTTAATACAATATTTTTTGGAAAAATCAAAATTGGTGAAAAAAATCCATGATGAACAAAATTTTAAAATTGTAAATAAAGACAGTATCTGACCCGACTCTGCTCTTACCCGACTCACCTCACTTGCTGCCCTTCTCATTGACATTACATTACTGGTCATTAGTGACCAGTGGCACTCTATAAACTGTAGTTGGCCTGGAATATACAGAAGGTCAAAGTGTTTCTATATTTTAATAGTAATTGGCCAGAATGATTTTATGTGTGTTCCACCCATTTGCAAATTTGGGCTTTAATTTTGTATGTCTTCTGTTATTTCCTTTTTTTAAGCAATTTCTTTTTAGTATCGCAGTTTACAAGAGTTTTGGTGAGCAATGGATTAGAAATAATTTTACAAAAATGTTCCTTCATCACAGATGGCTTAGGAAGCACTGCTCTGAAATTCAACGCAACCCCGAAGCTCTGTGGTTTTCTAGGATTGATTCATTTGTTTCTAACTGAGATGTACCGAACCGTGAAAGGATGTGGGCTGGACATACTAACTCCAAGGAGCCCGGGTATCATTGTAGTCCATGTCAATGGCGCCCCCTGGTGTTCGGGGGCGCAGCAGCCCTGTGCGAGTCCTGCAGCAGGCCCTCCTGGCCCATCCACTCGGTATACCCCACTTAACTTTTTTGCGGGGGCGGTTTCATTTTTGCTTTTTCTTTCTCACTTGCTGCTGCATTCATCTGGACAATGAATTCATCTGTCTATCTATTAATTCAACAAATACTTATCGAGCCTCTACTATGGGTAGGGCACATTCTCAGATGCTGGGAGTAGCGATCCATGAAATCTGACAGGGTACCTACCCTTAAGGAGCTTACAGTCTAGTGGAAAGGGCAAAATGAACAATTAAGCAAACAAATAAATGTATCAAACTTGTGAAGTGTTAGGAAAACTAAACTAAGTGTTCTGATAAACAAGAAGAGAATAAGGTTTACTTAAATCGGGTGTTCAGGAAAGCCCTTCCTGAGGACACCATCCCTAAAGGATGACAAGGTCTTAACAATTCAAATAACAAGTGAGAAACCCTGATAGGCAGAAGAAATGAAATGCATTAAAGTCCTAGGAGGGAAAGAGCCTGCTGTGTGTGGTCCAGGACCTGAATGGAGAGCAGTGTCATTAGGCAGAGGGGAACATGCCATGCAAGATTGACGAGGTAGCATGCCACATCATGCAGCATCTGTAAGCCACGGTGAGACGTATGCTCCCTACTTCAAAACATGTGCACCATATTTGAATTGTATATGATTTGGGATATTGAGTGTGATTAGCACAATCCCACTCTGCCAGAGATGCCTCCTTTAGCTGCCATGGTGGACACTTGGTTTTTTTGTTGTTGTTGTTGTTTGAGATGGAATCTCACTCTGTGGCCCAGGCTGGAGTGCAGTGGTGCGATCTCAGCTCACTGCAACCTCTGCCTCCCGTGTTCAAGTGATTATCCTGCCTCAGCGTCCCAAGTAGCTGGGACTACAGGCATGTGCCACCATGCCCAGCTAATTTATGTATTTTTAGTAGAGATGGGGTTTTACCATGTTGGCAAGGCTGGTCTTGAACTCCTGACCTCGGGTGATCTGCCTGCCTTGGCCTCCCAAAGTGCTGGGATTACAGGTGTGAGACACTGCATCTGGCCTGGACACTTGTTTTTATGTCTGCTGTGCACTTCCACCACCATCCTTTGTGACTGCTTCTCTCACATTGTCGCTTTTTTGTGTGCTGACTGATCTCTGTCCCTGGGGAACCCAGGCTGGGCAGTCATGGCTTGGACTTAGTGATGGGTCAACAGAAGAAACTGGGACCCAAGTTGAACGCATCAGATTACTTCCCTGAGGTTTACTCTAACCGGAACCAACAGGAAAGATGATGCCTCTTTCGTAATTGGACCCCAAACTCCCTGCGGCCAGATTCCCTGCCTCAAGGAGAAAATGTGTACACACTGGGAGAGAATGAAATAAACAACAGGCTGGCTGATAGAAAGGTTGGATGGATGGAAAGC